>NC_000021.9:14215808-15465808 GCF_000001405.40 Homo sapiens
TGGGAGCTTCTGCAATGAAGTTACCACAATTTAAATCATCTCTACAGTGACTTTATTTAAAATGTTGATTGAATAAATCCAAAATCAATTAATGTGCCAGAAAAAAAGGAAGCCACCCCACTAGCTAAAGAGTAAAGCCCTTTCTGCATTCATCTTTCTTACTCTCACCCACTCTCCCACCGCCCAGCCCTACGCCAGGCGAGGGAGCAGTGCGGTGGGCGGTACCCCAAGTCCGCTGGGGGCGTGGCCCTGGAGCCATGCCTCGCCCCCAGCGCGCGCTCCCGGCGCCGGCCCCGCCCCCTCACCCAGGCGGCGCCGTAAAGCCGGAGAAGGGGCGGGGTCTCAGCTCCTACTTCATTCTACGGCCGAGACCGGAGGATGTTCCCTGCTCAGGAGGAGGCCGACAGGACCGTGTTTGTTGGGAATTTAGAGGCCCGAGTTCGGGAAGAGATTCTGTACGAGCTGTTCCTTCAGGTACCGTCTCTGGGAAGGGGCGGCGGAGGGGCGGAGCACGTCGGGCCGGAAACATAGCGCGCACCTGGACCACCCGGAGCCCGGCCCCCTTCCGTCCCATCCTGAGCAGGGGTTTTAATTTCGTTTCCTCTTGGCGCACCTGTCTCCAGGTGAGCGGCTGGGGAGTGAAATGAGGGCGCGTTCCCCATCCCCATCCGCGCTGCAGAGTCCTGGGGTTGGGCAGGGACGTGGTTCCTTCAACCCCCGTTTCTGATTAAGGGCTTCCCAGAGGCTGCCTGGGCCTCGGGTGTGCGCGGGCAGAACCGAAAACAGCCTGGTCACTGTTCTCCGTCAAGTAGTAAGCACGCCTGACATCCCCCAAAAGGAGAGGGGTCGCTTTTATAATGTTTCCTTTTACACCTTGCTCCTTCCTTCAAGCCCTTTTATGCGGACAGTATTTTTATTCCAGCATGAAAAGTGAGATTTGAGATGATTTGGCAGCCAACTTACCGTGACTGTGACCAGGTGATTCCCTGGACAAGGCCCTTTAATTCATACCAAGAGGACCTTCGGAAACTTTGAGATCTGGTACCTCTAGGATTAAGCCTGCTGTGTCCTGTATACACGCTCACTTATCGTATTGTCCTATACAGCTAGGTATCACTTGCCAAAAAGATACACTCATTCAGCCATTCCCCTAACCGTGTAATGATCCGGAATTACGGGGCAAATACTGAGGGTGCTGGGAAAACAAATTGACGAGACATCCTTTTATCTTCCTAACAGGGAGAACTTAAAATTACAATGTTTACGATAATCTATAAAAAGAGAAGGGACATAGATAGAAAAGTGGTTCCGCGTGCGAACTCTGAGGTCAGCAGTGTGACTCTGAGCCTGTCAATGAATTCCTCAGTGCTTCAGTTTCCTTATATGTCAAAAGAGAGTAGTAGTATCTGCAGTATAATGTGGCTATCGGAATATGTGGCCTAATGGTAAAATGGCTACAGCTGAGTCTAGCACTCGCTGTTTGCTACCGCTACTACTGCTAATGGTACTGCTGTTATTATTAGTAATAATACTAACATCAAGAGAAATCAATAGTTACTTTCTCCTATCAGAATAAGGGAAAGTTCCGAGGGAGGCAATTACAGAACTAAATTTTCAGGATTGAATGGGTCAAAGGGGTCCTTTATTTGGTTGTGAAAGGACTTACTTTTGTCTCGAAACTTAACTAAAGCAACCCTCTTTTAATTGTAGATACAATTTGGTAGAGAGGGTTCTTTCCAGGAATACAGTTTCCTTTCCTGGACGTAAAACTTTTTTATTATTTGAAAAATATTATTGATTTTAAGACTTTTAGGTTCATCCTTTTAATTCATCTTTTTAAACTTGCCTCCTTTTTTATGAACTCTAATCCATATCTGTTTTTTCATTCAGTATCATTTAAAACTTACTATATTAAGTTAAAAAAAACAACAACAAAAACCGAAAGAAATATAAAGTAAACTTAGAGTTATTTTTCTCCAGAAGACTTCTTTCACTTTGAGCCTCCAAAAAAAGGAGAGTGGAAGACTGGGGTGGGATTGCATTATCCAATAACCATTATTTTTAGTCAATCAGGACTCGATCAATATCAGTTGTGTGGATCCACAAGACTATATATTATCTTCTCATTCTTTATCAGTTCCTTCTTCCACCTAAGCAAAATATAAATTTTATTTAATAGATCAGGTAAGAAGCATAAGTTCTTATTTTTGTCTAGGTATTGAAAGGAATTGCCAAAGTGGAGTTTCTCTTCCACTTTAGACTTCAACACCCAGCAAAACTTGACAACTATCACACTATGTATTTCATTGTGATTTAAAAAATACTGTAAGATAGTGTGATTGTTGCTAAAAGTAAGTCTTCATGTTGACTTTTATCTTTACAAATGCTTTGAATATCTAAATTTATGTCAAAATTCAAATCACGTAAGCATGTTCTGTCCCATAGTGATTACATCTATTTAATATCTGTATAAAAATCACCAATTTTATTGGTTTTTATATTACAGTATATTTATCCTTTTACTATTTTCTTTCAAATTTCTGATTATACTTGGAAATGAGAAAATCAGATTTATTATCATTACACTTTTAATACTAGAGTTGAGATTTAGAGAAAATATGGTGAATTCAGTTTCAAATATGTTGAGATTGAAGTACAAAAACATAGACATCTCCAGGAGGTGTCTCCATGAAAGAGACATGGTGGGAAAAGTAAATTTGTTGATGAGGTGGTCCTTGAAGCCAGAAGGGAAGGGAAGCTAGTCCCTGGGAGAGCACAGAGAATGAAAGGAAAAGACTAAATCTTAACACACAGAATTATTTTAAAGATGATCATTAATATTTTTCTTTAGAGTAAAAGCAATTTTTTTATTTATGCAACTCTACAGGGAAAAATAATCAGTTATTAAAGTCTGAACCATTCAGCATTAAATCAGTTGTTTGTGTTTGTAAGTGCCTCCTCCAATCATTATCATGGCTGTGATGTAATTTTTCGTTAGTTGTAATTAACAATCTTCTATGATATTTGGCTCTGTGTTTTTAAATCTTCATTGCATATTATAGGTTTTTCTATCAATATAATCTGAATATTTATAATTTATATTTTATTCCGTTTTAGTAACACACCATGGAATAATATCTCCAGTTGTTAGATTTAGAGCCTCTCTAATTTCTCACACTTATAAACAATGCAATATACTTAAAAGTCTTGAACATATTTAAACATTTTTCCTTTGGAAATTTACCAGATGGAGTTTCCAAATCAAAATGCATGATAAATTTATTTATTCTTGAAAAGATATTTAATCTTCATGACAGAAAATTTAAACTATGATATAACATCGCCAGCTTTTTTGAGGATAACTCAACCAGCATTGAATTTCTCATTTCAGTTATTTTTTGAATTCAACACTGTGAATGTGTATGGAGACAAAGTAGTATTTTAATCTTAGATTTATATGTTTTCTAAATTGGTTTGTTAAGCCTAACAGAAGGATAGTCTACCATTTCTTTTACAGTTTGAAACTAATACCTAGAATTTCCTGTTCTTAACACCATGTATGTTTCCCCAATGAGCCAGAAAATACAAAGAAAGTGTGAGGAAGTGTAATATTTATTATTAGAAAGATACATTATTAGCAGAGCTACATAAAGATATTGCTAACACATTTCTTTAGTCTAAAGTTGAATTTACTTATTTGAGTATAAAAAAAATCTTTGGATTTATGAGAAAATAATTTTTAAGTTTCTTATAGGCGGGGCCACTAACCAAAGTGACTATATGCAAAGACAGAGAAGGAAAGCCAAAGTCTTTTGGATTTGTCTGCTTTAAACACCCAGAATCGGTGTCTTATGCCATAGCTTTGCTGAATGGAATTCGTTTATATGGAAGACCAATTAACGTGCAGTATCGATTTGGTAGGTCCTGTCACTGATTAATCTTCAAAGTGTTTTGTGGTTGGTACTATTCTCAGAGTTGTAAGCAATTTGTTTCCTATGTAGTATAAGACCAAAACAAAAAAAAGTACCTTCTACCTTCTGGTCATTGTTAAATTTTCTCAGAACACGTGTCTAATTCATAATGTTATATAGTTAATTAGTCTTGACAAACCTATAGCATCTTTTCTAAAAATAAAATGTAAGATAATCGTTTTAGTATCAGCCAGCAAGTAGCTATGATGGTTGCTATTGGCCCTTATAAATTGAGCAAATCTAAATGAACTGGGGTCACACAACTGTAACATTTATATAGCAAGGGTATTTACTAATCTTGTTACTGCTGATGTATGGTACTGAATCTGTACTATTTGGAAGATAGAGAGAGGGCATTTAGTCCTTCTGGGGAAATCTTTCTATACATGTTGCACAGGATTTTAGCCCCTGTAAGAGCAAAGTGGTGAAAGGCAACGTAGAGTTACCCTTAGTAGTGGCGGAAAAAACTTCCTGACAAGAATGGCCTCAACAACTTCTCCTGCACGCATATCAGGAACAGATCATTCATGATTAGCTGCCAAGAGAATGTTATACCATTACTCTAGCTCTTTCATGTTTCAGGAGACTAATAGAGGCCATCTGGTAATTCTTGCAATATGTACGCAGCCTCCTCTAAGTGGTCAGGCTTATTGGTCTGTCACTTGTCGGTTTTTAAATTCCTCTTGCTATACTAAAAGCAAACAAATACTAATAACAAAAACAATGCTTTATTGCAAAGCAAAAGTGCGTCTCTTTGCATTTCTTTTTTTCTTCCTTTCTTTTGTAATACATGGTTGCATCATGCTCTCTGGTACTTTCTGGTTAACTTACACAACCTGGTATTAGGTTAGTGCAAAAGTAATTGCGGTTTTGCCATTACTTTTAATGTCTGTAGAATAGGCCAGGGTATATTATGTTCTGGCACATCATGTATAAGATTGAATTGGCTTTTGTCCATGAGGGTTAAACTCCTGCCTTGTACACTGGAAACAAATAACACTTGTTTATTTGCCATTTTTAGTTTACAGGTGTCTGGAACAAACCATCATGTATCTTACAAAGTCCAACGTCAATGTCATTCTTATTTACAGTCATTGATTTAGACAAAGGTTGATTTTAATTCATTGATATATATATAGTACTGTAAACAATCTATAAATATGATTTGAGAGGTCAGATATGCATATATCTTCTCTGAGTACAGAATTTTAAAATCACTACTACGTCCTAAAATATTTTGAGTCATTTTATGGTTTAATATTACAACTCAAAAAAAAATGTACCATGAAGTAACCTGTTACTCTGTTTCTTTCAAAGGGAGTTCTCGCTCTTCTGAACCAGCTAACCAAAGTTTTGAGAGCTGTGTTAAGATAAATTCACACAACTACAGGTAATTTTAAAAATATTTCTCATCAAAGGTAAAGCAAATATATTTTTATGCCAAGAGGAGTTTTTATATATTTTGGGCTATTGTAAAACCTTACTTTTTAGGCCTAGGATAAAATTAAGGAATATCTTTTTTTTCCGAGCCCATGAAAAGTGATAGAAAATATTTTCATTTAAAATTCAGTCTTAATATTTTCAGTAGTAGGGGGTAGAGACTTATATTTGTAGTTTTTTATAGTTTTCTACATGCTTTTCATAGCTGTTAAATCATTTAAGCATACAAGGTTTCATCATGGATCACAGGGATACTGTTATTTATATTTTATATTTGAGTCAATGGAGTTGCAAAAGTTAACCAGTTCTTAAGGTCACAGGATGATAAAGTGCTAGCTTTGAAACTAAGCCTTCTGACATTAAGCCATTGAATTAATTATTTTACTTTTTGAAATAACTTCTCTGTGTTAATTTTCAAACTCATCTAGAATTTTGTATAGCCTGATTTATTGATGCAATGGTAGCCTCCACATACACTCTCTGGCAGGCTATCCCAGAGGTCATGAAACTAAAAGGCTCCCACACCAAATGAAAATGTTCAAATTACAGCTTTTGTTACATCCATTTTAAAAACAGTGAAAAGCAAGAAGAAAGATATTGGATAGCTTAGCACACTTAGGAAAAGCTGCAAGTAGGCAGAAGGACGAACTAGCTGAATTCTGGTTACACTAATAAACACGTGCCCTGTTTCTCTCTGCTGTATCAGCCTCCCCTGCTGACTGCAGTACTTCTGCAGCCTCTCTAAGTGGTTCAGGCTTTTTGATGTATCACTTGTTGGTTTTTAAATTTCTCTTGCTATACTGAAAACAAATATGAATAACAAAAACAATCCGTTCTTGCAAAGGGAAAGTGCTTCTCTTTGCATTCTCTTTGCATTTCTTCTTTTTTTTAATGTTTGGCTTCATCATGCTCTCTGGTACTGTCTGGTTAACTTACACAGGCTGATAGAATAGGTCAGGGTATATTATGTTCTGATATATCATATAGATGTATGATATAGATAGAGATCTATATCTATATATAGAGGAGAGGAATAGATATACTCTATTCAGAGTAGACATATAGATCTATGTATCTCTATATAGATACTTATATATAGAGAGAGAAGTATAGCTCTACTAGCTACATTTCTAATGTTTATCATAGTAACAGTATGAGTGTCATCCATACTGCTTTTTTTCTTGTCTTCTTTAGCAGAGCTGAATATTCTCAAGTAAACTAACAATAGCTGACCCTCCTATCCCTTTTAGTTATATCAACCCTCTGAACATTGGAGAGTGGCCCCTCGGGACTGTCAAATAGCCAGGTTTATCTTTCAGAGCATTATTGCACCCCAGATAAAACAGTGTGCTCCTCATCTTCATTCACCCAACATTTCTACATCAGTGAAATGAGAAGTTAGGAAAGGAGGTGGTGAAATTAGATTGCCTGAATTTGCATGTTAGCTCTGCCACTTTATTAACGTCAATTAACAGTTTATTAACAGTCAGTTAACACTATTAATAAAGTAGCAGAGGCAAGATGCAAATTCAGACAAGAACTGGATATGTTATTTTACCACTCTGTTCCCTATCTCTAAAATGAGGATAAAACTTTGAAAGGTTACTGTGAGAATTGAATTTTATAATTAACACAAGGTGCTTAAAATACTGAGCATACAATGTTCCGCAAATGTTAGCATAAAGGGGGGGAAGCACTATCTAGACTCATGTGTCGAGCCATGTGTATAATGTAAGAACTCCTTTTTTCTACTAGTACCAAGTGGGAAAAGGTATCTCTTCTTCCTCAGGAGTTAGGAAGGAACAAGCTATTGGTAAGATTTAGACGGAAGAGAAAAGACTAGATGGGCACTAGAATATAGCAGTCAAACTCTGGTATTTTCTAGTTATGTTTGATACACTGACCCTAAGTCATCACAAATTCTAGAGTAGACAGCCTGAGTTATGTGTATATTTTGGATATGACATTTCATTGATAATACTTTATTCTTCTAGTATTTCTGATATTATAAAGAAAGCATATAAAATGGGTTATCATGTCCCCAAAGTGATTTGCAGAGAAAAATGGTGCTTATTTAACAATCTAGTCTTTGCTCTCCCTTGGAAATGGATTTTTATGCTTCTTGTTGTTTCTTGTACCTTCTGCTTTTAATGAATATTCCCTGTGTTAGTTTGCTAGGGCTGCTATAACAAAGTACCGCAAACAGAGTACTTAAGCAATAGCTATTCATTGTCTCATAGTTCTGAAGGCTAGACATCCAAGATAAAGGTGTCAGCAGCATTGTTTCTTTATGAGAGCTATCAGAAATAATCTGTTTCATGCTTCTGGTGGTTTGATGTCAATCTTTGGTATTTTTCAGCCTGTAGAAGCATTACCAAGATCTCCACCTTTATCTTCACATGGTGTTCTTCCTGTGGGTAACCATACTGTAGTTTGAATGTGTCCCTCAAAAGTTCATATGTTGAAATTTTGGTCCCCAGTGCAGCAGTGTTGAGATGTGGGACCTTTGGGAGGTGATTGGGTCATGAAGGCTATGCCCTCATGTATATTTTAATTCATTAATGGATTATTGGATTAATTGGTTATTGAGGAAGTGGGTTTGTTATCACAAGTAGATCTGTTGTAAAAGCCAGTTTGGCCATCTCTCGTGAGCTCCTCCTGCCTGTGATGACTTCTGCCATGTTATAACATAGTAGAGCTCACCAGAAGCTAACCATAACCACCTTCACCAGAAGCCACCTGATCTTGGACTCTCCAGCCTGAAGAACCATGAGCCGAAATACATCTCTTTTCTTCATAACAAACAGAGTACCTGTTTGTTATATAATACCAGTTTGTTATAACAAACAGGTATTGTGTTATAACAACAGAAAATGGACTAAAACAGTCTGTCTTCAAATTTCCCCTTTTTAATCAGGATACCACTCATATTGTATTAGGCACCCATCCTGTTCCAATATGACCTCATCTTAACTAATGATATCTGCAGTGACCCTTTTTCCAAATAAGGTAACATTCTGAGATACTGGGATTTAGGACTTTAACAGCTGAATTTTGGGGAGACATGTCAGCCCATCACACTTCTGAATTTACATGTGATTCCTCTATGCAGACAACTTTGCATCCCCTGAGGAAAGATAGTGGTTTTTCTTAAGAGAAAATGACATTTGTAATAGGAATTTTAAGATTTTATTACTTCTTCTTTCATCTCCTCAAAGGAATGAAGAAATGTTGGTGGGCAGATCTTCCTTTCCCATGCAGTATTTTCCAATTAATAATACTTCTTTACCTCAAGAATATTTTCTCTTTCAGAAGATGGTAAGTTTAATATGCATTTTATTTAGTATATAATATGATACAAACTATGAAGAACATAAAGGCTATTTGTAACATATGGTGCCCAAATCTAAACTGGGATGAAGGCACAAGATGTCCCAGCACTGTCCTCCAGTGGTGTCCTGGCCTAACACCATCATCCTAAATTTCAGTTCTAATGCCTTAGCAAATGGCCAGGGTGTCAACAGAAAAGGGATGGACGGCAGTGACGACATACTGCAGTCCAAGTGAAATTTGAGTAGAGAGTTCTAATGTAAATGACTATTTTAAAAGACGTTTGCAGTGGCCAGACATGGTGGTTCACACCTATAATCACAGCATTTTGGGAGGCCAGGGCAGGATCAATTGAGGTCAAGAGGTCGAGACCAGCCTGGCCAACACAGTGAAACCCTCTCCATCATAAAAATAGAAAAAATTAACTGGGCATGGTGGTGCACACCCGTAACCCCAGCTACTCGGGAGGCTGAGGCATGATTGCTTGAACCTAGAAGGTGGAGGTCGCAGTGAGCCAAGATTGTGCTCCAGCCTGGCCAATAGAGCAAGACTCTGTCTCAAAAGAAAAAAAAAAGATGTTTGCAGAATTGCATAATTTGAATAATTTCACTTAGTGAAGTATTTTTATATAATGTCATCAATCCCAAATAGATTGCTTTTGGACATGGATTTTTAAAGTAAATTTCTCCTTTTAATTAAAGACAAAACTATCCTTCTTGAGTATATACTTAGTCCTTCATGCACACATCACAGGGGAAGGATATCATAGCAATGAAGATTCTCAATTGGTCGAGTAAACTAAATTATTTCCAGAGACTACCAAAAATTGGTTTTGACCCAGAAATCTTAATTATGGACTTCATTGTTAAAGGTGAACTCATTTTTTTTTAATTCCTCATAAATAAGAAATTGAAGTCCAGGGTTGTTAATCTACAGTCCCAAGATTTTCAGCTTGTTAGTGACAGGTGTAGGACTAACCCAGGTCTTCTGATTCACAGACTATTATTTTTGCAAATACCCAACGTATATGTGAGCTTTAGATTTGTTAAATATCCATTTTCAATTTTTAAACAGAAATTTTCCTGTAAATTGATACTTTTTAACTTTTGCTAAAAAAAAAACCCTTTTCTTAACTATGGTAAAACATTAGTAAACAATCAGTTCTCGTCTGAAACTATAAATGTCTTCATCGAAGCATTTTTTATCTTTTGGTAGAGATGGGGTAGGAGAGAGACACAAGTTCATGGTATCTCTATTAATCTTTAATCTTTGAATAGTTAGAAATTTGAGTTAAGAGCTTGTTTGTTTTTAAAGGAAGCATCTCTCTAAACAGTAAATAACTATGCTATAAAATATGGGGGCAATTTGCCACATATGCACCTAGGAAGCTGAGTTTTAAAATTTTATTTAATTTTAATTAATTTAAATTAAAATTTAAAACCGATACTTGGTTCGGTTTTCAGAAAACTTTTAAGTATATTTGAAACAACTTGGCCATGTGAGTATATTTTTTTCAACTCTAAATTTGATGTAATCTAAATTCAGATCAGGTATTTTCAATAAAAATTTAGCATTCAGATTGAGATATGCCATGAGTATAAAATACACCTCATATTTTGAAGACTTCACTTGAAGAAAAAGTAAAATATCTCATTAATTTTATATCATTTACATATTAAAGTTATAACATTTTAAATGGATATATTGGGATAAATAAAATACATTGTTTAATTTCACTGTTTCTTTCTACTTTTGTATTGCAGTTACTAGATTTAAAACTACATGTGGGCTGGGTGCGGTGGCTCACACCTGTAATCCCAGAGCTTTAGGAGGCTGAGGCGGGTGGGTCACCTGAGGTCAGGAGATCGAGACCAGCCTGACCAATATGGTGAAACGCTGTCTCTACTAAAAATACAAAAATTAGCTGGGTGTGGTGGCGTGTGCCTGTAGTCCCAGCTTCTTGGGAGGCCGAGACAGGAGAATTGCTTGAACCCAGGAGGCGCAGGTTGCAGTGAGCCAAGATTTGCCCCACTGCACTCCAGCATGGGCAACAAAGTGAGACCCTGTCTCAAAAAAAAAAAAAAAACAAACAAAAACTATTTCCATTGGATAGCACTAATCTATATTGTAGTGAGCTATACACAGCCTCAACTCTTTATATTGACCCTTTAATGAAACACCTACCTTTCTACTATGAGAGGTCACTGTCTTTCTTATACCAAAACACAGTTTAGTTTACTCATGGCTATTGTATAATACATGTAAACTGTTAATTTTTTTTCCTTAACCTTTTGGATTTGTTTTGGTAGATGAATGTCTTGTTTTCACAGCAGTGGCATGTGTATAATCCAGTGCTGCAGCTTCCTTACTATGAAATGACAGCTCCACTTCCTAATAGTGCATCCGTGTCTTCCTCACTGAATCATGTTCCAGATCTTGAGGCTGGACCCAGCTCATATAAATGGACTCACCAACAACCAAGTGACTCTGACCTTTATCAGATGACAGCTCCACTTCCTAATAGTGCATCCGTGTCTTCCTCACTGAATCATGTTCCAGATCTTGAGGCTGGACCCAGCTCATATAAATGGACTCACCAACAACCAAGTGACTCTGACCTTTATCAGATGAATAAACGAAAGAGACAAAAGCAAACAAGTGATAGTGATAGTAGCACAGACAACAACAGAGGCAACGAATGTAGCCAAAAGTTCCGAAAGTCTAAGAAGAAGAAAAGATACTAGTATTACCTACAAATGAAACTTACCTACACTGATCTTAGTTCTCTTATGAAAAAAATAAGATGTTATCCCATCAAATAAACAATGTCATGGCTATCTTGTCTTTTGAAATATGTAGTAATAAGACTTATCTCTGGTTTGCTGTTCAATTTTTGCCTTGAACGACAAAAGCTTTCTAAAAATAGTATAATGTACCACTTTTTGTATTTGTCATGATATTTTTGACCCATTGGCAACAAATAGACTATTGTCATTTTATTAGTACCAATGATGAAATTTCACCAAACTATTAATCAAAAGTCACTTATTGAACACATTGATAAAGCATCATGTTCCCTTTGATTATCCCCTATAACCAACACTCAACTACAAATAGGCTGGGATTCAATGTGGAGTGGTGGATTTCCTGAAAGAAAGTAGTGCAGATATTTAAGGATTGCATATTGTTCCTAATGAGGATGTAATAAACAGGCATTAGTACCCCTTTCTTTTAGTACCTAAATATGTTGTTTCTGAGCCATATTCTTCTTCAGGTTTATTTTATAAAGTGAGGACATATGATAATGATACCAAAGGAAAGATAATTATCATGAAACCAACTTTTGGATCATTCCCTTTTTATACAATTGTGTATTTATAGGGATACCTTCCTCTTCTCACATATTAATTGTATGTCATTAAAATCAGTTGGCTATGTCAGTGTGTATTATTCACCTCTTTTGCTAGCAAGGTTTGAGATGCTATATTAACATTTAAATCATGAAAATGAGCAAGTAAATAGAATAATATTTTATTAATGTATGATATGTAATACTTATTGTCTAAATCAAGTTTCCTATTTTTGGTTTATTTATTTTAGAAGAAAAATAAAATTATTTGGGCATTTTTGTTTATAGCTCATTACAAACTAGAGTGATGAATATATATATTTACTAAAGCTAATTGAAAGAGTCATGCAACTCAGTTGGGAATTAACCACTCAATTCAATAGTAAAAGCCATGCTTGGATGTTTCTTTTGCATGTTGCCTAGCATTTTATAGATATTTATTATTTAAAAAAATAAAGATATGTTTTTAATGAAGAGAGTAACTGAATTTTAATCTTGGTTACAAATATATAATATAGTGAAGTTTGAAACATAAATATTAGTTTATTTCTATCTAATCAAAATGAAAAACTAAATTTTGCTTTATGTAGCTGATATGGTTTGGGTCTGTGTCCCCACCCAAATCTGACCTTGAGTTGTAATCCCCATTATTCCCACATGTCAAGGGCAGGACCAGGTAGAGGTAATTGGATCATGGGGGCAGTTTCCCCCATGCTGTTCTTGCGATAATGAGTGAGTCTCATGAGATCTCATGGTTTCATAAGCATCTGGCATTTCCCCTGCTGGCACTCACTTCATCCTGCTGCCTTGTGAAGAAGGTGCCTGCTTCTCCTTTGCCTTCTACCATGATTATATGTTTCCTGAAGGCCTCCCCAGCAGTGCAGAATTGTGAGTCAATTAAACCTATTTCCTTTGTTAATTACCCAGTATCAGGTATTTATTCATACCAAATACAGTTATTTGGTACCAGGAGTGGGACACTGCTGTAAGGTTCCCAGAAAATGGGGAAGAGACTTTGGAACTGGGTAACAGGCAGAGGTTGAAACAGTTTGAAAGGCTCAGAAGAAGACAGGAAAATGTGGGAAAGTTTGGAACTCCTTAGAGACTTGGAGGGCTCAGGAGACAGGAAGATGTGGGAAGGTTTGGAGCTTCATAGAGACTTGTGGCATAGCTTTGATCACAATGCTGATAGTGATATGGACAATGAAGTGCAGGCTGAGGTGGTCTCAGGCGGAGATGAGGAACTTGTTGGAAACTGGAGTAAAGGTCACTCTTCTTGTGCTGTAGCAAAGAGACTGGTGACGTTTTGTCCATGTCCTCTATAGATAGAGATCTGTGGAATTTTGAACTTGAGAGAGATGACTTATAGTATCTGGTGGAAGAAATTTCTAAGCAGTAAAGCATTCTAAGAGGTGACTTGGGTGCTCTTAAAAGCATTCAGTTTTATGCATTCACAAAGATATGGTTTGGAATTGTTTAAAAGGGAAGCAGAGCATAACAGTTTGGAACATTTGCAGCCTGAGGATGAGACAGAAAAGAAAAACCCATTTCTGAAGAGAAATTCAAGTCAACTGCACAAATTTGCATAAGTAATGAGCCAAATGTTAATCACCATGACAATGGGAAAATGTCTGCAAGGATGTCAGAGGTCTTTATGGCAGCCCCTCCCATCAAAGGCCCAGAGGCCTAGGAGGAAAAAATGGTTTCATGGGCCAGGTCCAGGGCCTTGCTGCTTTGTGCAGTTTCAGGACTTGGTGCCCTGCATTCCAGCTGTGGTTAAAAGGGACAAACATACAGCTCAGGCCATTGCTTCAGAGGCTGCAAGACCCAAGGCCTGGCAGCTTCCATGTGTTGTTGAGCGTGTGGGTGCACAGAAGTCAAGAATTGAGGTGTGGGGACCTCCTCCTAGATTTCAGAGGATGTGTGGAAACACCTGGATGTCCAGGCAGAAGTTTACTGCAGGGGCAGAGCCCTCATGGAGAATCTCTGCTAGGGCACTGCAGAAGGGAAATGTGGGGTTGGAGCCCCACAAAAGTCTTCACTGGGACCTTGCCTAGTGGAACTATGGAAGAGGGCTACTGTCCTTCAAACCCCAGAATGGTAGGTCCACCGACAGCTTGCACCATGCACCTGAAAAGCTGCAGACACTCAACACCAGCCTGTGAAAGCAGCCAGGAGGGGGGCTGTATCCTGAAAAGCCACAGGGGCAGAGCTGCCCAAGGCCATGGGAGCCCACCTCTTGCATCAGCATGACTTGGATGTGAGACTTGGAGTCAAAGCAGATCATTTTGGAACTTTAAGGTTTAATGACTGCCCCTATTGGATTTCAGACCTGCATGGGTCCTGTAGCCTCTTTATTTTGGCCAATTTCTCTCATTTGGAATGGGCATATTTACCCAATGCCTGTATCCTCATTGTATCTAGGAAGTAACTAAGTTGCTTTTGATTTTACAGGCTCATAGGTGAAAGGGTCTTGCTTTGTCTCAGATGAGACTTTGGACTTGGACTTTGGGTTAATGCTGGAATGAGTTAAGACTTTGGGGGACTGTTGGAAGGGCATGGTTGTGTTCTGAAATGTGAGGATGTGAAATTTGGGAGGTCCAAGGGCGGAATGATATGGTCTGGGTCTGTGTCCCCATCCAAATCTCACCTTGAATTGTAATCCCCATTATCCCCACATATCAAGGGCAGGACCAGGTGGAGGTAATTGGATCATGGGGATGGTTTCCCCCATGCTGTTCTCATGATAATGAGTGAGTCTCAGGAGATCTGATGGTTTTTTAAGCGTCTGGCATTTCCCTGCTGGTATTCACTTCATCCTGCTGCCTTGTGAAGAAGGTGCCTGCTTCTTCTTTGCCTTCCACCATGATCATAAGTTTCCTGAGGCCTCCCCAGCAGGGCAGAACTGTGAGTCAATTAAACCTCTTTCTTTTATAAATTACCCAGTCTCAGGCATTTCTTCATAGCAGCATAAGAACAGACTAATACAGTAGCTTTATCTATAATTCATGTTTTTGAAAATTTAAACTGGAAAATACAAGATTTTTTTCTTTTAAAATTCACATTTTTGCAACTTGGAATCATGCCAAAGGGAAAAATATGTTTCTGAGTAATTAGAAAGTAATAGATCTTTAAACAACTTATTAACTTCCACTCAGCCTTTCCTTTAGTTCTGAAGTTTACCTTAGCCCTAAATTATTTCATTGTGATTGGCATTTTAGGAAATATGTATTAAGGAATGTCTCTTAGGAGATAAGGATAACATATGTCTAAGAAAATTATATTGAAATATTATTACATGAACTAAAATGTTAGAACTGAAAAAAAATTATTGTAACTCCTTCCAGCGTAGGCAGGAGTATCTAGATACCAACTTTAACAACTCAACTTTAACAACTTCGAACCAACCAGATGGCTAGGAGATTCACCTATTTAGCATGATATCTTTTATTGATAAAAAAATATAAAACTTCCATTAAATTTTTAAGCTACTACAATCCTATTAAATTTTAACTTACCAGTGTTCTCAATGCTACATAATTTAAAATCATTGAAATCTTCTGATTTTAACTCCTCAGTCTTGAAATCTACTTATTTTTAGTTACATATATATCCAATCTACTGCCGCTAGTAGAAGAAGCTTGGAATTTGAGAAAAAAATCAGACGTTTTGTATATTCTCATATTCACTAATTTATTTTTTAAATGAGTTTCTGCAATGCATCAAGCAGTGGCAAAACAGGAGAAAAATTAAAATTGGTTGAAAAGATATGTGTGCCAAACAATCCCTTGAAATTTGATGAAGTGACTAATCCTGAGTTATTGTTTCAAATGTGTACCTGTTTATACAAGGGTATCACCTTTGAAATCTCAACATTAAATGAAATTTTATAAGCAATTTGTTGTAACATGATTATTATAAAATTCTGATATAACATTTTTTATTACCTGTTTAGAGTTTAAAGAGAGAAAAGGAGTTAAGAATAATTACATTTTCATTAGCATTGTCCGGGTGCAAAAACTTCTAACACTATCTTCAAATCTTTTTCTCCATTGCCTTCTGAACATACCCACTTGGGTATCTCATTAGCACTGCAAATTCAACATTTTCGATTGCTAATTTTTCTCCCTAAATATTTATTTGTTTTCTCAGCTTTAGCCAATGTTTCACTATTGACCATTTGCTCAAGTATAGTGACGCTTCAATGACCTTCAGAGAGCTGTTTCAGTCCTTCCTGGACTACTTGCATGCTTCCAACAAAATGAAGCACTCTTGATGTCAGTCACTCAAATAAATGGAAATGGGCCCATTTACTAGGAATGTTAACAGAATAAAAAGATAGACGTGACACCAGTTGCTTCAGTCCATCTCCATTTACTTGCTTAAGGCCTGGCCATATTTCTCACAGTTGATATGGCGCAGGGCACATGTTTAAATGGCTGTTCTTGTAGGATGGTTTGACTGTTGGATTCCTCATCTTCCCTCTCCTTAGGAAGGAAGGTTACAGTAGTACTGTTGGCTCCTGGAATATAGATTCATAAAGAACTAATGGAGTATCATCTCCCACTGCTCTTGTGTGTGGTCAAAGTTCAGATCCTTTACAGTTTCCACATTCTACCTCTATTTCTACTCATCCTAGTAAAGCCAGTTACTTCAGAAATTAGTCTGTCTCTCATTAATTAACTCCTCATTAAGAAAAGTCAACTAATAGCCTGGGCTTGATTTGGGGGAAAATGAGCACTAATATATAAATCTCTGGAAATCTTATTTTACTTTACAAAACTCAAAAAGCTTTTTTTTTTTTTTTTAACAAAGGATACTATTTGCTTCCACACCTCAAGCCCAGGTGAGTTCAGTGAGTACGGTTTCTCCAATTTGCCCTGAGATTTGCTGAGGTACTTGGTGAAGATTTTATTTTGCCTAGTCAAAATGAGTTCTAAAAAGTTACAAAATGCCCCAGCTGTGGGCTAAGTTTATTTATTCACATCAATCATTCCCAACCCACAAAAATTACCTCATGTACATGCAGAACCTGCCATAGCAAGTAAAGGCAAGCAATCTATTATCTGGTTCCAGGTGAAATTTTCTTTTGAGCTTCTAATACCAACTTCGCACCAGCAGGTTATATAAGGATTGACGAAAACACATACATACTTATATTGTAATTGGATAACATAACCAGTATATAAAGATGCAAACTAATGTACTCTCTGTGTTAAAAACTTGGAATGATTGATCCCAACAAGCCTTTATAACAAGTTTTACTGCAAGGAATCTGAATCTAACAATAGTTGGCTCAATTACTTTACCTTGTTTGGGAAACATAATCAAAACATTCTCTAAATGATAGTGTTGATCAGTCCAACATACTATATGAATCCTAATAATGTTTTTGCTTCTATTTTCATTTGAGAAGAGTAACATCCTGGATAGGAAAATAACCCTCACCCCAGCCACGTACCCCAAGCTGACTATGTCTTCATTGATTTTATTCCAACCTCCAAGGTTAATCACAAGGGAAACCTTGCAGACTCATTCTGCAATCAGAACTTGTCAATCAGAATCCTAAGAGTTATTCTAGACAACTTCCCATGTACATTTCTAGGAGGTCATTAGCTCCTCATTGTGACCTTGTTCAGTTTCTCTTTATTTCTTGCTTAGAGTATCCATTAAGCAAATCAATCAACAATGATTGAATATAATTCTAAACATTAATTTTAGTGCTGAGGCTACATTACTGAAAATGTATGGTCCCAACATTCGAGAAGCTACTGGTCTACTGGTATCAAGTCACTTGACCTTGACTTGATAGATGACATCAGGATAATGCTATAATATAATATAGGTAAACACAGAGCATAATGAGAGTGCAAGACAAGCTTCATTCCTCAAGAAAATAAATCCTGGGCAGAAAAAAGGGAATCACCTGACTATACAGAATAAAGGAGGTAATCCAGGAGTTCGACAGCTTTCTGTACAAACTCTCAGCCTTTCTCATATCTTCAGCTCTGCACTTCATCCTTCCTTAGAAAGGTGGCATCAAGTTTTAAGCCTGTGCAAGTAAAATGGCTTGCTGCTTGCTAGTTACCACTCCATCGCCTTGAGAATATAGGGGCTTGGGATATGGCAGTACATAAAAAAAGATAAAAATCCCTGCTCTCATGGAACTCATATTCTATCAAGAAGATAGAATAATTAAGATAAATAAAATATAAAGTTATATTTTAATAATTGATAATTACGAGGAAATGCAGGGAAAGCTTTAGGGATTACAGAGCCAAAGCTGGAGAGAGAGTAAGCCATATGGATAGCTGAGGGAAGAGCATTCCAAGCAGAATAAACAGCAGATGAAGGCCCACGGAGGAAGCATTCCTGGGAGAAAGTGAAGGAAGCCAATGTAGTGGAGGAAGTTGACTAAGGGACCTTAGAAGTTATTGTACGGACTTTGACATATATTCTTAGTGAGGGTGCTTTGTGAATGGGAGTGGAGACAAGGATAGAAATATTGAGACCATTGAAGTTAGCCAGCCAAGAAAAAAGGATTGCTTGGATCAAAAGGTAGAAACAGAAAGGTAAGATGTTGTCATATTCTGGATATACTTTAAAGGTAGAGCCAACAGTTTACTAAGCATCCTAATATTGAGAAAGAATAAATGGCATCAACAATGATTCCAAGAGTTTTGGTCAGAGCAACTGGAAGAATGAAGTTACTTATTGATATAGAGGAAACAGTGTAGGAGCAGGTTTTGGAGAAAAATCAGGAGCAGAATTTTGGACATGTTCATTCCGATTTGCATATTAGGCATCTAATAGGAGATAGGAGTTTGTACACACAAGTCTGGAATCCAGGGAAGAGGTCTAGGTTGACGATATAGGCATTAGAATTATTGGCATATTCGTGGTAGTTAAAACCTAGAGACTGGATGAAATTGCCTTAGAAGTGAGTGAAGATAGAAAGGAAACGAGTCCAAGGATTGCCCTGGGTCTTACCAGTCAGTATTTGTACCTCAAGGAGATGAGGAACAGCCAGCAAGGTATAATGACAAACAGAATGCGATGTCTGTGAAACCAAATGAAAAAATGTTTTAAGGAGGAAGATACAGTGAGTTGTGTCATATTCTATTGACAGGTCAGGCAGGGTGAGGACGCAAAACTGATCACTGGCCAGGTGCAGTGGCTCACGCCTGTAATCCCAGATATTTGGGAGGCTGAGGCAGGTGGATCACTTGAGCTCAGGAGTTCAAGGCCAGCCTGGCCAGCACGGTGAAACTCCATCTCTACAAAAAAATATAGAAAGTATCTGGGCATGATGGCTCATGCCTGTATTCTCAGCTACTTGGGAGGCTGAGGCAGGAGAATCGCTTCAACCCGGGAGGTGGATGTCACAGTGAGCCGAGATTGCGTCACTGAACTCCAGCCTGGGCAACAGAGTGAGAATCAGTCAAAAAAAAAAAGAGAGAGAGAGAGAGAATTGACCATTAAATTTAGCCATGATCCTTGATCTAAGACATTTTGAATGTCTTGATTCTGACAAAAGCATGATTGGAGTTATTTCAAGTGAGAATAGAAGTAAATAAGGGGAAGACTGCAAAAAGGAGATAACTTACTCAAATGTCCTGTTGTGAAGTGGTGCAGAGAAGTAGTACCATAACTCAAAAAGGATAAATGATCAAGAAAGATTTTTGGTGGGTTTGTTTAATCAAAGACCTAAAGAATTTCTAAAATGTAGTGGTTTATTTTTTCATTCTCTGTGATTAAACAGTTTTTAAAAAATTATTTACATTTGTTGTAATTGGATTTTTGGAGGAAGAAGAGTTAAAACTGTCTGGTTTTCATATGTCATGTTTAAAAAGAAGTTCTGTGTACTTATTCACTTGTTTTTAAAATCCTTTTTATTAAGGTCTTAAGAAAATTAACTGTTTGTTTTTTGTGTATGTTTCACAAAATTTTCCAGTTTGCTTTTTGTTTTCTTTCAAGAACAGAAGAGTTTAATTTTCATATCATTAATATGTAGTCAAACATCAGTGTTTTTTATGGTTTCTAGGTTTTTATAATTATGCTTAGAAAACTCTTTTACAATCAAAAATTAAGGGAAAACATCAATTATGTTTTCTCTTAGAATTTTATTACTTTTAATATTAAATATTGGATCATGGAGTATTGCATTAGGATATAAGGAGGTAAAATCTTTAGATTTTAAAAAGTACAACTGAAGCAATTTTGAGTTTGTTTTTCATTTGTTTGTTTTTCCGAACACCTGCTTGAAGGCTTATTACACCAAAATACGTAATTATATTCTGACTTTAGGTAATCCTGCAGAAGATGCAGTCCTGATGAAAGAAGTGAATATTCCAACTAACTTAATTTATTCCCACCTCAGCCATTGGAATGGAAGTTTGAAGCAGAAAGTAAGTTGAAGTAAAGAAGGTTTTACCTTAGCTGAGTTCGTAGAATGAGATGCCAGCCTTCTGCATAGAACACATACCACACTCAGTAAGGGGTTCCAGTGAAGCAGATTCCATTTCCACCTGAGGTAACAGTAAGTTTTATGCAGATGGTCACATTAAACTCGAATTTAGAAGAATTAGTGGTATTTTGAAACATCCAGAGTGAGAAGACTATTTAAATGGCCAGTTTAGAGGCAGAAAAATAAAAGGCATAATACAAACATGGAAAATAATATTGGGGGAATTTAAAGAATTTAAGTAAGACATGGTTAAAGACATTTTGAAATGTGAAAGCCAACTAAATAGAATTTAGGCAAGAAAAATCTGAAGAAATATGACACACTTTAAAATAATGTAAGAAATTTGGCTGCTATCATTAATTTTTTTAATAGATGAGTGAGTCTCTAAGGAAAGTCAACTGTCAGCGTTTTGCAAGGAGCAAGACTTTCTGAAAATGACCCAGGTTATCTGCTCTTGACAAAGAAATAGCTGAAATGAGGATTTTCTCCCACTTCTCCTAGCCAGGAAAGTAAAATCCAAGCCCAATTTCCAATGGAACAAGAGGCTTCCACAGTTCTACCCACAAGAAGTGGGGACTGAAACTTCCCATGTGCCCAGGCTCTTCACGTTCAAGGCAGTAGTGGCCTCTACAACAGCACACAAACCCACAAGCACACAGCTTCAGCACGCTTCTCTGAGGGAATAAATGGAGAATGGTAAACTGTGCCTTATCTTGTCTTGCTCTAAACTTCTCCACTGAAGTCTATTCTTTAACCCATCTATACGATGGTAAGAAATTTATGCCGAGTCCTGTTGTAAGACAAGTGGTGATTCCAAAGGGACCCATCTTACAGGACATCAAACTATAAGAAACAAGTGTTTGAAACCATGGACACAAAAAATTAATGGATCTCTTTTTCAAACTGTGGATCTATGGAGCTATAATTTGTTTTTCTTAATAAAGATGCAAATCAGAACAGCCATTTGCTGCAATTTCCACCTTTCAAATAAATGCATACAAGTAAAACCTGATTAAAATAAATATCACATTCAGAAAACAGCAATATAAGAAGCTCCAAAAGATCAGCCTGTGAATTTTACATGGAAATGGAATAGGGGAAGTTACAGGTCATTACTTTGATGAAAATCCCAGATCTATTTTTCCAGCAAACTGGGTCCACCTCCACCTTCTACCCACAGAACATCCAGCCACCTACACACTAGCTTCTTCCCCCTCACCAAGTCCATCCAAGTAGAACTTAGCCAGTCATTCTGATCCACTGCACCCTAGGAGTAATTGAGAACCATATGAAAAAAATGTGTGCAGGATACCATAATGTTCTTTTCTGAAGAACATTAAAGATAAATTCACTGAACTGTATCAAAGAACTAAATTTTCAGGCAATGGTATGAAAATAATATTAATCAAGCTTTCTTTGTTTACTGCAAAGTTCATTACTCTATTTTGGGAGTAGGAAAGTGAATGAATGAATGAATGAATGAATGAGGGACTAAGCTGTAAGAGGTTAATAATCACAATAACTACTATTTATTCAGGCTATTGCACTCCAAACATTAGCCTTGAGAATAACACCATAGGGATGAGGAAATTGCAGTTCAGTTGCCCAAAAACACACATCTTTTTTTATCAAAGAAAAGCTAGAATACAAATCTTGTGGGACTCGTTCCAGTGTCCTTAATATTTATTACCACACTGATGGTACTAAGGATCTACTTGCAGGGTCTACAATAACTGGAAAGTGATTTCAAATGAAAATTTGCTTAACAGAAATGATGATTAGCTCTTGCTAGAACTGATTTCATTGTTACCAGTCTCCTAGATATAATCTAATCCTTAGATATAGACTAAGGATGAAGCTCTATGTAAATATTCTGCCTTAGCTTAATGTAAATTTCAGATCTATTAAACTTACTTCAGGAAAATGAAATGGAGGCTTTCCTATAATATTCTGTGCAAGAGAACCATTTTATGATAAAACTGCTTTTTTATTCTTTGACCACTTAAATTGTCCTACTTTAGCTTTTTATTTCTCCAAGTTTCAATAATATTCACTATTTAGAAAATACGTTTTCTTGACAAAATATGCACTATTTAGAAAATATAGGTACCAGAAATTTTTTAAAAAAACTAATGAAGTGAGTGTGTGCTTAAGAAAAGAAGTATCGTACCCAAACAAAACAATGCAAGTAAATTTTGAATGCAGAAAAACCTACCTTTTACAAAGATGAATGACAATGAAATGTCACCTTCTTAACTATTTTTATGTACTTCACTTTTTTGTTTTTGCTTCATTCAATTTTTATTGAATCAAACTTTAAGCAAACTTGCTTAACGAAATCTGAAATTGGGGAGTGACTGTATTGAAATTTGAAAGAAAGCTACAATGTAAGGCAGGGTTGTTGCCCAGAGAGCCTAGCAGCTGCCTGACAAGACACCTGACAAGCTGGAATTGTTGAATTCAGCAGGGTTCAGGGTCTAGTCTTTCATTTTGAAGTTCAGGAGCCTGATTATATCTGCACATCTATTATGGATTGCTTCACATTAAATAATCTCATTTACAAACCAATCCCTCTCTCACCATGATTGACATTATAACAACCATTTTGATTAAAGGATACAACTTCTTTAGGTCACATATTTCTAAAGTAGCTAAGCATACATGACCCACAACAGGCTAGTCTTCCTTGTGATCTTCCTCTTCTAGCCAAAAGTGATAAGTCAGTACTGGTGCTCAATCCAAAGTAGGCCAATCATGGTTGATTCTGCTGGAAAATACAAAAGAGAAAGAGTAGCTATATTCAGAAAATGTAAATCTAAGGGCTGTCTGTAGCCATGTTTTCATCTTGTGGATAAATGAAACATGAAGTCCTTTACAGAATATATTAACATTAATCTGCAGAGAAAGCAGGAAAAAAGAAAATAATAAAGGCATGTGAGACTTCCTAAGACCTAGTAGTTTTACAATATGTTCCCTCTTTTCGCTTAGGTATTTGATTTGGATTCTAAGTAATACACTCTTTAATACAAATATTTTTTGTAAAGTAAAAATCATAGATCTAGCTGGTAGAGATCTCTCTGTTAAAATCTGAATTCCGTCACTTCTAATCTTTTACTTAGAGGAAGTTGCTTAATAGTGCTTGTCTGGGTTTTCTCTTCAGAATGATTGTGGTAATTTACATTTCTACCAGCTGTTTATGAGATATTTTCCAACAGTTTCACCCTCACTAGATATTTAATGTCTTTAATATTTGCTAATCACCAATCTAATAAATGTGCTACTTTGTTGATACTTACATTTTCATATGCTTTATTATAAAATAACACATATGAGGAAAAGAAGGTTGAATTTTTTTTCTTGTTTATTAATCATTTCCTGATTCATGTGAATTAAATTCTTGGTACATTCTTCCTATTAGGGGCTCATGTTTTTCTAAATTATTTTTAAGAGGTCCTTATATAGCAGAAGTAACAACTATTGGTATCTGTAATTTTTGCAAATATAGTTTCCCTGTTTGTCACTTGCTTTCTATTTTGTTCAGATATCTTTGAGCTGGAGAATTTACAGTGTGTACTCAAGCCTAAGTCTGTTTTCTCTGTTTTGGTGTATGCCTTGTTTGATTTTCTCAGGAAGGCTTTTTATTATTAAATTATGCGACTATTTCTAGCTTTTCCTCTGGCATGTTATTTCATCTTTCACATTTAAATGTTTAATCTACCTAGAATTAATGTTATTGTGTGGTATAAGTTAAGGGTCTATCCTCCTCTATGCTCCAGTTGGTTAAAGTAACTCTTCAGCTGTATAGTAAATCCTTACTTGTTTGTGTCTCGGTGTTTTTTATTCTAATCCATTCAACTATCTGGTTTTACAATACTGCATTGTTTTAATTACTCTAGCTTCCAAATAATGTACTATTTCCATAGGCTTTTTCATTTCCATAAAACATTTAAACTAATAAAGTTTTGTTGCAATTAAAATGTGTTTTTCTGCTTGTTTTATTTGATTGATGTAAAATACTTTAAATTCAATAACTTCTTACCAATAATTTTATAAAGAACCTGACAAAATAATCACTTTAAAGAGTTAACTTTGCTTTGAATTCCTGTCTCCTCTTTTCTAATGTAAGGTGAAAGATCTACAGTACTGGCAATTCATTTTAAAAATATATATGAAAAGACTGCCCTTCTGTGACAATATAATTCACACTTTTACCAATTTTACTAGTTTTCAGTAGACTTCAGGGTGAAGAGGATAAAACAGCATCCATACTTTTGAACATTTATGTAAATATATCATTAGAAATAAATAATAAAGGGAAATTTATTTCCAAATCACTCTCCTTTTTTCTTTTCTCACTTTTTTCTTCTCTCTCTCATCTTTGTTCAACTGATAGCTCTTGTAACACAGAAATTTATGTTTTATTATGCATATTCTTTACCAATTATAAAAATGGGCCAATCCTATTTCAAGTGGTATTGATACCTAATACTGAAAAAAGGGCTAAACGTCCCATAGTCTTTGAACATCTTTATGTTAAAAAGGTGTTGTACTACGTAGAGAGCTTTATTCTGTGACTCTGTGGCATCTGGAAACCAGGAAGAGCCTGCTCTGGAATTCATATAACATGGCCTCTGGCTGAAGAGTGGAAATACCAAGTCTTATTGGAGAGAGTCAAGGTGGTATAATTATTACAGGTAGACATGTGTATGCCCACTGTGTCTTAAGTGAACGTGTATGTGAAAAGGAGGAGGAACTGTAGCACATGGCAGAGTTATCTGTTCTCTCTAGGCTGCTAGATTTAAGAACACCAGAAACAGCAATCCGGCTTCAACTGAGAAATCTGCTGAGGAAGTTTTTTCTAGCTGAGACAAACATGAAGGCAGGAATGTTTTGTAGGTCTGCTATAGACTGAATGTTTGTGCCCCCACAAAATTCATATGTTGAAGCCAAATACTCAGTGTCATGGTATTTGGAGGTGAGGCCTTTGGAAAGTAATTAGGTCATGAGGATGGAGCTTCCATGAATGAGATTACTATCCTTATAAGAAGAGACATAAGAGAGCTTATTTCCTCTCTCTTTCTGATCTCCACCACGTGAAAATATAAGGCTGTCATCTGCAAACCAGGAAGTAGGCCCTCACCAGATACCAGATCTATCAGCACCTTGATCTTGGATTTCCCAGCCTTCAGAACTGTAAGAAGTAAATGTTTACTGTTTAAGCCAGGCAGATTGTGGTATATTTGTTATAGCAGACTGAACTGACTAAGATAAGGCCTAAGTAAATCTATAACAAAGCGTGTAGGCAGCAGGCTAAAAATGCCTTTGCATTTATGGAAGTAACATTCCTTGACAAAGCTCCCCTTTAGTGCAGCAATGAAATTTCAGAAAATGAAAATTAAGAGCATTTTCCGGATTGCAAAGATAGACATCCACCTTTGCAAATGTCTAGTCTTTGTAAGATAGTAGCAGTGTTTCAAATGACACTTGCAGAAAAAGAAGAGAATATGTTTGAGTGAATTTTCCCCAAAAATGTGGTAAATATGTTCATCAGAATAATTTTTCTACTAGGAAACATCCTTAAATGACTTTAAATTTGCAATTTATGTATCTATACAATGAGCACTGATTGCCTGGTATTAAATAGCCCTAACATTCTGTCAGAGCTGAAACCAGATTCTTACAATAGACTTGGCAATGCTAAATACTGGGTTCTGTAATAACAGCCCTCACAACTAGGAGTTGGCTTTTGACTAAATTGGCTGGTCAGTGCTATGAGATTCATGAGCGTCCTATTAGCTACGAACATTTGAAAAAAATGTAGCCAAAATATGGAATCAACCTAAGTGTCCATGAATGGAGGAATGAACAAAGAAAATGTGGTATATATGCACTCACACACACATGCACAATGGAATATTATTCAACCATAAAATAAAAAGAAATGTTATTTAAAACAACATGGATGAGCCTGGAAGACACTATGTTAAATGAAATAAGCCAGGCACAGAAAGAAAAATACTGCATGATCTCACTTCTGTGTGGAATCTAAAAGTTAAATTCATAGAAGAGAAGGGTAGGATGGGGGTTACCAGGGGTCACGGTGATGGGGGTATAGAGGAGAAATGAAAAAATATTGGTCAAATTGTACACAGTTTCAGTTAAGATCTCCACCCAAGATCTATTGTTCAACACGATGACTACAGTTAATACTAATGTACTGAATACTTGAAAATTGCTTACAGAGTAGATTTTAAATGTTGTCACCACAAAAAAAAATAGGTACATGTGGTGATGGATATGTTATGGGGCTTGATTTAATCATTCCACAATGTATACATATATCAAAACATCATGTTGCACCCCATAAATATATATGCTTTTAAAAAGAACAGAAACAAATTTACACTTGGGGATGAATTAACTCTCCTCTAAGAAATCACATACATTTTCAGTGATTTTGTACTGTGTGAATATAGCTAGGCTAGTGCTACATTTTCCAGAATTCTCTTCTTTGTAATTTCAGGCCAGGGCCAACCATAGGAGAAACGATAATTGGAACGGCCCCAAAGCAGCCACCACTAGGCTTTATAGTTCTATGCAGGGCATCAGGCAGTATTGCAGTGCAAAGAACTTTGTTACTGGTCTGCTGGCTCATGTTGTTGGTGTGGGTCAGGAGGCAAGCCCACAGAGCCTCCACATCCCGTGGATCTCCCAGTTTAGCTTTTCTGAGTCCTGAAGCAGGCATGTGTACAGTTCTGTAGTAAACACAGCAGCTACGCATACAAATCACTCACATCATCATGGTTGGATATTTTGAGAAGTGGGTATGGTTTCCAGTTTGTCCTAGGTCACTGATCACGTGTGTGTGTGTGTGTGTGTGTGTGTGTGTGTGTGTGTTTCCACTTCTGGCCCTATTGATCTATAGCAACTTCAGGCTGCCCACCAAATGCAGTGGTAACATTCTTCTATGATTCGTCTACCCTATATTAAATCCTGATTCCTTATCATTCATGGTAAGTCTTCTTCCCTGGTTGTAACCTATAAAGTTGGGTGCCTGGAATGAAGGTGTTACCACAACAAAAACCCAAGCCCATTGGCTCTGGGACAAGATAGCAAGAAGAAGATGAAAAGGACTTGAGAAGACCTTTAAAGCTGGAAGGGGCTTCACGAGACAATGAGGATGCCAAAAATATTGAGGATATTGTTATTGGAAAGTTCAGTCACACAGCTCCCTGTTGTAATATGGAAATTAAATAGGATATCTAGCACACTTTTTGATTTAGTTGGAGAGCTTTGCAGACAGAATAAGAAAAATGCCCCCAGGCTTTTTCTAGCTTCCTGTAATTAAGTACAACATTGGTTGGGGGAGAGAGGCTAGGAAAGAAAGAGAGAAACTGTTCCATTTTAATTTATATTTTAGGAATTTAGAAGAAATATAAAGGACCCAGAGATTGTTGGATTTGAAAAGAAAATGTTTATTCATCCCCAGTTATTGCAAGCAAAAATTCTCAAAAAGAAAAGAAACAGCTTCAGCAAATATAAAATCCAGCACACTAAAAGAAACTCAGGATAAAAATCACAAGTATGTGGCTGCTATAAATCATTTAGTTGAGACCTCAAAAACTGTAAGGATGAAACGGGAGAGTTCCCTGATCCCCCTCACTGGACATGTGACAGGGGTGTGGCTTGCCTGTTCAGTTGAGCTATTTGATTGCAAAACATGGCCATTCTGTGTGGAGGAGGACCCAGAGGTCAGAATCAATAGCACAGAAGGCAGTAACAAGAAACAAGGGGAATCATTTCCAGGAAGCAGACCTGTTCCCAACCCTGAATGTCAGAATTACTAATAACCAATAACAGCCGTGCCTCTGTATTCCCTCCACTTGTGAACTGGAGTTTCTACTGCACTTACCTTTCTTCATCTCACCATTGTGTGGAATTACAAAAAGTCTTTTTAGTTCACAGCTTATCAGATACAGAGGAACAAGGGCCAATTGGCCAGAACACCTCATCCATACCTGGATCTGAATTAGATGATAGCCCCTTGAAACCTGGCCTAAGAAAGGTGCTATAATGCAATGAGAACTTCACAAGACTCATGGGAAGGGTTAAATGTATTTTGTGTATGGTCAGAGGGAAGGCAATGGCTCATTAAAGATGACCATAAATTCTTTGACATTCATCTCATGTACTTATGGGGTATACATGCCTTCTCCTTGAACCTAAATGGGCTCTTTGACTGCTTTGGCAAATAAAACACAGCCAAAATGATGTTATGTCAGTCCCTGGGCCCAGGACTTAAGAGATGAACATTTTCATTTTGTGTCTTGGAATACTTGCCTTTGTAGTCTTGAGTCTTCACATAAGAAGTACAATTATCTTGCTAGAAGGACCATTTGGAGAAGTTCTAAGACTACATGGACAGGGAAAAAGCCCAGATGAGCCCAACCTTCCAACAATTCCTGCTATGGCTAGGCCTGTGAGTGAACCTATTTTGGATCTCTGAATCAGCTCACCAGCTGAATATTACCACATGATGCCCATCAACATCACAGGGAGCAAATCATGAGATATAATTTTTTTTTGTGTGTGTGTAAATAAATAAGGCTTGGGGTAATTTACTACACTGAAATAGATAACTGAAATTATATCTCAATGTTAGGCATCCCAGGCTTCAGCTGCTGGGACATGGAAAAAAAGCCATCCTTATCATTTTATTATGGCAAAGGCAAAGCACTTCCCCTTTTCTTGGCCTTCATGGCAGTGAGTTGGCCTCAAGGTATAGCTATTCTTTGCTTCCCATACTGTAAATCTTACCAGCACCATTCTTACTGGGTTAGTAAGCTTTTTAAACTTTGGAATCCAATAATTGGAAGCCATTTGTATTTCATACCCAGATACATCCCCCTCCCAAGCTTTATCAGCAATAATTGTGTTTTGGCCTCCATCTACACTCTTTTGTTGTATTTCTCTTACCTTCAGAACTCAGGTAGATATGGGAGTAGGGAAAGGAGTATTTCCTTCATCCCCTTCTAAACTTCATCAACGTGTAGTATTTCTGCCAAGCCCAACATTCAGAATTTTAATGCAATCAGATTAGCTTTATTTGCTTTTAAAAGGCAGTAAGAAGAAAGGAAAGAACTGATTTATTTGTCATGTTCCATTAACCAACTCTAATAACTTTCTATATGCTCCCTAAACAATTTAAATGCATTTCTGCAAATTGACCTGCCTTTAATCTCTTTGATACATATCTGTTAACTGGGAGGTTTATATCTACATAGACACCTATACCTCCCTGTATTTAAAGGGTGAGTAAAATTATACAGCTTTAATACTTATTTTGTAAATTTATTTACCTCTCATTTCATTTTAAACATAAAAATTCCATTTAGTCATATGCTATATCCATAAACCAATATGTTTTAAACTTAGTCTGAAAAAGTCATAGGAAATAATTTACATTAAAGCTGTTCTAAGAATTCACAACTTCTGCTTATTGTTGGCTTTTGGTTTCCTCTCAGAGTTGGCCATCTGGGTAGCTATTTCTTGGACTTCTTCCCTCACACCTATGCTCCAGCTACCACAAGGCACATAACCTGGAAAGCTTCAAACCTGGTTTAATCTTCTTAGGTGAAGTAAGATTACAAAAGCACTGTTTATCTCACTAAAAACCTTTCATTTGGATTACTTGGGAGTTCCTTCCAAAGGGACATGTGTGTAATGACAAGACATCCCTTTCTTTGGTCTCCATGCTTTCTTCAGCAGGGGTCAAGGAGAGCTCCATATCTCTGTGTTCTGGTGAGAGACTCACCACTCTCTCTTCTCCCAACTCTAACCCCTGTGCTCAAAGCTTCTTCATCACTATTTCCCTTAAGACCATTAAGATCAATCTTATTATGCTGTTTGTCTTTATTTACCTCAACCACTACTAAAAACACAGGTCATCCCTCATTTCCCATACCATAGGCACCATTAGGTATGTGAACATCCCTATGCAGATTTCATATCCCACCCGTTCCCATTTTGGAGCTTTTCTGCTATGTTTTATGAACTCACAGTCATTCAACAGCAAAATCCTCTGTGTCCTTAACTTATTTTCTTACCTTCCTAGTCTGAAACTAGATTCTCTCCTAAAGACACTTGTTCCTTTGCAGCTTTCTTGAGTAATAACTGTTTTCTCTTATACCCTCCTCATACAACTTGGCCTGGAGGAAAGAAAGTTGCCTCTTTGCTCAACATTGCTACTTCCAGATCATGCTCCTTCTTCCCTGCCATTGCGATATATTACTATCACCAGCCATGCCTCCTCATTGTACCATTCATAGTGCTCTCATGTCTTGAATTTAACACCTGGCTCACTGTCAGTCTTTTCAACACTGTTCCTGCCAAAATTCTCAGTGATTTCAAGTATAAGACCTAGTTGATCCTTCCAAATCACTGGATCTTTGATTTCCTAAACTTTTCTCTAATGATTTCAACTCTTACCCTATCTAATACATTCACTTTCATCATTGTATGTAAGACTTGGCCCCATCAACAAAAAATGCAACTTCTCCATATTTAAATTTCAAGAATCCCACTCTTCGCTGACCACCTCCTATTTTTCCACTAACAGATATGGACAAGAACAAGACAGAGTTTGTGAGAGCTGATATGATCATGTTTTAAACCCTAGGCTAAGGCAGCCTAAAGAAACTGCATTTCATAAAATTGTTTTATTACTTTATTTTCAGAAATTTGAATATTTTTCACCTCTGTGTGTAATACTATATTAGACATCTTTGTGCAAATTGTTGATTTGTGTATGTATTACATAACAACATACATCTCCAAGAGTTAATGGATGCAGAAGGATTCATTTTAGTACTCCTAGTATATTATTTGAAAGTGGTTAGCTGGTTAGCTTTGATCTAAAGAGTTATGATTATGATGAGTGCTGGAGAGATAAAATACTTATTTTTCCCTCTATAATTCAGTATTGTTTGAACTTTTAAATAAGAACCATCATATATGAGTCAGTTATGTAACTAAAAGCTTTCAGTTTTGAAAATAGCAAGTAATATTAACCAGTGATTCACAAAAGAAAAAAAAACTATCAATGGATATATAAGAAAAAATGTCCCAAAGATGAAGTCTGAAGCCAGTATGAATATTCTTTTATTCTTTGTATCAAATTAATTATTCTACCTTCATAATTTTAGAATTTTTCTCAATACTTGTATTAGTTTGTCCTCGCACTGCTATAAATAAGTATCCAAAACTGAGTAATTTATAAAGAAAAGAGGTTTAATTGGTTAATGGTTCCAAAGGCTGTAGAGAAAGCAGGATGCTGGCATCTGCTCAGCTTCTGGGGAGGCCTTAGGAAACTTACAATCATGGCAGAAGGTGAAGCAGGAGCGTCACATGGCAGGAGCAGGAGGAAGAGAGAGAGAGTGGGGAGGCTCTACACACTTTTCAACAACTAGATCTCCTGAGAACTCACTATAGAATACCAAGGGACGGTGGTGCTAAACCATTAAGAAGAAATCACACGCTCATGATCCAATCACCTCCCGCCAGGCCCCACCTCCAACAGTGGGGATTACAATTCAACCTGAGATTTGGATAGGGACACAGACCCAAACCCTATCAATACTATTGCCATCTTATTTATAGAATATTTAAAATGTGACATTCTTCTCATTGATTTTACCTGAAATACACTTCATTCTTCTAAATTGGCCTTTTTTTCCACTTATGGGATATACAAGAACACTCTTTTTCTCATCCATCTCTTTTTAAATTACATCTTATTCACTTTCATACCAACCTGTTCTTTCTTTGTAGTCTTCTTCTCATATTTAATTAATGTTGAAGCATCTTGTGTCCTGAAGAGAATAATAAACATGCTCATTACTACATTTCTTAAAGTAAGTATTTTTGGAATTTGCCTCTTCTCCGAAATATCATGATTTGTTCTCTGTTGCTGTATAATACATTTTAATATTCCCTCTTTTATAAGTACACTCATTCCTAAATGAGGAGAACTCTCCCAGCTGCAGTGTTAACCCAATTACATGAAGTGAGGAATGAGTTTATGTCCATTGAGTTTCAACTGGGGTACAAATCTTATTCTTACCTGGAATCAGAGGGCTATGGGTGGACCATGGGCTGAGTTCATATGCTCTTTCATTGCTATGAAGGCTTTTATCTGTTTGGGTTCTGCAGAAATTAAATGAGCTCTTTCTATGTTCACCTCTGGCTTTTTAACATTCCTACCAGATAATGCACATGGATCTGTAAAATCCCCAGTGTGCACCATGAGAGAAGGTCTTCCTGACCCCCTCCCTGTTTCTCATGCTTGTTGTAGACATTACATCTTGCAGAAAATAGTAATCTGCCACCACCAGTTTACTTTCAGATGGCCCTTGGTTCCATCCCATTTGTATGATAGGAATTTTGGTCTCTAATGTAATGTAGAAAAAGTTCACTTAAAATTTAGATGTTGACATGACAAAGTAGCATCGAGGCAGTAGATCAATGGCTGTCAAGGTTACTATTCAATAAAGATATTTGCATTTAGAAACAGGAAGAAAGTCGCAGAGAATCAAGAAAGGATGGCTGTTGTGGGAAGTCAGGGACCCCAAACAGGGGGACGGGCTGGAGCTGTGGCAGAGGAAACATAAATTGTGAAGATTTCATGGACGTTTATCATTTCTCTAATAATACTCTTATAATTTCTTACGCCTCTTACTTTAATCTCTTAATCCTGTTATCTTCGTAACAGGTCACCTCAGGACCCTGTGATGATTGCTTGTTTACTTTTGGGATAATTTGAAAACAAAATCAGTCTTTGTATGGTATTTTTCCCCCACCTGCTTGGTTTGATTTTTGTTTATTTTATATCTCATGAACAAAAGTGTTATTTAATAACTTCTTGCCATTTTAAGAACATGACTGTAATTAATTTGCTTCACTCAGCTTCTAAGATAACCACTAGTATAAACAGAATAAAATAAAACTCACAAATTGTACAAACTGATTGTAAAACATGTGTGTTTGAACAATATGAAATCTGATTGTAAAACATGTGTGTCTGAACAATATAAAATCAGTGCACCTTGAAAAAGAACAGAATAACAGTGATTTTAGGGAACAAGGGAAGATAACCATAAGGTCTGACTGCCTGCCGGGTCAGGTAAAAAGAGCCATATTTTTCTTCTTGCAGAGAGCCTATAAACAGACGTGAAAGTAAGAGAGATATCGCTAAATTCTTCTCCTAGCAAGGAATATTAAATATTAAGACCCTAAGAAAATAATTGCATTCCTTGTGGAAGGTCTATAAACGGCTGCTCTGGGACTGTCTGTCCTATGTGGTTGAGATAAGGACTGAGATATGCCCTGGTCTCCTGCAGTACCCTCAGGGTTATTAGGGTGGGGAAAAAAAATCCCGCCCTGGTAAATTTGAGGTCAGACCACTTCTCTGCTCTTGAACCCTGTTTTCTGTTGTTATGATGTTTATCAAGACAATACATTCACAGCTGAACATAGACCCTCATCAGTAATTCTAATTTTGCCCTTTGCTTTGTGATCTTGTTTTTACCCTTTGCCTTGTGATCTTTGCTGGACCCTTATCAGGAGTTCCTGATTTTGTCCTTGCCCTATTTCCTCGGAAGCATGTGATCTTTGCTCTGCCTTTTGCCCTTTGAAGCATGTGATCTTTGTGACCTACTCCCTGTTCGTACACTCCCTCCCCTTTTGGAATCCCTAATAAAAACTTGCTGGTGTTGCGGCTCAGGTGGCCATCACAGACCTACCAATGTGTGATGTCACCCCTGGTGGCCCAGCTGTAAAATTCCTCTCTCTGTACTGTTTCTCTTTATTTCTCAGGCCAGCTGACACTTAGGGGAAATAGAAAGAACCTATGTTGAAATATTGGGGGCAGGTTCCCCTATAGATGGCTTGCTGTTTCCCACAGCTGAACTCATTGGCCACTTACTTCCATCAGCCAGGCAGTCTCCAGAAAATTCTCCCAGACCCAGGCAAGATACTACCATGGCTGTTGTGAGTTTTATTTTCTTCTGTTTCTACTAGTGGTTATCTTAGAAGCTGAGTGAAGCAAATTAATTACAGTCATGTTCTTAAAATGACAAGAAGTTATTAAATAACACTTTTATTCATGAGATATAAAATAGACAAAAATCAAACCAAGCAGGTGGGGTAAAAATACCATACAAAGACTGATTTTGGTTTCCAATGATCTCAAAAGTAAATTTAAAGTACTGATATTTTCTGTAATTTTCATTTTTTTAACTAGGAAAATCATATAAAGACATGCTAGGACAATTCATTTAAACATAAAAAATAAACATTTCATAAAAATCACATCAGTGCTGATGACTTAATGGCAGCCTAATATCCTGAAAGTAAACTAATCTGTCACCATAGCTTTTTTTTTTTTTTTTTGAGACAATCTCCTCTGTTACCCAGGCCGGAGTGGTGCAATCTTGGCTCACTGCAACCTCTGCCTCCTGGGTTCAAGCGATTCTCCTGCCTCAGCCTCCTGAGTAGCTGAGATTACAGGCATGCACCATGAAGACTGGCTAATTTTTGTATTTTTAGTAGAGACGGGGTTTAACCATGTTGGCCAGGCCTGTCACCATAGCTTTTGAGGGCTATTTGGTACCTTTAAATCAAATAAACTGGGTATTAATTCTTCTTAACACTCACCTGAAGATTCATTGTTTATTAATACTTAAGTCAAGTGTGTAATGATAAGTAATCTGATTGCAGGCACATATACATTTAATTTGATTTATATGGTTACTTAGAACATTTTCAGAACTTACCATATTCTAGCAGTTCTAAATTCCCTATATAACAGGTCCTTTAATATTTCTTCATGAAATGGAATACCTGAAATCCATATCCATCCCATATTAAGTACAGAATCATGGACCAATGAAATTTGCATAATTTTATATGCAAAGTGGGAGACAATGATCTATCCCCACGTTGGGGCTAAAGTACTAAGATTGTCCTAAGTACCTTGTAAATGCTTAGTAAATATGATTTTCCCTCTAGACCACAATAATTATTCCACATTTGTTCAAGAGTTCTATTTGTACTTATGAGAGGGCACATGGAAATGGACCAACATTCTGTCAGTACAAACACTGAAAAGCAAAGCTTTGTTCCCCAAGAATGAGAGAACACTCAACAAAGCAGCATGGTTTAACAGCTTGCAATGTTAACAAAAGGATATTTTACAGTATGTTCAGCTCTCCATATCTCTGTGCCTATGCTTATCCATTGAATCAGATAATTGATATCATCCTTTAATTCAGTTATCTGTGCAAGAATCTATTTTAATATTTCTTTACCCTGTAGAAAACAGGATTAGAAGAGGACTATACCTCATTTCCTCAATTTTTAAGTCCATTATCTAACTAGCATATTCAGATTGTGAAGGAAAAGTTGCTATAATGTGATACAGCAGGAACAGTGAGTTAAAATTCTTCCTAGCAAATCCAAGGCAACTATATTCACATCCTAGAGTGCAGTGATGATGGACATAACTAGATATTCGGTGTTCAACATATCATTTTACTTTATTCTACAGTTTTATCTATGCAAAGACAATGTTCGTGTTCTGACTTATCATCTCCTCTGCTACCATGGAGACACCAATGTTTAAAATACTTTACAAAATTCATTTTTGCAGTGAGAAATAGAAGAGCAATATATGTTTTACATGTGTCTGAGAATTGTTATATTATAATCCTGCAGCTTTCTGAAAGACAAATAGCAGTTGATAAATACAGAATGGTTATACAGAATTATCAATCCTTCTTAGTGGCTTTCAGAAGGCTAAGGAAATCATTTCAGACTTAAGAACTATGAAGCCAAACTAAACACTAATCCCAGAAAAAGACTCCTTGTCTTGCATTCTAACCATAAGTACTTCCTTTGAGATTTCGTAAAACAAGAAAACAAAAGCAAACAAACAAACAAAACCCTTAAAAACAGGGTTTGGCTATTAATCCAACTAATTCTTATATGCGGAATTTTTTTCTGATTTATCAAATCCAGTAGAGAGTAACAACCAGTTAACTACACAGTAAGCAAACTCCACTCTGACAACCATAATTCAAGAAGCTGTAGACATCAAGCTTCTAGTAAAAAGTACAGAGTCAGGGGCATTCAGTATATGTTAGGACTGATCAATTAACTCTCCTTGACCCTTTGCTCTTCTCTCATGATGCTTTTTGTCAAAAATACAGTCATCATCACTTAATCGTGGGGATATATTCTGAGACATGTGTCATTAGGTGATTTAGTTGTTGTACCAACATCATAGAGTGTACTTACACAAACCTAGATAGAAAGACTAACTACCCACCTAGGCTATATGGTATAGCTTATTGCTCCTAGGCTACCACCCTGTACTGCATGTGACTGTCCTGAATACCACATGCAATTGTAACACAGTGGTATCTGTGTATTTAAACATATCTAAACATAAAAAAATACAATAAAAATGCAGTATTATAATCTTATGTGGTCAACCACCGTATATGCTGTCACATAGTTCAGTTGTTGACTGAAATGTTGTTATGTGGTGCCTGGCGGTATCTCATCCATCAACTCTGTGAAGCACACCTGTGTCCATATTCCATCCCCCACCAAGCTCACCCTGAATACCAATCCCTTATACAAAAATGCCTATTGTGTGCTATAACTGTGGATATTGAATGTTGTTGATTGTTTGGAAAACAGGGGTGAAAAGCCAAGATTCAAAATAATAGGAAGTTCTGCTTCAAAAACTAAGCACTTCTCCCTGAATTCCCTCTCAGGAAGGGAACCCTTCTTGAAATGTATCTCAGAGGTGACAATGGACAGCTTTTTAAAAAAACTCCTTTTAATCACACACTTGTGTGTGCATAGGTATCTGGCTGACACCTGATCATTAAGAATAAAATAGATTATTTTGGTCCACAGAATTTCACAGATGGGTAGTAAAAGTCAGTTGCCAGTTCCATTAAATAAATAAAACAACAACAACAAGAACCTTAGTAGAGCTCCTTTATAAATGATTTCTTCTACTACACAAAACAGGGTGAATCACTGTGAAATGTGGCCAGGTTAATTAATCAAAAGGAAGATGCTTTTATTTGATATTGTTCATTGACAGAATTTTTTTTTCAGAAAAGCCACTTTTGCAAAATATGTAGGAAAAATACTTAATATAATTATAATTCCTTAAGAACTTAAATACATTTCAAAAATATTATCTAAAAATGTGCTACAACTAGCTTAGTCTATTTCTAGTGAAGTGTTAAAAAAAGAATTAAAGAATTAATCTTAAAAGCTAGCATCTGTGTTTTCATTGTGTAAAATCTTTGTTTAGAAAAATACCTTGAAAAGCCACTAGAGGGCAATAATTAGCGAAAAACTAGGAAATGTAAAATGTACCAGGACCCGACAGAAATGAATAGGATGGTGTGGGAAAGAACAAAGAAGAAAAACTGAGGTAAACTGAAAGAGGAGCAAGAGAGAAGACAATTACAAACATGGTGCAAGACTTCATCCATTATTGGCAGAAGGTGCCACGGGACAGTGTTCACTATTCAGTTTCAAATTTGCAGCAATATCAACCTAGACTGTCTGTCCAGAGCACCAGTAAAGTCAGCAATGCCAGCAAAGGCCTTCTGTGAATAGGGTGTGTGTGTGTGTGTGTGTGTGTGTGTGTGTGTGTGTGTGTGTGTGTGTTGACAATAAGGAAACCTCTGGAGTCGGTATTTGAGTAAACAATGTTTGGAACAGTGCCAATATATTACTTGTCTTAACTTAGTAGAAGCAAGAGTTTGAAAGTAAAGATGGCTATGGCAATGACTATATTGAGTACTCCTAGAAATCTTGGAGATGCCTTTTAATTTTTCACAAGACATGAATTTAGGGTTTGAACCAATCTTGTGATCTTAAGTGGCAGGAACAGTTTAGCTATCACAAATTGTAGATTAAACACAAATACACAGAACACTCCTTAATTATTGAGGAAAAGATTAGCACAGGGCTTTTAAGGGGTTGCTGGTTCACAGTGGCAGATAAAACAGTCATATGCATACACACATATATAAGGCAAATTTTGGCATAAAAAACAACACATATACATGCTTTATTTTTGGCATATATATGTATAGGTGTGTGTACGTGTGTGCGTCATATATATAATATATATATATGTTGTTTCATATGCCAAAAATCAGGCATATAAAACAATAGGAAGTCCCAGAAGAAAGAAGAGCCCAGTACATTTATGTAATACGCTGTTCCTAAAAGTGGGGGCAGCAATAAAAGTACTCTAGACCCAGAGTTTGCAGATATCAGGAATAAGGAAGTATCCAGGAGCAACTGCCAGTGTGATCTGTTATGTTATTTGCAGAAGGATCCCCTGGGCTGGTTTTCCTCTGCCCATCTCCTGTGGGATCCTCCTGTGGGGAGCAGCACCAAGGCGCTAGAACTCCAGGTGGATCTGCAAGAAGTGCATCACACTTACCACTGACCTTAGCAGGTGTTCTTTGTTTTTATTCCATTTATATTTACATTTTTATGATAGAAAACTATACTATTTGAATATCAATATTGTTACTAATTCTAGGGATGTGGACCAAACAGATAAATGTAATCAAAATGGTTTCATTTTATAAAATTTATTTTTTATTTCTAAGTCAATCATTTTAATAGGTATGTACTGGTATCTTACTGTGGTTTTAATTTACATTTTCCTAATGAATAACAATGTTGAATATCTTTTCATGGCTTTTTTGCCACCTGAATATATTTTCATTGGTCTGTTCAACTCATTTAAAAAAATTGGTTGTTTGTATTCTTAGTATTGGGTTTTGAGAGAATTCTTTTTATATTCTGGATATAAGTCCATTATAAGATGTGTAATTTGCAGATATTTTCTCCTAGCTGGTGCTTGTCTTTTCATTCTCTTAACATGTTGTTTGAAGAGCAGAAGTTTTGAATTTTACGAAGTCTAACATCAACTTTTTTCTTTAACTTTTATTTTAGCTTCCCAGGTACATGTGGAGGATCTCAGTTTTGTTACGTAGGTAAATATGTGCCATGGTGGTTTACCGCACAGAACAACCCAGCACCTAGCTATTTAGCTCAGCATCCATAAGCTATTCTCCCTGATGCTCTCCCTCCCGCCATCCACCCAAGACAGGCCCCAATGTGTGTTGTTCCCCACCATGTGTCCATATGTTCTCATCTTTCAGCTCCCACTTACAAGTGAGAACACATGGTGTGTGGTTTTCTGTTCCTGCATTAGTTTGCTGAGGAGAATGTCTTCCAGCTCCATCCATGTCCCTACAAAGGACATGATCTCATTCCTTTTTATGGCTGGATAGTATTCCATGGTGTATATGCGCCACATTTTCTTTATCCAGTCTATCATTGATGGGCATTTAGGTCGTTACCATGTCTTTGCTATTGTGGATAGTGCTGCCGTGAACATAATCATGCATGTGTCTTTATAATAGATTGATTTATATTCCTTTGGGCATATATCCAGTAATGGGTTTGCTGGGTCAAATGGTATTCTGCTTCTAGATTTAGAGGAATCATCACACTGTCTTTCAGAATGGTTGAACTAGTTTACATTCCCACCAACAGTGTAAAGGTGTTCCTTTTTCTCCACAACGTTGTCAGCATCTGCTACTTCTTAACAAAGATGGTTGTAGGTGTGTGGCCTTATTTCCCAGTTCTCTATTCTGGTCCATTGGTCTATATGTCTGTTTTTGCACCAGTACCATGCTGTTTTGGTTACTGCAGCCTTCACTTTACAAAATTTCTAACATATCTGAAGGGTTGCTAACTTCTCTTACAAGTTAGGGAAGTCAGTATACCATAAAGCACTTGGGTGATACTTTGTGCATTCCCTTAGAGAACTATTTCCTTAGAAATCCGAAGCCTGTCTCTGAGTCAGGGTAATTCTCTGTCACCTTGAAACTCACTTTTGGGTTCATTGTGATTCTGCATTCTGTCCCATTTCATGGCTTCCTAGGAAGAAAATATAAACTGGTTACTAATAGGCCTAGGGGGGAGTCCAAGAGTAGTGTTTGGTTTTGGAGGAATTCGCTTTTTTTTTTTGAGGCGGAGTCTCGCTCTGTCGCCCAGGCTGGAGTGCAGTGGCGCGATCTCGGCTCACTGCAAGCTCCGCCTCCCGGGTTCACGCCATTCTCCTGCCTCAGCCTCCCGAGCAGCTGGGACTACAGGCGCCCACCACCACGCCCGGCTAATTTTTTGTATTTTTAGTAGAGACGGGGTTTCATCGTGTTAGCCAGGATGGTCTCGATCTGCTGGCCTTGTGATCCGCCCGCCTCGGCCTCCCAAAGTGCTGGGATTACAGGCATGAGCCACCGCGATTCTCTTTTAAAGGTGAAAGCTGTTTGCCCTGAGAGAGTACTGGTCTCTTCCTCTCAAGGGGACTATACTGTTCTTATTTGGCCACTGAACTGATGGTTAAGTACAGTGGGTTAAGAGAACAAAAGGCCTAGAGATGTTACAGGGAATATGTTGTTCCCTCTGCTCATGTTTCTACTCTGTAGATATCCCAAAAGGGATTTTTTTTTTAAATTTTTTATTTCTATAGGTTTTTGGGGGAACAGGTGGTATTTGGTTATATGAGTAAGTTCTTTACTGGTGATTTGTGAGATTTATATTTAGAATTTATATTAATAAATATAAATTTATTTATACTATATATAATTAAATCTACATAGTAGATTTATATTTATGTAGATTTCTACTATAGTAGATCTATATAAGTTATAATATAAATATATAGAGATTTATATTAGATTTACCTAATAATTTATATTATAATAGATTTACACAAATAAATATCAATATATTAATAAATATACATTTATTAATCTACATAGTAGATTTATATTTGTACACATATATCCTATTGATTGTATTTCTCTGAAGAACACGGATGAATACGCTACTGATCTTATCATCCTTCCACCCTCACATTTGCCCATACTTTATACAACCGTTTGGTATTGCTATTTCACTCTTTAAGGGGTGTATCACAGGTTGGGTTCTACAGGAAGCAGACTCTGTGATGGAGTTTAGCATACAGTATGTTTCCTAGAGAATGCTCTTGGGATCGCCACCAGTGACAAGGAAGAGATGTGAGCAGCAATGGGCAGAGGAAAAGGTGAAGAGTGAAGGAGGCCACTGCCTCTTCATAATCGGAGCTATCCTGTTTTGCACTGAAGTGGTCTGGTCTTTGTACCCCAATGTCTACCAGTCATTTACTGTAGCCACCACAGAAGTGTGTGGCCTTTGGCCAGACTGCTCTTAGCAGCTGAGACAACCCTGTGAGGACTTGGCAACTAAAGGCTCTCTGCTGGCACCTATCCCAGCAAACTTTGGGGTGACAAATCCTCCTTGAAGGTTGTCTGGGTGGTGCAGCTTCATGTCCCCCACTGGGTCATTCCCTGATTGCTTTTATTACAGATTCTCTCCCTGCAGTTTTTCTTTGTTTCTTTCTTTTTTTTTTTTTTTTTTTTGAGACTGAGTGTCACTCCTGTCGTCCAAGTGGGAGTTCAATGCAATGGCGCGACCTCAGCTCACTGAAACCTCCGCCTCCCGGGTTCAAGCGATTCTCCTGCCTGTAATCCCAAGTAGCTGGGATTACAGCCACCTGCCACCATGCCCAGCTAATTTTTTGTATTTTTAGTAGAGACAGGGTTTCAGTATGTTGGCCAGGCTGCTCTCGAGCTACTGACCTCAGGCGATCCACCTGCCTTGGCCTCCCAAAGTGCTGGGATTACAGGCGTGAGCCACCGCGACCAGCCCCTCCCTGCAGTTTTGAAAGAGAACTTATTCATAGTTACTACCTATAGTATTGATGGAGAATTTATCAATAGTTCCTATCTGAAGTTTTGAAATAGAACTTATTGATAGTTTCCCAAATTCTGGCTCCTTCTGGGAAACATCTAACCTCCTCCTTTTTTTCTCCAGTTGGATCTCTTGAGATTCCTCTATATCACCTTCTTTCCCCCCGGAATTACTCCCTAGCTTGCTTCTTGAAACTAAGTCGGTCTAGGTATGTTCTTTGAGTTCTAGTCCCCTTTTCTCTCTCATTATGGGTCTAGTTTAGCTTCTGAATACTCAAACACCCTCTGTATCTTGAAGTTTTAGCACTCAGCCAGCTTGTCCTCTGTTGTTTCTTAGAGCTAACCCTGTTATCTGAGTCAGAATCCATCTCTACAAAAAATACAAAAATTAGTCAGGCGTGGTGGTGCGTGCCTGCAGTGGTGGTGCATGCCAGCTACTTGTGGAGTTGAGGTGGGAGGATCACTTGAGCCTGAGAGATCGAGGCTGCAGTGAGCCATTTTCACCCCACTGCACTCCAGCCTGGGTGATAAAAAGAGAGCTCCTGTCTCCAAAACAAAACAAAACAAACAAAAAAACAGTCCAACTACCAACTATATGTGACTTACAATAAACCAACTAATGGAAAAGGAAAGGTATACTGAAATATTGAAAGTAACAAAATATAAAATCATACACCATGCAAACATAAACCAAACAAACAAAAGCTGGTATAACTTTATTGATATCAGGAAATAGAGACTTTAAAGCAAACATTATTACACACGTGATAAAGAGGGCACTTGAAAATAATTGAAGATTCAATTCACTAGTTTGAAATAAATTTAATGTTGTGTGTACTTCATATCATATTCTCAAAACACATAAAGGGAAAAGTGCCAAAAGCACAAGGAAAAATACCCAAATTCACAATCACAGCAAAAGATTTTACACACTTTTATGCATAATGGAAAAAGCAAGCATACAGACAAATTCATAAGAGATTTAGACAAATTGAACAATGCAATTAGTGAATTCAATATCTTTGTTTATCTTTCTATATCCATCTGACTGCCACCCCACAAACAAGAACACTGCACAGTTAGAGACGGAAACTTATACAAGGTCATAGAGCAAGTCATTAAAAATTGTAGAGTTTTAAATCATATGTATATCAAAGGTTGGTAAAATATGGACCAGAGGCCACCTCTAGCCTGCTGCCTCTTTTTGTAATAAACTTTTATTGTAATAATACAGCCTCACTCATTCCATTACTATTGTCTGTGGTTGCTTTCATACTACAATGGCAGAGTTAAGGAATTGTGTCAGAGACCTAATGTTCCCAAGATTTGGGGTTCTGCTAACTTAGTGATCTTGGTTTCCAAGGGAGGAATGCTTCCACCAGAGATGCTTTAATATGGTTCCATTAAACTGGAAGCTGAGCCCACACGTGGCCACTTGGAGCTCCCCATGCTAGTAAATCAACAGGAAAAGAAGAAAATGAATGTTATGGCTGGGAAATTAATTCTGACTATCTGGAGGATATGGATTGCTACTACAAAAAGCGCTGAAATAGAAGTAGGTCTAATCCACAGTGAGTTGGTTGTTATTTAATCTGTCCAGTAGATGGTGCCAAAGTAATATTCGTAGATGATTAGGCATTCTCACAGGCTATTCCAAGATGAAGATTTGTTCCCACAGCCAACCATCCTTTTTTGCCTTGGAAAGGTGAAGTCTACATTTGCAATTGCTAATGCCAGCTGGACAGCCCCCTGCCTATATATTGAAACTGGATGGTAGTGCTAGTTTTACTTTTGGTATTGAAAGAACAAAGGTCAAACCATTATCTTAGAGCTTTTATAGCCCTTTACTGATAAGTTTTTACGAAATCATAAAATAAACATATTCTGAAATTAAATCAGAAAGTGTTGTGAACATGAAGTCAACAATTTACAGTCATATATCATATTTTTAATTTTAGAGGCTATTTGAAAGGTGTGCTCTATTTTAAATTCACACTACATACACTGTTTTTTCCCAGTGTTAGCCTTCAATCCTAAACAAGAGCACTTGTTAAGTACTGTTTGATCTTTTATAGAGGCTGTTCCATCAGCTGAATAGTCAAGACGCTGTAAAGGGTTTCAGTTTAAATTTACAAAGCTATACATAATAAAAATCATTTGCTAAGCAAAGTAGAAGAAAAGTCAAAACATAAAAGGATTTAATTGTTTTTGGCAAAATGGTTGAGAGCACAGACTCTGGAGAGAAAAAAAATCTGGATTCCAATGCTTGTTCTGTATGATCTGGGACAAAGTTCTCAGGTTTTATTCTGAACCTTTTGTTTCCTCAGCTATATAATGCAGGTAATAATGGTTTCTTCCTCATAACTTTGCTCTAAGATAACATGAGTACAAATCCCTGGGAATATGCTTAGCATGTAAGTCCTAAATAAATGCTAACAATATTAATTATATTATCATTATTTAACAAATGTTGAACTTTGTGAACTCATGTCTAAAATATCAAAATTTTAATGTGTAATTTGGACCTTTCATCTACAGTAAATTTGTCTTTTTTGTTTTTAAAATATCTATGGAAACCATCTTTTGTTATAGAATGCAATGCTGTCTTCCATTTAAATAGCATGACACTGAGTATATTTAATTGAATTTGAATGGATTTCAATTAAATCAGGATTTAATTTGTAAATCAGACAATTTACTCATTCTTTTCTCTGAATGACACATTCTGGTTCAACAGACCAATATTTATATTCTTGAAAATTTAAATATAGTTGCAAATTTTGTATTAAAATATAATAAATATTTCAGAACTCATACCTCATGGATTTCAAATAAGGCATCCTACAATATAGTTCCGTTGATTCTGTAGCTACAATCAGACACGCGTTTTGTTCGAGTTCTAAAAGTTTGCTCGAGCCAACTTTAATGGGACCACTGAAACTTCCCAACAGTTTCATTTACAGAGGTTGCTGCACCTGTGCTACATTGAGAACATATCAATAAAGCCTTGACAACTTTGAGACAGCCAATTAAAAAGAGCTCCCCAGAGAATCTCCAATCGGCCTGTGCACTGGGAGGACAGAGTGGAGCCTTGGGAAGTTCCCCCCATTTGCAGGGGGAAGGAACCTGGTCCCTCCTCTTCCTGTGAAGTAACCTGGGATTCTATTTGTGAGATGGGGGCCTGTTAACAGGAACCCCTCTTGTTTTACTGTATTATTTTCCTTTTTGCCCAATAAATTCCATAATCCCCGCACCCTTCAAAGTGTCTGTGAGCCTAATCTTTCCTGGTCCTGTGACCAGGAAACAACCCAATTTTTAGCTGAACTAAGGAGAAAGTTTAGTAAGGAAATTATAGTCTACCAAAGGATTAAACATATTTTGATGCAATAATCATTGAAATCTTATTTATTATATTGGCATAAAATTATATCAATGAAAAAATAGAAGTTTCAGAAATAGACACAATGGATTATGATAATTTAGAATATAAAGAAGTACACATTGAATATTGGTGAGCTGAAGAAAGTTCAGAAATAGACACAATGGATTATGATAATTTAGAATATAAGGAAGTACACATTAAATATTGGTGAACTGAATAGTATTTAATCAATACTGTGATAAATGAATTGTTCAGAAAAGACTAGATGCACACATTTTAACATATTAAAAAATAAATTCTAGAAAGATTAAAAGGGCAATTTTTTAAATCAAATGTTAAGAAAACCAATCTTTTCAAAAATTCTGCAAGAGTTTTAGTGCTATTTGCATAGTATGACTGGGAAAGTTTATCTGAAAAAAGTTAAATGGCCTGCCTGGGCCACAATGTTAATTAGCAGAAGAGCAAGGAATCAAATACAAATTGATTTGAACATAAAACCTACAATTGTTGATTAAAATTCTATATAAATTACTTAGAAGAGTCCTCAGCGTGTTTTAGACTAGATAACCTTATTATTAGTGGTGGTGATGTCATCATCACTATCATTATTACCCACAGAGCAGGAAGATGAGTGTAAAGTTAAGTGAAATAAATGTATCAATTTATAAATAAATAACATTCTGGGGACAATGTAAGTTACTAGTATGCTTTTGGATAATGTTGCCAAAGGTTAAGCAGAACCATTAGAATGCTGAAACCTCCTGAACTAGTAATTCTTTGTAATTCATTTCAAAGTAATAAAAAGAAGTGAGTAAAAACACTTCTGCACAAAGAAGCTTATGTCATAGTAAAAACTTGGAAATAATAAGATGTTGAATAATTGACATTATTAAATTATGCTACATTAGCATAATAAAATATTAGGTAGTTATTTTTAATGATAATTATGGGGATAATGCAGGAAAACTATTTGTGAAACCTAAAAATGGAAAAAAATAAATGTAAACATGGTAAAATTGTAACTAAATGCAATAATAGAGCTTATTTAAGAACTGGAGCACAGAAAATTACACATAGAGTTGTCATGGGGTGGAGGTGAGGATAGAGTTTAGGCGATCTTTTTCTTTGCTCTTTTTAATGTTTTCAAATGTTTTTATAAAATAGGCAGTAATACATTTAGGCAATTTGCTTAATATGTTCATGGATATAATTATAATTTCCAAATATAAATGTAAGTATATTTGGCTAAGTTCAAAATAATGTGAGCTTTAATTAATTGTTTCAGCGATTTCAAAGAGAGAAATTCAACATGTTAAATAATATAGGTTTTCAGATTTCTCTTTCTTTTTGTTCAAATTTGGAAAGTTTTTTTATCCTTAAATTAATTCTCAATTAATAATCATTGAGGGAGAAACTGTATCTATATTTTTATAGGAATCTTCTTTAATGAAGGTTAATCACTTTGGTAGTCTTTGAAGAATTTAAAGACTTTTCCGACTTCTCTCTCTGTTCACTAATGTGCAATTTTGAAAGCCAAATTAATGAAACTCTTCCTTGCATAGCTCATCCTTATCCCATAAATTCATCTAGTTAAAGTAAATAGGAAGATAATGACTACATTCTTGTGTCATAACCACCACCTTTGCTTTAATATATAAAGATCGATGGTGAGTCGAAGTATGAGAACATTGACCAAGGAGGAGGCTGGAAATGAGGTTGAAATTGTGAACTAACCTGTTGTGACCTTTTTTTTAAACCTTTACAGTACACATGATTTTATTGTGTCTACTTCTATACTTAAAAGATATTAGCTTTAATTTGAAATGATTTTTTAAATGATAAGACTCCTTTGTCAATCGTCATCCTTGACTGAATTCCATCTGCTGTTCCTAATACGATAATTCGTTGGATCTAAGATGTCAATGATTGTGAGCCTTATCATTATTTCCTGAACTACTAAGAAAAAAATCTACAAATTAAACTATAACCAACAATGCTTTCTTGTCTATGAGATGTGTTATTTTATACTTATTTAGATCACTTGTTTAGGTTTTAGTCAGGATAAAACTTCTGTACAAAGTCTAAACAAGCACTGTGGTCTTGGGTTTCTTCCAAATTCTAACACCTGTTCTGCAAGTTTAAATGCCAGGGTCTCCTTGAATATTACCAAATAACCATATTTCTTGCTCTTCTTCTCTCTCAGGTATTTTCTTAAACACACTGAAGGAATTCAGAACATGATACCCCACAATATACTGCTTTGGTATATGGATTATTTTTAGCTGAAGGCTCTTGGAAAATAGCAAAGGCAGGGAGAAACATTTGCTGAACTCCCTTTATCTACATAAAGACAAACCCTCCATATGAAACAATTGTCATCAATCACTTTTACAGGAGTTTTGTCAACCAGGAAAGATTGACTCATCACAGGAGAGGGGACTAGAAGTTGACATCACACCCAGACGAACTTTGCCACAAACTGTCATATTTCCCACCCCTTCTTCTTCTAAAGTCCACTCACCTTTCCTAAAAATTATTTACCCTTCCCTAAGTTATCTATGCCCCCCTCTATTTCCCTGTATTCTCCTATATATTATGTCCCTTTGTATATGGTATATGTGCTCCAGAATCTCACTGCTTTGTTTTTTTTGGATATTCACTTTTTCTCTGCAATGTCCCTGCACACATAATACTAAAAATTAAGAAACGTACATTCTTTTTCTCCTGTTAACTTTAATGTTTTCAGTTTATTTCACAGCCTCGCTATCAAACCTACGAGGGTAGAGAAGGAAAGTCTTTCCTCCCTCTAACTCTTTTTCAGTGAGTCCTTCCCTGACCACCATATACAAATTGTGACATTACCCATATTCCTATCCCTCTTCTCTTCATTATTCTTCTTAACACCACTTATTGTCATGTGACATCAAAACCTTTCATTATTTGGATGTGTATTGTCTGTTCCCCAAACACACTAGAATATACATTTTATGTTGGAGGGATTTTTCTTCCTCTGTTTTTTCTTTCCAGCACTTCCCATAATGCCTACCCCTTATTATAATAGGAATGCAATAAATACATGATGGGTAAATAAATGACTATTCACCTAAACTACAGAAAATTCAGAAAAGTTCTTCTAGTTCACAGTAATCTCCTTCCCCCTGAAAGACAGACTACTCACACTGAGAAAATTCACTTCTCTCTTAACCCTATTCGATGTTGACACGTATAGCTGACGGAGTCGTTTCATAGCTGTGTTAATATTAATACACATGCAAGTTGCCACAGCTCTCGGGCTTTGGGGGCACCATCTCCTTCCATTCTGAATAAATTGATGATAAAACTACTTCTGGTCAACTCTGGGATTATCAGCCATATGACTCCTTCAAGTTATTTAATTTCTGAAAAACTCATGAGTTTGGTTGTATGGACTCAATTAAATACTGAATATAAATAACATAGTATAACATCTGACACATAAAAGCACTATACATAGTAACTATTATTCAGTTTTGACCTTAAAGTCCTCAGGGCTCTGTTCTAGCACTCTACATTAGTTTGATCAAAATATTCAAATCTGTCTGAAATGCATTATGTACAGAAAGGACAGATTCATGGGGCATGGCTCAATACATATTCATTTAAATAGAATAAATGTGGAATTTACTCCATCGATGTCTCCCTGGAAACCAAACAATTCAGAAGGTGGTGCAGAAAGATAGACGGAGAAATAAAGAATACAGTCCTGCTCTAGGTTTAGCAATATTTAGTCATGGACAGATTACATATTTACAAATAATTTACACTCTAGAAAGAATGAAAAAAACAAACATAAAGAAAAGTGTTTAGATTTCTGTCCATGTTATTCCTGTACCTGAAATGGTTTGCCTTCAACTGTTTTGTGGCCAGTTCATTCATCATGTTTAGCTTTTTCAGAGAGCCTTCTCTAACTAATCTAGATGGTGGAGTGATATGGTTTGGACCAGTGTCCCCGCTCAAATCGCGTATCGAACTGTAATCCCCAGTGTTGGAGGTGGGACCTGGTGGGAGGGATTGGATCATGAGGGCAGTTTCTAATGGTGTAGCACCATCCCCCTGGTGCTGTTTCCCAACTGAGTTCTCACAGGATCTGGTTTAAAATGTGTGGCACCTACCCGCTCTCTCTCTGTTTCTCCTGCTCCGGCGGTGTAAGAAGTGTCTGCTTCCCCTTCGCCTTCCTCCATGATTGTAAGTTTCCTGAGGCATCCCCAGCCATGCTTCCTGTACAGGCTGTGGAACTGTGAGCCAATTAGGCCTTTCTTTATAAATTATTCTGTCTCAGGTATTTCTTTATAGCAGTGCGAGAATGGACTAATACGTGGAACCTTGATAAATTATTATCTAATATTACATCCTATTCATTTTATCTATAGTACTGTACATTTTTTGTTGTTTTTATTACTATTTTGCTATACTCATTTCTTCTGGGTTTCTTCTACTAGTGTAGAATCTAGTGAGGACAGGAACAAATTACTACACTTCTGGCATGTACCAGAAGGCTTGACACACAAAAGGTAGTCAATTAACACTTGTTAAATATATCAATTAAATAAAGAACAGTGTTCAGCAAAATACAGTCAAGGAGATTTGAAGAAATTCTTTAAAAATATTTGAAAAATTGTTTTGCTAAATCATATCCAGACAACTTTAGGATCACAATAAAAAATGATTAAAAAAAACTGTATTACCCTTTGTTAATGTAAAAATGAGCAGATTTTGTATCCTCTCTCTCACATTTGCAAATCAGTAATTATGTGAGCCAAAGGGAGAGTGTCAGATTGGCATAGTGGAAAAATAATCACAAAGATCCTGGATTCAAGGAAATCTGATGTTTTTCTCTGTTTTTTTTTCCAATTGTAATGTCGGCAAAGTCACTGAACTCTCTCGGCCTTGTCTCCTCCTCTGTGACCTGGTAGGCATGAAATAAACCTTGAGAACCCTGCAGTCTTTTCTACTATTACTTTGATTTTCATTTCTCTAGTACTGTTTTTTAACTCACTCAAAAACAGTGCAACTTCCACTTGCTTTTAATAAATAGAAGCACAAAGTAACTTTGTGACTTTTGCTAATGTTCTTCTAACTCCATTTTACTATCAGCTCTCATCTTAGGAGGACTGGGGAGAAAAAAACTTGGTGATTTTTCCCAACGCTGACAGATCTTGAGGTGTGAACTTCACAGAGAGAAACCTGTGCATATTTAATAGAAATAAACCAAGAAGTTAATTTTAAAAACATGTTTAATTCTCCCTGTGGAAATCAACACCTGCCCCTTCGCTGCTTAATATCGTTATTATGATGAGTTTGGAAGTTCTGAATAGATGCAGCCATGCTTATTACTAGGAAAAATGTGATAGCCATGTTCAATAGAGAATAAAGTTGTCGACCCCAAATGACAGACCTGCATGTAGATTTCCCATAAGACCATCTTTATGTCCAGTAAAAGACAGCCAAGTCCCCCTTTAACAGGCAGCACTCTTGGCAGAGACAGTAGACTATTGCCTGGTTTGTCACTCCAAGGGCATATTTGAATTGCATTCTGTTGACTGATTGTTTAAATATAACTCATAAAAGTTTATCCTCCTTGAGACATTCAGTACTTTGACCCTGACCTCAGTTCCCTATCACTTTCCTAGCTTCAGCTTTTTCTGTGTCCAAACAAAATGACCTCAGTAACAGACATCCTCACAGCCACTTTTGATTCTTGCTTCTTTTGGACATTTTACAGATCCTCTATGTTAAGTCCAATCATTTCTTCTGTCACTACTGCTCCCATGTTTAAAGCATATCTAGGACTATGGTCCTAGAGTTATGCCCGATTGCTGTACTTCACATTTATGGTTTCCAGCCTCAGCTAAGCCTTCATCTCTATACCTTTTAAGACATGGCTCTAAATAATGATTGTGGTGTTTACTGCATTGTGTACATACAACACGTCAGGGTCTGTATGCTGCATTTTACACTAAGTATCTTTTTCAGTACTTTGGATGCCCTGTGAGGTAAAAATGAGGCTGAGGAAACTGAGGCAAAGAAATAAGAGGTTACAAAATTTGTCTTGTTTTATACAGGTAGAAAATGCCAAACGAGTTGCACACTCTGGTTTCTCTCACACCTACGCCCCTGCTTACAAGAAGCACTCGATCAGCTCCTTCCTCTCTATGCTGAGACAGTTGGCAAAGTGTAAGGGTGGAGGTTCTGGCAAAGAAATTCTTAAAGCACGTGTCGAAAAAATATGTATGTGTTTAAAAACACATCAGCCTAATGGAGAAATCCCAGTTAATATTTATTTTTGTCTACTTTTATAACTAATGCATGATGGCTGTAAAAAATTTGGAAAATGCATAAAATATATATATATATATATATATATAAAGAAAAAAAGAAAATCATTCATAATCTCACTACCCAGAGGGGACCACCATTAACATCTGATTCTTTGCAATGTTAAATAATTTAACATCTTTAAATAATTTGACATTTTTAAACAAAAGGCAACTTAATTATTATTTATATAATTGATATATAATTGTGATATATATATAATACAAATACACAGGCATTTGGAAAATATTTATAACTCAGGGAACTAATATTTTGAACTACCAATACATGATGTTACAAAATTATGAAAGAATAAAATATCCACTCAAAATGCAAGATAGACCAACAGTTTTCATATAATAAAGCACAAAAGATTTACCAATATGGTTTCAGATTCCACATTGTGAATAACTTTGAAGATGCTACCAAAATGTTGGTATTATCTCAAAGAAAAATATACAGAATTTCCTGAAAGCTAATTGAAGTTGTCTGCCTCTTCCAACTACATATGTGTATACATCCAGGCTTTCTTCATCTACTTCAATCAAAACAAAATATCTCAACAGATTGAATAAAGAAGCAGGTATGGGAGTCCAACTATCTTCTACTAAACCAGACATTAAAATGTTAAATTATATTAAAACATAAATGTTAAAATGATATCAAACCAATGGCAACCTTCTCAAAGTTTTGAAAATATATGGATTTTTACAAATAAGTAATATATCATTTACATGCAATAGGTTTATCTTTAAATAAATTGACAAATAAATATATTTTAATTTAAATTTTAATTTCTAATTTGATAAATATAGGGAGATAGAGTATACACAAACTGAAGTTAATTGGGTCCTCAACAATTTTGAAATATATAAAAGGTCCTACATTCAAAACCTTTGAGAACCATGATCTAAAAGAAATGCACGGCCAGGCGTGGTGGCTCACGCCTGTAATCCCAGCACTTTGGTAGGCCAAGGTGGGTGGATCATGATGTCAAAAGATCGAGACAATCCTGTCCAACATGGTGAAACCCCATCTCTACTAAAATACAAAAAATTAGCCGGCTGTGGTGGTGCACTCCTATAGTCCCAGCTAATAGGTAGGCTGAGTCAGGGGAATCGCTTGAACCCAGGAGGCGGAGGTTGAAGTGAGCTGAGATTGCACCACTGCACTCCAGCTTGGTGACAGAGCGAGACTCCATCTCAAAAAAAAAAAAAAAAAAAAAGGAAAAACAGAAAAAGAAAAAAAAGAAATGCACATACCAGTCCTCAGAGAGAGGTGTTTATCACAGCACTGACCACAGAGTTAGCCTACGTATTGATCACAATGTGACTAGATAAGTAATAATCATAATACTTTATGCAGTCTTTACCATGTCCCCTTGTTGTTCTAAACGTTTTGCTTATTATATGATTAAGTCATGTAATTGTTACAACAAACTTATGAGGAAGGCATGACTATTACTTATATTTTATAGGTGAGAAAGTGAGCCCTGAGATGTTCATGACTTGCTGGTAAGCAGTGGAGGCCACAATTTAAGCCCACAGTCTTACATTAAAGCCTATGTGCTTAATCACTCTGCTATGGGAGTTCCTCTAGAATGTGGTATTTGAATGGAACAAAGCAGCATGCAGTAGTCAGAAACCATAGGTGAGGACTGCATAGCCTCGCATGGGTAAGGTGCCTTACAAATAATGTCATTTTTTAAAATGTGGGAAGAGGGGGGTTGTTTGTATGGTAGAAATAAAGAGATGATCAAAGTATGTCACAAATTGAAGTTTATTGCTATATAACGTGGTTTGAATGTCTGTCCCCTCCAAAATTCATGTTGAAATCTAATTGCCACTTTAACAGTATTAAGAAGTGGGATCTTTTTTTTTTTTTTTTTTTTTTTTTGAAACGGAGTCTTGCTCTATCATCCTGGCTGGAGTGCGGTGGCTCAATCTCAGCTCACTGCAACCTCCGCCTTCCGGGTTCAAGCGATTCTCCTGCCTCAGCCTCCTGAGTAGCTGGGACTACAAGAGCCCATCACCATGCCCGCCTAATTTTGGTATTTTTAGTAGAAATGGGGTTTCACCATATTGGCCAGGCTGTTCTCTTACTCCTGACCTTGTGATCCCCCCACCTCGGCCTCCCAAAATGCTGGGATTACAGGCATGAGCCACTACGCCCAGCCAAGAAATGAGATCTTTAAAAGTGATTAGGCCGTGAGGGTTGGGTGGAATTAATGTCATTATAAAAGGGCAAGTTACACCCCATTTTGTCTTTTTTCCTCCTACCTTCCACCATGTGAAAACATGGTGTGGTGTTCCTCCCCTCCTGAGGATGCAGTGTTCAAGGTACCATCTTAAAATCAGAATCACCAAACCAATAGTGCCTTCGTGTTGGCCTTCACAGCCTCCAGAACTGTGAGCCAAAGAATCTCTGTTTATAAATTACCAAGTTTGTGGTATTCTGTTGTAGTAGCAAAAAATAGACCAAGACATCATATAAGAAGAAATTTTTTTTTCCTTAGGTTCACAATACTTAAAGAGACGAGGAATAGGAAGAACAAATCTCACAGGGAATATGCTTGATAGATGAGGTACATTGACTACACGGTGAGTGAATTCCAAAATTACTGAAGTCTAATGGGTCAATTAGGATGGAAGCAGGCCTCTGTAGAAAGTAAAGTCTAGTTAAAATTTGAGGTATATATTTACATAAGTGGTTCTCAGGTGAGACTGTCATGACTGACAAAGCAGAGATCTTAGATTACAGGCAAGGTGACTGGTGTTGGCAGGGCTTCAGAGATTAGCTCAAAGGCTAACAGGGTGCAGCTCTGTCAGGGCGGAGGGCTCAGTCTTCCGAGAAGCAGCTGACAGTGTAGCCCTGGGTCAGCATATGTAGGGAGGTAGCTCACAGAGTGTAGACTACCATGTTCTAAGCTCTCAGATTGTGTGTGTGTGTATATATATATATATATATACACATATGTGTGTGTGTGTGTATATATATATAATATACAATATCATGTATTGGTAGTTTGAAATATTAGTTCCCTGAGTTATAAATATCTTCCAAATGCCAAATATATATATATAGAAGTCCAGTGGTTGAAATCAGTAACTCACAGATGGGGTATGATAAGGCTAAGGTGTGGTGTCACATTCCTGAGGGCAGGGGAAGATCACTCCAAGTTCTCACATATGGAGTAGGATAAGACGTCACATTTTTGAGAGGCTGAGGAAATACACTTCAAGTTCTTATCACAGCAAAACATATATCGCTCACATAGCAGAGTACATGTTTGGAATCATTTCAAAGCTACATGACAGGAGAGAATTGTATCGCTATGACTTTATAGCAAAATACCACTTGTGCCTATGTTGAAGGCACATAAAACAGCACCATATATTTTCAAGGATAAACAAGTATCTCAATAAATTTGTAGAAGGTGAATTGGAAAGATACTTACTAGTTGCTCCAGACGACTTCTGTTGGGGAAAATAAATGGACTAGAAAATAAGCAGATGAAAAATATAAACAAAATAGAAAGGCCCTTCACAAAATGATACTGATAATATGCAGTGAACTGAATATTATTGTTAATTTAATTTTTATACCAAAGTTAGCAAGAACAATGAAAATCACATCTACCCAATCTCCCACCCCTCATAAAAACATAACCTACAATTGTCTTGAAGAAAGAGATTCTCCTCTCTCTGCCATAGTGACAGGTATATGCCCAACTAACTGTGGAAAACAGTTCTTTCTTTCAACCTTACTCATCACCCTCACGGTCTGTTTATGAGGCTCTCCTCCACCAGCCAGAAAGGATGACGTGCCATACCTGCAAAACTTATACAGCATCAACAGAATGAATCTTTCCAACAAGCCGAAACATTGAGTATTGTGGCACAGAATATGCCCCACCCATTACTCAATCTAGATATCCTTTTATTCCACCGTCTCATGATTTTCTTTTTCCTGGAAAACAAAAGTATTTCTTTCATAGCCCAGCTAGCACGATAAATCAGCGAGTCAGAATTCTAGCTTTGTTGTAAGGTTTTGCGAATATCTGATCCTCTTATTTTGTACTTTTCTATTTCCTAGGCAAATCTGAGTATTTCACCCAGTTTTCCTTAACTAGGCATTGAAAACTCAGTTTTTTTCTTACAAACCTTCATGTCTTCCTGCTCATTTGCACAGTCTTATCTTGCACCTCCTATAAAATGGAGAAACTTGACATTAAAACGTAATTTTTATTACATTTTGAGGGATTCCCAGAGAATTTTTCCCCAATCTCCTTAGGTAGGGACTTCTTTACTATAGTTCCCACACACATCTATCACCCTCCCCTACTTCTAGACAATTTTGGGAGGCATTCCTCCCTTCTCCCACCAATCAAGGAGCCAGGTATCTCTACCGAGCTGAGTAACTGTAGAAATCTTTCTGCTTCCAGTTTCTAGCACCAGCATTACCTGAGGGGACTGATTCCTAGAGGTCAAAGACAAATGCTGGGTTTGGTGCCTGCGTTGTTTTTAGGCTTCTTTTTCTTCCTGGCTTCCTCCTCCCTGCACAGGTTCAAAGTTGTTTCTTTCCTCATAACTGTATCTGAAAAAGCAAGGCCCATTCTACTAGAAGACCTTGTATTTTCCGTGGAGAATCCACAGAGTGAGTAGTTTGAAAGTGCGGATAGGAGGAGGGCTCTTCAGGCTGTGGCTGCTGAGTGAGAGCGAGGTGTTCCCAAATTGGTGCACACATTTGTGGAAATGAGACAAAGTTTCTAAGTCCTGAGCTGCACCCTTAATTCTTCACACACATGTTGATTTTTAAAGTTAAACCTACAACTTCCTCCTTGCATAGGGCCAAACAAGCATGGTATTAAGAGAGGAAGACGAATAGTGTTCTAAACATTTCCCAGGACTTCAGTTCCATAAGGTATCATCTGGTCGAATTCTTATGTAGAAGTTGTCTGGTTCCTCAGTTTCACCCATTCTATGGCCAGCCCAGACTTCCCCAGGTAGGATTTATGCCCCTTCTTCCAGAAAGCAGGACTTCTCCTGTCCTAAATCCTTCATTCTCTCCATCTAGCAGTCAAATAAATCCCAGGAAATACACGGAGTGTTCCTTGTCCTGAAGTATAATACCCATCCTTGTAATATACTACATGGCCTTATCTTTATCCTTACATTTAGGAATTTCTAATATTTCTCCCTCTTTTGTTGCTTCAGGTGCCAAATAAAACAAAATGCTTCATCAAACCAATGACATACATCATGTGTCAAGTATCTGCCTCAAAGCAACTTGTTGCATACTCTTTACTTCTATATACACGCTCGCAGTTTCTTAATATTTACTAGAAATCAGAATGCAATTCTTTAATTTTTATGTTCCCCTTTGTACATCATGTGTCACCTTTAATTCTTTGTTCATCTTAGTTACCATGAAGTTTTTCATTTACTTACTTGCTTCGTAGTTACTTTGAAGAGTAAAACGTAGATGAGATGCAGTATACTGTTAAGGTTTTCTAATACCACGGGGAGCGTTTCATTTGTTTTTAAAGTTTAGGCCATTGCAAGAAATTTGCTCCTTAAAATTCTACTGACACTTATTCTTAATTTTTTTAAGAGACAGCTGTAACATTGTTTACAAACGTATAAATACCATCCCAGCGAGAAACTAGCTTTGTGCTTCTGTCATAAAAGAGACACAGGTTTCTAACAGGAAATGGAAAAGGGAGAACTACTGAGTCAAGTGCAAACTCCCAGCCAGGCAGAGAGCAGCTGACTCTGTAGAACCGTCCCTTCCCGTCTCCCTCCACACCTTGCCTCCTCCAGGCCCAACCCCATTCCACCAGCACCCCGCCCCAGGCGCACTGGCTAGGACTGGAAGGCAAGGACTAAGGTGAAAGCTGACTGCCCGCACCGCCCCAGGCGCACTGGGTAGGACTGAAAGGCAGGGACTAAGGTGACAGCTGACTCTGCCGGGGCGGAGTGCGTGTCCTCCCACCGTGCTGGCGCTGAACTGACTGTCCGCTGCCAAGGGAAGTGACAGCCGCAGCCGGGCTCTCAGCCAGCGGCCAGGCGCCCCGCGGACCATGCTCTCCAGTACGCAGAACGCGGGCGGCTCCTATCAGCGGGTCCGCGGGGCGCTTGATACACAGGTAAAGTTCTCTGGTCCTTAGGGGAGAGGAGAGGCGGGTCGTGGGGACCACTGTGGGTGCAGGAGTGGAAGTGGGGAGAGGTGAGTCCTCGAACCCTGAACGTGGACGGACGAGCCCTTGTTTCAGTAGCCAACACACACGGGACAGACAGACCGGCGTACACACTCAATCCTCAGAGCAGAGATCAGAGATCAGGGTAGGTGCAACTTGAACCAGAGGAGCTCAGTCTTGGTAGGGCTGGAGGAGAGGAAGAGGCATCTTTGTTTGAAGAGATAAGTAACTCCCCCATAAGCAGAAAGCGTGGATGGGCCTGTCATCGCTGAAGGAACACAGGTTGGAGCAGAATTCTACTACCATTGAGTGATCCCATTAAAACCGCAGAGCATTGGGGATTAATAACACTCAGTGTGGATTTTGGGACCCAGGTCTGGGGCAAATCCAGAAACTTCAGACACTTAATTGTGCTCTCCTCTGGCGCACTATAACTCATGCTTCTACAATGGGAGTCACGTGCTAAGGCGGTAGTCAGAGAAATGAGCCCTACAGTTGTTGTGTATTAGCAACAATTCCCCTAACAAAAGTTCCATTTGTTTCACTTATCATCACTATACAAGACATGGACTTAGAAACAGCCCTGTTGTCCTAACAAAGAAAAAATATATAATTCCGATTCAGGGGACTTGTTCTAATCCTGGCTTTTTTAGTAACTCTGAGTGTCAAATATATGTGACATCTATTTTGATCACATACAAAATCAAACTATAAATTTATTTAAAATTAAGTTATATGTAAAGTACTTTTATAAAAATCTATAAGATAGAAGGGCTGAATAAGTTCCTTGAAAATGTGAAAAAGCTCCATCACTATAGCATGCCTCTTTTTACTGTACCGTAGAGATGGCAGGCTCAATTGCGCAAACTGGTTTAATATCATTAGTGTAACAGCCAAGGTGATCAAAGGCAGTAAATTATAAACTTGTAGTTGAAAAATTATAAAACTCAATTTTGTCACCCCAAATTTTAGTCGACTCTTCCTTTAGTATTCAAACACCGTTTGTTTCCTTGATTATTATTCAACTTTGATAGCCTTCATAGATCAGGAATCCACTTAAACAAGGTTGAAAATATTCATTTTAATTTCATTCTCTATTTGTTATTTCTATGATGGCAATTTTTAAAAAAAGTTGGTGGTAGCCAGGCACAGTGGCTCACGCCTGTAATCCCAGCACTCTGGGAGGCCAGGCATGGAGGCGTGCTCATGCAGTCCCAGCTACTTGGTGGGGGGCTGAGGTGGAAGGATTACTTGAGCTTGAGAGATTGAGGCTGCAGTGAGCCATGTTCGCTCCACTTCACTGAAGCCTGAGCAACACAGTGAGACACTATCTCAAAAAAAAATTGATGGCTTCAAAATGTATAAAAAAACCTCTGTTTACTTACATATTGACTTCATATTTTTAATACAACAGATCTCAGGTAAAAATCCCTATGTAACTATAAGCTAAGAACATACCTTTTTAATTGAATTTTTATGGCTAACATGGTGACTGTGAATAGATTCTTCTAAATATTTTTTGTTGGTAGTGATTAGCATCCATCCATTCATTCAGTCAGTCATCCGAAACATGTTTATTATGAGCTGGCCCTGGGCCTTGAGAAACTGGAGATTTCTCCAGAAGCTAGCGATACAGAGATAAACCAACTATAGTTTCTGTCTTCCAGCGACACTAAATCTAGTAAGAGAGAAGCACCTTCCAGGAAATAATGAGAGAGTTGGGTAATATGAGGGTAAATTCTGTGAGTGCCAACCTGAAGGAGCCCTTAAGTCCTCCCTGAGGAGTATGTTAAAGTTGCTCTGGTAATACAGAACGTGTTTCAGAGCCTTGGACTGGAGTGAGAGGACAGAAATTACAAAAGACACTGAAACCTGAATAGGATTGAAGCACAAAAGCCAGGAGAAGGGAGGCAGAAGGATGTGGGCAGTAGGAAAGGTCTAAGTAGTGAAAAACAGTGTTGCATGGGTACAGAGTTGAGAGTGTGGATTTAGAACTGGAGTATAGAATAAACTAAGTGGTTTAGATCTTGTTTCCAATACTTGGTTGCAAGATCTTAGGCGAGTTTCTTAAACTCTGGGTGTTAGTTTCCCTTTCTATAAAATAGGGGTGACAGAAATTATTCCACCATAAAGGTATTTTACATTTAGTGAAATAATATACTTAGTACAGAATTTAGCATCTTTTAAGTGATTAAAAAAATGTAAGTTTTATCTGTCTGGGCACCATGGCTCACACCAGTAATCCTAGCAGTTTGAGAGTCCAAGAGGGGTGGATCACCTGAGGTCAGGAGTAAAAGACCAGCTTGGCCAACATGGTGAAACCCTGTCTCTACTAAAAATACAAAAATTAGCAGAGCCTGGTGGCAGATGCCTGTAATTCCAGCTACTTGGGAGGCTGAGGCAGGAGAGTCGCATGAACCTGGGAGGCAGAGGATGCAGTAAGCCAAGATTGCACCACTGCACTCCAGCCTGGGTGACAGAGCAAGACTCCATGTCAAAAAAAAAAAAAAAGTAAGTTTTTTTTTTTTTTTAATTTCCAGAAGTGTTCCCTTCTCCATGAGCATCTACTTTCATTTTCCAGTAACTTCCTCCACTATTCCCAAAATCCCCCTATAAAATCCACATAGGAAGCTTCTGAAATTAGGCATTATGGGATATCAGTAAACACAGCAATCTGTCACACAAACCGTATTGCCATGAGGTCACATCTCAACATTAAACCCAAGGAAGTTTGAAAACAGTACACTTCAGAACCCCAGCTGTGCTATGATCCAGTGGTCTAAATACTTATTGTTTTCTGCCATAAACCAGAAGTAACAGGACCTCCATTCTAGTGAAAATTGCTCTTAAGTCAGCAATGTCAAGGTATGTTTATGGAATGCCTACTATAAGCTCAATAGTAAATAAATACAATAGATAATAAAACAGCTTAAACAAGGTCTGTAGTGGACATGGGGACACACGAAATGAGAAACTCACTTGGGGTCAATTATGTCAGCAGACCAGAATTGCTGTCAGATTGAGAACAAATGAGTTAGAAAGATGATAAATATTTAATGGAGAAGATGGGAGTAAATTAGAACATTCAAAGATACTCAGAATTGTCATGTTCTATTTTTCTACATAGAAATTACTATGTGCAATATATAATCAACTCAATGAGATCCATGATATGAATTCAATAATTATGAATGTATTGAAAAGTCATTTGCACATTCTTGGTGCTTGGTAAGGATTAACTCCCTTCATCAGACTTTTTTTTTTTTTTTTAAACCTGGCTGCTATTCCTTCTGGGAAGTAAAGTATGGTTGGACTTTACTGTGCTTCAGCATAAGATACCTGGTTCACATCTAAGGAGGCTATGTACCAGAAAATATAAAGGGCGTCACATAAGATGCTTTCACATGAAAAAATGGTCCTAGAGGGAATGTTAAACCAAGTACCGAGTTCTTAGTCTGCTAAAGTAGCCATCTGCAGTAGCTTTGCAAGGCTTAGGTGCCTCAAACAACAACCATGCTATTTAGTTAATTATTCTTTGGGTCAGTTGGATTGTGTCCTGGTTTGGGTCAGTTTGACGGATAACTCCTGCGCTCTTTTATGCATAGGATTGTTGCGAGAACTAAATACAATGACAGTAATTCTACAATGATTGTAGAATCAGCTGGCAGATGGGCTGGTAGGCAGATAATCTAGAACCACGTTATTCCTATATCTGGCAGTTTTCAAGCTATTGGCCTGGTAATAGACCATCAGATGAGTGCCTTAGTTCTCCTCCACATGATCTGTCATCCTTCAGCAGCCTAGCTCCAGCTCAGTCACATGGTGCACTCAGTGTCCTAAGCGCAGCAGGAGCCAAAGCATTAAGGCTTCTTGAGGCTTAGAATTTCAATGTCACTCCTGTTGTATTTCTATGACCAAAACAAGACACAATGTCAGCCCAGATACAAGGAATGGGAAATAGATTCCACCTCTTGATGGGAAAAGCTGCAAAGAATTGGTAGCCATTTACAGTTTTCCACAGAAATATATGTGTTTCGGCTATCAATCCGATCCTTTCATTGGTAGCAAATTATCACATTAGCAACTCCCTGTGAAATTTGAACTTATGACATAAAATATGTCCTCCAGGTTAATTAGAGAATTTTTAGAATATTTTTTCCAATAATTTATGTACTTGTTTTTTAAATAATATGTTGGTAACAATAGTGATGACAATTTTATTGTTCATATATTTGAGTCATTGTTTTGGGCTAATGGTGTGATAAGTATTTTATATTTATCATTATATTAGTTCTTGCAACAATCTTATAATGATAAATGCCATTTTGGTAAATTGTGTATATCTTAAATGATTTATACTATATAATTTGTTATAACACAGAGAACACATTTGGCGTCAAATACATTTTCTCATCTCTACTTTGGGCATTTTGTTGTATACGATGAAATTTGGATTTAGTCATTCCTTCTAGCTTCAGAATTTTTTAAATTGGTAAACACTGATTATGGAATCAGAACTGAGTTAGAGAAGATCACTAGGAAATTTCTTAAATGTTGGACAGTTTCTAAAAATCAAAATTAACTTGGTGACCAGTCTTACTTTTTAAAATGCAAAGAGATTGATGCTGACTATAAAAACATAAAATGGTTATTTTTGAGTCCTCTATTTTTAAACCTCTTTTCTCTTGGTTAAACCAACACAGTAAATGGGAAAACTTTATGGAAATGTTAAAACCCACCCCAAGATATCGTGTAATTGTGACAAATATGTAATTGTGTATATAATTTTTAAAATATGTAAACACACACAGAAGTATACCAAATAACTATGATATTCTCTTTTCTATTTTTCAGAAAAAGAAAACTATCTTTAGCAATTTAGATGCTTACATTTATCTTATATATACATATACATATATAATACATATGGGTATAAATTATTCACTTATACTGTCATATAATTGTGTTAATGTAAATAGACAATATGGGCTAAGTTCAAAGAACTGTCCCACTGTATGTGTACATATATATGTATATGTATGTATATTGTATATGTATATATGTATACAAATACATATAATTGTAAATTTACAGTTCTAAAATCTCTCTATGTATGTATATGTACATATACATACAATTTTCCTTCCCAACATGATTTACTGCTACATGCACCATCGTAATATTGAGAGAAATCTTGAAATTCCTCTAGTCCAACCACCATACAAGAATATCTTCACTTAACTATATTTCTTAAGAATTATGATACCAACATATCCGTAACTCTTAGTAGAATAAATCATGTCAGATTTACCCCTGACAAAAAATATTTCAAATATAAATTTAAAATATTTACTTTATACACTACTCTCTATATTTTTTCTTTTCAGAAATGCAGTCCAGAGAAAAGTGCCTCATTTTTCAGTAAAGTGACATATTCCTGGTTTAGCAGGTAGGAATTTTACTAATATATTTGTAGTGTACCACACTGAAAAAGATCCCAAGGGAAATGACACCTGAATTTCCTTTAATCTCAAAGTGAATAGTTGTACAAAGTTGTCTCATATTACTTATTACACAGAAATCACAGGTAAAAACATACTAAATAGTTCCACAGATAACAGTACTAATATTCCTCCAATATGTCTATATCTTTGTCGGGTTTTCATCTCATTACCACTAGGGAAGAACAGAAAAATGAACTTCTTTTTTAGCATCAAGTATATGCTATCCACTTTGTGTTTATTATTTCATTTAATTCTCCTCCAAGTGCTATGAGAAAGGCATTTGCATGAGAAAAATTTAGGCTCAGGAAACGAAAGCACCTGTCCATTGATACCCATGTAGGAGTAAGTATGTGTCTTAAACCAATTTCTGATGAGTTCATGTTTCAAGCTTTATTTTTGCTATGTCAATCTACTTTTTATTAGAAATGCTCTCTTTTATACTAATATATGCTATTATTAAAAAACACACACACACAGCCCTAAGCATTTTATATGACATATATTATGGTTTTTCTCATAGAATAATTCACCCATAACATATGTTGAGGGCTCAGAATTTCTTCAGGAGATACCATTGTGAACTCTGATTTTTAACACAGAAATTAAATGGTATTGAATGGGAAGAGTTGATGTTTTCTTATTTTATAAATTCAGAAGCTTTCTTTAGAAATGTATTTCTTTTTCCCCCATAACAGAAATTCCATAATAATATGAAGTTAAATTTGTGTTTCTAGCTTTATGCCCCTTGCTCTGCAGTTCACAGAAACAAAACTGCTCAATTTTATCTACAGATATGTTCCCAAGAGTGGATTAATCTTTTAAAAAATGATTAGGTACTAGATACCCCAAACTCAAATAGTCTTTAAAAATGCAGAGATAAATGAGTTAGTTTCTGTCTTCTAGGAATTCATAGTAGAATTAAAAAGATTAAAAAGTATACCACCATTACAAAAAAAGGGAAAAGGCAACATAAGCGTAATTGACAAACACAAATTTTCAGTAATATCATCTAATCAAGTTTGCACAATTAGAGACTATTTCACAGATACCAATGCTTTCACTTAACATTTAAAGATGTGTAGGAGTGAGAAACGTGGTATCCCAAATTGAGCAAATACTATGTGAAAACCATACAATAAAAGGTGGGAAAGAACTGGCTGTGAAGTTCAGATGTGGTGAAAAACTGTGGGTTCAGACTGAGAAATTTTTAATTTTTGAGATACTTATTGAAGGGGTGGGTTGCCCCTCCACACCTGCGGATGTTTCTCGTTAGGTGGAACGAGAGACTAGGAAAAGAAAGAGACACAGAGACAAAGTATAGAGAAAGAAAAAGGGGCTCAGGGGACCGGCATTCAGCATACGGAGGATCCACGCCGGCACCAGCCTCTGAATTCCCTTAGTATTTATTGATCATTATCGGGCGTTTCCCGGAGAGGGGGACGTGGCAGGATAATACGATAATAGTGGAGAGAAGGTCAGAAGGTAAACACGTGAACAAATGTCTCTGCATCATAAACAAGGTAAAGAAAAAACTGCTGTGCTTTTGATATGCATATACATAAACATCTCAATGCCTTAAGGAGCAGTATTGCTGCCATCATGTCCCACCTCCAGCCCTAAGGCAGTTTTCCCCTATCTCAGTAGATGGAATATACAATCGGCTTTACACCGAGACATTCCATTGCCCCGGGACGGGCAGGAGACAGAAGCCTTCCTCTTGTCTCAACTGAAAAGAGGCGTTCCTTCCTCTTTTACTAATACTCCTCAGCGCAGACCCTTTACTGGTGTCAGGCTGGGGGACGGTCAGGTCTTTCCCTTCCCACGAGGCCATATTTCAGACTATCACATGGGGAGAAACCTTGGACAATACCTGGCTTTCCTAGGCAGAGGTCCCTGTGGCCTTCTGCAGTATTTTGTGTCGCTGGGTACTTGAGATTAGGGAGTGGTGATGACTCTTAACGAGCATGCTGCCTTCCAGCATTTGTTTAACAAAGCACACCCTGCACAACCCTTAATCCATTTAACCCTGAGTGGACACAGCACATGTTTCAGGGAGCACAGGGTTAGGGGTAGGGTTACAGATTAACAGCATCTCAAGGCAGAAGAATTTTTCTTAGTACAGAACAAAATGGAGTCTCCTATGTCTACTTCTTTCTACACAGACACAGTAACAATCTGATCTGTCTTTCTTTTCCCCACACTTATGAAGCATCACATGTACAGGAGTTTGGATATGTGGCTTCCAGGCTTAGAATAAACCTTTGACTATAGATATGGATTTGGGAGTCACTGACTAGAGGACAGTAGTTGAAACCATGCGTATGAATGAGATTGCCCAGAGGAAGAACCTATTGAATAGGCTGAACAAATGGAACATTGGTAATCCTCAGTATTTAAATGGCAAGAGAAAGAGGAGTCTACAAAAAAAGCTAAGTAAAGGTGTTCAGAATATATTATAAGAGAAGTATCTGATGAAATAGTATGAGTGACAGGTAAGAAAAGAGAAACTGTCAAGAAAGGAGAAAAATAAAGTGGTCAATAGGGCCAAATACTGCAAAGGGGTGAATTAAAATAATAACTAAATATTCTCCATTAAATTTGGCAACATGAAGATCACTGGGGAGTTTTTCAAAGCAATTGAAGTAGAAAATGTATATACTTGTGAGCAAATACTTGGGCAGAAGGGGTTAAATTGTGATAAAATTTCCAAGTTACACAAATCTAAGAATCTCTTAAAGAGGATGGCAAAACTATGTAACATTAAGCAGCACACTAGAAAAGAGAAAGCATAGCTAGAAATGTAAATGTGAGCTATTTACAGTTAATGATTTTAATGCTTCAAATTTGTATAGGTATAGAAATGTTTTCCAAACCTGAATTTTGTTTATGGGGGAGTTGAGAGGAAGAGTGACACCTACCCCAGCTTTAAAAAATTCCAGTCTCGGGCCCGGCGCGGTGGCGCACACCTGTAATCCCAGCACTTTGGGAGGCCTAGGCGGGCGCATCGTGAGGTCAGGAGATGGAGACCATCCTGGCTAACACAGTGAAACCCCGTCTCCCCAAAAAAATATATAAAAAATGAGCTGGGTGTGGTGGCGGGCGCCTGTAGTCCCAGCTACTTGGGAGGCTGAGGCAGGAGAATGGCGTGAACCTGGGAGGCGGAGCTGGCAGTGAGCTGAGATCGCGCCACTGCACTCCAGCCAGGGCGACAGAGCGAGACTCCATCTCAAAAAAAATAAACAAATAAAAATAAAAAATAAAAAATTCTAGTCTCATTTTAAATCCATAGGTATCACAGAATTTAAGTAATGCAAATAAAATTAATTTTAAATAAATGTAGTTTTAAACTTTGATTATCAAACTATAAAAACTATATGCATATGTATTAAATATTGCAAACATTATTTTAGCATTCCTAAAGACGCTGAAATTAAATTTAATAAGCAAGATAAGACATAGCAAATCTTCAAATATGACAACCTAGTATTTTGAAATCCATATCTTAAGTCAATCAAACAAACCATCAAGCTCTGTGAATATCACATTTATTTTCTGTTTAATTTGAATATCTCATAATTAGATACAAAATATTTTCATAGGATGTTGTTATCCAGAACTGTCATTGGCATGGATCTAATCTGATTTCTTATGTGGTGACTAAACAATTGTATTTGAAACCTAACTATTGTTTAAGAGAATGTCCCTTTGAAGACAAAGATTAATTGTATTCTCCTATCTGTTTTTGGAGTTACAGAATAGTGTCAAATTATTTCCTAGAACAAATTCAAGCATCAATAATTGTATGAATAACTCAATTAAAATGTGCTCAGATGACACAATAATTACAAAATTATATACTTATGAGCCTTAATTCCTAAGACAATAGCTATCTAGATCATTCTGATGATCAAATAATTACCAAGCCTTTATTAGCAAATATAATCTGTCACCAGTGTATAATAATCATGGCCAGAGATATACATGGAAAAATCTAGTAAGAGTTTTCATAGGTCACAATAGTGTCATTATTTTAACCAGATACACTATTCAATATGTCCTTTTTCTCACATACTAAAAAAATTTGTACATTAAACAACTTTCTCCCAACCTATAATTTTTGGCCAGATTGATTTCTTTCCTTTTCCCATAACATAATACCTCTTTCCAGAAATGGTTTTTTGTTTTGTTTTGTTTTTGTTTTGAGATGGAGTCTTGCTCAGTCGCCCAGGCTGGAGTGCAGTGGTGCGATCTCGGCTCACTGCAAGCTCCGCCTTCCGGGTTCACGCCATTCTCCTGCCTCGGCCTCCCGAGTAGCTGGGACTACAGGCATCCGCCACTACACCCGGCTAATTTTTTTTTGTATTTTTAGTAGAGACGGGGTTTCACCATGTTAGCCAGGATAGTCTGGATCTCCTGACCTCGTGATCCACCCGCCTTGGCCTCCCTCCAGAAATGTTTTAAAAGGTTATTTATAGCAATAAAATTGATAATGCTACTATATATTTGTACTTTCTAAGTATTCAAATATTACTCATCTATAAAAGTTATATTTCAGCTCATCTTCCTAATAGAATGCCACTGTTTTTCTATTCTGTTCACATGAGTTGGTTGAGATATTTATGCACATTTAATAATTCTAAATATAGTCAAAATTCTCTCTAAGATAATAAAATTTAAGAGTGGAAATTGTATTAGTCAGTTCTCACGTTGCTATGAAGAAATATCCGAGACTGGGTAATTTATAAGGGAAAGAGGTTTAATTGGCTGACAGTTCCACAGGGCTGGGGAGGTCTCAGGAAACTTACAATCATGGCAGAAGAAGCAAACACGTCCTTCTCCACCTGGCAGCAGGAAGAAGTGTCAAACAAAGAGAGAAAAGCCCCTCATAAGACCATCAGATCTCATAAAAACTCGCTCACTATCATGAGAACGGCAGCATGGGGTAACCACCCCTATGATTCAGTTACCTCCCACCAGGTCCCTCCCATGACATGTGGGGATTATGTGAACTGCAATTCAAGATGAGATTTGGGTGGGAACAAAGCCAAACCATATCAGAAGTAATACATTTCACTGTCTGCTTTTTGCTAAGTTAGCCCTGGTTTATTTTACATACAAAACACCATCACCAGTCTCTGAAGTTCTTAATGTTTAACTGCCTGTAAAAATGAGAAATTAATCCTGCTCTGCCAGCTTTGGGGAGTTGTGAGAATCAAATTCATTGATGTGAATGTCCTTTGAAAAGAAACATCATTCTAAAAATATGAGATACATGTGTAAACTGTATTATCGTTTTAGGAATAAAGCCCACAGGTTGATGGGACCTAGTATGTGTTACACATTTCACTTACTGAGAGGGCCAACTCTGGGTCCTCATTGTTTCCCAAAAAGCTGCCTCAACATTTGATTTAAATAAATACCACTTCGTTATCACTTCCTTGCTTATTCTTTTTCCAAACTCTTGTGTGGGAAGGTAAGGCCAGCCATGTGATCAGAGTCTGTTAGAAGAGAGCAAAAGATAGTGGAGGGGAACACACATCTGGGAAAAAAGTCAAGGTAGTTAAACCACTAAGCCATGAGAGTCACAATCAAGTCAGCTTAAGTGTCACTTTTAGATGCTGCATTATTTGGGGACTCAGCATGAAAGCAAGAGGTCACTTTTCCCTGAACCGAAACCTCTGAGTTTTGCACAGTTCTAACTCAAAATGCTGAGGCAGTAAATGTTATTAAAAATGCTTTTCTAAAAGTCAATGCAGTCTTATTTTGAAAATGAATATTTATTTTCTGGAATGAAATAGAACTTAATATGACAAGAAAGTAGTTTATTGCTTAATATGTTTTTAAAAGTGCACTGCAGGAAAATGTCCAGCATATTTGAGCCAACAGAAACATGATTACGGAAAATCCCTTCTTATTACATTTAAACCTTTTTGTTAGATATGAATTGTGGTAAGATATTATGTATTATACTAAAAGTAAAATAAAATCTAGTGGAATCTTTTGTTACCATAGGGTTTAAATTCATCCCAGAGTCAATCAATTGAGATTATTTAGTAACAAGGCCAATGAAAGCAGTCCCAATTTGGAGTAGTTTAAGGCATTGTTACCGCCTCTTCGGCTAATACACTTTATATGGACAGAACTTAGGCCAGTCAGAAGGCCTGGATTTAAATATGGGTTTAATTTCTTATTGAACAAGTCATGTCACCAAAGTCACAAACTATATCTGATTTAAATCACTTCAGAGTGAGTTTAGCTTCAAGTAACAGAATAGCCAGATAATAATAGTTTAAACAAACAAGTATTTATTTTCTTATGTTATTGGAAAGAGGGTGTTACTGGAAATAAGTTGTTGAACTATTGCAGAAATGTTACGAAAGGCCCAGGCTAGGTCGGTCACAGTGGCTCACACCTGCAATCCCAGCACTTTGGGAGGCCAAGGCAGGCTGATTACTTGAGGCCAGGAGTTCAAGCCCAGCCTGGCCAACAGGGCAAAACCCTGTCTCTACTAAAAGTAGAAAAACTAGCCAGGAATGGTGGTGTGTGCCTGTAATCTCAGCTACTCGGGAGGCTGACGCATGAGAATTGCTTGAACCCAGGAGGCAGAGGTTGCAGTGAGCAGAGATTGCTCCACTGCACTCCAGCCTGGGCAACAGAGCAAGAGTCTGTGGGGAAAAAAAAAAAAAAAAGGCTCAGGCTTTTTTAGTCTTTCTGCTTCCCATCCTTATTATTTGGCTTTTTTATCCGTAGTGGCAAAGATGGCTTTTATATCTCAAAGCATCATGGCTTCAAAGGACAAAAGGGAAAGAGAAGGGAGGCAACATGTTTTCTCCTTTTGAAGTTCTGTGCTTTCATTTGAAAAAGAAAGTTCTTCCTAGCAGATATTGGCTTGGGTATTGTTAGCCATAACTCAGTTATATTATTAATCCCAAGCACAGGGTAATGAGAGTACCAGGACTGGTTTAGATCAATTATAATTCATAACTCTGTGGCTAAAATAAGACCTTACCATGAGTTCAAGAGATTTTCAACTGAAGAAATATCAGATCCCTGTTAGCAGAAAGACGGTAGAGCAGAGCTAGAGCTGTGGGTAAGTACAATTCATTCTCTCCCACAGTAACTTCTGTGGTAAAACTACACTATGCATCTTGTTTGCCTCCCAGTTTAGACCCATTGTTCTTGCATAATTATTTGCAGTGTCACCTGGGATAAGCTCATTGAATGGAGAAGGGTGGAAAAACTAAGAGGCTGGTGGAGACTTGCCTTGCTTCTTAAGGCATCAATTCAGAAACTGCACTCTCACATTGGCTCATATTCTGTTGGTCATAAGGCCAAGGCCAGAGCTTGTGGGATAGGGACAAGTACTCCACATCCAGTTGTACAATCTATAAAGTCAAGTGGCAAATTGTACAGAAAGTCCTAGTAGAACAGAAGAAAATTGCAAATGCAGAGGTTGGATTTGTTTTCCCTCCAATAGAAGCCTAAAAGCCAGTTTGGGTACTTGAGTGGTATGGGTGATATTCTACTGGGAAAATTTGCTATATAAATTTTAATGAGCTGAGTGGTACATTTCCCAAATATAAGATGAATAAATGAAGTCAGTGTTTCACTGAATAATTGGATGTCTAAACAGCATTTATAAAAACTATAAATGATTATTGCACATTATTGACCTCCAGGATAAAACTGTATGATTTGTTTAAACACATAATCTAGTCATTGTATTTTAATCAATAAAATAATGCAAAAATCAAAGAAAGTAATAAATGTATGACAATTTATTTTTAACTAGATTATTTGTTTTGCTGTCTTGTTTACCTTACTTTTTCATCTTTAGAGTAATTACTTTAGGCTATAAGAGACCTTTGGAAAGAGAGGATCTTTTTGAACTAAAGGAAAGTGATTCCTTCTGCACTGCGTGTCCCATCTTTGAAAAACAATGGAGAAAGGAAGTTTTAAGGAATCAAGAGAGGCAAAAAGTAAAGGTAATTAATTATGAAGTTCTATAAACTCCTGAAGTGATTACTGCCTGACAACTAGATAAAGCTTTTTTCAAGTATGAGATACTATTATTAATATCGAAATTTGTAAAATGTGTGAAATGACAATCTATTTTTATAAGCATAATTTGTTGCTATTGCAGCCCATTTCTGTCTTCAAACTACTCAACATTCCTTCTCTTTAATGTTCAGGAGCAAATGTGTTGATATGCATGTATATATCTTTGGCTCCTTACCAGTGGTGACAAAGATAGCTTCTGTATCTCAGAGCATCATGTCTATTGGTCAAAGCAAATTATATGGTGGCCAAAATTGAAGTTTATGGGAGCAGGAGCAGACACTCCACCTCTAGCATCATATGCATATATATTATTTTCAGACTTCTCCAAAAGAAAATATAATTTGGAGATAAAAACTGTATTTATGTTAATTAAATAGTTTCAAAACTCACAAAAATAATAAAATGCAACTATTGCACTTGTCCCTTTATGCCATGTGGTATAAGTAACACCACCTACCATCTCAATGATATGGGTCATAATTTCAAGTTTAACTGATTTATTCCTTTCTTATTACCTTATTGTCTTTAGAGCAATATTGTTAATTGTATAAGTAGTTTAGTTATATTTCATTTTATTAATATTAGTTGTGTCCAATTTTCTCATTGTGTCTATTTTCTTTAGTTATGTAGGTATCTTGTTATAAAGAGGCACATATCAAGAAACCATCTCTACTCTATGCATTGTGGAACACCTTTAAATCCATCCTGATTCAAGTTGCCTTATTCAAAGTGTTTGCTGATATTTTGTCCTTCACTAGCCCACTCATAATGAAGTAAGTTAAAGTCTGGTGGGTTTTTTTTCCCTCCTCACAGATAAATGAAAAGTAAGTATTCTAATATAAAAGTTCTAATACAAAAGAGTAGAGAAGGTTCTTATTGCAAATATTATTAGGATGTGGACATGCTATTAGGGTTATCTACAATATAAATGGGAATTAGGATAATATAGTCAATATCTAATAAAGTCAACCCTGTACTAAGCACTGCTCTAAAATCTTATATTAATTTTATTAAGCAAGGGTTCGCCAGAGAAACAGAACCAATAGGATATATAAGCCCAAATAAGAGGGGATTTATTATGGGAATTGGCTCTCGCAATTATGGAGGCCAAGAAGTCCCACAGTCTTGCATTTGCAAGCTAGAGACTCAGGAAAGACAGTGGCATAATGCAGTCTGAGTCCAAAGGCCAGGTAACCTTGAGTTCTGACGTCCACGGGCAGGAGAAGGTGGATATTTCAGCTCCAGGAAAGAGAGCTAATTCACTCTCTCTTTACCTTCTTGTTCTATCCAGGCCCTCAACAAATTGGATGAGGCACTATGCCCTGGGATCATCCTTACTCAGTCTACTGATTCAAATGCTAATCTCTTCCAGAAACAGCCTCACAGACACACCCAGACATCTGGTAGATGGTAAAACATTATTTAAATGTTATTAAACAGAAATAATGTTTTACCATCTCTTCACCAGTCAAGTTGACACGTAAAATTAACCATCACATTGGTAATCTCATTTAATCTTTACTACACTCCTGCAACATAGACAGTATTATTACATTCAGTATTACAATGGCAGAAACAGACAGAAAGGGTGGAGTAATTTGTCCAAGTCCCCACAGCTAGAAAGTGCCAGAGTCGTAATTGAAATCTAGGAAGTCTCGCTTGAATGTATGCGATACATATTTTCACTACGATACTTAGTTGTGGCCTTTTGAGAGTTGAGCTTTAACAGCCATGGCAATTACACACACACACAAACATACACTCACACACACAATTACTATGTATAACATATATGAACATATATTATTATTACCTAATATATGTATATTTCTGTGCATCTCTATATCTAGATATGGACATAGTAAAATGACTTGAAACATTTCTATAATATCTACCTGCAATGGTTTACAGGCAGACAATGAAATTGATCTTTTGACTGTGCCACCTTTTTCAAGGAAACCTTGACTTATACCTAGCTGTCATATGAAGGAAATGCAAAGAAACATATATTTTATTAACTGGTGATTATATTTTTACTATTGAAAAATTTCCAAGTTGTTAGAGTTTTTAATAACCATTTAATTCATGAAAATATCATTAATCCTGCATTACTTAGATCCCATATGATATTCAGGAATATATTCATTCAATATTTATTGAGCACCTATGCATGCCAAAACTGTTCTAGGTCGACTGCGGGGACAGAACAAAAATCAAAACAAAGAACCTGCTCTGATGACACTTAGAGGGGAGAGATGAAAGCCAAACAAATGAATAAACATAAATGATACCATCAGTGCTTAGGAACAAAGTAAAGTAGGGTAAGGGAATGCCAGTCTGAGGAGTTAGAAGTTACCGTTTTATGTAAGGTAATTATGAAAGACATTGGTGATAAGGTGACATTTGGTCACAGTTCTGAAGGAAGTTAGGGAGGAAGCCAAGAAAATATCTATTGTGATTAAAGGTAGCAGGAAGGGCAAAAGTCATGAAGAAGCTCATGCTTGATATCTCTGAGGGCCTGCAAGGAGGCAAAGTGAGGTTGGAGCAGAGAGCTGGAAAGGTAAGACTGAGGTCAGAAAGGTGCAGAGATGAAAAGATTTTGAAGGACCTTATGAAATATGATGGGAATATTGGCTTTTAGTCCACATTAGCAGGGAAGAATTTGGAAGATTTTGAGCAAAAAAACAATGATCTGCTTAGACTTAAGTCTTATAGGAATGACTCTGGCTGCTATGTGGGGAATAAAATCAAGACGTGCAAGAGTGGAAGAAGAAACACCAGTTAGAAGTTTGTTTGCGATAATCCAAGCAAAAGTTAATGGTGGCTTCAACTAGGTAGTAGCAATAAGGGTGATAAGAAGTGGTCAGACTCTGGTTGTGTTTTAAAGGTAGAGTTAACAGAATATACTGGTGGACTGAATGTAGGTTGAGAGAGGAAGCGAGAAGTTAAGGATGCCTTCAAAATTTTTGTTTAGATCATCAGGTAAATGAGTCAGCATATCCTTGTAGTATGTCACAGTATACGCCCAAATTGTTTTCACCATATTGCATGTGCTATATAGCCTTTTAAATTTAACACTATTTTCAGTCGCATTGATGCAGTTTTAAAAAGGTGAAATCATGCTTAAAATATTATTACCAGTGAACATCAGGCACTCTGAGTTTTAGACAATGTTTATAGTTGAGGGACTATCAGCCGAGATACTTGTAATTAGAACCATCCCCACTGTTTTTCTGCTCCCCAGCATTGGCCCTAATCATCCTGATCATGCTGTCACAAACTTAAGAGGAAATAAGGAAAAGGAGAGAAAAAAGAAATTGGTTATGAATAAAAGTGACAATAAAACATGAGATATAAATCAAGCTTAAAAAAAAAAAGCAGCACCTGTGGGCCATACTAAAAGATCCCCTACTTACGTTCTGGTTGTCATGTTTCCCTGTATTTGATAAAACACATAATTTTGAGAAAAATAAAGTTTTAAATGTATCTATGTCTCGACTTTTCTGATGAAGTTATACCAGAAAAGTTAATTATTTGATGGGCCTGCCATGTGAAAACCAGAAAATAACCTCGTACTCACAAGCCAGTGGAAGGGATTCCTGATTTTACTAAAAAAAAAAAAAAAAAAGAGAGGGCGGGGACAAATATCAAATTAAGCAAGTAAAGAAAAAGAACAGGTAAGAGTGTGTGTGTGTGTGTGTGTGTGTAACACTTTGACAATACTAAACTCTCATAAGCATTTAACACTTCAGATGTTTAACATTTCTGCCCCTTTCTCAATTTTTATGACGTGCAGGCAAATTATCATTTTCTGTGAACACAGCTCAGATTTTGGCTGGAATGGCTATGGCTATGCAGTGGCACTTCTTGTTGTAGTCTTTTTGCAAACTCTGATTCTTCAGCAATATCAACGTTTTAACATGCTCACCTCAGCAAAAGTTAAGACAGCTGTAAATGGACTGATCTACAAAAAGGTAAAAATTCCAAGGAATCCCCATTCCTGGGTGGACTACTCCCTTATGTGCTTTAAAATAAGGGGGCTAGAAAAATAGGGGAGTATATCAAAAAGTCCTTAGGAAATCCTTTGTATATACATTTGTTTTGCTTTAAAAGAACTTTGGCTCATCGATACTGGTTGCATTAATTTCTCTTTAGTACATGTTCTCTCTCTCTCTTTCTCTCTCTCTGGTCTTTACAACTTCTAGTCAGCCCTAATCCATTACATTAAAGATAATCTTTGTTTAATCTTATGCCACCTAACTGCTACTCACAAAGTGAGTGGAATTGAATATTTTCATGGTTTTCTATATGTATGCATCAATAAAAGCTCTCCTTTTCACAATATTATTTTCAGTCTTCATATTACCTTTTCCTTTCTCCTCTGGGAACTTCATTTTTATGCAATAAAGTCACTCATTTTTATACTGTCATTCCCCATTTCTCTCTTATTCTAAGTCCTGCCTCCCAAAGTTGGCTGATCTTTATTCCTGGCATAACCCTAAAGTTTAATTAGTCCTTTTTTTAAACACTACCTCTTTACCATGGAGGGTCTTTTATTTACAACATAATTATAAACAGTTAAAGAGCTTCCTCCCGCCCCTAGTTATCAAGTAATTATCCCAGCAACAAGTGTACTTTGTTCCCGCTTTGCACTCTGATTTAAATTGTAGGTTCATCAGGATTTGGAATAGAAATTTATTTAGCTGTTGTATCCATATCATACAAGACAATGACTTTTATACTTTATTAAAGTTGGATTACTGAATGAATGAATGAATGAATGAACAAGTGAGCCCCTGCTTTCCAAATAAATTGAGGGAAGTGTTAGCATACATAACAAACATGTGGAACTAAATGCAGATTTTATAGGAGATCAGATGAACAGAAAATCTACAAGGGGTTGTACATAGTTAAGGAAGTTTTCACATAGGAAGTCTTGAAAAGGTCTTTGAGAGAGCTATTGACTTTGTGTAAGGGGAAGGAAGTGTTATAATTTGGGCTGAGCTGGACATAAAGCATTACAGGCCATTTTGATCTTTGGGCCACAATGGGGGCATGAAGTGGTTTTATGGATCTTGGAAAGCCAAGTACAAATTGAGCAGTAAATGGTAACTGAACTTGCAGCAGAGTTTAGCTCTGTAGAACTCAGTCCACATACAGGATTAGAGGGGCTGTCCCAGTCCTAATTCTAGAGGCAGTATGTGCTGCCTCCAATATGGAATAAAGATACAGAAGAATCTAGAAACTGGTTTGAATGCTAACACTTGTTTTGTTATATAGTCCATATGGAACAGGATTTTATTCCATGATTAGAGCATTGGAGTTTAGACATGAGATGTAGGTGGATTTACAAACATAAAAGACTAAACTGCCATGAAAGAGTGAATGCAGAAGCATAAAATGTGGAGCACGGATCACTTTCAGAGCAATAAACCACTCTGTGTGATAGTATAATCGTGAATGTATGTCATTATACATTTGTACAAACCCACAGAATGTACAACACCAAGAGTGAACCCTAATGCAAACTATAGACTTCGGGTGATAATGATGTGTCAATGTGGTTTCATCGGCTGTGACAAATGTACCCCTCTGTGGAGGATGTTGATAATGGGGGAGGCTATGAACATGCAGGATAAGGAGTATATGAGATTTCTTTGTACCTTTCTCTCAGTTTTGCTGTGAACCTAAAACTGCTCTAAATAAAAGCAGTCCTTTGTAGGGGCAGAAAGGTGTAATACCTCTTTTCATCCATCATAAGAGTTGCAGTGGACATTCCTATAGCAAAAGACAGGTTGAAAAGAGAAAAATAAAACAAGTTAATTTAATTAAAATTTACTTCTTCAGAAGTAAGACCCAATGATCCAGGGAAAACTGTCTATTCTTATGCTTAGGTTCTATAGAGAATAGACAGCAGTGTAGAAATGTGATCAGACAAAAGGGTGTGATCTAATAGTAAGGGACTGAGAGGAGACACCCAGCATGGCCTTTCCATTCAAATTCTTCCTGGCCTCTCTGTATAGTATTCCTTTCCCTGGATATTGGATAGGACCCTTCTGGAATGATGGTCTTCAAGAGAGACGGGAAAAAGTGTTACCTTTCTAAGTTAAATGAGGCTTGTTTGAGAGGGGTTCTAGTTCTGTGACTCACTTTTGGAAAAAGGAAAGAAAGAGGAGTGGGAGACAAAAGGGCTGGAGAGGGTCAGAGAGACTTTGCTTCTGAGGCCTTCCCAATGTTCTTCAGTTCCAAGTGCTCAGCATGCCAAGGTGCCACATTTTGGGGTATCATGTTCTGAGTCCAAACACCTTAAATGTAAAAACAGAATGGACTGAAGTAGAAATTAGAGCAAGCTGTTAGAAATTAAAAAGAGAAACAAGTGTCATCATTGAGTCTTGCAAAGTGGGAATAGTGACTACAGGGGATAGACCTTGTATAGTTCCTTAAAGATTGTTTAAGATTAAGGGACACTGAAGGATCAAAGGAGTATTGCTATCAAGCCTACTCTGTGGACCCTGTAGTGGATATTACAGTGTAACAGGAGACACAAGTCTCTCTCCATGAGGTGAACAGGGATTGTTAAATTTCCCTTCTTCTTTATAGGTTTTAGAATTCCAGATGACTCATACTTCTCTGAAATTGGCCATACTTCATCAGGGACTTGTGACTAGAATAGGGTAAAGTTGGTCTCAGGTCCTTTTCTTGGTGAGGGGTTGTATTAGTCTATGTTCACACTGCTATATAGATACTATCTGATACTGGGTAATTTACAAAGGAAAGAGGTTTAATTGACTCATAGTTCTGCGTGGCTGGGTAGGCCTCAGGAAGCTTACGATCATGGTGGAAGGTGAAGGGGAAGCAAGGCACTTCTTACTTGGCAGCAAGAGAGAGAGGGAGAGCAAACGGGAAAGTGCCACTTTTAAGCCATCAGATCTCATGAGAACTCACTCACTACCATGAGAACAGCACAGGGGAAACTGCCTCCATGATCCAATCACCTCTCACCAGGTCCCTCCCTCGCCACATAGGGTTTATAATTCCAGATGAGATTTGGGTGGGGACACAGAACAAAACTATATCAGGGGTGCAGGTATCAGGATGTGCTTTGTTCCTTATCCATCCACAATTACTAGTGTAAGTTTGGAATAAAGTTCAGGGAATATCATTTTTAGGTTTGCAAGAAAGAACATGGGCCTCCTTCCACTTGATGACTTTAAGATTCTGTGGATCTCAAAACTCAGATTCTGTTACCCCTTAGTTCACAGGTTCAAGCTCCATGAAAATTCTTGGAGACTAAAAAACAAAACATGACTCCAAAGAAATCATTATATCAAAAAGATAACTTCACTTGTTTGTTGATCACAGCACTATTCACAACAGCAAGGATATGAAATCAACCTAAGTGTCCATCAACAGATGATCAGATAAAGAAAATGTGCTGTATATGTCTGTGTACACACACACACATGCACACACACACGCACACACACACACATACACATATATATACACACACACACACCATGGAATACTACTCAGTCATACAAAAGGAATGGAATCATGTCACATTTGCTAGATCATGGATAGAATTGGAGGCCATTATCTTAAGTGAAATAACTCAGAAACAGAAAGTCAGATACCACATGTTCTCATTTATAAGTGGAAGCTAAATAACGTGTACACATGGACGTACAGAGTGAAATAATAGATATTGGAGACTAGGATGGCTGGGAGGGTGGGTAATGGTAAGGGATGAGAAACACCATGACCCAATATAGCCATGTAACAAAACTGCATTTGTACCCCCAAATCTATAAATTAAAAATAAAAAAAAAAGAACTTTTTTTAAAAAGAAGCATCAATTAAACCTGGGTTTAATGTGGGCAGTCTGGGGGAATTCCTCCATTAAGCGTTGTCCAATAGAGTTTTTGTGATTTTTTTTAAAAATGTTCTGTATTTGCACTGTACAGTATGGTAGGCACTAATCACATATGGCTGCTGAGCCCTTGAAATGTAACTAGTACAACTAAAGAAGTCCATTTTTAATTTTAATTAATTTAAATTTTAATATAATAACCACATCTGGCTAGTGGCTACCATATTGGCTAGTATGGTGTCTACACTGTCTCCATTTGTAGTTTAAAGGTGTTATCTTACTTTAATTATGGTAATTATAAAACGCAAAAAAAATGGTAAAAATTTAGTTACATTCTTAAAGTAGAGATACTTAAGTATAGTCAGGAGAAGGAGAGACAGAATCCAAATCCTGCCCTTAGAGTCAGAAAGAGAATCTTGGCATATTTATTGGCACACAAGGGATTGAAGAATGCATTCTTATAAGTGTTATGTGCTGCCACCTTCAGCTTTACCATTTCTCATACTTCTGGTTGAAGATCATTGGGATGTGAATTTTTGGAGCCCTTGCGGCTCTACATTAAATGATGTGTATTACTTGCAGCTAGGATGGTCAGGAAAAGTGTCATGGTTAATATTGCATGATGTGGGTCATGGAATAATGGAAGGATACATTGCATGGGGTAAAGGCTCTGATGTTAGAATAACTTGGGAGAAAAAAAGTACAGAAATGCGTACAAGGCCTGCTCAGAAAATGGTGAGTAGATTAAATCGGCTTGAGACAATGTTTTATGTCCAGAATGGTGGGGAGAGATAGTAAAGGCAGAAGGGATTGCTTAAAAAAAAAAAAAAACTTGAAAGCTATATTTTTAAAATGTACCTGAATTCTATAGGAAATTGGGACCCAGCTGAGCCATAAGATGGATGATCAGGACAAAAGGATTAAAAACAGATGAGATGGGAAAGAAGGAGACCCTTAGAGCTAGTGCAATAATTGAAGAAATAAAGAAATGAAGAACTAGGGTCATGGCATGGAGTCTAGAAAGTAACAAATATATAAGAAGGAGAATGTGAAATTGCAAAACAAATTTCATCGTCAGTTCATAAAATGAAATATTAAGGACTGAACTAGTGATAATCAAGATTGTGGGGCTTGGAACTATATCTGGTTCATGTTGATTTTCTTAGAGCATAATTCAATTAGGGAAATGAATGAAGTTTTAAAAACAGATGAGTCACACAGCTTTATGTGTGTGTGTGAGTGTGTGGGTGTATTAAGATGTGTATGATATGAAAATACTGTAGAAAACAAATCTAAAACTTGGATAGAATTTTAAAGTAACAGCTTCTTAGAAAAGTGATTAGGTAACAAATGACCTGGCTAATTTTCATTTTGATTGAAGAGTACTTAGAAGCTTCCAAACTTTTAACATTGTTTTAAATTTCCTTTCTTTTATTTGTTTATTTACTTATTTTTATTTTTTATTTATTTATTATTTATTTATTTATTTATTCATTCATTTATTTATTTATTTATTTTGAGACGGAGTCTCGCTCTGTCACCCAGGCTGGAGTGCAGCGGCGCGATCTCGGCTCACTGCAAGCTCCGCCTGGGATTACAGGCGTGAGTCACCGCGCCCGGCAGATTTCCTTTCTTTTCACCTGAATCACATTTTTCCTCCTGTAACAGACTAAAGTACTTCCTACCAGACAATTCTAGAAATGTTACACCATCCGCTGTAATTGGCACATATTACAGTATTCTTTCAAGTTGTTTCGTATAACAAAAAGGCAGCTTAGATTGTATAATTTAGCAATAAATGGTAACTAAATTGTCCTTCGTGGCTTGTGAATTTTGTCTCTTTCAGAAATGTAAAGGCTTATTTGGCAGAAAAAAATATTGAAGAAAAAAAACCCAAAAATTTGAAAAAATTCCCCTAGTGTTAGAAATGCCATACAAACAACCTTCAATTATATAATACCTTTCAGTATTTTCTCTAATAGTCTAAAAGCAATTGATTTTTTCTTTTATTATTGTAAAAAAAGTAACATGAAATCTATCATTTTAATACATTTTAAGCTTAAAAAGGATTTATTGCTAACTATAGGTGCAATATATTACAGCAGATCTCTAGAACTTACTCGTCTTGGTTATCTAAAACTTTGTACCTGTTGAGCACTAACTTCCCGGTTTTCCCTTCCCCCCACCACCCTTGGAATCACCATTGCAGTGTCTGATTTTATGAAATTGACCGTTTGAGATACCTCATGTAAGAGAATTCATCCAGTATTTATTTTTCTGTGTCTAGCTTATTTCACTTAGCATAACGGCTTAAGGTCCATCCATGTTGTCTCATATTTCAGAGTTGTCTTCTTTTTTAAGCCTGAATAGTCATTTATCCAAAGAAGACATATAAACGACTAATGACATATACGTGGCTATATGTTCCTGGCTATATGTTCCACTGTGGGCCCAAACTACTATATTCCAGATGGACTTTTCCATTTTTTTTTTTAATTTATTGAATAGATAGATTTAGAGGGACTCCTGTATGTCATTTTCTCTTGCTATCCCCAACTCTCAGTCCTGTCCCTCTTTAAATCAATGCAGTGAAGATTCCATACATTTTTTGATATATAAATGAACCTTTGTCCAGTTTCCAGTAGAAATACAAATCTCCCACTACTTTTACGGTTGTTTATGTATTTCACTGGGAATTTTAAATGGAGGAATAATTAAATAAATAAATTTCTATCCGCATCTTTTGTAAAAAGTTACCAATAATTATGCTTGGGGATATTGGATTCAGTATACATATATTAAGTAGCATGCACTTGTGGAAAGTGAGAAATGGGACTTGGAAGAAAAGATGTATTTGCATCTGCTCTATGACACCTTTTCAGTACTTTCATCTCTAAGTTCCCATGGCCCTTATTAGCTGTTTTTACACTTACAGCAAAACAGAGTATGTGTGTAGATTTACAGATAGATAGTAATCACCTTGAGAAATAAAACTGTGTCCTTTTTTAATTGTCCTGATTCATTTGTGTACTTTGTATTGATAACATTTAGATGGTGTAGCATTATGGGGACAACACCAAATTGAGGAGAGCCTTAATATATCTAGAAGATATATATATATATATATTTTTTTTTGGTAATCAACAAGTTATTGAGGGTTCTTTTTTTTTCTTCAACTTTTATTTTAAGTCCCAGGGTGCATGTGCAGGATATGCAGGTTTGTTACATAGGTAAACATGTACCATGATGGTTTGCTGCACAGATCAACCCATTACCTAGGTATTAAGCCCAGTGTCCTTTAGCTGTTCTTCCTGAGGCTCTCCCTCCCTCTGCCCCCACTCCCCTGACAGGTCCCAGTGTGTGTTGTTCCCCCATGTGTCCATGTGTTCTCATTGTTCAGCTCCCACTTACAAGTGAAAACGTGGTGTTTGGTTTTCTGTTCCTGTGTTAGTTTGCTAAGAATAATGGCTTCCAGTTCCATCCATGTCCCTGCAAAGGACATGATCTCTTTCCTTTTTATGGCTGCATAGTATGCCATAAATTCTTATTGTTTGGAAACCCAAATGTTACTCTCTACCAATAAACATTATTCCAAAAGTATATACTTTAATCACTAATTATATTTCCTCACCTAAAAATCATGTCTCTTCATTTTATAATACCCCAATACATAAATAACCTTGTACACTTTCCTAATTATATTAAACATTGATATTAAAAGTTACCATTGCTTAACTATAAAGATGCCCCATAATCACAGAACTCTAAAATATTTGCTTCTCTCTTTATAGGCCTTACTTTTATCAAATGTTTCTCGACAAAAGTTTTCCACTGGGGAAATTATTAACTTGATGTCAGCAACTCATGGACTTGACAGCAAACCTCAATCTCCTCTGGTCTGCCCCTTTTCAAATCCTAATGGCCGTATATCTCCTTTGGCAAGAGCTGGGTCCAGCAGTGTTAGCAGGGGTGGCAGTCCTTGTGTTTGTTATACCAATAAATGCTTTAGCTGCAACTAAAATAAAAAAGTTAAAGGTAAGAAAATGACTGCCTCATGTTACATGTGTCAAACAGGAGCTGAGTTTTCTGACTTGAGTTAACAATCACCATCTCGCTAATTATATAGAGAGAGTTACAAATGGAAGTCATCGAATTTTATCATTTACTTATTCACTCAACCAGTATTGAACAAGCATGTATCTTATGTCAGCCAGTGTTTCAGGCACAGGAAGTACAGCAGTGAGGGGAAATGACAAGTCCAGCTCTCATGAGGGGTAGTGGAGGAGACAGGCATTAAGCAAGTACATAAATAGAGAGAAAACATTTGTATATGAAAAAGATTTAGTAAAATACAGTGATGAAGAGACAAAGGATGCCATTTTACATTTAGGATCAGGAAAGTCCTCAGAAAGGGAATGGTATATCAACAGGGTGAAGGAGTAATTCAAGTGGACATCTGAGGGAAAGACACACCAAGCAAAGGGAAGAGTATGCATGCAGCCTGGAGGTAGGGGTATGCTTGGTTGTTTGAAAAGTGAAGTACTGCAGCAAGCAGACAGGAAATGCTTCACTAAATTAATGTTGATATTCTTCCTTTATATTCAGTCATTCATCTTACCATCAATATATGTTTTGACATCCCGCCATGTGTTAGACAGTGTGCACTATGCTATACTCTAAGAAATGGAGAAACCACAGAGTTCACTGCATTGAAGGAAATCACACTGCAATGAGATAGATGCTTTCATATGTTAAATTAACAGAGGTGGATGTATTGCTTATGAAAACATTTTATAATTTTAAATGGATCAAAGATTAACAATATATATTGACATGGAAACATGTCAATCATATTTTAAAGCAAAAAGGAGATTAAATATATGCATGTATATCATACATATGTGTAGCTATATCATTGATCCATTATTAAAATGTGAATATACCTATACACATGTGTGTAATGGAGAGGTAAATAGATGAAGATACATAGCTATAAATATATTTGCATAAGCATAGAAGTAATCTAGAGATAAAGCATCAGTCTTTAAAGAATAGTTACCTGTAAAGTAGAATTAGACAGAAGGAGGATAGATTTTTACTTCTGACTTTAATACCCCAAGTGACTAAAAATTGTATAGTATTTTATATTTTTCTTAATTTTTCAAATAAAAGATGACTGGTTTTTAAACATAAAAACTAGAAAATAGCATATATTTATGAAGTAAAGGTACTTAGCATGCTAGTGTTTAGAATAACAGATTTGTTTATAACAAATATTTTTAACTAGTTTTAAAAAATATATTCTGGATTTTAAAAACTGCTATTTAAAGGCACATTATTAAGAATGGAAAAATATTTTTTGAACCTTAATCTAGAGTCCTATAACCTTCAAAGATATTTCAATATTATATCCAAATATACTAAATAAAAAATATGACTTTAGGCCCGGCGCAGTGGCTCATGCCTGTAATCCCAGCACTTTGGGAGGCCGAGGCGGGCAGATGACCTAAGGTCGGGAGTTCGAGACTAAACTGACCAACATGGAGAAACCCCGTCTCTACTAAAATATAAGATTAGCCGGGCATGGTGGCACGTGCCTGTAATCTCAGCTACTCAGGAGGATGAGGCAGGAGAATCACTTGAACCTGTAAGGCGGAGGTTGCAGTGAGCCGAGTTCATGCAATTGCACTCCAGCCTGGGCAACAAGAACAAAACTCCGTCTCAAAAAAAAAAAAAAAAAGAAAAAGAAAAAGAAAAGAAAATATGCCTTTAAATCACACACATAATACTAGTGGTATTAAATTGCACACAGAATATGACGGATTAGCTTGTAATGCATTCTTCATAAGATATACAAATACTTATGACATATAAAGTGCCAATTTAGTGGAGAAAACACTTAAGAAATGATACCCAAACAAGTATAAAATATTATGATAATTGTTAAATATTTGAATAAAAATACAATTGCATAACATTTATAAAAAGAAGAGGAAGGGTATTTGAAAATATACATTTTAATTATTCTAATTCCCAAAGAACAAATAAAATTTATAGAGAGCCTTATTTTTATTCTTGTGACACTTCTAAGTATGTACATAAACAGTTAATGGAGTTTTTAGAAATGTGTTCTATTTTAGTAGGATGTGGGTGTTATTTTATTATTCATTTTAAACAAATTAGGTTTAAATAAATATATTTTCTACTATTCTACTGTTCGCCTGTTGGCTATGCTCAAGTTACCTATTTATAACTATCTTCCAACATTGTCAGTAGAATAATGTATAAATATTGTAAGATGCTTTTCTCCATTAAATCTTAAGTAAAAATAGAGAAAATAGACCATATTTTTAAAATAGCTGTGGACATATCAGTAAAAGTATTACCGATTTTGTCAAATATTCTTTTATCTCCTTTCCATTAAATAGAAAAGCCAAAGAAAGAACAAAGATAAACAGATAAAACTACTCAAAGAAATCCTACATGGAATTAAGGTAGTATGAAAGGGATATGCCTTGGATCTATTTTGAGTATAGTAATACAAATGAAGTTTGTAGTGTTCTCAATATCTCAGAGTGATGATAGATAATAATTGTTGGCAGAAAATTTCAGATTTCAGATATTGTAGGAATTCTTATCACTAAAATAACATTTAAATGCAAAGCCAAATAAAATGCAGCCATTTCTTTTTGTTTCTCACACAAGTAAACACAAATATCCTAAAAGTCACAACATATTACTTATTTTAAGGTATTATGTTGAAAAGATGCGATGAAGCAGGCAAGAGTGGTAATAATACATCCATCAGTGTAAAGGCAGATTTATATAGTGGAAGTGATGAGGTGTCATTTAGGTTATTTTATGTGGGATACAAATGATCACATAAATGCTATTCTATAAATAGTATGTTGCAAATTATTTTTCTCTAGAAAAGCTGGGATAGTTTAAAAGTGAGAGCAGTCAGTATCCTTGGGGTCTGATAACAGGTGTTATAAAGCCTCTCTCTGACAATACTGATAATTGCTACCATTTATTAAATATTTTCTATGCATCAAATGCTGTGCTTATTACTTTATATGTGTTTCCTCATGGAATTCTTATAAACCTCAAGAAGAAGATTTCGCATTTCCATTTTATTAACTAGGAAACAAAGACACTGAGCAGTTAAGGGTCAGGTCTGAATTTACAGAACCAGTGAGAGTGTATTAGAGTTCTCCACAGAAAGAGAATCAATAGATTTCATATAGAGAGATATAGATATAGAGAAATATGAAGAGAGATTTAAGAAACTGGCTCATCTGATTGTGGGGGCAGGCAAGTGTAATATCTGTAGAACAGGTGGGTAAACAGAAAACTCTAGCAGAAGTTGATGCTGCAATCTTGAATCTGAAGGCAATCTGGAAGCAGAATTCCTTCCCCACTGAGGAACCTCAGCCTTTTCTCTTAAGGCTGTCAACTGATTTGATAAGGCCCACTCATATAACAGAGGGCAATCTGTCTAACTCAGAGTTTAACTGATTGAAAAGCTAACAGCATCTAAGAAATACCTTCACAGAAACATCTAGACTCCTGTTTGAACAAATAACTGGGCCCCATAGCCAGTCAAGCAGTCACATAAAATTAAGCATTGTGGCCAGGCGCAGTGGCTCATGCCTGTAATCCCAGCACTTGGGGAGACCAAGGCATGTAGATCACCTGAGATCAGGAGTTCGAGACCAGCCTGGGCAACATGGAGAAACCCCGTCTCTACTAAAAATACAAAAATAGCTGGGCCTGGTGGCTCATGCCTGTAATCCCAGCTACTTGGGAGGCTGAGGTAGGAGAATCGCTTGAACCAGGGAGGTGGAGGTTGCAGTGAGCTGAGATCACGCCATTGCACTCCAGCCTGGGCAACAAGAGCAAAACTCCACCTCAAAAAAAAAAAAAATAAAATAAAATAAAATAAAATAAAATAAAATAAAATAAGCATCGCATAGCGCTGGAATTTGAATGTAAGTCAATTCACTCTAAAGTGTTTGCAATAAGCCAGTGTAAGATCCTATTTCCCCAAATTTTCTGTCTCAGAAAATAGTTTACAATCTTAAAACACTAATCAGCTTCAGAGAATGGCTTGAAGTACCAAAACATCTGTCGTAAAGAAACTAGAAAGGCAGGGAGAAGAGTTTAGCTATAAAGAAAAAGGTAATAGGTAGAAGTGAGAGTTGGTCAGCAGGAAGAGTGACAGAACTGAGCTAGACGGAAACTGTCTATGGAGTTCTATGGAGTTCGTGCCTTACAGCTGGGATGTTGCCAGAGTCTGGCTCAGAAATAAGCTATTGGAGGTGGTGGAGACATAAGACTGGGGAATGGTCATTCCCTCCTTCTGCTCCGCTCCCACCCCCAAAATACCGCAATTTAAGAAAATATTCTGATTCAGTCAAAGTGGAAGCAATTTAGTTTTCTTTATGGTTGTACCATCATTTTTTATCTTCACGATTGTGTGTGTGTGTGTGTGTGTGTGTTGTTTGTTTGTATGTGTGAGTTTTTTTCTTCTATGATATAGATTGGCAGATCATTATCGTGTGACTCATTTACAGATCCTCAAACTTTATGCATGGGAACCCTCCTATAAAAATAAGATTATCAAAATTCGAGATCAGGAATTGGAATTTCAAAAATCAGCTAGGTATCTTACTGTATTTTCCATGTTGACATTAACCTGCATTCCATTCTTGGTGAGTGTATGTCATATTTCCTGTTTTGATTTTCAAATCTGATTTACAGATTTACCTCCAAATTACTTGGAATTAAGATGTATAAAGTTAAATATTATGTATCTGAATTAAAATTGTAAAGAAATACATTCATTAACTTATGTGGATTAGAGAACAAAAGTTACAAAGAAAGGGAAAATACTGTATGTGTTTTCATTGGTCTGTATTTTTTAAACACAATAAGATTTACTTCTCTGTAAATTTCTCAGAGATTTTTCATATATGCCTATATCTCTTAAAAATATAATCTACATTTCAGAGTTTCATTCCAGTTTTAAAGCTTGATATGTATGACTGATTCCTTTTAAGCAGACTCAAAGGGCCTATTATATGGAGATGAGAAGAGAAGCAACATTTATTGAGTTGTTACTGAATGTCAGGGAAGTTACATACATTGCCTTATTTCAATCTCACAATAATAAGGCATTATTTTTCTCATTTCACAAGATGAAATGGAAGTCCAGAGTAGTTGGAAACATCCTCAAAGTTATAAAATTGGTATTTAGAGGCAAATTGACATGAAGTGACATTATTCTCTTTCTATTACACCATAAACATTGGGAATCCCATGCTATTTTAACTAGAATATAAATTGCCTTGGGATATGAAGCCATGGGCAAAAGCCAAAGGAAAAGCAAGCCACATATAACCGGAGCATCAGTTTTAATCAAAGTTGCCACTCTATGTTGATAATTAATTTTTTTGTATTTCAACAAACGTGAGTATTATGGAAGTGAATGCAATATTTACATTTGGAATACATTGGTAAGACCATCCAAGATGTATTTGCTTAAGCCAGTACTATATACATGATAGTAAGTCCATTCTCATGCATGAATGAATTTTTCCTGCCTTTTCTAGATGAAACTTATAAGAACGAATATAAATCTTAGCCATGATTTATTCATATCTTCCTCAGTTAATCTTATGACACAAAGAAAGAATAATTATTATATATAAGTCAGAATGTATGCAACTGGAATATAAGTTTACATAAAACTTCTGAATTTAAAGAAATGATGAACTGGTTTACAATGTAAATGGGAATAATAACTGTGGTAAGAATATAACATGTCTTACAAGAAAAGCGCTGGACCACATGGTCTCAAGGATGTCATTGTCCGAGATACATGAGTTTATGACCCTTACTAAAATATATTTTATGTTCTTCAGCAAGAGTACTAAATTTCAGGAAACAAACACAATTATTTAGATTTTATTTTCTAATTTTGGGGACTGTAACTAATAATGTTATCAGTAGAAATTTGAAGAAAATAACACATCTCTATTTTTTAGGTGTCCCTGGCAACCTTGTGTGTCTATTTCTTACTGGATGAAGGAAACATTTTAACAGCCACTAAAGTGTTCACATCGATGTCTTTGTTTAATATTTTAAGGATTCCTCTGTTTGAGTTACCAACCGTGATCTCAGCTGTGGTCCAGGTACATACAGAATACCTTAAACTAGGAATTATTCCTTTACTGGAGTCTATGGTTTGTGACATTTTATTTCTTTGTCTTTTTAATTTTATTTTATTTCACTTTATGTAGTTGTTTAACACTGCATTCAAAATTAGTTTTCCTGAATTAAGGAATAATAGAGAACATTATAGAATAAAAAGAATCATGTCTTCCTTGCTTGTGCTTTTTTTCCATCAAAGTGACTTTTAAATATTTCAATATGTTATTTTGTTTTCTTGTTAAGTGTTAGATTCTCTACTTAGCATTTTTAAAGCTGGTGTTAGCCACTGTGCCATTACAGGATTCATTTCCTGTTTCCAACGGAAAAGTTATAATTAGGTGCTTTGTATGAAACTAGATCGAATGTTTTCCCAGGGTTCAGCAGCATTTCATCTATACTGAATGAATAAGCAGGGAGACAAGCACATTGATAATATCAGTCAGCCAACAAGCCAAGTGTGAGATGTCTGGGTCAGCCTGCTTTTAGTTGTAATCTCCAGTTCCTGGAGGCTGTTTAGATGCTAGATACAATGAGTAGATGGTTGCTAAAGCCACAGGAAACCCAGAAAAGTTCCTTGATCCTTTTGCCCTGAGATTTATGGTTACATTTTTTGGATGTCAGGTTTGGCCATCCTCCATTCAATTATTTTCCTCAAGTCTGGATTCATAAACAAAGTGAATATTTGCTTATTGGAATCATCCTTTAATCTAAGAACTTTACTCTTTAAAAAAATATTATTTGAATAAGGAGTAACATAATTGAATAGTAAAAACCAATTAAGCTATTTTTGTTACATCTTTTTCATGTTATTTTTCTTAAAATAACCAACAGAGGGCATAGAAGAACCGCTGATGTGATGCTTTTAGCATTTGATTTCATAGCACGCTTCTCATAAAGAAAATGTCAGTTCTTAGAGTAACAGTTTGGTTCTAGTTTTGAAATTAGAATCTAGCTAAAGGTCCGATATCAAAGCCTTTTCCAATTGCTAGCAGTACTCTGCTACCTTCATTTAAGGAGACCATTTTTCCAAAATGGAAAAAAAAGAAAAAGCTAACTGTATGTTCTGATTTGACACACTTGGTAAACAAAACTACAGCCCAATTACATCTTATGTGTTAACGATACAAGTCCCCTAGCACAAAGTAAATAAAAATGTACTAGAAATTGTATGTAAGTCAGTTTTCAGAAAACAATGTAATTTTATTTATCCTAATGTAGCCAAACATTTTATAGCTATTTTACTATATTACTATTTCCTATTTCACTATAATTGAATGTTATTATTATCAACATTATAGTTTTGTTTATCATCAGTAGCAGAATTCACTCACCGATCTTAAAGTTGCTTTTAAAGCCTTATTTTTCTGTATTACAAGAAAATATCACCCTACACCTGTTAGGATGGCTATTATCAAAAAGTCAAAGAATAACAAATGTTGGCAAGGATGTCAAGAGAAGGGAACCCTTGTGTACTGTTGGTGGGAACATAAATTGGTACATCCGTTATGGAAAACAGTATGGAAGTTCCTCAAAAAATTCAAAATAGAACTACCATACGAGATAGAAATCCCACTTATGGGAAAATATCCAAGGGAAATAAAATTACTATGTTGAAAAGATATATGCACTCCCATGTTCATTACAGCATTATCAGGAGCCAAGATATAGAAACAACCTAAGTGGCTATTGGCAGAAAAATTGATAAAGAAAATATACAAACAATATAATATTATTCAACATGGCAGAATATTATACTAAGTGAAATAAACTAGGCACAAAGAGACAAATACTCTGTTATCTCACTTATATGTGAAATCTAAAAAAGTCTAACTTACGGAAGCAGAGTGAAGAAAAGTGCTTATTAAGGCTCAAGGGTGACATTGGGGTGGGGTGAGGTGAATGAGATGTTGATCAAAGATTACAAACTTCCAGTTATAAGATGAATATGTTCTGGAGACCTAATGTACAGCGTGGTGACTATGGCTAATGATAGTGTATTGTATACTTGAAAATTGCTAAGAGAGTAGATGTTAGGTATTCATATACACAGGAAAATAAAGGTGCCTACGGGAGGTGATACATAATCTAATTAGCTTGATTGTGGTAATCATTTCAAAATGTGCATGTATATAAAAAAAGTTGTATACCTTAAATATGTATAATTTTTCTCAATTATACCTCAAAGAAGTTGGGAAAAAATCAATCTTTCTATAATAATTAAGAGTTATTATGGCTTTTCTAGAATAATAAATAAGATTTTCATTTCTTTTTCTTATAACTTTCTGCATAGATGACATTAGCTTTGATCTTTGATTCTTGAAACTGCCCTTTGTCTTTAGAAATGAATGTATTTATAACATTAAATCAATTCAAACTATGCTTGCTATATTTATCTCAATATCTTTAATTTGCGTAAAAATTCTACTTAGCCTGTAAAACGTAGTAAACATTTTTTAGTTTAAATTCTACTTGAACCCCAGATAAATTCCATCTGTGCTTATTTTGATAGACAAAGATATCCCTGGGCCGTTTGGAAGACTTTCTCAACACTGAGGAGCTTCTTCCTCAAAGTATTGAAACGAACTATACAGGAGGTCAGCACTTCCTCTTTTCATTCATTACTTATTTGACTTCTGGGTTGAAGGTAATTGGTTCTAAAATGCATCATTGTATATTTTTTTTCTTCCTTAGATCATGCTATTGGGTTTACAGATGCTTCTTTCTCCTGGGATAAAACAGGAATGCCAGTTCTAAAAGAGTAAGTCGTGGTTTGGTGAATTTTTTTTAATGTTAATATTGGGTTCTAAAATGCTCCATATTTTTATTTCTTAGAGGTTTTTAATAAGATTAATATACTGAAATTAACCTCTCATTTTACCTTTCATTTTCGTGGTGATTTTGCTGTCCTTTTTTCTATTGTTTCTTCTGTCTGCAGCACTTTATTGTTCATTCGTTTGCATTTTGGAAGGGTAGGTGTTTGTAGAAAAAGGTGAAAAGCAACAATTTCAGCGATGACACCAAGTGCTGCATACAGTGACTTATCTAGGAATATATTTTAAAAACAACCACAAAAAGAATTTCCTATGTTGTCTCCCTTTCTTCTCATGCAGCTTGAACGTAAAGATTCCAGAAGGAGCTTTAGTGGCTGTTGTAGGGCAAGTTGGGTCTGGAAAATCATCCATGCTTTCTGCCATTCTAGGGGAAATGGAGAAACTTACCGGAGTAGTTCAAAGAAAGCTAAAATAAAAAATACATTCTTTCAACATCTTCTAATGTAACAAGCTATAGCCAACTTGTCATTAGTGTCAATAAGAATTTATCAAGTTGAATTGAAGATGCAAGCATTTAATGGGCATTTCTAGTTTATAAGAAACATTTCAATTTCCATAGAAATTGATGAATGATGGGTAGATTAATGACAGAATTCTGTTCTCCAAATACTTCAGCAAATCATTTATAAATGCTTATGGTAATTGTTTGATGATATTAACTGAATTGCAACCAATTATAGAGAAAAGAATGTGATTTATATTGTAATTTGATTAGGTTTCTATGTATTATTCAGCAAGGTTCCCTAAGTAATTACAGCCATTTCATTTCTAAGAAGTCTTGCAGCCAGTCTCGGGTAGGATCTTTGACCAAAAAGAAACTTCAGAAAAATAAAGTTATTAATAACTTACATTTAAGATTCAGCATTAGGACCACGAAGAGGTCTACACTTGACTAATTGTTCTATTCTTAAAGGTCAATAAGAATAAGAATTGAACAAGTTCTTAATCAGCTTTCTCTTTTTGAAACAGTAGACTACCCGGTGAGTTTTTCCTTACGTGTAATCAACTCTTAGGTAAAATACTAAGTAGCCCATCTTTTCTTCTTACCTGTGACAAGATGAATAAGCTCTGTGTATCCTGAGATCAGTATCTCTTCACTCTGTTATTTTTTCTTTCCTCTCTGGGAAAAATCAACTCTAACTCCTTTTATTTTTCCTCATATATTTCTTTATACTCTTACATCTTTCCTGATTCCAGTCCTTTAGTGACTAAATTTTTGTTATTCTCTTTTATCTCGGCATGACCGTTACCTAGTCTAGGGCCAAATATGATTCCTATGACTTTTTCTAATAAAATTGCACTTAATGAACACCACTATTTTTAAGCCTTAAATATACTATCTTTGTAGCACTATGCTGTTTGTAGCAATTGCAATTAGCCATTTCTCTGCAGTTCAAGATAGCTGTACCTTTTACTTGGGTGTACATTACAAACATAATGAGTGTCATATTAATTTTATTTTTATTTAGTTTTTTCAGCTATTTTCACTAAGCAGTTACTGAGCCCATGCTATGTACCTAGCACTTTCTGCCAGAGAAGTAAACGTGAATAAGATATGCCCCTCTTCTTTCAAAAGTCATAGTCTAGTGAGGGAAATGCAATAATCAATTATAAAAAGGTCTAAATCAGATATAAAAAATGAATTAAAGCAAAAAAACAACAAATTCTGCTTCGAAGAGTTCGAAAAAGAATCTGAGAGGAGGTCGCTCTTTATCTGATCTTGAAAAATAATTAGAAATTGATAAAGATAAAAATAATGTCAATTCTAGATTTCACCTAATTCATTAATAATAGTAATAAGCTGAAAAGGCTGGGGTTAGAATTGCATAGGATAATGTGCAAAGACCTAGCCTAGCTCCTCTCTATGAATATGTATGATGATCATCATCTTTATTACGATTGTTGAGGCTCTCATAATAAGATTTAAAGATTATTTCTGATATCTTTGAATGTTTTTAATTAAGAAGGTGTTCCTAGTGATGAAAGAAACTGTAATAATGCCATTATTAGTGATAAAACAGAGAGGATATTCTTTGTTTATATTAAATTACAGATGCCCAAGTAAAAAGATATTATCTGTTTTTATAACTGGTCATTGGCCTTCAGGAAGATTTTGACCTGGATAAATGGCAGGATTTGAAGTATCACACTCTGAATTATTTCCCCAAATATTTTTTATTCAGAATTTGTATCATCTTGATTATCTCTATTTAAGTAAAATTAACATTATAGCAGCATTTTCAAAGTGCTTTTGTGTGCACTTTCTATTTTTCGGTTTTTCAGATGATTACTTTTTTGAGGCATATTTTAATCCACAATGTTCAAACTCTAAGACTGCCTATTATCGCTAAACTTTCTCTGTAGATTCCCTACTCTTCTCAGTATCAAAAGCTCACACCAGGCACCGTTCATGAAAAGTATTCAGTATTCAGTGTTCTGTGGTAGAAACATCAGAGATATGGAGACCATTTTTGAATTCACAAAACTTCTATTATAGGTTCATTATTAAGAATGAAACAAAATGTTTTCATTTGTATGTGAAAGGAAATAATAAAAAAGAACATTTACATCTCTGTGAAAATTGATCAACTCTTTTTCAACTGTTTTAATACCAATGAAAGGCCATACCTCTTAATGTAGTACTTAGTTTCTGTTTTCTCATGTTCTTCAATCTCTTCTCCTTTGTTTTTTATCCTCTGCACTGCTCAACTTGCTTAATACATAGCAAATATTGAAAATATCTATCAGTCACGTGCTGACTTAATATGCAATTCAAAGCAAAGTTTAGATTATTCACTTCACAAGGCAATTTGATAACAATTCCTTTTGTGTTCAAGATCAGGTCAGATCAGAATTATATTGTTTTTGATCAAAAGCCATTCTGTGTCTTACATACTCAACAAAGAAGAATTATAAGTTAATCTTTCACCTTTAAAGTAGTAGGTAGAAATCAAAAGGCTAATAATGGCTGCACATGTGTGTATATCAGAAAGTACTTTAAGTGTCTGGTATTGTTACAGAGTGTGGAGTACTTAAAATACTAAATCAATGTTTGGATTGAGTCCATGGGGCAGATTGAAAGGTAGGCCACTAGTGCAAATACTGTGGGTTCTTTTTCTAGAAAAGAAGGGTTAGTTGAGAAGATATTTTATGCAGCAGACTGTCATATATTTAAAAATCATTTCAAGGTATAAAATCATAAAAAATAAATTTGGGATCAGTGGTTAATGTGTAACACACGGAGATTTGCCACCCAGATCCTCCTATTAGTTAAGACTTCTACAAGTCCCAGCTGTGGGAGTATGAACAGGAAGTCATCTCCTTCAAGGTTGGCCTGGACTTCAGATAGTGACCTGTCCCAGGGTCCCACTTTTGCTCAGCCTGACTTGGGACAGCTCTGATGACCAGTTCTCTTCCATGGCACTCTGGAGGATTGGCCAAAGCTTTCTTGGTTCTGTATCACATCTGCATCTGTGGCTTCTCCCTCTGCCTAATCTTCCCTCTTCCTTTCCTTCCACAGGGGTTGATCCCAAATAAACAACTTGAGCCCCAAAATCTGATTCAGTGTTATAGACTGAATTGTGTTCCCCCAAAATTCATATGTTGAAGTTCTAATTCCCAGTACCTCAGAATGTGACTGTATTTGGACACAAGGTCTCTAAAGAGCTAGTTAAGTTAAAATAACCTCATTAAGGTGGGTTCTAATTCAATATCACTGGTGTCCTTATAAGAGGAATTAGCATACACACACACACACACACAAAGAGGGAGAGAGAGAGAGACCATGTGAAACACAAGAAAATTACAATCATCAACAAGCTGAAGAGAGTAGCCTCAGTAGAAATCAACCTTGCTAACACCTGATTTCGGACTTCTAGCCTCCAGAATTGTGAGAATAAATTTCCATTGTTTAAGCCACCCAGTCCATGGTATGTTGTTATTGCAGCTCTAGCAAACTACCACACTCTGCATCTGCTTCCAGAGAATACCACTAGAGACAGATAACTTAGATAGAAGCTACAGTGAAAGTAAATAAGAAGCACAAAGTAACTCATTTGGAGGAAATTCCAATAAAACATAAAATATGGTGCCATGATCTATATAATTATATTTATCTATATTAAATTTTTTATTTCTATTTTAAAGCTAAAGAAGGCAAAACCATGAGTTAAATATGTTCCTTTACTATGGAGCATGCAACTTCTCCTTTTCTCTAGTTAAGAATTTTTTTTTAACCTCTTTCTTTTTTAGGGCTCTGTGGCTTATGTTTCTCAGCAGGCCTGGATTCAGAATTGCATTTTGCAAGAAAACATTCTCTTTGGCTCCATCATGAAGAAAGAGTTTTATGAGCAAGTATTGGAAGCCTGTGCTCTCCTTCCAGATTTGGAGCAGTTGCCAAAGGGAGATCAAACTGAGATTGGAGAAAGAGTAAGGAAACTGTAATTTATCATGTAAAGAAATATAATCCCATTCAGCTGTGCTAATAAAATGTTTATGGCCTTTTTCTTGAAGTCTCGAAGAGCTATACAACTATAATTTTAAAAAATTATTATGTGATTCCTATGTAAGAGATGGCAGTATTAAGGACAAGTAATTATTTATAATTGACTGTTTGGAAAACAGATTAAAAATCAGTCGGAAATTCTGTTGTTAGTATCCACGTGGGGGAATAAAAGCCCATTAATTAGATCATCATACTTTTGTTTTGGTGGCTGGCACAATGCAGTTCACTTTCTAAAGAGTGACTAATAGTTTTGTTTATTCCTGTATCTCTGGTACGCAAAGTCAGGGCTAAAACAGGAGCGAAAGAGCATCAGTCTCCAGCAGTGGCACCCGAGTCCAGATTCTAAAGAAGCTCTGATAACAACACTGTTATGAACGTGCCTTCTCCACGTTTGCTCATTCCTGCTTAAGTGGAACTTGTTTCCCAGTCGTCTCTCTTTGTTCTATTTCATTTTCATTGTGTTAGTTAATAGTCATTACTCTGCTCAGTGTTTTGGATTTAAAAAATATATATATCACGAGCCGAAGTATGAACCACGAGAGATTATCTCCACCCCCTGACTAAAATCTCCATTAATTAAACATGAATGCAAAAGTAGCCTCTGCCTACAATTCATGTGTGCCATAAAGATGAATAAATAATCCTTACTGAGTGCTTTGAATCTCTGAAAAGAGAGCGAGCATACAATTGTTAGACATCTTTACACCTGCCCTCATGTTATCTAATAAGCCCATTATGGAGTTTAATACAAGAAATATATAACAAAATTGTAGAACGTAGAAATATATAAAATCCGGGATGAGCCAGAATTTACCTTGTAACTAGAATTACTTCATTTATAATCTATAATGCTACAGATGTATATTCTCAATAGTATCAAATAGGTTTATTTTTTCCAACCCTTGGATTTCTTCTTGCATCTTCACCATCTCTAAGCAAAGTGATTCCATAGCTAAAAGGCAGAAATGTGAATTCTTCTTCAAACTTGTTAATACATGTTGAACAAGATGCTGATAAACCCAATCTCTAAAAATATGAAATATCTGATATTTTGTAACTATAAAAAATCTTAAAAAGGGAAACAAATCCAAACTAAGAAGTATAGATTTAATATAGGCATTGAATGCTATTGCCATTCATAACGTCTTATTTTTATGATTAAATTTATCCCGATCTGCATTTGAACTTTACACATGTAATTGAATATTTCAAAATGAAATCTGTTTACAGGTACTTAAGAGACAATAAAGGCAATGACTGTAGACTTTTCCCCTACTTGTATTCATCTTTTCTTTTGGTATTCTTCATTTGACCACATTTATTAATTTTTTATATGCCCTTATTCTGCTATGGGGTACACAATGGTGAGTGAGAGCTCTACCACTCTTCCTTCAAGGGATTTGCAGTCTGGTGGACCTCTGCCAATAATACTAATCAGTTGTCTTTATCAATATTTATGAATCATCTAGCGTTAGATGCTGGGTGTCGGGAACACAAGGATTAACTAGGTAGGAGCTCATAGGCTAGTGAGAGAGACTGAGATAAATATTGCCAATTCTAGCAATGGAATGAATACACAAAGTGCAGCAAGACAGGAAGGAGGGGAATGAATCACTTCACTTGGGACACCTGATGGAAAGTTGCCTTCAGAAGACATTTCAGTGTGAGTAGCCCTTAAGTTAAAACAGAAGGATGTGGTCTCCCAAGCAGAGTGAATAGCCTCTTCCCAGTATGAAAGACCAGGTTAGTCTGCTTGGCAAACCACAGTCACTTGTAGGCAACATTGGGAGAGTGGGTGAAGAGATGAGTTAATGCCAGAATATAAGCATCTTAGATTTATACTAAATAATTTGTTGTTTTTGCTGTTGCTCATGAGTGATGAAAAGAGGGAGCTGCGGATATCCAAGGTTTTCATGCAAGATGATGACATAATTACAGAAAAGTGATGACAAGGTAGAGGGTGAATTAGAAAGAAAAGTAACTGGATAATAGCTAATGTTGATTGTATCCATACTGAGTGTTGGATTTTTCCTAAAATTTTTACTCTAATCTTATTGAATGCTCCCAACAAACATATGACTTAGGTGCTATTATAAGCATATGCACACACACATATTACATTCCTTCATGTGTGTGTATATAAGTGTGTGAGAGGAGGGTGTATAATGCCTATGCCCCTTGCTAAAATGTGACCTCCTCATGACAGACTCTGTTTCACTTATCTTTAAATCCCAAGCACTAGCATAGTACTCAAAATATAGTCATACCCAGAAGATGTTTGCTGAGTAGGAGAAGGATGAAAAATGCAAAGAGGCAATGGCATTTTATAATTACAGGTCATTGGCTAAGTTCTGTGCTGCACTGAGAGATTTTAAACCAGATCTGTAAACACTAAATATAAAATAAATCAAGTAAATTGGGCCTGGCTCCATAATTCTTCATACATGGTTGTACGTGTCAACTTTAATTCTCACATGGAGTGATGAATATTCCCTATTCTTGCTTCTTAGAGTTGTACTTTTGCCAACAAGACTTGTACTAATCTTTCTACAGGAGAAAATAGGACATGTTGATTACTTCTTTGGTAATTTAGCTATTATTTTCAATTTCCTATGTGTCAATTTAAAAATAATCACTAGGGCCAGTATATGGTTGGCAGCCAAAAGTCTTGTTTAATATTCTACAGGCACGACTTTTCAGAGTTAGAGATTCGGAAATTCTTTTCTCCTTAATCGTTAGCTTCTCCTTAATCGTTAGCATCTCCTTAATCGTTACGAGTAAGCACTTCAGAGAAAGTAGATATATCTTCTAATTTGTGCAAGTTAGTAATGCTAGGAAACGAGATGGGGCTAGGACTGGAAAGTCGTAGATAAAGAAAGGTTGGAGCGTTCATCTTGGGTTGCTGTCTATCCATGCCATAGAAGAGCATTTGGATGTAACTGCACGTGCTTTGAGATCTATACACATTTCCTCTGGTCTTGTTTTTCTTCTGCTCCATTTTCAGGCTGTGAATATAAGTGGGGGCCAGCAGCATCGAGTAAGCCTGGCCAGAGCTGTCTACAGTGGGGCCGACGTCTACCTCCTGGATGATCCCTTGTCTGCTATTGATGTTCATGTTGGAAAGCAGCTTTTTGAAAAAGTGATAGGGTCCTTGGGCCTTTTGAAAAACCGGGTAGCCATAGTTTCATTTATGCTTTCTTGTGGGGCAGGGGATATATCTAGCACTGTGCCTAAAATTCCATTTATTTTGTTTATTTGTTGAAGCAAAGTAGTCACATTTCACATGAAAAAAATGGGATGCTCAGATTGCAATTTCACAGGCAAATGTCAATGGGTAATTTTTGAAGTTTTACTTACAAGTTTACTCTGGTGACAATTTATGTGATTGTTATCTCTTCATCTAATACCATATCCTAAGGGGATGTATGTGCCATAATGAATTGTTGTTGACTCAAGTGATTTTTACAATGGTATTTTGGTGCACACCAAAATATTAATAAAATTTTATATTATTAACATAGCAATTTGACATTATTATCACAGCAATCATAGTGATTCAGCTGTTTTGTTAAAGGGCCAAGAAGATGAAAATTAGTGTTTACCAGTACATGCCATATTTCACAGGGTAAATTAGTTCAATCCCTATTTCACACATAAAGGAGCTCAGGGCTCACAATGACTTGATATAGGTTGCTCAACTTAAGAACAATAGAGATTTTTAAAAGTATGTCTGACTCCAAAGCCACATTCTTCATAATATGTGTTTATGGAATTATTAATATAGAGAACTTTGAAAATATATGTATAAAATTATAAAATATATGTCTCAGTAAAAATAAACAAACATCTTTATATATTGACATAAACCCAAGATTAAAAATGTCACACTTAATTGTATGTATATGTATAAAATAATATGAATGATTTAAAAATAAGGACTATGAATTATGACTTGGATTAAACACTTTTTTGTAATGGTACTGTATATTTAAAAATAAGCAAGAATGACATATATGAAATTGTTTTAAATTTGCAATTAAATTGATTCATTTCTAATGAACGAAAAAATACCCGAACTAAAGTGTTAAAAATCACATTTAGAAACTATTTTCTCATCTAGCAGCATGTCATTATTCCTTGTAAAATACATAGATGCTGCCTTAAACTGGCACCTACCAAAAATCATACTCTGAAATAGTAAAGGAAAAAAGTCATTGTAGCTTTTTTTAAAAAGCCATTTTTCGTAATCTCTGAGATAAAACACTTTGTTTTTCAGACTCATATTTTAGTGACACACAATCTCACACTTCTGCCACAAATGAATCTTATTGTTGTAATGAAAAGTGGCAGAATAGCTCAAATGGGAATATACCAGGAGCTGCTGTGTAAAACCAAAAATCTCACTAATTTGCACCAAGTCATCAGTGAACAAGAAAAAGGTAAGGACACAATAAAAAATAAGATACAGTATACGTACCCATTTTGAAAGTTCATTAATTGCGTAATTTCATGCTATAAATTTTCATTCATCCTGCTTAAGTCAGGGGCGGGGCACCTTCCTTTCCTTGGGAAAGAAGCAAATACAATGAGACACATCAGTTAAATCAAACTCATTTGTGATTTTTAAGGAAAGTTTTAAGTTCCCTGGGGCCTGTTTATTCATTTATGAAATAAGAAATTAGATTACTTATAAACTCTAGTCCAAGTCGAGAACATAATCACTCTAAACATTATATCTACTTTTCAGTTAAGAACAGGGAACATACATGTGAAATAAATAATAAATATTTTAAACATCTAGATATAATATAGCACATTGAGGAAGAGAAAACAAAAGAAAGAAATTGGGAAAGGCAAAAGGGATCGATGTTTGCTCAACTTTTAAGAATTAACTATTTATTTAGTTTTATTTATCAATTTTTGTTACTCTAGCCCTAGAATATTAAATTAAGATGTATGGACATTTTAAAATAAAATAAGTGGTTTGATCCTTATCCAATGTGTAAGATGCAAGAATGTCTGATATCCAGCATTATCCTAAAGTTGGGTAATGTACCATCATCTCTTTTTACAGCTGTAGATGGTTTGTCATGTAGAGACCATCATATTTTTTCCTGTACTTTTCTAGATCCTTTTCCTATACCTTTCCAGAGCAGCGCAGCAAACTAACTGTAAAACCAGTTAACTATTTCATAATTTCAAGATAAAAGAAGAAATATAGAACTATGTCTCATTATTTTCTACATGAACTAGTATCCATTAGCTCACCTGACACTTGTCCTGGATATAAAGTCCTAAAAATATGAAGTTGGTTTATAACAAGATCAGTACAATTTATTATTTTAATGCCATGAAATTCAACAACAAAGTCATTTTGTTGATGTTTCTCTTTTGGACCTAAGCTAACGCACATTAGTTTTGTAGTACTATTTTTAAAATTCCTTGTTTTTCCACCTTTCTCATATTACAAATATTCTATTTGCAAAATTATTTGGTGCATTGTCAGATGACTGTTGGCATCCTTAACAAAAGAACTTCCTCTTTTCTTAACGTCTAGCACTTTGGAAATGATTCCTTGCCTTCTCAGAAAGGTTAAGTAGTAATTTATGCTTCTTGTGTAGAAAACAGATGTCTAGGAGTGCCTCCTAGACTAGGAGAAGCATGGAGTCTGTCATTTCTCTATCCCTGTCACTTAGGTAGCCTCATGCTAGGCAAATTACAGGCACTCAGTAGCTGTTTGTTAAACAGATGAATCTGAAATGTATCTATCCCCTCAGGAGTTAACAAGGTGCTATGGAATGCTATGAGCCAGTGTCTTTCTTGTGTGTGTGGCCATTTATTTTAAAGGTCACATGAAATATAGATTGAATGACTTTAGAAAATATAGTTCCAAAAGTAGGCAGAGTGTAAGCTTTAAGTTAAATATGTAATTTGCCATAAAATATAAACAGTATGTCTTTTGAAACCTGTGGAATTTGCTGTTGTTTAAATATCCAATTTTGGAAACAGAAATCCCACCTTTTCTGCATTTGTATAATTTTTTTAGGTACAAGTGCCCTCTACTGTAGCAGAATAAAAGCAGTAATATTCTTAAAGTTGGACTGATAGATGTTAATAGATCTCTATTAATAGATGTTACCAACTCACAATCAGAAATTTGCCAGAGTTAGAAAAATGTAACTTTAACTTCTTTCTAATTACCTCAATATTTCTGTCTTTTCCATGACAATCAGAAAGGTGGAAAGTAGAGAAAATTTTTATGCCAGAAATAGAATGTGTTATTAAAAGTGAATATTCTGGAATTTTGATTTTTTGAATGCTGGATAAAAAATACATAAAGACTTATACTCACAATAAAAACTAGATAACTAGATCAAGAGATAATCTGTAAAAGATTAGCTCTATAGAGTATGATTTCCTTAGCCACTGTAGGGAGCAAGACAAAAATGGATTTTGATATCAAACACTACATTAAATAATAGCTTACATTCAGCATGATGTCCTGCAATGCTGCCCCCTAAACCTGGGCCAAATGAACCTGGCCCTGTACTTCATGCTTTAGTCAGTTCCCACTCTAGCCTTCCCTGCATGGCTCTCTGCCTAGGAGTGTCCTCCCCATTTCCTGCTTCTTGACCATCTAGGTACTCAGGTCCCAGAATTCTCTGCTCAAATGATGGAAGCTTGTTCCTGGGACCTGGGTTCTCATTCCTCAGGTTTGTTCTCTCATGGACAGACTGCCCTGTGGCATGCATCATTCTTTGGCCTGAGGATGTTTCTCTTGCAGGTGGGAGAGTGGGAAGAGTCTGGACGTGGCAGCTGAGGTATCTGCAGATGTACAGAGCTTCTGAGAGTGCAAAGTGGAGCTTGGGAGGGGGAGAAGAGCAGCAAAAGCCTTGGCTGAGACTGACTCATCAAGGACTGCCATGTCCCCCAGAGGAAGTCTCAGGAATCCAGACATTCTCATCAGATCCTTGCCTTCCAGGTGGCTTGGAAGGTGTATTGGTCAGAGAAAGCAATATAATTTGAGTCTTTTAGTTCCATCAATGACTTTTAAATAATTGGAAATGCAACATGTGAGCCTTTATTTGCATTCTTGCTCTGGTTCCACAGATTTTAGGTGCAAGTCTGTCCCTGTGGGGAATTTCTTTCTGTTATTTGCATAAATATCAAGGGAAATTAGATTCTGTTTGAGCACACTTTTGCTGAGATTTAGGGGAAAGAAATTACCTGGCAGAGAGTAGGATGTAAGAGGTGTAATCACTCTGTGATCTTTCATTTATTTATTATAATTCACTCTTTTTGGTCTTGAGTCTGTTCAAAAATTCTTTTAAAAGGTACACAATTCTTCAGTTTCAAAATTCTAGTTGTTTATGTGTCACTACAATGGGAGTGCAGTAGGCACACCTCATCCACAAAGGATGCGTTCCAAGACCCCCAGTGGTTGAATGAAACTTTGGATAGTACCTAACTCTCTATATACTATGCTTTTTGAAATGATGTATATGCCTATGATAAAGTTCAAGCTATAAACTGGGCACAGTAAGAGATTAACAACAATAACTAATAATAAAATAGACCCAGATGCCAGCATTTCTACTCATGTGCTTTGGGGCCATTATGAAGAAAAATAAGAGTTCCTTGAACACAAGCACTTTAATACAATGACAGTTGATTGGATAACCCAGGCTCTTAAGTGAGCAATGTGTGGGGAGCATCCACACAGCATGGATGTGCTTGCTACACAAAGAGATGGCTCACTTCCCAGACAGGACAGAGCAGAACAGTGAAATATTTCAACAGGCCACTCAGAATAGCAAGTAATTTAAAACTTATGAATTGTTTATTTCTGGAGTTTTTCATTTAATATTTTTGGACCACGGTTGACCGTGGGTAGCTGAAACCGCAGGAAGCAAAATTGCAGGTAAGGGGGAACTAGTGTATAAATCAGCAGAACATTGTGGAATAAACAGTGGACCACTTGTTAGGAATCCTGGAATCTAGTTCTCTCACTGAATAACCATATCGGTCTTCATCAAATGACTCATTCTTGTGGTTCTTCCCGTTTGTGAAATATAGTGCTTCAGCTTGCTCTGTTTTTCCTAGTGGCAGACATGGAGCTGAACAATGTACATTATTATCTCTCTCCTGTCCCCCAAACTACTTATTAGCTATTTCTTTTTCTTTCCTATCATTCTTACTCTCATTGCTGAAGTCAATAACAGGTAGCTTAGAAAGTAAATGGTAAAAAGTACACTTTGCAGTGTAATGTGGGTTTGGATATATCTAATCCCTAAGATTCCACCTAGCTCTAAAAAATCTAAGAGTTTTGCCTTACGGAAATGTTATATAAGATAATCAAATCAGAGGTGAGAAATGGGTTTATGAAGAAAAATATAACAAAGCTAAAGATAAATTTTACATATTTACAGATTTAGGTTAGGCTAATTTTTTTTTTTTTGAGACGGAGTCTTGCTCTGTCGCCCAGGCTGGAGTGCAGTGGCGCGATCTCGGCTCACTGCAAGCTCCGCCTCCAGGGTTCACGCCATTCTCCTGCCTCAGCCTCCCGAGTAGCTGGGACTACAGGCACCCGCCACTGCACCCAGCTAATTCTTTGTATTTTTTAGTAGAGACGGGGTTTCACCGTGTTAGCCAGGATGGTCTCGATCTCCTGACCTCGTGATCCGCCCGCCTCGGCCTCCCAAAGTGCTGGGATTACAGGCGTGAGCCACCACGCCCAGCCTAGGCTAATTCTTACACAAGCTAATTATACTGATGATAGCTTGTATGTCGTGGATAGTAACGATCTCAATATATTCATGAGTTTTACATTTACTTAATCCTCCCCCAACCCCCAAAACTCCAGAGGCTACCATGGTCCTCATTTTACAGAGATTAGGTGTCTTGCTCAAATTAAGACAGAAGGCAAGTGACAGAATTTGAATTCCATGCTACCTCTGTTTCATGTCAGAGAACAACCAAGCTCTTAAACATTGTATCAAATGTGTAGGAACAAGTACATTGACTCAGTACTGACTTAGTGTGAAAAGCAGGAGAGGCTCACTCTCCTTTACTGATGCTTGCTTCTTCCCCAAAAGTTGGTCTCCTCCCTTGCTCTGTCTTAAACAATTCTGGGTTTCAGGCAAGCCACTTACCCTCTCTGAGTTTTATTTTTTCTCCTGCAAAATATAGGTAAATTTACCTATTCTCATATCTTATCAGGTCATTTGTGAGCTCAATTTATATAATGCATGTAAAAGTATCTTATAAATTGAAAATAAATAAATTTAAATATTATTATTAAAGGCTATAAAGATGAGACTGTGCCTTAGAGGGAGAGGCTGAAACATCTTCTAACTGAATTTTCATTCTTTGAGCCACGGAATCCCCATGTTTCACAGAGATGTTTGAGATCGATCAATTTCTTCCATTAGGGGCTAGATGGTTCCTTCTAGAAAAAAGCAAGCATAGAATTCATAGAAGAGAACTTAGAAATCTCCAAATCCAATTCCTTCTGCTTAGAGATAAGAAATCTAAAATTCAAAGAGTTCAAGTATCATACTGTGAATAAAGACAAAAATCTGTCTAGCGCTGAGGTATTTACCATCAAATCCACCAGCCCATTTACCATCAGATTCACTAAGGTTACTTGAACCTCAGTAGCTGATAGGTCTAGGTGTATGACCTTGGTTTGTGTTTCCTGTGTAAGAGCTCAGTGCCTCAGTCTTTTTATCCCTAAAATAAGGACAATAACTGTAGTACGTTTCTCATTAGGGGTAGTTTTGAAAATTAAAAGAGATACAAAGCCCTTAGGGCAACACGTGTCACGTAGGATGCTATTATCACTGTTAGTGACACTTGCAAGACAGTGACAGCTTTGGGGAATTTACCATTGTGTTTTCTTACTAATCTTCACAAGAATCACATTGGTATAAAGGCTGCATGAAATTATGCTTCTTTTAAAGGCTAGAGTGGTTTTCCTCTTGGGAAATATTTAGCCCTTCTGTGGAAGATCTGAAATAAGTTAGCAGCCCTCTCAGAGGGACACTGAGAGAGTTAGCATCCCTTTCTCAGAGAAAAAAAAAATAATTTCTCTGTAGGTTTTCTCATTAAGAAATCTCACTTTTACTATGAGATTACAGAACATTTTAGGACAAGCTGAAATAATGGAGAAAATACAAGGGTTCCCAATAAACCTATAGATCTAGAACTTAAAAACCTCTCCAATTTGTGTAATCCTCCATTATACTTCTCTCTATTTTGTTTATTGTTGGCTTATAATTTTGGATATAAAAGCACTCACTGTCTTTCTCTCCAGCTCATGCTCTAAAGCAAGTCAGTGCAATCAACTCCAGAACTAGACCAAAAGACAAAATCCTGGAGCAAAAACATAGGTGAGTATCAGGTAATGCCAGGCTCACTGGGATTATGGACTGATTAATTACTTTTTTATAGCATTTGAACACATCCTATAAAAAAGATCCATACATTATAATGGATATAAAATGTACTTAGTGGATTCCAATTCTAAACTAGAAGTTAGATGGATGTGTCTAAATTTTTAAGTGAGATGGATGAGACTTAGTTTTGGAAACATATGTTCATTAGATTCCTCACTATTTCTAGCCAAATTCTAGTGGTAGAAATTTAATCTGATTGCCAAAAACATCCCCATCCCATAGCATTCACAGACTCTACAGATGAGAATGTGAAAAATAGGCTTTGGACATAAACATTTCATGATGGATTGGGATGATTATCAAGACAGGATATGTGACCTAGACATACAGACCAGTATAGGAGCTGAAGAACCTGCCTAGAAAAATAAGAGAAAGAAAGAGAGAAAGAGAGAGAGAGAAGAAAGCAAGAAGAAGAAAGAAAAAGGAAAGAAAAAGAAAGAAAGAAAGAAAGAAAGAAAGAAAGAAAGAAAGAAAGAAAGAAAGAAAGAAAAGAAAAGAAAAGAAAAGAGTAGAAAGGAGGGCAGGAAGGAAGAGGGGAGGAGACAGGAAAAAAAAGGGCAAAACTTTGGTCCTGATTGGATTTTGTTATATTATGTCTTTTTTTTTGTAACTGACTAAAATGAACAGTGATTGAAGTAAATTAATCTAATCAGTTTTTTTCCCCAATGTTTCTTCCCATCAGTTGCCTAAACAGGAAGCCAAAAGATAATAGGAAATAATAGGAATAAAGAGATTATAGGCTGGGCGTGGTGACTCATGACTGTAATTCCAGCACTTTGGGAAGCTGAGGCAGGTGGATCACCTGAGGTCAGGAATTCGAGACCAACCTGACCAACATGGTGAAATCCCATCTGTACTAAAATACAAAAATTAGCCAGGCATGTAGGCACCCACCTGTAATCCCAGCTATTTGGGAGGCTGAGGCAGGAAAATCGCTTGAACCTGGGAGGTGGAGGTTGCAGTGAGCCGAGATCATGCCACTGCAATCCATCCTGGGCGACTGAGTGAGACTCTGTCTCAAAGAAAAAAAAAAAGAGAGAGGGAGATTATAAAATAAGTGCCTAGAGCTTATAATTGCTAAAATTGAGCATTGGGACAGATGATAGGGAATCAAGCACTTTAGGATCCAAAAGCTCAGATAGTGGCAGTTTTGATCTTGAATGAAAGAATGAGTCTTGAAATAATTATTTTTTAAGAATTGGATATGCCTAAGGATGTGTGGATGATGTGGACGTTGCAGGTTGGAGATTTGTGTGCATATCAGATTTAGCTGACTCCGTAGGTAAACTAATAATAAGTCATTCCTCCTTGATCATAAAGATCTTGGACTGCTTCTCCTTGTCTATTATCTTAGTATTTTTATACTGTCTCATGGCTTTACTTTCCGTACACTAATATGTCCAAGTTAATCTCTCTAGTCTGGATCTCTCCTCTGAACTCCAGGGTTGAACCGGCAGCTGACCCTCTCAGCATCTCCCCTCTAACATCTAAATGACATCTCCAATTTACATGTCGCACACAGGATTCTTGATTTTCCTTCAGCACACACAAACCTGTCCCACATGTGATTTTTTCCACCTTAGCTAATGGCAATGTCATTCTTCCAGTTGCTCAGGTAAAAAATATCTTGCAGTCATCTAGACCCTTCTTATTCTACATCAAATCTATAATCAAATCCCATTGGCTCGATCTTCAAAATATATCCAAGAATCCAGAATTCACCCACTACTCATCACCTTCACAGCTGCCCCCTCTGTCCAATCAGGATTATTTCTCACTTGCCATTATTGTAACTGCCTGCTTATAGGCCTTCCTGCTGCCATCTTACCCCATACAGGCTATTTGCAACATAGTATACAGAGAGTTTCTTTTATAAATGTAAGTCAGAGCATATCGCTCTTCTGCCCAAAACTTCCAAAAGATTCACCTCTCAGAGAAAAATCTCATGTCCTTACACTGACTTGTAAAATCCTACAGGACCTGGACCTGTTTACCTTTCTGATCTCAGAACCCTAGGAAGTTCACCCTTCATAACTCTTTCCAGCAACACTGACCATTTTCTGTTCCTGGAATAGCCAGGCATGCCCCTACTTCAAGGCCTTTGCATTTCTGATTCACTGCATAAAGTAGACTTTGTTCAGATAAACATATGGCTTGCATATCCGCCTTCTGTTGGTGTTTGCTTAAATGTCATCTCATCAATGAAGACTTGCTTATCCACCCTATTTCATATCTCAACACTTCCTACTCCTTTCCCAGCTTTACTTTGTCATAAGTCTTATTAATTTCCATAAGATTGGGAAATTTACTTGTTCGTTTTTTATTTTGTCTTCCTCCTAACTCTATATTATAAGGTTTTATAAGGGCAGGATTTTTTGTTATTTGTTCCATTGCCATCAGCTAGAACACCAAATGGCACATACATAAGTATTTGTTGAAAGGGTGGATAAATAACTAGAGACTGAAAGAACACTGAAAAGTCTTCTGATCCATCATTTCTTTTATTTTTTGGCCATTGAGACTTAATATATTTCATTTAAATGAGTATAATTTTTTAAGTCTCCAAGAAAAGCTAATCCAGAAGCACTGAAACATACTTTGAAATCCATTTGCTATGGGGTATACATATCTCTGAATCCTAAAGAGCATATTTGCCTGTGTATAGTATCACTATGCACTCAGTAAATAGCTTAAGAAAAGCTTAAAATGTAAAAATTAATAAATATTGTTGTAAACTTAATCATTCCCTTTCCCCTACAGTAAATCAATTTTCCTTATTTATAAGATCACTGTTAATATAATATCTAAATTGAACCTCTTGAAATTTCTGTAAGCCAATTTTGGGAAACCATTCCTTCTTTTTCTCCCTAAAAAAAGAATTCCAGTCCCTATAAATATTTGTTTACAAAATTGTTTTTTTAAAAAATTATAAGTTGCAGCAGCTCAAATAAAGAATACAGCAGAGCATGGTGCTGCACGCCTATAGTTCCAGCTACTAGGAGGTCAAACTGGGAGGATCCATTGAGCTCAGGAGTCTGAAACCAGCCTGGGCAACATAGCAAGACTCTTGTCTCAAAACAAATGAAAGGGAGGAAGAAAGGAAAGGAGGAAGAAAGAAACAGAGAGAAAGAAAGAAAGAAAGACGAGAGAAGAGAGAAGAGGAGGGGAGGGGAGGGGAGGGGAGGGGAGGGGAGGGTCCAGGGCAAGATGACCAGATGACCCAATAGGAAAAGCTCTGGTCTGCAGCTCCCAATGAGACCAATGCAGAAGGCAGGTGATTTCTGCATTTCTCACTGAGGTACCTGGCTCATCTCACTGGGACTGCTTAGACAGTGAGTCCAGCCCACAGAGGGCACGCAGAAGCAGGGTGGGGCATTGCCTCACCTGGGAAGTGCAAGGGGTTGGGGAACTCCCTCCCCTAGCCAAGGGAAGCCAGGAGGGACTGTGCCATGAGGAACGGTGCACTCCAGCCCAGATATTATGCTTTTCCCATGGTTTTCACAGCCCACAGACCAGAAGATTCCCTCAGGTGTCTATACCACCAGGGCCCTGGGTTTTAAGTACAAACCTGGGCAGCTGTTTGGGCAGACACCCAGTTAGCTGCAGGAGTTGTTTTTTTTTTTTCCGTACACCAGTGGCGCCTGGAACACCAACGAGACAGAACTGTTCCCTCCCCTGGAAAGGGGGCTGAAGCCAGGGAGCCAAGTGGTCTTGCTCAGCAGATCCCTCTTCCACGGAGCCCAGCAAGCTAAGATCCACTGGCTTGAAATTCTCACTGCCAGCACAGCAGTCAGAAGTTGACCTGGGATGCTTAAGCTTGGTGGGAGGAGGAGCTTCTGCCATTACTGAGGCTTGAGTAGGTGGTTTTCCCCTCACAGTGTAAACAAAGCTGTGGGGAAGTTCAAATGGGAGGAACCCACCTCAGGGCTACAAAGTCACTGTAGCCTGATTGCCTCTCTAGATTCCTCCTGTCTGAGCAGGGCATCTCTGAAAGAAAGGCAGCAGCCCCAGTCAGGGGCTTATAGATAAAATTCCCATCTCCCTTGGACAGAGCACCTGGGGGAAGGGGCAGCTGTGGGCGCAGCTTCAGCAGACTAAAACTTTCCTGCTTGTCAGCTCTGAAGATCTCCCAGAACAGTTCTCGAGCTCTACTAAGGGACAGACTGCCTCCTCAAGTGGGTCTCTGGCCTCCATGCCTCCTGACTGGAGACACCTTCCAGCAGGAGTCAACAGACACCTCATATAGGACAGTTCTGGCTGACATCTGGCAGGTCCCCCTCTGGGACAAAGCTTCCAGAGAAAGGAGCAGGCAGCAGTCTTTGCTGTTCTGCAGCCTCTGCTGGTGATACCCAGGAAAATAGGGTCTGGAATGGACCTCCAGCAAACTCCAGCAGACCTGCAGAAGAGGGGCCTGACTGTTAGAAGGAAAGCTAACAAACAGAAAGCAATAACATCAACATCAACAAAAAGGACAACCACAACAAAACCCCATCCACAGGTCATCAGCATCAAAGATCAAAAGTAGATAAATCCATGAAGATGAGGAAAAACCAGCGTTGAAAATTCCAAAAACCAGAATTCCTCTTCCCCTCCAAAGGATCACAACTCCTCGCCAGTAAGGGAACAAAACTGGATGGAGAATTAGTTTGATGAATTGACTGAAGTAGGCTTCAGAAGGTGGGTAATAACAAACTGCTCTGAGCTAAAGGAGCATGTTCTAACCCAGTGCAAGGAAGCTAAGAACCTTGATAAAAGGTTACAGGAACTGCTAACTTGAATAAACAGTTTAGAGAAAAACATAAATGACCTGATGGAGCTGAAAAACACAGCACAGGAACTTCATGAAGCATACACAAGTATCAATAGCTGAATCCATCAAGCGGAAGAAAGGATATCAGAGATTGAAGATCAACTTAATGAAATAAAGCATGAAGACAAGATTAGAGAAAAAAGAAGGAAAATGAATGAACAAAGCCTCCAAGAAATATGAGACTATGTGAAAAGACCAAACCTATGTTTGTTTGGTGTACCTAAAAGTGATGGGGAGAATGGAACCAAGTTGGAAAACACACTTCAGGCTGTTATCCAAGAGAACTTCCCCAACCTAGCAGGACAGGCCAACATTCAAATTCAGGAAATACAGAGAACACCACAAAGATACTCCTCAAGAAAAGCAATACCAAGACACATAATCTTCAGATTCACCAAGGTTAAAAGAAAGAAAAAATGTTAAGGGCAGTCAGAGAAAAAGTTCAGGTTACCTACAAAGGGAAGGCCATCAGACTGTCAGTGGGTCTCTCTGCAGAAACCCTACAAGCCAGAAGAGAGTGGGGAATCAATATTAAACATTCTAAAAGAAAAGAATTTTCAACCCAGAATTTTATATCCAGCCAAACTAAGCTTCATAAGTGAAGGAGAAATAAAATCCTTTACAGACAAGCAAATGCTCAGGGATTTTGTCACCACCAGGCCTGCCTTACCAGAGTTCCTGAAGGAAGTGCTAAATATTCAAAGGAAAAACTGGTACCAGCCACTGCAAAAACATACCAAAATGTAAAGACCATCAACACTATGAAGAAATTGCATCAACTAATGTGTAAAATAATCAACTAGCATCATAATGACAGGATCAAATTCACACATAACAATATTAACCTTAAATATAAATGAGCTAAATGGCCCAATTAAAAGACACAGACTGGCAAACTGAATAAAGAGTCAAGACCCATTGGGGTGCTGTATTCAGGAGACCCATCTCATGTGCAAAGACACACATGGGCTCAAAATAAAGGGATGGAGGAATATTTACCAAGCAAATGGAAAGCAAAAAAAAAAAACAAAAAAAAAAGGGTTTGCCATTCCTAGTCCCTGATAAAACAGACTTTAAACCAACAAATATCAAGATCAAAAAGACAAAGAAGGACATTAAATAATGGTAAAGGGATCAATGCAACAAGAAGAGCTAACTATCCTAAATATATATGCATCTAATACAGGAGCACCCAGATTCATAAAGCAAGTTCTTAGAGACCTACAAAGAGACTTAGACTCCCACACAGTAATAGTGGGAGACTTTAACACCCCATGTCAATATTAGACAGATCAATGAGACAGAAAATTAACAAGGATATTCAGGACTTGAACTCAGCCCTGGACCAAGCGGACCTAATAGACATCTACATAACTCTCCACCTCAGATCAATAGAATATACATTCTTCTCAGCACCACATCACACTTATTCTAAAACTGACCACATAATTGGAAGTAAAACACTCCTCAGCAAATGCAAAAGAACGGAAGTCATAACAGTTTCTCAGACCACAGTGCAATCAAATTAGAACTCAGGATTAAGAAACTCACTCTAAACAGTAGAACTACATGAAAACTGAACAACCTGCTCCTGAATGACTACTGGGTAAATAGTGAAATTAAGGCAGAAACAAATAAGTTCTCTGAAATCAATGAGAACAAAGACAAAACATACCAGAATACCTGGGACACAGCTAAAGCAGTGTTTACAGGGAAATTTACAGTGCTAAATGCCAACAGGAGAAAGCGGGAAAGATCTAAAATCGACACCCTGACATTGCAATTAAAAGAACTGGAGAAGAAAGAACAAACAAATTCAAAAGGTAGCAGAAGACAAGAAATAACTAAGATCAGAGCAGAACTAAAGGAGATAGAGACACGAAACACCCTTCAAAAAAATCAGTGAATCCAGGAGCTGGTTTTTTGAAAAGATTAACAAAATTGATAGACCACTAGACAGACGAATAAAGAAGAAAAGAGAGAAGAATCAAATAGATGCAATAAAAAGTGTTAAAGGTAATGTCACGACTGATCCCACAGAAATACAAATTACCATCATAGAATACTATAAACACCTCTATGCAAATAAACTAGAAAATCTAGAAGAAATGGATAAATTCCTGGACACATACACCCTCCCAAGACAAAACCAGGAAGACGTAAAATCCCTGAATAGACCAATAACAAGTTCTGAAATTGAGGCAGTGATTAATAGCCTACCAACCAAAAAAAGCCCAGGACCAGACGGATTCACAGCCGAGTTCTACCAGAAGTACAAAGAGGAGTTGGCACCATTCCTTGTGAAACTATTCCAAACAATGGAAAAAGAGGGAATCCTCCCTAACTCATTTTATGAGGCCAGCATCATCCAGATACCAAAGTCTGGCAGAGACACAACAAAAAAAGAAAATTTCAGGCCAATATCCCTGATGAACATAACGTGAAAACCCTCAATAAAATACTGGCAAAACAAATACAGCAGCACGTCAAAAAGCTTATCCACCATGATCAAGTCAGCTCCATCCCTGAGATGCAAGGCTGGTTCAACACACAAAAATTAATAAACATAATCCATCACATAAAGAGAACCAATGACAAAAACCACATGATTATCTCAATAGATGCAGAAAAGGCCTTTGATACAATTCAACAGCCATTCATGCTAAAAACACTCAATAAACTAGGTATTGATGGAACATATCTCAAAATAATAAGAGCTATTTTTTACAAACTCACAGCCAATATACTGAATGGGCAAAAGCTGGAAGCATTTCCTTTGAAAACTGGCACAAGACAAGGATGCCCTCTCTCACCACTCCTATTCAAAATAGTATTGGAAGTTCTGGCCAGGTCAGTCAAGAGAAAGAAATAAAGGGTATCAAATAGGAAGAGAAGAAGTCAGATTGTCTCTGTTTGCAGAATATGTGATTCTATATTTAGAAAACCCCATCATCTCAGCCCAAAAACTCCTTAAGCTGATAAGCAACTTCAACAAAGTCTCGGGATACAAAATCAATGTGCACAAATCACAAACATTCCTATACACCAATAATAGACAAAAAGAGAGCCAAATCATGAGCAAACTCCCATTCACAATTGCTACAGAGTGAATAAAATACCTAGGAATACAACTTACAAGGCATGTGAAGGACCTCTTCAAGGACAACTATAAACCATTGCTCAAGAAAATAAGAGAAGATACAAACAAACGGAAAAATATTCCATGCTCACGGATAGGAAGAATCAATATTGTGAAAATGGCCATACTGCCCAAGGAATTTATAGATTCAGTGCTATCCCCATCAAGCTACCATTGACTTTCTTCATAGAATTAGGAAAAACTACTTTAAATTTCACATGGAACCAAAAAAGAGCCCATATAGCCAAGACAATCCTAAGCAAAAAGAACAAAGCTGGAGGCAGCACACTACCTGACTTCAAACTATACTACAAGGCCACACTAACCCAAACAGCATATAAAAACCATGGAACAGAACTGAGTCCTCAGAAATAACACCACATATCTACAACCATCTGATCTTTGACAAACCTGACAAAAACAAGCAATGGGGAAAGGATTCCCTATTTAAGAAATGGTTTTGGGAAAACTGGCTAGCCATATGCAGAAAGCTGAAACTGGACCCCTTCCTTACACCTTATACAAAAATTAACTCAAGTTGGATTAAAGACTTAAACATAAGACCTAAAACCATAAAAACCCTAGAAGAAAACCTCGGCAATACAATTCAGGACATAGGCATGGGCGAGGACTTTATGAGTAAAACACCAAAAGCAATGTCAACAAAAGCCAAAATTGACAAATGGAATCTAATAAGAAGAAAGAAAGAGAGAAATAAATAAATAAATAAATAAATAAGGGAAGGAGGGAGGGAGGGAGGGAGGAAGGAAGGAAGAAAGAAAGAAAAAAGAAGGAAGGAAGGAAGCAAAGAAAAAGGAAGGAAGAGAAAGAGAGAAAGAGGAAGGAAGGAAGAAGGGAAGGAAGGAAGGAAAGAGGGAAGGAAGGGAGGGAAGGATGGAGGGAGGGAGGGAAGGAGGAGGGAGAAAAGAATACTTTGGTAAGATCACCTCAGGTCCAATATGTCATATTTTTATCAACACAACCCAGAGTCAAACCGACTTTTTAAAGAATAAACTAAATTTTTCAAATAAGAGATTTCAAACAACTAAACAAATCACATTTTATCTTATGTTTGAGAAGCCTATTATAATTTTTCCAATTACTTGGCTATACTGGTTTATTATTTTCTATTCTCTCTCTCATTTTTTATCTGCTTTATTGTTTGGTAAGATAATATTACATAAAGAGAGTTTTCCTGACTTTTCAATCTAAATTTCTATTTTTTTCAAATTCTCCAATCATTTCCAATTAGTGCAGAATTAAGATAGATTAAGGATTGTGGCTGGGCATGGGGGCTTATGCCTGTAATCCCAACGCTTTGGGAGTCCAAGGCAGTCAGATCACTTGAGGTCAGGAGCTCGAGACCAGCCTGGCCTACATGGGGAAACCCCATCTCTACTAAAAATACGAAAATTAGCCAGGTGCGGTGGTGTTTGCCTGTAGTCCCAGCTACTCCAGAGGCTGAAGCAGGAGAATTGCTTGAATCTGGGAAGCAGAGGTTGCAGTGAGCCGAGATTGTGCCACTGCATTCCAGTCTGGGTGACAGAGTGGGACTCTGACCCCCCTCCACCGCCCCCCGCTCCACACAACAAAAGAGTAAGGATTGGAAGATACAAGCCGGCAGGAACTTCTCAACAAATACAGGATCTCTGTAATGGGATCTACTAAAATAGAATACAGTAAGTCTTCCTCATGAAAAGGCTCATGGGAAAACTGTCTAGCTGCCTATCAGGAGTATGTTCAAAAGAAGGAGTAGGGGGGTTGAACCAAATAATTTCTGAAAAATTTTCCCCTCAAAGTTTAAGAATTAGAGTTAGTTTAATGACATTATTTTTCTAGCAGAACTAAAATATTTATTTCAAGCTGTTTCCACATTTTTTTCTAAATTTATATTATGCCTATTAATTACTTTCTTAAATCTCTGTCACTGTCTTCCCTGAATAAAATAAACTGGAAATTTTACTTTACTACCTAGGCTGCCCCCTTTTGTCTTTCATGCGCAACACTGAATCACTTTTGTCTTCCCATATGTACTCCACACTTTGTTTTTGGGCTTAGCTCAGAGACAATGGTTTCAATATGATGATTTTACATATTTTATACAAAATATGTAAATGGACATTGTGCCAATTTTCCTGAGAATTTCTCAAGGACAGAACAAGACTCATGTTTAAAATTTCTCTACCAAGATTAAATAATTTCTCTCTTAAAAGACTCAAATAAAGCCTGTTATTCAAAACAAAGTGCCTAGAACCAAATGCAAGGTATTTTTTTTGTGAAAAAATGATGAATAACATTTTTGTTTGAAAAAGCAATACCTTTCTATATAGTATCCAATAAATTATTGGTTTTCGTTAGTTATATCTAATTAGGAAGGCTTAATTCCCTTTTAACAGTTGGATTTCATAGCATTTTATGTCCAGCTACATTAAGAATTAATTTTTTGGCTTGGCACCAATGCTAAATTTGCTTATCCAAAGAGAAGCCATGCCAGCAGCTTGAAGGATGATGACAGTAATTAACCCAAATCATATACCAGTAGCTATTCCAATGAAAGTGTCTGTTAAATAGTGTATCTTTCTCTGATGCTGAGGCTGATCCTACAAAGGACATGCACTGCAACCTCCCACAGAATGTTTCTGGATACTCGTTCCAGAGATAGGAAGGGAAGAACTACCAGGCTGTCCAAATAAGGCGTTTCTTATTCTGAAAAATACAATGGAAACCATGAAGAAATGGGGGTTTCTCATAATCTGCTGAGAGGTGTGTACATCAGTTCAGCATTTCTAGAGGTCAGTTTAATAGTGGATACATCAAATGACTTGTAATTGATCATGTCGCATGTTATCGTGTATGGGAATTTAGTACAAGAGGCAATAAAAGATGTATGAAAAGAATGGTCACTATAGCAATAAAGTAGGAAAAAAAAATACAACCACTATAAGCATTGACTTTGTTAAATAAATCATATCACGGTAAAATGATAAAATATTATGTTATAAAATATAGTGGTGTTATAGAAGAATATGTTTTTTATAAATTGGGTTATAACTGTGTAATTTTCTTAAAAAAGTATGAACTGGTTATAGAACAACATTATCAATATTATTAATATTGACAATCATATTAATAATTACAATATTGACCTATATCAATATAAGAGCAATAGTAATATAAGTTATATCTTATACACATTATATAATATAACATAATATAAGAGCAACATTAACAATATTATCATATCACACACAAAGAGAGGCAAGACTACTGAAATATTCACAAGCGTGTTACCACAGATTGTCTCTGAAATGTAGGATTGTAAATCTTTTCTTCTCCTTCTTTTCCTCTTCTCCATCTTTTATCCTTTTCCTCCTCCTTCTCCTCCTCCTTTCTTCTCACTTTTCTTCTTGCTGTTTGTTATTTTCTAAATATTTATCCAATGATATGATTTCAGAAATATTTAGAAGACGAAATTGACAAATACTTGGTGAATAGATGGAAATGTCCCATGATCAAGACAGAGGAAGTGTTGTGGCTCCTTGCAAAGCCAGAGAAAACACTAGGGGAGAGAGGAAAGTAACTGGCTCAGTTAAGGTTGTCTATGATAGAAACAAGCAAAGAAATAAAGTAGATGTCAAGAAAGCATTTGACACATGGATCTGGAGCTCAGGGAAAAGCTATGGACTGGAGATACCAATTTGAAAATCATCCACAAAGAATCAGGTTATTGAAACTATGGGAGTGGATGAGATTGCTCAGGATAGTGTGAAGCATACAAAGGAAATAATTCCTAGAACTGAGCCCGAGGAAACATAAACATTGGAGGGAAGACAGAGAAAGGAACCTAAAGAGAAACTAACGGAGGGCCAGAAAGGTGGAAAGAATATGAAAGTACAGTGGTGAAAAGAAGTGAAGAAGGAGCCCTTTAAACAAGTGAGTGGTCAACAATATTAAATGTGATGAAGAGTTTAAGTGAAATAACTTTCAAAGTGTCTAATAGACACAGCAATAAGTAGTTTACTAGCACTCTTGATGGAAACAATTTCAACCAGGTGCCAAAAACTTTAAGGAGGAAAATGTGGTTTGACAGAAAAATATTTGGTTACAAAAGGGCAGCAAAAAGTAGGATGGTAACTGAATAAGGAGAATAACTGTTGTTGTTGTTATTGTTGTCGTTGTTTTGTGATGGTTTTAAAATGAGAAGAATGAGTTGTTTTCTGTCAGCTGATGAGAAGGAGTCAGTAGAAAGGAAGAAGGTGAAGATAAGAGAACAACTCAGTGTTTTTCAGACTTGCCTTAAGATATGATCCCTTTCTATCATTTGTTTAAAAGATAGATTTCTAGAGGAGAAGTCTTATAACCTGTATTTTTAACTGTCTGTGTTTGTTACAGGAGAGAATTGGGAAAGACTGGGTGGAATGCAATAAATGTAAAGGTTTGGTGACTGACTTCCTTGTCTTCTGTTTCCTCCATGAAGTGGGATATGAGTCCCCTTCTGAGAGTCATGCAAGGATTTCTAGGCACTGTTAAGAACCCACGTAGAAAGAAGATGTTAAGTGACGGTAGAACCAGTTTTCAGGGTTGCCTGATTTTTTGAAGCAGCACTTCACAGAAGTCGAGGTGACCAGGATTGACATGCAAGTTCTAAGAGACAGGTTAGAACTCACCTTTTCTTCATGGAAGAAAAGCAGGGAATGGGGGTTCAAAAATATTACCAAAGATTGCATGAAATGATAATCATGGAGAATGCAGGGAAAAGAGAGCGAATATAGGTTTGCCTGGGACTCAGGAATTCTCTAGAAGTTGGATAGTCAATGCTAAAACCAGGTAAATCTCAGGTAAAGCAGGATCATTGATTATCCAAGACAGCAAAGATGATAGAAGGCTAGATTTGGGAATCTAAGTAAAATAAAAACCAAATGTAGTGAGAATAACTGAATTTAAAACTTATAAATAGAAGAGATTGTGATCAGAGATTGAAATACTTAGAGTTGGGTTTTCAGAGATGGGTTAGTTCTAAGTAATAAGATTCATGGTTTAAGGTCATGAAAGTTGATGGCCAAAGTGTGGTGCACATGCAGGACATGGAGCTATGAAGATCATGAAGCTGGAAAAGAGATTAAGTTTAATACAGTTTTTCATGTAATCTATGACATTACCCAGGGTGGTGGCAGAACAAAATGAGAAGAGTAACCGTGATGTTAGTTCATCTTCTGACATAGCAAGAAGTGAGTAGATGCCAGTCTAGGCCAGGATGAGAAGGGACAGAGTATGGTACAGCCAGATGGCATCAGTTTAAATGCTCTAAAGACTTGATTCGAGTTTAAGGGATAATTATTTAGAAGAAGCAGTTAAAAATAGACCACAAGCCCTGGCCCTAAATTATGTGGGATATGGTAGAATGAAGAGTATACCTCTGATAAGACCAAAAAGATGCAAAGTTATTATCGGGGAAAACCAAGTTGCTGTTAGAGTAAGGGAGTAGAGAACGATGCAACAAAATGGTTAAGGATGTATAATTTTTTTATGTTAGTTTCATGTAAAACCTAAAAAGCAAACATCGTCTTGCTTTATCAGGCCCTCATTGGATCAAGGAAAACAGCTCTCAATGAAAAAAGAAAAGATCCCTGTTGGTGGGGTAAGCACCAGAAGAACTAATGTTATTTGCTATTAACCACCTAAACATAAAATCTTACCTTGCATTATTGATAAATACTATAGATTTCTCATTTAATTTGAGGAGAATTGCTATATAATAGTTTGAGGAAGTTGAATGAAATGGAATTGTTGGTGGTTAGTTAGGATTACACGTTATTTAGTTATGTATATTCTTTTTCACTAATGAGAGCAACTAACATTAATTGAGATTTTAAGGGTTCAGTACTGTGCTTGACACTCTACATATACTTATGTGGTGACTACTGTTCTTCTAATTAACAGGTGATTCATCTGAGGATTACAGGTGTTAGTGACTTGACCAAGATCACAAAGCTTAGGAAACGTCAGAATAGGGTTTAAATTGAGGTGTTACTTTAAAGTACATCTTTGAAATGCTGTATCTTACTACGTATTTAATTGATGCTAATCAGAAACTATCAATAAGGGAACTTATTCAGAAATGGCATGTCATGTTCCGGTATCTCTTGGTAATCTAATTTTATATCAATTTTGCCTTTAGTTGAAGTTCTCCATCATTCTGCAGTACCTCCAAGCCTTTGGCTGGCTCTGGGTGTGGCTGACTGTGGTCACTTACTTAGGGCAGAATTTGGTGAGCATTGGACAGAATCTATGGCTTAGTGCATGGGCAAAAGAAGCAAAAAACATGAATGAGTTCACAGAATGGAAGCAAATAAGAAGCAATAAACTTAACATCTATGGATTATTGGGATTAATAAAAGGTAAAAGAAAATGTAAAGCTGTTTCTCTTTTCTTTTTCTGACCTAATTGATTCAAACACAAACTAGTGGCATCGTGTTATTTCAAATAAAATCTGGGCCATAATTTTCAAATATTTGGGGATAACTCAAATGCATATGTTTCCACTTTACCATATTTGAGAGAATAATCCAAAACTTATGGTGTCATCTACATGGCTCACATTAAATATTACACATAGTTACTTAATCTTGAAAATAATTATTTAAAAAGGTGCTGTTGTCCTCATTTTACAGCTGAGGAAACTGAGGCTTTTATGTAAAGTCATGAAAGATTCAAAAATGGCCACTGTGTATATGTGAAGGTTGTGGGTGATGTGAAGATAAATAGGTGTCTATTAAGGGGTTTAAAGCCTAGTGAGCCTAGGTCACGTATACAATCAAACTACATGATCAGCATTAAACACTATAAAGATAGTGAAAGAAAACACTGTGAGAATTCAGAGCAAGGGGAGGCTGTATTGGGTTGCCATATTAATGTGATTTCTAAGGAGTACTTGACAATTGAGGGGAGACTAAAAGGATGAATAGAAGTTTATCAGCTTGAGATCACAGAGAAGGAGAGAAAGTCATAGAGGCAGATAGACAGGTGTGAGTAAAGACAGGGATGGGGAGGTAAGAAGGTATTTGGCAAGAGTGAGGGTGCCAGTTTGAGTGGTCTTCAGGTTATTGGTAGGGAAAAGTAGGGGAGCTAAAGGTGAGAAGGAAGATTGGAGATATGTCAGAGATGATCATTGGGAAGGCAAGTGGAGGATTTTGGAAAATTGATGAAGGAAGTGACATAGTTGGATTTGTATTTCAAATAATAAATTAGCAGTGATAATAAAAAGATGGGTTTTTATTGGAGGGACTAAAGTCAGAGAGACTAAAGTCAGAGAGACTAGAATGAAGCAGGGGTTGGTAGGAAAAGAATAATCAAGTGTATTTGGGAGTCCAGAAGAAAGGTAGTCTAGTATAGAAAGATCTCCTATCTGATCCATGGCTGTGTCACCCAAAATAACCAATAGGTAAGAAGCAGAAGAGAATTGAATAAATACCGAATGAAAGAGTGAATGAATGGCCAGAGAGCTACAATGGAATTGGATAATAGGGATGAATAGGAAAGACATTACAGTGAAAAACCTAAGAATTGTCCATTTGAGGGTGAGTCAGGAAAGGGCATTCATTAGTCAATCATGCTTTTGAGGTTTAGGTTGGGTAACTGGGATATCAATGATGACAAAAATAAGGAAAACAGGAAACCAGGAAAAAAATAGGAAACCACTAATCAAACCAGAGCCTTAATTAGTGAAGGACAGAAATGGTGAGTTCATTGTTGGACACATTTAATGGGAAGTTTTGATGAATTTTTCCATTTTTTTTTCTCCAGTTGGCAGACTAAAAATGCACATCTGTAAGTCTGGAAATTAGGCTTCTTTATCTGTAAAATGAGGGGCTTAAACTGGATGATTTCTACATTTCTGTCAAATTCTAACATTCTAGAGCTCTTAGTTCTACTTACTCTTGGAATTATTCTGTAGAGATAATCAGTGAACCCATAGGAGTAGATAGGATCACCATGAATGAGGAATAAGAGCCATGAGAGTGAATGACAGATTCTTGAGGGGTGTCCACATAGAGCTGATTAGTGGACTAACTTCACAGAAATTGAACAGAGATAAGTTCCTCGTCAGATGATCAGAGGGAGAGAAGGAGACAGAACAACAGCCACAATGATGTGAATGCCTGCTCCATGTCTGGAAACCCAGGCATGTTTTCATTGTTGAAGTTGAAACAAATGAAAATGCCTGTATTTGACTTGTTCTGACCCACAAAAATGGCAATTTCATACGGCTTAAGCTAACACAGTAGTTTATTTAGCATGTACCCTAATGAGGGAGCTCTGACACTCTTTACTTAAACTTTGTTACTTATGGTTTCAGTTTTATCACTTGTAAAGGATAGATATTGTTTCCTTGATTACATCAAATATGTGTAGTGCATACTCAAGAGTGCAATAAATGTTAGCTATTATTTAACAATAGAAAATATAAATAATTATGACAAAGCCCTGTGACTGGTAAGTTTTGGAGCCGGATTTGCATCCATGTCCAGCTTACTCCCAAGCCAATGTTCTTAAAAACTAAATTGGCATTTACATGGACAGTAATGAGACATTCTACAAACACCAGGTTCTATTTCAATAGGTTTGGGAAACTGAGTTCCTCCATGAATCTGAAATCTTTTTTCTTTCCTTCATTAAAGGTTTTGAGATATTCTACAATAAAATGACCTGTTTAATTCTGTTTAGCACAATGCTCCTCAAATTTATTTGACCATGATTTTTTTCCTTGTGTTGCTCATTAATATCTTGGAGCAACTTGTGTTCCACAGAATATACTTTGAGAAATTCCAAACTGTGAGCATTGCCTTCCAAGAAACAGAAAAGTATGATGTAACAAAGGCAAAAAAAAAAAAATACTGTTTGAAGTAAATTCTCAGTAGTTCTGAAATGTTACATATCTATTAAAAACAAAGAAAATTAAGAAATGATTCTTGATTATAGTAAAGGAAACATGATCAAGAGAGAAATGGAAAAAGAATATAGATTGTAGTTAATTGAATAATTGTTTGGAAAATTCAAAAGTATAGTATAACTAAAGGGAAGTTTTTTTTAGAGATAATTTCTTGTGTTTGTATCAAGTGAAACAGGTGCACCTAGAGTGAGACTGGTAGTAACGCAAATAAGAAAATAATAGAGCCATCTATGTGGAAGTTGTTATATCTTCATATTCATATCCATATGGGAAAACAGAGAGAGATGCATGATTTTGGTAATGGAAAAGTCAGATAAAACAAAAACTATGAAACTTAGAACCTTGCTTCTCTTTTCTCCTCTCTTATTTTTACTGTCTGGCCATAGTACTGCTTGTAACTGTCTCCATTTAAAAATAGGCAGATATTATGAGACAGATTTATGTTTGTTCTGTCATTTTGTTAACATTCACTGGGAAAAGAGATGTTCATAACGAAAATGAGATATAAGAATTATCTGGAGTATGGAAGAACAGGACTTTACAACTTCTTTGCTTTTGAGTCAGTGAGAGTCAGATTTATTGACTTGCAGTTTGCAACTCAGTGAGGAAGATACAGATGTAGAGGTCTCAAATTATAGCAAGAGAAACATCCATATATACATGAATCTCCGTATCTCTGCATGTCACATGTACATATGAAGGCTAAATTCACACCAATTCAGTGAAATTATGTTACAGCTTTAGAGTAGATGCAATAACCTTTGAAGAACATTTTAAGTGAGTAAATAGCATTTCTATAACATATAAAGTATGCAATTTTAGTGTCCATAATATTACTTATGTAAAGCCTTAATTTTAATTAACTGTCAGTAAATATAGAAAGAGTTTATAACCAAAGAAACAGATTATGAACAGTTTTATCATAAAGATTTTTTTCCTGATTGGCTTTTGTTTAGAGTGGTCTGCAGTTGTTAGAATATTAATCTTCCCTGATATATTGCTGCTTCACATTTTTTACATTTAAAAAATTTTTAATTTTTAAGGCTTATTAAGTGCAATTGCAAATTATGTTTCCATAAGTAAGGTGAGCCTAGAAATAAAAATCTATAATTTCTGGGTTTTTTTGTTTTTTTCTTGGTAGAACTCAGCTCTCTTATGGAACCTGATTTAATTGAGAGCAGGCTATATTCACTGACATCATCATAGCTCATTTATATTTTTTATTTTTTGGAACTTTAAAGCATAAACAGCACTTTCACATGTTAATACTAGAGGCCCACTACAAAAAATATAGAAGGCTAGCATTCAAACAAAACTGGAGAACTGAAGCTGAAAATGCTACATCCATATTTTATGACACTAATAAAGATCTTACCTCATTTTTTAAAAAAGAAATTGCCCTGAATAGTTTTTTTCCCTGAGTCTCAGCTATTCGCTTCAAATTTCTAGGATACTTGGCACATTTCTAATGTATCGTGTTTTATGTCTCACTGTTGGGAACTTCCTTTCTCCGATCCAATGTGTAAAATATAGGCACCTTATTTTCAAAGTGTGATGATTAAGGAGCACACTGCTGCTTCCAGTTTAAGAGGGCTAAGTGGTTCATTTACTTTACTTACCTCACTAAATTCCACTGAAAGGACAGTGAATAAATATAAAAGGAAAGGTGTAAGGAGACTTCAGAGTAATACATTTCTATATACGGGAATATATATGGGACAGAAAATGAAGGGTAGAAGAAAACCTGTAGCCAGGAACAGATACTGGAGAAGCTGGAGCAGAAGAGGGAGATGTTCAGTTGAGCCATGGAAAAACACTAAACTTATGTTCACAGGTACAGAGGGAAGAATTGAGTTTCATGGAAGTAATCAAAGTAATTCATTAGAACGTTGTTCTGATGGCCCATCAGCCTCTTTTAGAACAACGCTGCTACCACCACCAATGTATACAGCCACTGTGATAGTAACAGTATGATGAAAACTAGAAAGCTGATGTTTAAAGAGGAAATTAGGGTTTCTAGCATGTGTGACACAGATAGAAGGAAGCCTCCTTATTGTGGCTTTTGGAGAAGGCTCAGCCAACTTGACTTGCATCCCAGTATGAAGCCTTTCAGGGTCATACCTTCCCACTTAAGCAGAACTTGAAGCAAACTCTTCCATTCAGGGGAGAGAAATGTTGGGGGAAATTAACATATGCAACGGCAGAAGAAAGTCACATCAGGTACCTATATTAATTAACCATGTCTTTGTCTCATATTTTTAAACTGATAATGCCCATCCAGGGAATACATTTCACTCAAACCAACAGCATAAATAAAAGTCAACAAATACAGCAGTCAGGCCCAGAAGTAAAACAACAATATGTGGAATACAATTAGACCTTCAAAATGTCTAATTACTGCTTTCAGAGATTCAAAATATTGCATCCATGAAGTCAATGTGGAATGTGCTAAAATAAGTTCAGCCTGAGAACAAGAAAGCTCTTGAAAACATTTTAAAAGGTTGTACAAATGTAACATAAGTTAGAAGAAATTATCCCAAATGTACAACATTATAAACAGAGATGGAAAATGAAAGATAAGAAAAAATTACAGGTACAGTTCAAGAAGTTTAACATGTATATAAAAAGTTTCAGTAAATGGGGAAAAAATACTAAGTACATAATATTTTTAAAAAATACTTCCTGGCTGGGCGTGGTGGCTCATGCCTGTAATCCCAGCACTTTGGGAGGCCAAGGCAGGTGGATCCCGAGGTCAGGAGATCGAGACCAGCCTAGCCAACATGGTGAAACCCCGTCTCTACTAAATATACAAAAAATTAGCTGGGTGTGGTGACGGGCGCCTGTAGTCCCAGGTACTCGGAAGGCTGAGGCAGGAGAATGGCATGAACCCGGGAGGCAGAGCTTGCAGTGAGCTGAGATCGCACCACTGCACTCCAGCCTGGGCGACAGAGCGAGTCTCCGTCTCAAAAAAACAATAATAATAATAAAATAAAATAAAAAATAAAAAACGAAAAACTTCCCACACTGAAGAATAGAAATGCCTGTTCCAGCAGCAATTCTAGTTTAGAGCAGGAAGACCGAGAGTCCCAAGGCAGTAGTTTATGTTGCAGAGTGCTGGTGCTAAATAAGATTAAATAAACAGTAGGATATTTGATGAGTTTGAGTGTATTCAGAAGAGACTTTTGGCTATTGAAGTGTTTGGGAATAAATTAGCCCTAGTTACACAGAAAATTAAGCATACAGAAAAATAGTGACACAAGCTACATATTTGGTGACCTTCATGAGCAATATGTGTTTATTGAATATTTGAGAAAAAATGGGTAATCTATTGGAAGGGAAATAGGGAAGTATGGGAGGAATGGAGGAAAATAATAGAACACACTTAAGACTGAGAAAGCTAATAGCCGTATGATATATTATTCAAAAATATAAGGAAATTAGCTAAAAGAACGTAAGATGGTGAGAAGCAACTAGTTTGTTTTGTTTTGTTTTGTTTTAAACATGATACCTGCAAAGGAACAAGGATCATATTGGCAACACACTTTTATTAGCACTTTTGTATGCTAGAGTCCAATGGAACAGTTGTGTATCTTTTAAGACTCAAGAGCAAACTGGCTTAAGTAACATGGAAGTGTATTGACACCCAAAGGTAAAATGCCCAGGCATCGATTTTTAAACACACTTGATCCAGAGGTTCAAATAAAGTGTTCACAACTCTCTTAATTTTGCAGATCTACTTATTTTGTGCTGGTTGGTTTTGTTCCCAGGCTTCACATATTGATGGAAATGTATCTTTCAAAGAACTTTCTTCTGTTTCTATGTGTGCTAATAACTGTTTTTCAGCTTCTTCCACTAAAGCTGCAAGTTTACCTGCTAAGTAGCTAATGCAAGAACAACCCTCCCATCAACCACTTCTCAGGAGCTTAGGACACCAAAAGAATTGTAGCCCTCACTCATTTTATGTGTCCACTGTGGGTCAGGAAAGGGACTCTGCTTATCCTACGGACTCCAGCTGAGGAAACGAGCCAAGCACCATTTTAAATGCTGGCAGGCACTGTGCAAAGGGAGTAGGACTGACACCAGCAATTAAATGTTCTAACTCGGAAGTGTCATATATCATTTCTCTTATAATTCATGGTTCAAAACTATTCATTTGGGTCTATCAACCAAAAGGGGGCCAGAAAGTTCAACTCTACTATGTACCAAGAACCTGGGAGAATGGAAATATTTGGCTAAAAGCACTGGTAACTAACATATTGTCCCACAGAACATCATAAAGGTAATACGTTGCTAAACTTCTCTGCATTAGATCGACTTTTTATCTTCTGTACATTTCTGTGTGGAACCTATGACCACAAATGAGAGCGTTCTGCTGTAGCAGCATGGCAAAACATCAGAAATGTGTATTTATTTCACATACATCATATATTATGTTTATATTTATTTTAGTCTACAATTACACATTTTAGGTATAATGTTTGAGTTTTCAGTTAAAATAATATAAATAGCTTTTATAATTAATCTTTTTACAGCAATCTTTTGAAAGCTAAAACACAAATTTCCTTATATTATTAATGTAACTGTGATAACTATGTGAGTTTAGGTCTTTTTGTCTGCTCTGGAGCCTACGTCATCACTAGAGGATCCCTGGCTGCCTCTCGAACCATGTATGTTCAACTGTTAAATAATGTACTGCACCTCCCCATCCAGTTTTTTGAAACAAATTCCACAGGCCAGATCATCAGTCGTTTCACCAAGGTAAGCAAAGACACACCTTATTAAATAGCATACATAAAAGTGACCCATATTTAGTACCTTATATGCTCACTTGTACAAAATATTATGTGTTTTATGTAGATTTCATTGTTAAGTATATTTCTAAGCGTTAGGACGTATATAATTGATGTACAACAGAGTCACATTTTGTACATATAATTAAAATAACACTGAAAAATTACTTAAGAATCCAAGAAACACATGCTTTGAGATGTACCACTCTAATTCTTCCACACATCGAGTTTGAGAATCACTGCTTTAGGCTAAGAAGGGAAAGAAAATGTAAGTTGGTCAGGCACGGTGGCTCACGTCTGTAATCCCAGCACTTTGGGAGGCCGAGGCGGGCGGATCACGTGAGGTCGGAAGTTCGAGACCAGCCTGACCAACATGGAGAAACCCTGTCTCTACTAAAAATACAAAATTAGCCAGGCGTGGTGGTGCATGCCTGTAATCCCAGCTACTCGGTAGGCTGAGGCAGGAGAATCGCTTAAACCTGGGAGGCGGAGGTTGTGGTGGGCCGAGATTGCGCCACTGCACTCCAGCCTGGGCATCAAGAGTGAAACTCCATCTAAAAGAAAGGAAGGAAGGAAGGAAGGAAGGGAGGGAGGGAGGGAGGGAGAGAAACGAAGAAGAGAGAAAGAAGAAAGAAAGAAAAAGAAAGAGAGAGGGAGGGAGGGAAGGAGGAAGGAAGGAGAGAGAGAGAAAGAAAGAAAGAAAAAAGAAAGAGGGAGAGAAAGAAAAAAAAGAAAGAAGGAAAGAAAGAAAGAAAAAATGTAAGTCAATGTGGAGATATCTAGACTTTAAAAACATCCTGCCTTTAAGAAAACATAACGTCACTTATGGTGAATGGGGAATGAGTTGAGATTTTCAGAGTGTCTCTGCTTATCTGTAGGAGTTTTCTCATTGTGTCTACTATAAAATGTTTCTAATAGAACTGTCCAATAAAGATAAAATGCAAACCACGTATGTGATTTTAAATTTCCTGGTAGCCATAATAAAGAAGTAAAAGAAAACACAATGGAAAGAATTAATTGTGATAATACATTTTATTTAACACAGTATATCCAAAACATTATTCCCAACTGTAATTAATATAAAATTATTGATTAAACTTTACACTTTTTTGTACAAAGTATTTTAAATCTGGTTTTTATCATGTGCTTATAGCATATCTCAATTTGCAATAGCCACATTCCAAGTGTTCAGTAGTCACATATTGCTAGTGGTCCCTATATTAAGATGCGCAAGTCCATAACCTCAAAGTGTATAAACACATTTCTATGTATATGTAAAAACATGGTGGGTGTATAAAGGGAAGTGAAGATAAAACACAAAAACATAAATGAAAGTACCTAACATAATAAATTTCTAATGTAATATTAAATCAAGCTTAATTGTACCAAAGTACATACTGTCTTTTGAAAAATTATAGAAGAATTTGATCACCACCATTCTGTTTCTCCCAGAGGACATTTCTGACTACAACCCTACTGATTTATTATCTTTTTTATATAGTAAAATTTCAAATGATTGAGTCTTAAGCAGATGGGAGTACGGGCAGGTAAATTCAAAACAGGAAATTCCATGTGAATACAATACTGTTACATTGTTTGGTATATGAAATAACCAGGGAACTCCCAAAAGAGGGTAGAATTAACAAAATTTCATCTCTATTTTTTATATCAGTTTTGTCCTGAACTGAGTAGTTCATCCAGTCAAGGTTCAGTGTCTTAGTATTCCCTGGCATCTCTCAGGTCATACCTTGTGCCACAAACAGATTAAGTTATATGCAACAAAGTGTAAAACAGGCTGGGTGCGGTGGCTCATGCCTGTAATCCCAACACTTTGGGAGGCCGAGGCAGGTGGATCACCGAGACCAGCCTGGTCAACATGACGAAACCCCGCCTCTACTAAAAATATAAAAACTCGCTGGGCATGGTGGCTCATGACTGCAATCCTGGCTACGTGGGAGGCTGAGGCACGAGAATTGCTTGAACCTGGGAGGCAGAGGTTTGCAGGGAGCCGATATCGCACCACTGTACTGCAGCTTGGGTGACACAGCGAGACTTTCTCTCAAAAAAAAAAAAAAGTACATATCAATGCATGACCTTCCCTTTGTCCTTCTCTCATTCCTATTTGCCACTCCATCTTTCAGTTCATAATTTTATAAATGAAGATTATCTTGTTTTCCTGTCTCTTTTGATATGAGTAGGATCCAGTTACCCAGGAAGGCCACTGAACATGTTCTTAGTTGATAACAATGCCCCAGGAGTGATTTACAAATTTTGAGTCATAAATAATGGTAGCCCAATGCCCCAAATACTGGAATTAAAAAAAAACAGCTATTGAATTATGGACTGTTTTTTCATTTTTGTTTTTGCTTTTTTGATCAAAGTCTGACTTTAATTGTATAATTAATTGCCATGTAGTGGTCACTGGGAAATATAAATTGCTTGATGATAAGTATCTTGAAATCGGAACAGCCTTTTAATTGTTATAGTTGACTACAGGGGAAAAATATATGGGGATGAGCAAAGATCATGTAGTTAGATTTATTTATGAAATCAATAGATTGTCATACCTGGGTAAACATTTTTAATTTTGCCATTGAATAATATATTTCTTCTTTCTCTCATTTTAAACTGTAAAAAGTTAAAAATAAAGTGACCTAATATCAAATTTTTCAGGGCGTATTTATAATTGATATGCGTTTGCATTACTATTTACGGCTGTGGGTGAATTGTACATTGGATATTATTGGAACAGTTTTGGTCATTGTGGGAGCTTTGCCCCTCTTCATTCTGGGGATTATTCCCTTAGTGTTCTTCTATTTCTCTATACAAGTAAATGCATACATTTTTATTTGTATTAATAACTTATAAGTTCACAATCAAATATAGTTTCAGACCCACTTAAACCTCCTCTTTGTCCAGGTTCTCTAAGAAGCAGAGTCGAAGAAAGAAATACATGTACTAGAGATTTTACTGGGGGAAATGCCTGTAAAAGATAAAGGAGAGGGAGCAGAAGAAGGCTGGGCTGAGCAAGTCCTCAGACAGCCACTCAGGCTGAATCCCTGTGATTGAGAAAAGGAAAGAAGACGGATTGGGTAACAAGGGTCTTGGACGACAGGACAGTTCTATAACAGGTTCAACAGGAAGTTCTCAATCACAGTTGTCCATTGGAGGGTCTCATGTGCACTTTCTGCCAGTACTCAGTCATTGGCTGGCCTCTATGCTAATACAGCAGTGGATCTATCAGTGCAGTCTCAGGGGCTGTCAGTCAGCTATGCTCCTGCAGCAGGAGAGCTGGGGCCTGCATTTTTATGCCCGCCACAAAACCTGTATGTTGTAATTTTAGCAGAAAATTAATTTCCCTGCATATCCAAGAGAGAAACAGATACTGCCTTTTTGTCCTATTTTTTCAGACATCACCTGTCTCTTCCAGACAAACAATTGCTGGAAGAGCTAAATATGTTTCTCATGATACTTACATGATATCTTCATATTATATCATTTGCAAAATTATGTTACTGTAAGGCTTCAGTGGAAAACAAAATTTCTTAGCATTTTTTCTTCAGCAATCAAACAAAGCAATTTTATTAAACAATGAAAAGAATCAATTAAAATGGATGTCTTTATTATCTTTATTATTTTACAAGAAACCATGACAGCTTTTGGTTTAAAAAAAGTTTATAGATTCATACAGAAATGACTCACATAAAAGAAATTTCTCCAGCTCGCTCCTACACTGTGACATAAAAGTTCTTTTCATATTCACAGATTTATACACCTTATTTCTGTTCCCACAACTTTTTTTGACACTTATACCAAGGTACTAGTCAAACATGCAAGAACTATAAATAGATGAATTTTTCAAATGTATGATATCAAGAGATTATTATTATAAAACATTTTAGGCATCTTTTTACATTGCCTTTATCGAAGTATGTGCAATTTTTTATTACAGGCTGAATCCGCAAATAAAGAGTGAAATTTAAAGACAGTTGCAGAAATAACTATTTCCCATTTATTTTATTTATCTTGGCAATAAGGACTTCAGTAAAAGATGAAATTAGTTTAAGTAAACAGAAAAACAAAAGTAGATTATAGGTGTAAATGGAGCTCAGATTGAATCCAAAATAATGAATGTATGTTTTTCCACTCCGTATTTTAGTTGATTATCCTCAAATATGCAATCTACTATGAAAACGTAATCCTTACATTTGTTGGAGATTTTAAATGAAGTATAAAATACAGAGAAAATTACCCATTATTTCTAAATTTTCAGTGAAATTCCTATATTAAAATAATATTTATTCCAAAGCATGATTTCTTTATCCTGATAGTTTCAACTGATAACATACAAGGTAAAATCAATGCTGAAGCATATTTTAAATATAGAAGTATCTGAGGCTCTTTTCACAAAAAGATTCTTAGAATTTAATGCTTTTCAAAAACCCAAGTTTTAAAATTCATGTTAGAGTTTAGTCTGCTCAAGCCAGACTACAAATGATTTTCTCATTTCCTTACCTATACTCCATTATTCTTCCTACTTCACATCTTTTCCCTGTTCTTTCTGTCTGTCCCGATCTTACTTGACATTGATGGCCTAGGTCATTTTCCATTTTCTGTGTGGAGCATTCTCTATCACAATAGTGCAAAAAGAACTGACTCCTTATCTACTATTCTAATATCTACTATTATGGATTTATTACACTGCTGGCATATACTGATGGTATAATAAATCCAGAATATATGAAAATGTAAGTGCTCTGGGGGCAGAGACTATGTTTTATATATATTGTAAAAATCTAGAAAAAAAGCACTCATGTGGCAAATGAAATTTTATGTGTTGGTCTCCTGTCTGGTAATCTATAACAGAGTTATCAGGAGTAAAAAGGAGTCTAGAGATCATGTCTCATTAGGGGCAGTAATATAGGATGAGGTCTGAATTTGGATGCAGGAACTTGGAGTTCTAGTCATCTTCCTTACTTACCTGCCTGGGACATCATTTCCCTTTCTAGGCTCTATTTCTTTCCCCTGTGAAATAAAAGGTTTGGTTTGGATGTGTGCTGTGTAAAGTGTAGTTCCTGGACCCATGGGCCATAGCTCAGACCTATTGGGTCAGAATGTCCCAAGGTAGAGCCCAGAAACCTGCCTTTCAACAAACCCTTCAGGCAGATGATTCTTACTAAAGTATGAGAAGCATTGATCTAGATAAAATTTCTTAAACCAGATTCCCCAGAGAGTTGCATGAAAGAACTCCATGGATTCTACAATTCACTGAAAATTGATCAGAAGCTCCAAGTGTGTATGCGTATTTGCATTTGTCTAGGGAAAGCATTTTACCCTTATTTATCTACTCACATGGTCTGTGACCCCAATAACATATTCCCTAATCTAGGCAATCTAAATCCTTTACAGCCTCAGAATGCCATAGTCCCCTGTATTCTTCAGAGCACTTAGCATAGAGTTCAGTTGTAGACCACCAGGCTGTATGTAACCTGAGATATGGTTTTGTTTAGCTTGCTCAGTGTTTTTACCAAATGTAGACATTTTAAAATCTGGGATTTTACATAAAATTCCAGATTTAAAATTTTCCTGAAAATTGTGCAAGACCGCATAACTTTTGATTTTCATTTCCAGTTGGTAGCAATTTTCCGGGGCTGATTAATAATCCGGTTAATACAGGGCATGCTCCATCCAGCTCCCAGCAGTCTTACCTATCCTAATTGTCCTCAACTTCAAGCCAAGGGGAAATAGATAACTTATAATTGTGACTGTAGTGGAAATATTTGAAGAAAAAAATAAAAAATATTATTTTTCTATAATTATGTTTAAGTACAAAATATCATTGTGCATTTGGTCTGCTTCCCTCATTCAATGAGTTAACTGTTCGGTCACATATTCAACATGTAACATAGAGCTTTCTTCATAGAAGGGACTCAATAATGGTCATTTGAGAGCACTGTCGAAGTGAAATTTTGCCCAATTATGTTCTTGTTGTGCTGTCCAGAATTGGCGCTTTTTTTTTTTTTTGACAGGGTCTCACTCTGTTACCCAAGCTGGAGTGCAGTGGCATGATATGATCTCAGCTCACTGCAACCTCTGCCTCCCAGGTTCAAGCGATTCTCCTGCCTCAGCCTCCTGAGTAGCTGATACCACCGGCAGTCACCACCACAGCAGGCTAATTTTTGTATTTTTGGTAGAAATGGGGATTCACCATGTCGCCCAGGCTGGTCTTGAACACCTGAGCTCCAGTGATCTGCCTGCCTCAGCCTCCTGAAGTGCTGGGATTACAGGCGTGAACCACCGCTCCCAGCCTCAGAATTTGGGCTTTTTACCATCACAAGGGCACATGAGTTTCCTAAGGCTCCTCTAACAAAGTGCTACCAACTGGGTGGCTTAAAACAACAGAAATGTATTCTCTCACAATTTTTAAAAACCTGTTTGTTTTATTTTATTTTATTTTTATGAGACAGGGCCTGGCTCTGTCACCCAAGCTGTAGTGTAGTGCCACGATCATAGCTCACTGCAGTCTCAACCTCCTGGGCTCAAGTGTCAAGTGATCCTCCTGCCTCAGCCTCTCGAGTAGCTAGGCCAACAAGCATGCACCACCACATCTGGATAATATATATATGTTTTGCTTTTTGTAAAAACGAAGTCTTCATATATATATATATATAATATATATATATAACTTTTTGTAAAAACAAGGTCTTCCTACATTGCCCAGGCTCGTTTCAAACTCCTGGGCTCTAGCAACCCTCCTGTCTTGGCCTCCCAAAGTGTTGGCATTATAAGCGTGGGCACCACACTTGGCCTCTCTCACAGTTCTAAAGGCCAGAAGTCTAAAATCAATATATAGGCAGAGTTGATTCCTTCTGGAGGCTTTGAGGGAAAATCTCTTTCATGCTCCTCTCCTAGCTTCTGCTGGCTGTCAACAATCCTGATATTTTCGTTGGCTTCTAAACACATCACTTCAATCTCTGCCACTGGCAGAGATGGTGTTTTCCCTGTGTCTATGTCTTCTTTTTTGTCTTTTATAAGGATACTCAACATTGGATTTAGGGTCCACCCTACATCCAGGGTGATGTCATCTTGAGATCCTTAACTTAATTACATGTGTAAAGATGCTATTTCTGAATAAGGTCACATTCACAGATACGGGGGATTAGGACTTGTATCTGACTTTTGGGGGGTCATTCTTTAAATCACAACACAAGGGTCTTGTAGTTTTTGAACTATTGAAGCAATTTCTGCTACATTTTTCCGACTGCTTCTTTCTGTCTTCTGATTAGAGATACTATGTGGCAAGCTCTCGGCAAATCCGGAGGTTGACAGGAGGGTCCCGTTCTCCTGTCATTTCTCACTTTAGTGAGACTTTATCAGGAGTGTCCACCATCAGAGCATTTGGACATGAACAGAGGTTTATCCAGCAATACAAAGAGATGGTGAATGAAGACTTGGTCTGTTTCTACAATAATGTAATTTTCAACCTGTAAGTCCCGTTAATACCTAGCCTAGGATCAATCTCTTCTTAGACATCTTGCTCACTGACTTCTAAACAGACGGTTTTGAAATGGCATTTCATCCAAGTTTTAGAAGTATGTATTAATAAGACAAATATTTTCCAGTATTTAATGTACATTTAAATTAAATTATATCTATTTATATTCACATGAAAGGCACATACTATTTAATATGAAAAAGGTGCTTTTAGAATTACTCATGACATAATTCTACATTGTGTTTTATATCTTTAGAATATATTTTATTTGTATACACTGTTTTGTAAAATTTTTGAATTTGAAGTTATAATCTCACATAAAGGAGAAAAATGAATTAAATAGAAGTTGAGCATGTTTCAATTTTTAAAGACTAATTTTATCATATTAAAAAGTATACACAATTGGAAAGGGAATTGATTTTCCAATAGGATTTAAAAAATGCAATACATCATTATAGCTGGTGTTATTTTGCTTCTAAATTCAGATCAAGTTTTAAAGCAAAGTTCTGCAAAAGTAAAATGCATTTTCATGCAGATGAATTCTTTAAGTTATCATGTGATGATCCCATGTTTGATTGAGTTCCAAGTAAGTTGGGGAGAAAAAAGAAAGCAGCTATTGCTGTTTATGTCTCAATTTCCCAGAGGAGAGGGTTAGTACCAAATGCACCAAAACTTTTTCATCTCAGTTACTCAGGAATATATTCCATCTGTCACAGGTGGCTGTCTGTTAGACTTGAATTTCTTGGCAACTTAATGGTGCTTTTTGCTGCACTGCTTGCTGTGCTGGCTGGCAATTCTATAGATTCAGCAATAGTTGGTTTGTCTGTATCCTATGCCCTAAATGTAAGTAATAATGACTTTTGTGGTATATGGTATGTTTATAATCCAATTAATTAAACACTCTTCTTCTTTGCTTGTCTGAATTATATATTATATTAACTAAGTAATGAGAGACAAATCTGGATTGCCCTGGAGGCTCATTTCCTTCTCTATCTTGTTAGTAGCAGGAAGCTAGCTCAGCAATTCTAAGTTAACTTATAGGAAGAATAGGCTAATACTCAAGGCTGAGTGCTGAAAGACCAGGAAACTCCTGCTATTCTGTAGTTACTCAGAAGTTTCCTGCTTTTCTGTCCTGGTGGATTTATAGAGTGTTACAAGGGTAGGGTCCCTCTCCAACACAGCTGGTGTATCTCATTTGCTCAGCCTAAGCAAGAAGATAATTCTCTAGGGAGAATATATTTGCTGTTTCTCTTCGGCTTGTAAGTTTTTCCCTAATAAACCCTATTTGATATTACACTGCAATGCACTAGTGGTAGGATGCATGCCCCCTTTGTAAAATAGCAAATGCCCTAAACTGCTTCCACATTATGTAGAAGATAAGTCTAGGTGATTGTGTTATATACTCTTGGTCCCATATCCAAAAACCTTGAGCCAGTTGCATTTCAGAATTCAGAATTTAGGCTTCTAGAAAGGAAATATGTACATAGCCATATCCAGGGCCTGGTTCAGAAGCCCATAATCAAACACTACTGCATGTACACCCTAACTGGATTAAGTAAATGCTTTGAAGAGCCCCATATCACTTCAAGTCAGGTGGTCTATCAAATGAGTTGGCACCAAACTCAAGAAAAAAATTGCATTGTACAAGTTTTTTGACTTTTAGAATTCTGTTCAAAGTTACACCCTTAGAGAATCTACATTTGGGAATAGAGTGAGAAGAAAATATAGTTTTTTTTTTTAATAGGGGAGCAGGAATAGTTAGAAAGCTAGGAGAATCTTCCTTCTGATGGAAGGTAGTGAAGAATGCCAAAGTGTTTGCACACTATTTTTTTTCTCATTTAGGATGCACATTTTTTTGAGGCATATCCCATCAATCTTGGTATTCATCATTCCTTATACCCACTATGCACTTCTTGCATATATGCTGAATTATGGTCTATCTTATCCCAAGTAATTCCATTATTTATGATATTAATGAGTTTGTATCCTTAAACACAAATATGCATATGAAGAAATATGCTTATTTCTAGAGCTGCTAAATAATAATCAAAAGATATAAAGTATATGAGACAGTATGTGACGAGCTCTCAGCAGATTCAAGAAATGAAAAGTGAAACTCTATAAAAAATAAAGTATTATTTATATTACATAAAAAACTAAAGAACATCCATTAAGCTCTTCTTTCCTCCCCCATACCCCCCAGATAACTCATTCTCTGAATTTTTGGGTGAAGAAAGCATGTGAAATTGAAACCAATGCAGTTGCTGTTGAAAGAGTTTGTGAATATGAAAATATGGATAAAGAAGTAAGCACGCCTCCTGTAATCCCAGTACTTTGGGAGTCATGGGAGGATCACTTAAGTTCAAGAGTTCAAGACCAGCCTGGTCAACATAGTGAGATTCTGTCTCTACAAAAATAAAGAAAGAAAGAAAGAAAGAAAGAAAGAAAGAAAGAAAGAAAGAAAGAAAGAAAGAAAGAAAGAAAGCTGGGTATGGTGGCTTATGCCTTTAGTTCAAGCTACTTGGGAGGGTGAAGTAGGAGAATCCCTTCTGCTTGGGAGTTCAAGGTTGCAGTGAGCTATGATCACGCCACTGCACTCTAGCTTGAGTGATAGAGCAAGATCCTGTCTAATAAAAAAAAAAGTATGAGAAAAAAAAAGAGGTAAGCACTCCTAAATAATCAATAAATGGATTGGATGCAGGAGTAAGACATTGTAATGTACCATAAATTGACATTAAAAAAAATGTTAAGCAAACCTGCATTTCCAAATTCATATGATATTCAGTGTTTCAATGAAATTAAAACCAAAATTGCTACAAAGTGGCCTATTATTTTATATATCATTAAAATAGAAATAAAAATACTTCTAATTAAATTAGGATACACCCTAAATTATAAGATATATCCCTACTTCAATGAGTTATAAAAATGCAAGATGTTATCTTGTTTCTAAAAGGCGCAGTGATTTGTCCTCTACTGATGTATAGAGTAAAAAATTCAACTTGCAATTATAACTTTGTGGGGATTTTACAGTGATAAAAGTGTCTTAATATAGTCAACTCATAATTATTTAGATTCTGCACAATTCTAAATTAATTACATTTTATTGCTTGTACCTTTTGTTCTATTTACTCATCATTAGTATCTCTGTGAATGGGAAGGGAGAGGAGAATAAATCAGTCTGTTTTGTTCCCTCTAACTGTAATTTGGGAGGGTGAAGAGTTATTTCAACTATTGACAGAGTATAATATTTAAGTTTCTAAAATATTTTACTCATCTGGATTACTTCTGCTTCCAATTCTATTAATTAACAGGGCAGATAACAAAGATGACTTGAATTTCTGTTCCTTCTTCAATCCACCTAGGAAGCTATCTTTCTTTTTTATCTTGTAACTCTTCCTCTTTTGCTCATGAAACTGAGGAACAGGTACCTCCTCCAAAGAAAAATCTAACATTTCCCATTGCATCTTTGGTAATATTTCTTCCTGTCTTCTCTCAGATCTTACTCCATTAACCACCTCTTCTAATTCGCACTCCCTTGCAGTTCCTCTCAGCCTGTAACTAAGCCAAAATATTTTCTACATTCTCCAACTCCTACCTGAACTTTGAATTTTCCTCTGGATTTTTCCCCAGGTCTTGTCTTTCCTTCTCAAAGAAATTTCATGAAAGATTAGTCTACCTTCACAATCTTCAGTTACCAATATTCAACTTGTTCAGTCTGTCATCTCATGGCTAATATCAAATATTATTTTTCTATATTTTCTAAATTTTTGATCATAAAATATATTTCTTTCACATTAGAAAAAGATGATAAAAATATGTGTGTACACACATTTAAACAAACAAAAATCTTTGTGTACTTTGACGCAAGTTGTGACAAATACTGCTACAAAAACTCTTGATGTGGAAGGATAAATGTGTTCAAATAACCTTATTCAGCCCTCTACACCTGTTTCTCTGCTTTCCATTACAGAAAAATTCTTTTGCAAAGTTGCCTGTACTTGCTTTTCTATTTCATTTTCTCTGATTCATTTCTGGACGCTCGCCAAATAGGCTTTTGATCCCACTATTGCACTGAAACTTGACTCATGAAAATCACAGCAGGTTCTTTCTCAGTCCTCACTTTACCTGATCTATCATTTGATGTTAGCCGTCACTCTCTTTCCCATGAAACACTTTACCTCACTGCCCAGGCATCACACATTCTTGTGTGTTCTTTTACCTCGTGCTTCCTCCAGTATTCACACAGGCCCCTGTCTTAGGTCTTGGGCACAACTAATTAGATCCAATTAGTCATTAAACCCTTTGCCTAGAATGTTCTTCCATTGGTATCCACCTAGCATTTTCTCTGACCACAGTCAGCAAAGCCTTTCCTAACTACCCTTCTTTAAATGACACCTCCTCCTTTTCCCAACCCTGGCTGTTTCTTGTCTTACAAAGCTTTATTATCATCCAGCATGGCTGCATATGTTATATGGTTCTTTTTGTCTGTCCCCACTACACCCCACAAGGGAAATAATTTTTATCTGTTTTTCTCACTGCGGAACCTCCAGCGACTAAAATAGTGACTGACACAGCAAACCTTTGAGGAATGAATGAATGACAAGCTGTCCTTATCTCAGCTAAAATTTCAAGTTATTTTTTCTTAATAACTTGATAAGAGATGAGAAGTCTTGCTACCTCAAAATATTTATTTCTAATATTTTCTTATAACTAGATAAGTTTCAGGTTGGTAACATTTAAAACTATTTTCAGAAAATCATAATATCCACAAATGTCTTTCATCATTTATATTCACTTTTGTTACCTGCATAAGAATTATTTTGGGGGTAGGGATTTTTTAATTATAATTGTTGTTTAAAGTATTTATTTTTTGTTTGTTTTTGTTTTAAGTCACCTTGGATAATGTCTAGAAGACCTCCATTACAATGGCCCAATAAAGGTATAGTGGAATTTATTAATTATCAGGCTCGATACCAAGATGATCTTGGTTTAGCGTTGCAAGATATCACTTTCCAGACTCATGGGGAAGAGAAGGTATCATATATATTTCATATGTTTGGTTTCCCTTTTATCTGAATGCATTCATTGTTGAGTATAATATGATATTGAATATAAGGTGGTCTTTTGTTACACAAAAGTAATAAAGACATGTGGTTGGTGTGTACTGAATAAGTTTTCCCTCTATAAAAAATACATTTCTTAATTAAATTGCTCATATACTACTGTGAAACATAACTTTGGTGTACTTAGTTTTTACTTCCTCTATAAAATGAATTGCAACAATAAGTAAATCGTTACCCCAAACACAATAAATCCATATGTTTGACTATTTGTATACTCAAAGACATCATGTTTTCCAAAACCGTTAAAAAGATGGGAAAATGCTTGAAATGCACTTTAGTTAACACAAGCAACTTACAAAACTGTCGATAGTATATGATATTAGTTTTATGTTTTAAAAAGCAAACAGAGACATTAGCAAAAATATTTTTGGAGCAGAAATATTTTTGGAACAGACAAATCATTCTGAAATTTTCATTACCCCAATGAATTAAACAGATTTCTGTTTTTTCTGATGCATTTTGTTAGACTTAAGATTTTATATTAGGGTAAACCAACCACTTTAATATTCTATCTGCCTAACATTCCTATTAATACCAAGACACAAATCAGCAACCAGAAGATATTGCTCTTTAGTTCTCATGGTCATAGGGAAATGTTTAATCACTGGGATGTTTAGGACAAAATGATTATTTTGGCCAGGAGTCAAAATCCTTAAACACTATTTTTGGCTGCCCATAATAGTTTTAATGCAGAGTTCCTTTGATATACTAGGGAAATTTACAGATATTCCTTTGGATTTTCTAGTCTATCTGGCAAAAGATTCCAGTGCCCTATTTGTTTCTTTGCTTGTTTCAATGAAGGGAAGACAGAGAAAATCTGTTTTCTGAAAATCTCAATAAAACCATTCATTATCATTGCTTCTTTTGCCCTAAACTTTAATGGGTAGTTCAGGGGTGGTTCAGGAATGATCTGTTTTTCCTGGGTCTGCTGGGGATCTTTGGTGAGGAAGCAACTAAATTACTCAGAGCTAAAGGAAAAACACAGATTAGTCAGAGCCTTTCCAGCAAGTAAAGAGTATTTGGATAAAGACTGGTCCTTAGAAGTCACCTGACATCTTCCACGCCCATCAAGGTTAGTCTTGCTGACAAAATTGGATCCCACTGACCTGACACCTAATACATTTGTTGCCAGTGCAAAGGCCTTGTTTCCTTACAAAAAGTAGAGTTTGTGATTATTTCATTACAGATTGGAATTGTGGGCAGGACTGGAGCAGGCAAATCCACACTATCAAATTGCTTATTTAGAAGTTGTGGAGAGAGCAGGAGGCGAAATTATTATTGACGGAATTGATGTATCAACTATTGGACTTCATGACCTTCATGGCAAACTTAATATTATTCCACAGGTAAAGCCTATGTTGCCATAGGCTTTCTTAACCCACTCCAAGTAAATCTGTTGTCTTTCTTTTTAAAAATCTGTTCCTTCCAAGTCTATAAATTCATTGTTTGAAGCCATATCATTTTAAATGGAATATATGAAAAACTGCTATGTAATTGAATCCTCTTTAAACACCCTTATCATAAAGCATTCTTCCTAAGAGCATTTATCTATTTGAAAAACCAGTTCATCTTTTTGATAAAATTTCCTTCATAATAGTAAGTGCAAATAAAATTCAAATAAATAGATCAGACTGAAACACATTGATTTTTTTTGAAGAAAATATTACTGAAGTTTTTGCTTAGTTGTTAGAGTGTAGAATTTTGACTCTTTTTCACTTGAAGTTTAGAAACATTAAAAAAAGAACAGTAATTCAGTTAGTTCTCTTTTCTCAAGTCCTTTGATTTTTCCATCTGTGGAATCAAAGGAACTTGATCATTAAGGGGCATGCAAACTAGCTTAAAAATATGCCTCTTAAGTCAAAGATGAAATACTCAGCTGAAACTGGGTGCAGTGGCTCACGCCTGTAATCCCAGAACTTTGGGAAGCCGAGGCGGGTGGATCATCTGAGGTCAGGAGTTTGAGACCAGCCTGGCCAACATGGTGAAACCCTGTCCCAACTAAAAGTACATAAATTATCCAGCCATGGTGGTGCACACCTGTAATCCCAGGTACTCAGGAGGCTGAGACAGGAGAATTGCTTGAACCTGGGAGGCGGAGGTTTCAGTGAGCCGAGATTGCGCCACTGCCCTCTAGCCTGGGCAACAGAGCTAGACTCCATCTCAAAAGAAAAAAAAAATCATTGTACTGTCTTCTAAAAATCTATTAAAATACTCATTTTAATATATTAAAATGTCATATTGTTTAGACGTATACTTGTATTCATGCATTTACTTCAAAACAAATTTGAGTAAAATCTGGAATTCTGGAAGGGAAAAAAATTAGTGGAAAAAAAGAGACATCAGTTGTTCCTCTCTTATAGATAGAGTAAAATATAGTGTCACTAGGCATCTTGGTGTAGCATAAAGAAAATGAACTCAATCCTCTTCGAATTCTCTTCAACCACTAACTTACCTTCGTGTGGTGTAGACAAGAACTCTTTGGAACCTCCAGCTCACTTTCTGTAAAATAAGAATACTAACTTCTATCTTTCTGAGTTGGTATACTGATTGATAATATATACATACTATATTTCATATTTATTATATGTTATATTATATCCTTGACTACACGGCAGTAATTGTCATCATTATTTCAGTACTCATTATTATTTTCAATAATAGGAAGAGGAGAAAGAAAATCAGGAGACTTATGATGACAATATGAATTTTAGTTTATTCTGACTCTCTTCTGTTTTTGTTGTAAATATAAAATGAATTTGATGACTGTATTAGGTCTGATAATTTTGCTTTCTCCTGCTTTGTTTTCTGAGTCTGATTTTTTAAAATGTATTTATGCCTCATGACAGTAAGATTATGCAGGACTATTTCCTGCTTTGGCACCCTGTTTTATTTTCTGGAACCCTTCAAATGAACCTGGATCCCCTAAACAAATATTCTGATAGCAAGCTGTGGGAAGTGCTGGAATTGTGTCACTTGAAACAATTTGTGCAGTCCCTTCCTGAGAAGCTACTGAGATTTCAGAGGGTGGCGAGAACCTCAGGTAAGCTGCTAAGAGCAGAGCTTGTCCAAGTTATTCATTCCAAGCTCTTTAGAAACTCGAATTGGCATCCAAGAGAAATACAGCTCCTGAGCCACCAGGGCCTGTTTAAAGTACACCATGGCCGATTCTTTCTAGGGAAGAGGAAGGAAAAGTAAATTGGTAGCTCTAGGCTGGGAAACCACTGACTAAGAGAAAGGAAAGAAAAAAAAAGAGCAATGCCCTATGAAAAGTCACTATTTAATTGAATCTTCTTTTGTCAAGACTACTACTCTAAAAGCCTTGTTCCTAAAAAATGTAAGGGGCTACTTTGCCTTCACCATTGTTTGTTGCCTTACGATAGCCCACTTCATGTGATCAGAGACCCCAGAAAAGTGAGCTAGATCCCTGTAATGGCCTGCGTGGCAAGACTCCCACCACCCCTTCTTTGATCACTTTCTCCCTACCCCTCTGTGTTTCTGCGACATTGGCCTCCATGCTGTGTCATGAGTTTGCCAGGCCAATTCACGCCTACCACAGGGATTTTACATCTGCTATTTCCTTTACCTGGAACAAGTTTTTACTGGAAATCTGTAAGCCTCACTCTCCATGTCCTTCAGTTCTTGCCTTAAAATTCTCCAGAGGATTTCTTTGGCACACCCATCTAACATGCCCATCCCACATCTACACTTTATACCCCACTTCTGTGTGTTTGAATTCTTAACACTTATTATATACATATTATCCATGGAATTACTGCATATAATGTTGCACCGTACTCATATACCCCTCCTACTATGCTTTTTACTCAATTATCTTGCTTATTGTTTTCTGTGTCCCCATGAGAATGTATCTGCTACACAGAGATTTTTGTCTGTTTTGCTCATTGGTCTAAAGTCTGGCACTCCCTCAAGAGATATTTTTTGAATAAAAGAACAAATGAAGTTGTGGGTCAGAAAAAGAATGAATAGCAGTATCATCAGAATTTTAAGCCATGAAGTGTGTTACCATGAAGTCCATTGTTGAAATTATTATTATTATTATTTTAACAGCATGGGACAATGGCAGCTGGTCTGTCTAGCTCGTGCTCTGCTTCGAAAAACAAAAATTCTCATCTTGGATGAAGCAACAGCCTCCATTGACTTTGAGATGGACAAGTTGGTGCAGACCACAATCAGGAAGGAGTTTTCTGATTGCATCATCCTGACCATTGCTCACAGACTGCAATCTATCATTGATTCAGACAAGTGTGCTTTCTTTCTTTTCAGAAATAAAATCATTTCTGCCAAGATAAATATTGGGCATATGAAACACACTGATTACATGCCGGTCATAAATAATTATATCTGTGCTGAGAGATACAAAATTTTCCCTAATGATATAAAAGGTATTTTCCAAAATCACTGGAAGAAAAAGTTCAAGCTAAAAGAATATTAGAAAACTTGATATAGATAATGATATATATAGAAGGTATTTTCCAAAATAATTGGAAGAAAAAGTTAAAGGTAAAAGAATAATTACTAGAGAACTTGATATAGTTCCTGAATTAACTAGCACCTATATTTTGTACTGAAATAACTCATAGAATAGTTTAAACTTTATATTAGCAGGACCAATAAAATGTGAGGTGGAAGACTGTATGTTATCTGACACTATTCTTTTCACATTTCAGGGTGCATGTTCTAGACTCAGGAAGCATTGTGGAATTCGAAGCGCCTCAGAATTTGATACGTCAGAAAGGACTTTTCTATGAAATGACAACGGATGCTGGAATAACACAAGACTCAGTGACAAAAAAACAAATTACTTTAGCTGTATGTTAATTTGCCTAGTAAAAAAACACTACAGTGCATTAGTATTTAAAAAGCAAAGACAGAAGAGAAATGCACAAGGGCAGGCCGCTGCTATGAGTTGGCACACACACTCATAGGCACCAGAGTTTCTTTGTTTGTTTGTTTGTTTTTGTTTGTTTATTTGTTCGAGATGGAGTTTTGCTCTTGTTGCCCATGCTGGAGTGCGATGGCTTGATCTCAGCTCACTGCAACCTCCGCCTCCCGGGTTCAAGCGATTCTCCTGCCTCAGCCTCCCGAGTAGCTGGGATTACAGGCACCTGCCACCATGCCCAGCTAATTTTTGTATTTTTAGTAGAGCTGGGGTTTGGCCATGTTGGCCAGGCTGGTCTCGAACTCCTGACCTCAGGTGATCTGCCCGCCTCGGCCTCCAAAAGTGCTGTGATTACAGGTGTGAGCCACGGCCCCCGGCCATCACCACAGTTTGTAACCATCCTGGGCTGTACCTAGATTTCCCTCTTCCGTTCGTGCTTACCTTGTTCACATTGGCCAAAATGCCAAATGCCACTTGTCCTTTAAGTCCCTGACTTCTCTTGGGAGTTCCCTTCTCAATGTGTCCCCCGATCTTCCCCTCTGCCCTCCAGTGTGATCTAGACGCCCCTTTTCTGTGCTTTCATTAGCCCCATGTGCATACCTTTATCATGGCAGGGCTCATACTCCATTTTAAAGTCTGCTTTCCCCTTGAAGGCAAGTGCCCAGTTTTAATCATCCTTGTATGTTATGTTCCTAGCATAGTTCCTTTCACATAACTGATGCCGAGCAAATGTTTGCAGAATGAATAGCTAGACATTTTAGAGTACTATAAGTACTTATTTATATATAAATGGATGTGGGCTGGGCACTGTGGCACACACTCATAATCCCAGCATTTAGGGAGGCCGAGGTGAAAGTAAAGCTTGAAGCCAGGAACTTGAGACCAGCGTGGGCAACAAAGCAAGATCCTGTCTCTACAAAAAGTAAGTAAATATAATGAAAAAAATGAGATGGGCATGATAGTGCATACCTGTAATCCCAGCTACTCAGGAGGCTGAGGTGGGAATATTGCTTGAGCCCAGGAGTTCAAGTTTGCAGTGAGGTATGATACACGATAGCACTCCAGCTTGGGTGACAGACACCCCATCTTTCAAAAAAAATGAAAACAAATAAGTTTTACAAATATATTTTGAGCTATTGTGTAATTTATGAAATGATGAAGAAATCACAGAAAAAAATAAGCTAGTCAGCTGCTTTTTGGAAAGAGTAATTATATATTAACAGAATTTTATAATTGTTTATAATGTTTTATATTTTTACTATTTACCTTTGAGTGAAGAAAAAACCTAATATTTTCTTTGGAACATTATTTTTTGGTTAATATATATACCTCAGTGAGATATTTTATTACATTTATGAGAGGATTGTTGATTTGTAGTCCTAATCAGATTTTGAAGGGCTTTTTCTTTAGTAGCTTTATTTAAAGGAAGCAACATTATGTCTCTGAATTGCCCTTCAAATTTAAAGTCTTTAAACTTCAATAGGATTTTCTTTCAAGAAGATATTAATAAAATAGTTTAACATGTTCTTTAAAGCCCATCAACCATTTCTTTTGTCCTCCTTTCTTCCTCTGTATGCAGCCCTGTACAACCTTGCTCTATTTCCTAAGGGTATTTATGAAAAGTTGCCTTAAACTAGAAAACTTGTATTATCTAAAGTCTCCTCCCTTAAGGATGTAAGCTACTTGAAGTGTTGTCCTGTCTTTACAATCCCTGAAGTGCTTTGTAAACATTGAATAAATAGCTGTTGAATTCTATTAAGAAAGGAATCAAAATATTTCATTCATATGAGTTAAAAGATGTTTTAGCTCCCTACTCCTATAATTTTAGTAAATCAGAGAAGCTGAATAATTTTAAAATCTAATGGGAAATCAACAGTAACCTGGATAAATTGTGGTATATTCACATAATAGAATACTATCTAGCTAATAGAATGAAGGTACAACAGCTACTGTGTACATTAGGCAATTTGATGAATCTCACAAAGAATGTTGAGTGAAATAGCCACAAAAGAATATTGCTATATGACTCCATGATTCTAATTATATAATTTTTTTAAAAGAAAAATTAATTTATACTATTAGAAGTTGGGATACTGGTTATCCTTGGTGGGGAGGGTTATAATAAGGTACACAAGGTAGACTTCTGGATTAATGGTAGCATTTTGTTTCTTGAAGTGAATCTGAGCACTCATTCAGTTTGTGAATGTTCATCAATCTGCATATTTAGAATACGGGTAGTTTTCTGCATATATATACAGATATACATTATCTTCATATGTAATACAGAGTAAAAGAAAAGCAAAAGTAAAAAACACAAAAAGTGACTAAATCAAAGTTATTCAAAGATAATTTTATTGTTTTAAGAAATTAATATTTTATTCTTATTTCAATTATGTACATAAAGCTTGATCAATTATTGATGTACACTAGAAGCAAAGTACAAAGCACTCAAAATGATTGGATTACAGAGAGGTAGCACGTTTGTAATAAAAAAGATTATTCCATGATTGTATGATTTGTTTAAAGATTATAACTTCAAAATAGATTCATAAAATAATGATAAATTTCAATAGACAAAATATTTACCATAGCTGATAGAGAAAAATCCTATGTAACATTAAGTTGCTTTCTTTGAGGATAATGAGAATGTTCATTATTGAAAGCCCACAATGTGCCAGGTAATGTGCAATATATTTGGAACATGTGTCACTTTCAATTCTCACTAAATAATATAAGAAAGGAATTATCTGCTCTATTTTACCAAATATGATATTAAGATTCCAAGAGGAGCTGGAATCTAGGTTTACGTGACTACATAGCTGATGATGCTCTTTCTACTTCTCTACCAAGATGTCTCATTCCAGAGGAAACACTAAAAAATAGTCTGTAGTTCGAAAAACTTCCAAAATCTTTTAAAAAACAGGATTTTAAACCAGTATCTTTGTAAGCATATTAAATAAAATCAAAGCTTGTGGTGGGGGTGGGATCCATGCCTCTTTAAATATAGCATTAGGTTGGACCATATAAAATAGTCATTTCTGTAGGTCAAAAAATGGCTGAGTAATGGCAATTTCATTTACTTCTAAACATAGCCTTGATACAGAAGGGTTTAGAAAACTTAATGTTGCATTTTAATATGCATATAAATAGTGAATAGTTCTACCTGATCTAAAGGGACTTTCTTTTAAAAGAAAATTTAAAAGCTAGAATGCAAAAACATAGTAAATAAGAGTTCAGGATCTCAAGACAGGATACCTATGTGAAATCCCAACTCAACCACTTAATAGTTGTATAAACTTGAGTAAGTTAACATATTTCTCTGTGTTTATTTGGGAGTCATAATTTTATTTACCTCCTAAGTATGCTTTGGAAATTAAATCATGGAATACATGTAATCACTTAAGACAGTGTCTAGCATATAAAAAACATTGAATAACATATTGGCTATTATTTAAACACCAACACTCATTGTTCCTTATAACCGTAGTCTCATATTTACAAAATCACATCATAGGACACACTTTTTTTTTTTTTGAGACAGAGTCTTGCTCTGCCGGCCAGACTGGAGTGCAGTGGCATGATCTCGGCTCAATGTAACCTCTGTCTCCTGGGCTCAAGCAATTCTCTTGCCTCAGCCTCCCTAGTAGCTGGGATTACAGGCATGTGGCACCATGCCTGGCTAATATTTGTATTTTTAGTAAAGACAGGGTTTTACCCTGTTGGCCAAGCTAGTCTTGAACTCCTGACCTCAGGTAATCTGCCCACCTAGGCCTCCCAAAGTTCTGGGATTACAGGCATGAGCCACCATGCCAGGACACACTCTTTTTTTTTTTTTTTTCAGACAGAGTCTTGCTTTGTTGCCCAGGCTGGAGTGCAGTGATGCAATCTCGGCTCACTGCAACCTCTGCCTCCTGGGTTCAAGTGATTCTCCTGCCTCATCTGTGTGCCACCACACCCAGCTAATTTTTTATATTTTTAGTAGAGACGGAGTTTCACTGTGGTAGCCAGGATGGTCTCGATCTCCTGACCTCGTGATCCGCTGGCCTTGGCTTCCCAAAGTGTTGGGATTACAGGCATGAGCCACCGCACCCATCGCAGGACACACTCTTTAGTAAATAAAAACTGCAAAAAGTTTATAAAAGCCTATTTTATACACAGCAACCTTGGGATAACTGGAGACTCAAAGAAGATATAGGCCTCCGTGATGCCTAATATTATCTCAGTGAGATCAAGCAAATATGAGGAGGCAGCAGTTAGGAGCTTCTTCTAGCTCCTTCTAGTTCTCCTTTCCTACTTTCCTGGATGCAAGCAGATCATTTTTAAATACAGGAAGTAAGAACTTCTGGCTGTACTGTTATCGACATGTCACTAAATCTTCTTATGAAAAGGAAGGCTATTGGTAGTTCAAGTGTCTGCTATGCTGCTGAGTTAATGGGCCGAGGTAATGGGTCTGAACCATATAAAGAATTACTGGCTTCTGGATGATTGCTATCCAGGTAACCCAGGTTTCTCACTAGTTATTTTCAGAATGCCCAGTCTGAGCTTAGTTATCATTGTTGCCCAAAGGTAGTAACCTTTTGTTTATCTCAATAATGCTGCAAAAAGAGAAAAGGAATAGGCGTACAAGGAGAACGTAAAATAGATCATAAATAGAAAATTATTTTTGATAAATTTGCTTCAAACATTTAGAAAGAAAATAACACATATGCATTTTTTTGTGTGCCAAGGAAAGTGACATAGGATCAGTTTTTGAATTCATGTTTAAACAACTCAGATCTTCATTAATGCGCTTGTGGTGACTGGTTTATGGCCTTTTTAAACTCTGATGTACACAGTAGAAATAATGTGGTGATCAAGATGAAGACTAAGATGAATGATTTAGAATGCAAGACAATGGAGGGCAAAAGGAACTAGGCATAAATATGAGTACAGCTTCAGTCACCACTAATGCCCTGTGAACATCTGCTTCTGGCTTTCTGTCATGAGCATTTGTGCAACAATTTCCAGATTTTACAGAACATCTTACTGCTTGACCTATATTACCATATTGTTTATGATATTGGAGAGGTAACAAACAGGTATTATTAGTCATGATACATAAGGTCTTAAAAAGTGTTGTTTCATATATTCTGTTTGACTTTTTAGTTAATACAGGCAGGAGGAAAATCAGTTTTCTTTTATTCCATCTTGGGCAGAAGCAGAAGTCCAACAAAGGACAATGTGACCAAATGTTTAACTACGTAAGGGTCATAAATTGAAAAGTACAAGTATGAAAAGAAGTAAAACAAGAAGCGTAAACAACCACACGGCTTATTGTTCTCAGGTAGAAGGAAGTCCCAAAATAGAGAGTACAAAGTTGGTTAAGGTGGCTCCATATCACCTGGGCTGTACCTATCTTTGTTTCAAACATCCATAGCATGTTTGTTGCTTAGCAGTTGCAAACCCCTTGCTATCTCCAGTATCATGTCTGCATTCCAAGAAGGAGAAATGAATGGTGAGCAGATATTTGTACAATCCAGATGTATAAATTTAAAAAAAGCCCGAGTTTATACCTAGTGATTTATGCTTATATCTCATTGGCCAGAATTATGTCATAGAGCCATCCCTAGCTGCAAGGGAAGTTGGAAAATATAGTTTTTGAAGTAGGGATATTGCTGCTCCAAATAAAAGTGGGGTCCAGAAGTAAGCATGAATAGAATAAATATTGTGATAGCATTTAGCAGGATCTGCAACAACTACTCAAAGAACTTTTCAATCATGTCAAAATTATCTTATTAGTTTAGCAACTTGGGAGACAGAGGAAGGGTATTGATTACACCTAATAATTGAGACCCAGTTTCCAGTTTCCAACAGTCCATGTTAAGTAATTTAAGGTGAATGAACTCTTAACAGAAAAAAAATGTGTTTTTATCATATTAGCTTTACATACATACACATACACATACACACATATATATGTATACATATAATATATATAAAATAAGTTACAGAGTTACAAGTGTTAGAGCATTTGAAATTTTTTAGGTATTTTAGGTAGGCCAATTAATAGGTAATTCAATGAGGTATCAAACAAACTGCATTTATTCCTGCTTTAAAATCCAAATAACTTAATGTGAGGCAAATCGTTTGTAATTCTTGTCAAAACAAAGCAAATGCTTTACCAAAGCAATTTTTTTTTCATAGTTTGTCAGAAGAACTCTCAATAATTTACAGAAATTTTAGACCCATTGAATTAAGTTCTGATGATATTGGGGAATCTAACCTATTCGTGGCATCCTTAATAAACCCACATAAGGCCATGAGCGGTGGCTTATTCCTGTAATCCTAGAATTTGGGAGGCCGAGGCAGGTGGATCACCTGAAGTCAGGAGTTCGAGACCAGCCCAGCCAACATGGCAAAACCCTGTTTCTACTAAAAATACAAACATTAGCTGGATGTGGTGGCACGTGCTGTAATCCCAGCTACTCAGGAGGCTGAGGCAGGAGAATTGCTGTAACCTGGGAGGTGGAGGCTTCAGTGAACTGAGATCGCACCACTGCACTCCAGCCTGGGAGACAGAGCGATACTCCATCTCAATCAACCAATTAAAAAACTCACATAAAATTGACAGTCACTGAACTTTGTTCATTTCTGTATCTACCATATGTATTAATCGTTATCACTTTCTATGTGCCAGACACTTACAAAAACCAGGTGAAATAGGTGCTATTGATTTCATTTTGTATTTAAGAAATCTATACATTCTAAACCTGCTTGTTGAAAACGTAAAGGAATAACAAGCATAAATCTCCAATGTTAACATTAGCTGGTAAATAAGAGGTCTTACATGGATATTATCCAGGTTTGGTAACAGAACAGAAAAGGTACTATGGGATTGTATTCTGTAATGGGTAAGGCAGCACAGCACTGGGATTACAAGCATAGACTGGATTTGAATCCCGACTTTCTCACTTAATAGTTGTAATCCTGGGAAAACTGCCTAACACGTCTATGCCTTAATTTCCCTATTTGAAAATGCAGATAATAGTACCTACTCAAATGGTGGCTAGAACTAAACTAAATTGATTAGTATTAGTAAAGTTTTTAGAGCAGTGCCATAGTGAGAACTCTATTATCTGCTGTTGTGTAACAAATTAATCCAAAGTACTTTAAAAAAACAGAACTTTAAAATAACAGAAATGAATGATAATTCTTTGCCAAAACAAGAATTATGGAAGGCAAACTGTTTATAATTCTTGCCAAAACAAGAATTAAGGTCTCTCATGAGGTGGATTCAACTAGTCAACTGTGGCTGCATCATCTCAAGACTTACTAAGGCTGGAGGGTTCATTTCAAGAAGGCTGTCTCACATAGCTGGAAATTCGTGCCTCCTGTCAGTGGGGGGTACCTTTCTGCCTCCATGTGGCTCTCATCTTCTAGGGTGTCTTTCTACACCTGTATTCACCAGAACAGCCTTCTTCACATGGTCTTCTTTATGTGGCAGCTGGGATCCAAAAGAGAAAGCCAGCAAGAGGGTGCATCCAAGAAGGAAGCTGATCTTTTTTAAACCTAATTTCAGAAATGACATCCCAGCACTTCTGCCGTATTATTCATTAGCATTGAGTCATTATCTCTTGCCCAAATTCAAGAGAATAGGATTACCCAAGGATGTTAATTCCACAAGGTGGGATCATTGGGTCCCACATCAGAGGCTGCCTACCTCAGTGAGGCACTATCTGTTAATTAAGATAAATATGAAGTATTGCTGTATTTCCTCATATATTTGAGTCTCTCCAAGGTCAAGTATACCGTCATTACCTAAAGGCTCATCTTAGATTACATTAATCAAATGAGTTTCTTAAAGAAGCAAAACATAATATATTGTTTTTTTGTCCAAAGACTAATATAAACTTTGTTAGAGAAATATTTATTAACCATCAACCAAAGGAATCCTGTTATGCAGGATTATTTACTAACTAGCTAGATTAGGTTAGCTTAGTTTCTGGCTCCATCGTGGTCAGAAGCCATGAATTAGTATTTAGAATTCTGAAGATACTGTTCATATGCTACAAGTTGTCTTTTCTAAATTAGAGAAGCCAGTGGAAAGCATATAAGCAATAGAAAGGATATAGAGAAATGTACATTTCGGGAACAACTAGGCAACAGCTACTGAGATTGAGTGCCTTGGCATCAAATCAGTTCCATCCTCACTTTCTTATTTATATGCCTGAAAAGTATACTCCAGACTAGTCCTGAATGAAAAAGTACATAGTTTAAAAAACAAACTGCAAAATGGTATTTATTTACATTAAAACATGAATTGCCTGTATACACACAAATATAAGAGGAACAATCTGTTATGCACAATAACTGTAATATTTAGTACATGTTATACACAGCAGTATCTGTTAAGTCAGTGGTTTGAGTGAAAACACAGTACCAAAACATTCCTGATACAAAATAAGTTACTCATTCACATATTCTAATCATACAAGACACTTAATATTTTAAAAGTTACATACTTCAAATAACACTGGCTAAATGTACAACTAAAGTTTATTAATTTTTTTTATGAAAAGACTTCAGATTGTTATTCATAAATGATCCCTTTCAGGATGCATTATCTTTTAAATAAATAAACTAAATTGACTTCAAGACTATTTATAAATAGCCCACTAAAATATGATTGAAGACATTCCTTCATTTTATTAAAGGTGTAGCTATATACTAGAGAATATGCTCAACTACTGCCTCCAAATTCCAACACTGTCATTCTAATTTGCAAATAGGAATTATTTAAATTCCAACTTCAGGACATGAGATGAGCTGCCTGCCCTATTTTGTCAATTGTTTCCAAAAGCATTAACGGATTAAGAGACTGTCTTGAACATCTCAAACATTTGAGAAATTCAAGGTTTTCTTTATGTTTTAAGCTGATCCTATATATGGAGATTTTGAGATAAATTGGAACACTTTTAGAAGACCTTCACAAAGAATTTTTCAATTCTAAAATCTATTACAGATTTATATAAAGTCCAAGAGAACATGTGAAATATTTTCATAATGCAGTGAAGGATTCATCTTTGGCATTTCTCCATTCATTCTAAAATAAGATACTTCAACAAACATTTTATACTTTTCTATCTACCTACTATACATATTTTCTATACACAAAAGTATTTGATTGAAATTTGTGTTTTAACAGCAATTTCATTGCTAAGAATTTTTTTTTAGATATGAAAAATATTAGTAACATTCAGCTTTTTACTATGAGAAGCTGAAGTTTTGATGTTGTTGAAATGAATTTGCTCAGTTTCCTTTTTTGGTGACCAGCATTTCAACATCCTATCGAATTCAGCAATGGATAAAGCAGAGATACTTTACAATAAAAAACAAAAAAAGGTGATCAGGATATAATTTTTGAATAATATGAAGCATTCCTCTATTAAGGAAAATATGTATATATATATATAATCTGTATCCATATATCTTCAAATACAATGGGTATGACAGAAATCAAACTGTTATATTTTCTTTCTTGGTCCCTGTGGTTTTTCTTAAAGGAAACAAACAACAAAAACAAACAACTCTGCTCCAAATGCCGATTTGTAGAAACCTTGCCACAATGGCTTCCACATTAGATTTCCACGTTACTTCCAGTATTCACAAATTTTTTGCTTTCATTACAAACTAACCTAATGTTTGAAAAGAGTCCAAGTGTGATTATTTAAAAATAATAATAGAAAACAATAACACAGCTTTTATAATTGAGCACATTTTCCTCATTCAAAACTAAATATGAGGAAAAATCTCCGTAAAACGGAACCAAAACCATTTAGTAGCTCAATTCCATGCTATATTCCCCAGGGCTTACTGAAAATATAAACAAAGAAACAAATACAGTAGGTAATTGATGCTATTTGCCAATGTTTGCAAAGGTCTCGGATAACAAAAATAAGATAGCAATCATGGCTTTATTATGACATTAACACATTCTTCAAATGCAATTACCAATTTTATTCTCTAACCAAACAGAATAATGGAAATCCAAGCAGAGAATGATGTACAGGACATAAAGGAACTAGAATATAATTGGGTATTTCTATTATATGGTGCTGAAACATTTGAATACCTTTAGAAATAAAATAAATTCATCTATTAAACACATAAAACTCCTGGAGAATGCAGATTACAAGAATATGACACTTAACAGGATACTGAATTTGTGAATGTAAATTTGTTATATAATATGGCAGTTACTGAATATTACGTATGCAGCTTATGCTAATAATACTGCTATCTTCCAACCACTGTAAATACCTGACATCAACACGGTCCTTCAAGTATAGTTCAAATTATTAGTTACATGTGATAATACAAGTAATTACCAGCTCCTGCTAATACAATTTAGTAAGAACTGGGAATCTCATAACTGGCACTACTTAATGTTTATAGAATATAATGTTAAGTGCATATGGTTATCAACCTCCAGAATCCAGAAAATATAGTTATCCATACTCTTTTAAGAGAGTTGTACCTCAATTTTATCATTTTAGAGTATTTGTTAGAATAGGATCTCTCCAAAATCAAACAGGATCAATCTGGTCACGTCTAATCCTAAGACAAAACACTATGTAAAATTTTCCTGTATCTAAATGTTGCCCTCTAGGTAAATCTGTGATATTTTAGAGACTTTCTTTTGTGGAAAAGGTAATCTGATAAATGGGAAGAGATCATCAGACAAGTTCACAAATAACCATTATTTCTGCAGAATTCAGTTGAAGTTGGTTTTTTGTAAATGCTTATTGGGAATTTCTAAAGCACTGACTTGGAGAGGCCAAGAGCCTCCATCAATCCCTGCTTGGATAGCCACTCCCGTTACTACTGCTAGGTCAGGGTCTACAGATGTGTTGGGATCTTTTCCAAAGAACTCTTGAATGACTTGACGGATCCGAGGAATACGAGTGGAGCCCCCAACTAAAACCACCTCATCAATCTCAGTCTTTTCCAGGTGGCCTTCTTTCAATACTTGCTGAATGGGTACCAGTATTTTCTGAAAGAGGTCTTCATTAAGGGTATCAAAGAGTTTCCGTGATATTTCTGTTTCAAATAAAACCTGACTTTCTCCACTTTTCTTATCAGAAAGGCCACGTCCAAACCCACTGTTCACGCGATGGTCATCTGCTGAGGAAAGTTTGTCTTTTGGCAGTTCAGTGTCACTACTGTGAGGTTCCTTCCTGTCCTGCTCCTCCACCGTTAGTAATACTGACAACTGAGCAGATTGATGAAGAGTCAGATTTAATTTGACCATTTCCACAGCTTGTCTCAATCTGTGGATTTCCTCTTTCCTAGAGGGCACGAAGCCATATGTTTGATAGATCTGTTTATATAAGTACTGAAGCAATCTCTGATTGAAGTCCTGTCCTCCAAGTTTATTGTTTCCTGAGTGAAAAATAAAAGTTTAATATAGTTATGCATATATGTGTGTATGTATACACGTATGTTATTATGTATACGTAAAAATTATATTCTGGGAATAACAAATCCCTGTTTCATGTATCATTACAATTTTATTCATACAGAGACTGGTTAAAAATAACTGTGTTGCTGGGCATGGTGTCTCACACCTGTAATCCTAGAACTTTGGAAGGCTGAGGTGGGAGGGTTGCTTGAGGCCAGGAGTTGGAGACCAGACTGGGTAACATAGCAAGACCCTGCCTCTATAAAATAAATCAATAAATAAAAATTTAAAAAATAATGACTGGGTTAAAGCTATCTTAACCCAAATAAGTACTATTTAAAAACTAGTGCACATCAGGGTCAAAATTTTAAATTATATAAAAGGAAGTATCTCTTCACAATATCAAATAATTTTTCAGTAAATAGAGATTAAGAATACAGATTGGCTTATAAGTAGCTATTTAAAAACACTGAATGTCATTCTCAACAGAAGAAAGTGCTTCTTATAATGAAAAAGTAGGTATTTAATCTCTTTTTTTCCTTTCATTTTTTCTTGCCTGATTAGGACCTGAAAAGGTCTTTCTACTTTTCTACCTGAAAACTAGATAAATAATTTCAAAGGAAAAGAGTAGTGTAATATAATTTCCTGGTATTTAACTTGATTAGAAAAAGAGAAAAAAAAATGCAGAGGTTAGAATACCTGTAACTTACAACTCAACGTGTCAAACAGGTTGAATCCCTTAAGCTAAATTCGACAAAATAAAAACGTTTAAAAAAGGGTTTAGAATGCATAATCCTATCATTTCCTAGGGAAAAATACAATTAGACTTTCTAAAGACATCTACTTTATAAAACATATTAAATGAAATATACTGATCACCCTTCATTTTAAAGAAATTTTTCTTCCCTCTGTTCCCTTTCTTCACCATCACCATGAAAAGTCCTACTGGCTATGTGAGCCGTAATTGGGTAACTGGCAATGTATTTATGCGACTTATAGGATGCCCAGCATTTTTTGAGATTTAACTTTTTGCTGTAAATATATACAAATGGTATAAAATTACATATACAGAAAACTATCAAAATGAAGTCAAAGAATTCTGGGGGAAAAAAAGGATGCATTACACATTGGATATGTTAAAGAAAGCACTGCCCAAACCTCTTCAACTCTCCCTGCATTTTTCTGTAATTTTTTTTTTTTTTTTTTTTTTAGTAGAGACAGGGTTTCACCGTGTTAGCCAGGATGGTCTCGATCTCCCCATCTCGTGATCCACCCGCCTCGGCCTCCCAAAGTGCTGGGATTACAGGCGTGAGCCACTGCGCCCAGCCTCTCCCTGCATTTTTCTTACCAGACATTGCTCGGGTTAGAAACATCCCTCCTTGTTTATTCAGTAAAGACACATCTAGAGTTCCTCCGCCCAAGTCTATCACCAAGACGTGGAAGACGTCAGCCTTGTGGAGACCATAGGCCATAGCTGCTGCTGTGGGTTCATTTATTACCCTCAAAATCTTCAGTCCTGTAAGATTGGTTAAGGGAAGAAAAATTCATGAGAGGATGCGATCAAGTAATCTCTTCCCACTTACAGCATGTTTGTGTCTTCTGTGACATGAACTCCACCACTGAGTAATAATGAGAGCAGTCACAAACCGAACAGAAGCATGAAATGGGAACAGTAAACATAGGCTCTTCTAAATGCTATCTTTAAAATTATTCTGAAAGATTACAATATAAAGAAATAAAATCCAAGGTTCAGTGCAATAAGTCATTCTACTCTTTATTAATTAACACTTAATTTTCAAAAAGTCTCCCAGCCTTTTCTAACATTCATATTCTACTTTGGAATATATGAGCGATAAAAATTTAATCATTATGCCGAGGTGGGCGGATCACGAGGTCAGGAGATCAAGAGACCCTCCTGGCTAACACGGTGAAACCCCGTCTCTACTAAAAATATAAAAAATGAGCCGGGCGTGGTGGCGGGCGCCCGTAGTCCCAGCTACTAGGGAGGCTGAGGCGGGAGAATGGCGTGAACCCGGGAGGCGGAGCTTGCAGTGAGCCGAGATCGCGCCACTGTACTCCAGCCTGGGCAGCAGAGTGAGACTCCGTCTCAAAAAATAAAAAAAAATAAAAAATTTAATCATTATATACTATCACTAAGTGCTATGGAAATTAAAGAGGCTTATGTTGAGCAGGTAAAAGATCAGGTTTCTTTGAATGAAATTCCTGCTTTAAACTAAATGCCATACTTATGAGCGGTATGCAAAGTAGTATGGCATTATGTATCAGGAGCTATGACAACATTCAAACTCTAAAGAATTATTCCAGAGATCATAACACCCTTCACTTCAGCTCTCTGATTTTACCACTTATTCTACTCTGGCCACACTGACCAACTTCCTATCCTCTATGTACCAGCAAATTCCCAGCTTATGGCTGTTGCAGTGGCCATCTCTTCTTCCTACAACACACTTTCTCCATGCGTCTGCATGGTTAAGTATTTTGCTTTCTTCAAATGTGCTTAAATGTTACTTTCTCAATGAGGTTTGCCTGATCACCCTATTTAAATTCTACAAGTCATCCATCCCCTGACCACCAAAAGCAACCTTGACCCATTAGCCTGCTCTTTTCTTCATAGTGGTTACTTTCTGATATACATTGTATCAGTGGCTCTCAACAAGACAGGATTTTACCTCCAGAAGAAATCTGGCAACATATGGAGACATTTTTCATTGTCACCACTTGGTGGAGGAGGGCGCTGCTAGCATCTGGTGAATAGAGGCTAGGGACGCTGTTAAATATTTTGTAGTTTACAGGACAGTCCTCCACAATAAAGAATTATCTGGCCCAAAATATCAGTAATGTAGAGGCTGAAAACATTATTAAATTTACCTTTTATGCTCATTCTGTGTTTCCCTCTGGTAGAACATAAGTTCCATGAGAACAAAGATTTCTTTCTTTTTTTAGTAAGGCCCTCAATATTGGTTCAATGGCATTAAATGTTAAATCATTAAATGATCTATCTCAGATTTTACTTAAAAAATTATATTCACCTTAACATTAACGGAATTTAGAAGAAAGAATTCCTCACTGCTAACATGTGTCCATTTTCTCTTTGAGCCTTTGTCCTGTAGCATCTGATTGGTTCTTGTTAAATACATATTTTATATTGTGCTATAGAGCTTTCAAAATTATAAACCTGTATAAAAATCTATCTACTTTACCTACATTGATGGTTAATATTATCATCTTGATTGGATTGATGGATGCAAAGTATTGTTCCTGGGTGTGTCTGTGAGGGTATTGCCAAAGGAGAGTAACATTTGAGTCAGTGGACTGGCAGAGGCAGATCCACCCTCAATCTGGGTGGGCACCATCTAATCAGCTGCCAGAGTGTGCCTGGAATAAAAGCAGGCAGAAGAATGTCGGAGGATTAGACTGCCTGAGTCTTCTGGCCTCCATCTTTCTCCCGTGCTGGACGCTTCCTGCCCTTGAACATCGGACTCTAAGTTCTTTAGCTTTTGGACTCTTGTACCTACACCAGTGGTTTGCCAAGGGCTCTCGGGCCTTCGGCCATAGACTAAAAGCTGCACAGTTGGCTTCCCTACTTTTGAGGTTTTGGGACTCAGACTGGCTTCCTTGCTCCTCAGCTTGCAGCCAGCCTACTGTGGGACTTCACCCTGTGATAGTGTGAGTCAATACACCTTAATAAAATCCCTTTCATATACACATATATACTATCAGTCCTGTCCCTCTAGAGAACCCTAATACACCTACCATATAGTTTGTTTATTTTGACTATGGTTGTGTGGTTTGGGAAGTGGTAAACCTTACTACAGAAGGTTTTCAACCCAACACAATTTTGAGAAAAATGCATCTCAGTCAAGGGTACTGTTACCTGCAAGGTTAGCAGCTTCAATTGTTGAATTTCTCTGTTTTAGATCAAATTCTGCTGGTACAGAAATGACAGCATTGGCAACTGGCATTCCAAGATATGCCTCTGCCATTTCCTTTAACTTCAACAATAGTCGAGAGCCAACATATTCTGGGGACACTGTGATGGTCTCATTACTTGTCACAGAAAACTCAACCATTCCATTTTTGTTTAAAACCTGTGAATAGGATTTGCAAATAAGTAAATAAATAAAAGAGTAAAAGCATACAGACATACATATATACATAAATACTAGATTTCATGAGAACTTACCCTTATCTTTACAAAATCAAAAAATGCATTTGAAATCTATCTAGTACATTTACCAAGATTAGAACTTGTTAAATGTTATACATTAAAATCTGTACAATGAATCCATATTAGTTTTACTTTTTTTTTTTTTGAGATGGAGTCTTGCTCTGTTGCCCACGCTGGAGTGCGGTGGCATGATCTCGGCTCACCACAACCTCCGCCTCCTGGGTTCAAGCGATTCTCCTGCCTCAGCTTCCCAAGTGGCTGGGAGTACAGATGCGTGCCACCATGCCTGGTTAATTTTTGTATTTTTAGTAGAGACAGGGTTTCACTATGTTGGCCAGGTTGGTCTTGAACTCCTGACCTTGTGATCCGCTCACCTCAGCCTCCCAAAGTGCTGGGATTACAGGTGAAAGCCACCGTGCTTGGCCCACACTAGTTTTTAATAACAGCAGAATAAAATTCATCACCACGCACATGACTAGAACACAAAAGATTCTCAATATATTTTTGCTGAATAAAGAAAGAATAAATGATGAAATGTAAGAAATAAAAGTTGCTCATTCAAGTATGTAACTCAGAATCTTTTCCCTTTTTTTCCCAAATTTCTTGTTTCTAAGAGTAATGGATAGCTGAAAGAATTTTCTAGTACATATTAACAAGAATAATTTTAGTACATCATTATGTACTTATCCAAGAATCAAATCTCATTTACATTCTTGTTTCCCATGAAAACATGTATTGTGCATTAGCTCATTGTCCCCGATAATGTGGGTGTACATTTAAAAAACTATTTTAACTCTAAAAAATACTATCCTAGTTTTACCAAGATTCTATTAATATAAATAAAAAAGAGAATTAATCTAAGAAATTATAAGAATGTTTTCTCACTTCAGGCCTCATAGTTAGGTTTCCATCATGAAAAACTGACCTTCCAAAAAGTACTTCACTAGTCTGGGGAAAACATAAAGAAGCTACATGGACAATATTAAACTAAGATACAAATATACCAGAACCATCAGTGCCCACATGAAACAAAAACAACAACAAAAAAATCAGATCACTTAGAAACATTAAGTAGTTTTTGGGTCAATAAGTAACGTACCCAAAGCTGTAATTCAGAGGGCATATATAGCTTTAGATGATTTTTTCATTAAAGATTGTAAGTCAGTAAAGAATCCCAAAAAAGAAGTCAAAAAACAACAAAGTAATAAACCTAAGAAATGCAGGGAGCAATTTTTTTTTCTTTGAAAACGGATGAAAAATTTGAACATTTTTATGGCTAGGTTTATTCAATAAGCAGCACTGATACAACTGTCTATTTTGAAACTAAATAATGGCCGGCATGGTGAAATCCCGTCTCTACTAAAAATACAAAAATTAGCCAGGCGTGGTGGCACACGCCTGTAATGCCAGCTTGGGAGGCTGAGGGAGGAGAATCACTTGAACCTGGGAGGCAGAGGTTGCAGTGAGCCAAGATCATGCCATTGCATTCCAGCCTGAGAGACAGAATGAGACTGTCTCAAAAAAAAAAACAAAAACTAATTCATTTAGAATTTCACTTCATTTAGAATTTCACTTCATAACTTCCAAGAAAAACTCCACATGGAAAAAAGCTTTAAATGTTTAAAAGAAAAAAAAAGCAGCGAAATCCAAACCAACAAATACATAAACGTATTAAGAGGGAAAAAAAAGTAGCAGTGGATAGGATGGGATAGGCTACAGTAAACATGATAAGAGTCTAAAATCAAAAATTTAAAACTTTGACATCCAGCTCAAAAACATCAGTGAAAAAAAAAAGGTAAGGAAAAGATAACAAAAACATATAATGAAGGTCTTTTATAGCTCACTAAGGAAAAGAAAAACACACCAAAACAAAAAAGGACAAAGAAAAATGGACCATAAAAGAAAATTAAAATATCAATAAAATTCTAAAAATTCTGATCTCACTAAAAAAAATCAAAATAAATAAAAATTAATACAGGATACTATTTTTCACTTATCTGACTGTTAAAGATTAAAAAAAATAACTAGCGAAGATACAGCCACTCTAAAAAATTATGGTTAAGAGCATATAACCTTTCTGGTGAGCAAACCAGAAAAATAAATCAAAAGCCTTAAAAACGTACACATTTGACCTATCAATTAGACTTCTAGCATTCAAGTTAGGAAACTTTCAGAGAAGTGTACAAAGATAAGTAAGGATATTACCGGAATCTCCAACATTAGTGAAAAACCACAAAAAAGTACACTGATAGAGACTAGTCTAATTAATAATGGAATAGTCATTCCACAAAATCATTAAAGATAATGACATGATCCTATTAATTATCCATGACATATTAAATAGCAAAAAATAGCACACCTGGTATGTTCTCTTTATATGTATATAAATATGTACACATACACACACAGAATATCTATCTATGGTACACAGGGCTTCATCAACCTTCCTGCTACCTTGAAAGAGCTAAGCAAGACATGCTGAGGATGGGACAGCAAGAAAATGGCAAGGCCTTAAGTACCTGTTAGCATTATGGAGTCAGTGATTAACTGATCCTATAGCTGCTGTGGAATTTCTGGTTATGTGAGATAACAGAACTTTCATGTATTAATAGATAAAACTAGACGAGATAGAATGTTTTGTGACATGAAGCCAAAGCATTAACTAAAAGAGTACACTAAAATTAATATAGATTTTAGATTAATCACTTACCTTAAATGGGTATCTGCCAATTTCAGCCTCCAACTCTTCTGCGGTAAAAATCTTGCCTATGAATCTTTTGGCATCATATATTGTGTTTTGAGGATTTGAATCTGCCAGCTCTACGCTTTCATATCCCACATATACATCATTGTCAGTAAAAGACACCATGCTGGGTATGCTGATATGCCCATTTTCATCTGGAATCACCTTTACTTTTCCTGTGCCAGGAAAAAACACCCCAACAGAACAATAGGTGGTGCCAAGATCAATACCAATCACTTTAGGAGTAGGCAATGGTAAATACTGTTGTGCCAAATAGCCGGCCAACAGGAGAGTCAAAACAGCCGATCCTGAAATAAAGGAAAATTAAAAGATGTATTTTATCAAACTAGTACAATGTACTAAATTACTGTAGCAAAGTCCCTTTAATATCACTCGTTGAAACAAGGCTAAAAAAGACAAATTTCAAAATTTTTTATAGGACTGCTGATAGCACTCCTCTCAGACAGCAAGTTTTTCAAAATGTAAACTGGTTATAATAAAATTTAAAATGAAGTAAACACAAACAACAAAAAACCCTATAACTGTATGTTTGTGTCATTCTCTAATAAATGTAATAAAATGTAAAAATATTTCAATAATATTTGTGCAGATGCTGACAAGAAACAACATTTATCTGGAGCAAAAGCCAGATATAATCTAATATTCTTGATCAATTGATATTTAGATTTTACAGCTTTATAAAAAGCTTCGATTATCTTTTTTTAAAAGCTCCATTATTAAAATTCTCACAAGAAAAACTTTATTATTTTATAAGTCTAAAATTCTCTCCTCGTATCTCACCTCCTTTTCCCTTTCAAAAGGATGAAATGAATAAATGGGATAAAATGATTTTGAAAGTTCCTTAGATATGAAACTGTCACTTCAAAACAGAACACAGTTAACTTTTTATGTATTTAAGTATGAACTAGGGACTTCCTTCTTGCAGTGGTAATATTTAGGGGAGAAGAAGCATAAAGGTGGGCAACCCTGACGGCAACATCTATGAAAGCTTCTTGAAGACAAGTTTCGTTCACTGTTGTATCCCCCAGACCAGGAATAGCAGATGCCCAACAAATACTAATTTAAAAAAAAAAGAAAAAAGAGTAGGAACAAATGCCACGCAGATTGTAAACATAAGCGAAGAAAGATGCCCCTTTAGTTTTTAATGAATCTCGTATTTGGTATCAGGAGGCTGTGTTATACACCTGTGTCCGCTCATATTACATATGACCCAAAACATGAATTTTCAGGGCTCTGTGTTACTAATTGTTAGCTCATCCTCATCAACACATAACTCAAAGAAATAAAACCAAGTGCGAATCCCACTTTCCACTTCCAGCTACAGGCAACATTTCAGAAGCATTTCATCACCTTGGAGACGCGGGGTGGGTGTGTGTGTGGGTGGGGGATAGGTAATTCCAAACCCGATGTGATGGAAAAAGCCTCCAAATTCAGCATCCCTGAGCCGACAGATCCGGATGTAGCTCCTCCCCCTTCCTCCACAAAGGGGTCCTGGAGGTGCACGTTCTCGCAGCCTTCCATAGCTTGCCCCAATTCAACAGGCAATTCAAAAACCTAGGTGCTGTTGAAAGGAACGCCTCCCTAAGCCTGATGTCCCTGGGATGGACACAGCTGGTCGCCGTCTATCCTACCTTGGCCTGCAGGGGCCGGGGCCCTCCTAGAGGCGTCCCCGCCCCCATCCACTCCGAACAGCCGAAAACCGTCTCTAAGTCACCTTTCTGACTCCCCTTCCGCTGCTCCAGCTAGATCCAGGAGGTGAGTCAACCACCCCTGCCCACTCTGGCATCCTCAGATCGCCTCTACGCCCGCAAGAGCAACAAGGACCCCCGGGAACCCACCTAAGATCGTCATCTCTCTGGCCATCACAGTCCCGCCGAACAGGCTTGTGATGACTGTACCAGACGTGAGGCACCGCCCCCACTCCTCCCGGCAGTCCCGCAGCCCCCTGGGAAATGTAGTCCGCTTGCTCTGAGGCAATCGGAGAAGCTATCGCTCTGACCAAAGCAAGGACTTCATCTACCGTGAGGGCGCGGGGCAAAGAGCCTCCATTCAACCGCTGCCAGTGACGACTGAGTCCCCCTTCCACGCAACGGCCGGCAGGACCAGTGAGACTGAGGGGGAGGAGCGCCGTGGCGAGAGACTGGCGTTTATAATCAAACCTGTGGTCCCGCGATCCTACTTGAGGGAAAACAGGCTATCTCTTTAGCCCCGCCCCGCGCTTTGCATTCTGGGAAGCGGAGTTCCAGCCTTTCTCTTTCCGCGGGAGGGAATGAAAGGGAGGGTGAGAACCGTTAGTTATTTCTTTCTTTGGTCGTGCCCCTAATCAGGTCCAGGATTCGAGTTTGTGTTCTTTCGTTTTAATTCCTTTTAAAGCGCGTTCGTTTGCCTGAGATCTAGCTTCTAGATGGCGTTCCTATAGCCTCCCGGAGCCCCAGCCATCCTCCGTAGAAGGGTCCCTGCCGCAGTGCGGGGCCTGAGGGAAGTCGGCTCTGGCGTCCGTGCTCCAACGCTGGGAGCAGCCCTGAAACTCCAGTGACCCTCAGCCGTCTGCCTTTGTTTTGGGATAAATGAATTCAAGCATTCTTCAGTCAATTCGATTTATCCAAGGGATCAGGGACACATTTTCTCTATTGCTAGCACTGACGTGGGCCATTAAAAACAAAAACAAAAACGAAATTAAAAAGAAAACCCTTAGCTCTCTCTTCAAGTAAGTCTTAAGTGGCCAAAATTGACCTTATGGGCAAGTCCTGTAACGTGACAGCCATTTTAGGACGCTTGTGACATGCTGTTCAGGTTCTAGTCTGAAGTAGGATTTTTCTCGCATCTTGGTCACTGGTAGCACTTAATGACTCCTCTGAGAGTGGTTTTGTCATTTTTGCTGTTAGAGTTCACGATAACTAAGATCCTGGAGAATTGAATCCATTTTCTCAGCTTAGATATAAATCAAACCATCCCTGTTGACAACACGTCAGCCTGCTGTGGGAATACATTGCTGGTTATTTCTGACTTATCAATGTGAATTTTGATTATGGAAGCTGAATTCTGGTTGATAGGGATCCATTGTAATGTTCTCTCTACTTTTGCGCATTTTTAAGTATTTCATAATGCGAAATATAAAAAGTGTGTGTCTATAGTGAGTGCTGTTCAATAAGATTCTTATAAGGAGTGAAGAATTCAAGCACTTAGTTCTTAAGTATTACTTGTAATGGGCAGTGGGCTGGAGGTGTTCCAGGCAGACGGAACTCAATTACCAAGAGCACAGAAGCAAGAGATCATCTATTCCATAGATTAGAAAGTGGTGGATCATAAAGCATGAGGTAGAATTCTGAGAGACAGAACTAGAGACTTAAACCAGATTAAGATTAGCCGTCTGTGACAAGCACTGGTCATTGGGATTCTCCCTGCCACTCACTCCTTTCTCCTTGCTAACAAGATCCTGATTTGTTCAAGAAGCAGGTAAAGATTATGTGATCTCAGAGTAGAAGGCCTTTAGAATTAAGATTGAACTAAATAGGTTGTATTCATTTTCTATTTCTGCCTTAACAAATTACCACAAATTTAGTGTCTTAAACCAACTCAAATCTATTATTTTTACAGTTCGGTATATCAGAAATTTGGTATGGGTCTCACTTAACTAAAAGCAAGTTATTAGCAAAGCTGCATTCCTTTCTGGATGTTCTAGGGGAGAATCAGTTTCCTGCTAATTTGAGTTATTGGCAGAATTCATTTTCTTGCAGTTGTAGGGTTCAGGTCTTCATTTTCTTGCTGGCTGTAACCTGAGAGCTGTTTCCAGTTTCTGAGGCCATACACATATCTTAGCTCAGAGACCCTCTTTCTCCATCTTCAAAGCCAGCAACAGCGGGTCAGGTCCTTTACAGAGGACATTTTTTTGCATCGCTCTTCCAAATTTTAGATGTCATGTGTTTACATTGGACCTATCTGGACAACTCAACGTAATCTCCATTTCAAACCCTGTAAACTTATCATATCTGCAAAGTCCGTTTTGCCATGTAAGGTAACTATTCACGAGTTCTAACAGTTTGAGGAGGCCTTTATTATGCCTACTAAAATGGTTCTGTGGCCCCTCAGATTCACATCTGTCCACATACAAAATGCAACATCCACCAAAGTCCCATCCCATTATAGCATGAACTCAAAGTCCAGAAAGTTCATCTATACTTCATCAGTTCAAAAGTCTCGCATCTCATTATCTAAATCAACTAAATGGGGTAGTAACTGATACCACTTATCCCTTCTTGTTTGTTTACAATCAGAGGAACAATGAAATACTTAGATAAGAATGCTGGTGAGACTATTCCAGTAATGTTATAAAGAACAGAAAAGTCAAGGCACTGGGGTTGGGAAGTAATCATTGTTATCATTCTCCAATAGTGACCAATTAATTCGTTGTTTTTATAGTTATTGTTTGGTGTTTTATGTTACAATCCATTGCAATTATTATCCTTCTTGATACTTAGATTGCTTTAATTTTGGCCGATGGCAGCCTCTTCAAAATTCACTCATGAATGCTTTTGACACAATCGCTTTACTTACTGCCTTGCTACCTGCTCTAAAAAGATATCTAGAATCCTCTTATTTTTTTTTGTTTGTTTTGTTTTGTTTCATACTTATAATTAACTGTATGTCTAAGGAACCCTGCTTTCTTTTATTAAGAAAGTGTGGTATCTGGAGACCATAATTTGTATGCCAGGGGGTTATTATTTTAAGGGTGCCAGTTCTTTTTATATCTTTGAATTCAGTGAAATATCAAATAAAAAGCCAGCAGGATATTTTATGACTTGATAAAATGACAATAAAATTTATTTGGAATATTTAAGATAAGAATTTAATGGGTATATAGTCCTTGCGCATGTTAAGTGACAAAACTACAAACTTAATACTACAGAGGAAACAGAAAATGGACTTTAGGCTCAGCAGCAGCACATGCTTGTAGCCCCAGCTACTCGGGAGACTGAGGTGGAAGGAACACCTGAGCCCAGGATTTTGAATCCAGCCTAGGCAGCATAGCAAGAACCCTATTGCAAAAAACTAAATAAAAGAAATAAAAATAAAACAGACCTAAGAAGAAAGTGGCAATCTCTTCAAAATAAATGAAAGCTATATTATTCAACAAATGTAACAGGGCAGTTGGCTATTTATAACTTTGAATGTAAAAAGGGATATTATACCTTAACATCAAAATAAATATAAATAGATAAAATGTTTAATTAAATAACTACAAGTAGTTTTATTCATTAACTTAGGGGTAGGAGAAGTCTTTGAAATTAAGACTTAAAACCTAGAAACAAATAAGGCAAAACTAAACTTAACAGATAAATTTGATTATGTAGAATTTAAGATTATCTAGCAGGCAGAATTACCTATTTGAATTTATATGAAGTCAAAAGACAAATGACAAACTGAAGAAATACTAAACATACATCATGATCTATAATAGATTTAATTCCTTTATGGAGAATTCCTTCAGAGTATAAAGGTGTACAACTCAATTGAAAAATAAGAAAGGACATAGACAATAGAAAATAAAAATAACCAACAAACATGAAAATATATTCTACCTTAGTCACACTTAAATAAACATAAATCAGAATAATAACATGTCATTTCTACCTATCTGTAATCAGTTGAATTGTGGCCCCCTCCAAAAAAGGTATGCTGGAGTGCTAAACCCCTGTACCTCAGAATGTGACTTTATTTGGAAATAAAGTTGTTGGACATATAATCAGATAATATGAGGTCACACAGAAATAGGGTGGTCTGTTAATCCAGTATTACTGGTATCCTTATAAGAAAAGGGCCATATAAAGGCACGGAAACACAAGGAGAATGCTATGGGATGACCAAGGCAGTGATTAGAGTTATGTAGCTACAAGCCAATGAACGTCAAAGATTGTCAACAAACCAGCAGAGCTACGAAGAGTCAATAAAGGATTCCCCTGCATGTTTTAGAGGGGACATGCCCAACTCATATTTTGATTTTGGACTTCTAATCTCCAAAACTATGAGACAATAACATTTTGTTGTTTTAAAGCCATGCAGTTTGTGATAATTTGTTATGGCAGCCCTAGGAAACTATATACTATCTTACTGGAAAAATATTTAAATAATGATAAGCAGTGCTAGTGAATGTGTCTGTTGCTCATGATAGGCCTGTTTGTGGAGTACATTTTGAAAGGGTAATATTGATTAAAATGCAGGGCACATAGACTTACATTTACAGCCATTATTATAATGAATAGAATTATTCTTTCTCCACAGAGAAAGAGATGGAAAACAGCACAAAATTAGATGAAATAATAGTTTCAGACTTTGGAGAATAGGCAGAGAAACACTATGATCCCTGAGAAAAAAGAGATAAACCACGTAAAGTCTATAGTCATCCTGTATTTTTATTGAGAGACACACATGCAAGACCACAGTGTAGACGAAAGTCCCAAGGAGAGTATATGGCCTTGCCTTGTATAGAAGACACATACCAGAGTTCAGGCGTTTTGGAAGGAGGCTGAAGTTGCAGCAAAGGGCTCTGAAGAGGTAAGCGCTATATAGAATACCAGAAATCCCCAAAATATTGGGATACCTTTACTTCACACCATACACAAAAATTAACTTGAAATTAGTTATAGATCGAAATGTAAGACCTCAAAACTCAAACTACAAATCTGTAGGAAAACGCATGAGAGAAGATATTTGTGATCTTCTTGTAGGTAAAGATTCCCTACATGTGAAATAAAAAGCATGAATCATAAAAAAGTTGATAAATAGAATGTCATTAACATTAAAAATTTCTATTCTTACATGCCATCAAGAAATGAAAAGTCAACTCACGAACTGAGAAAATATAGTACATATATCTAACAAAAGACTTGTATCTAGAGTTTATGAGTAACTCTTACAACTAAATAATAATATAACAGAAAATACCTAGTTAAAATTTGGTTGTAAGATTGTAATAGAGATTTCATAAAAGAAAATATACTAATAGCCAATAAACACATGGTAAGATAGTTAACACTGGGGACAAACAAAACCACTACACGTCCACTACAATGGCTAAAATTTAAAGGTTGATTCACTAAGTGTTGACATAGATAGGGAACAACTGGAATTCTTATACATCACCAGCAATATTATAAAATGGTACCTTAACTTTGCAAAAACAGTTTGACAGTTTCTTATGTTGGTAAACATATCCTTACCATATGACTCAGCAATTTCACTTGATATTTAACCAACAAAAATAAAACCATATCAAAAAAAATTGTGCAAGGATGTATGTAGCAGTTTTTCTTGCAGTAGCCACAAACTAAATCATAGATCCATTAACAGTTGAGCGAATAGTTTTACTGTACAATTGTGCATAAGAAGTATTAAAATGTGTCCACACAGTGACTTATACATGAATGATTTGGGAATCTGTGTTCCTAATGGCCTCCAAACAGAAGCAATACAAATTCAGCAGGTAAATGGAGATGCCAATTATGGTATATCCATATAACAGAATACTACTCAGCAACAGAAAGGAATCATTGATGAATACAATAACATTATGATGAGCTAAGCAGAAGAACCCAGGCACAGAAGAATTTCTACTCTGTGATTAAATGTATAGGAAATTCTAGAAAAGAAATACCTAATACACAGTGAAAGAAAGCAGGGCAGTAATAGCTGAGATGCAAGGAGGTGATTGACTGGGAAGAGGCACCAGGGAAGTTTTTACAATGATGCAAATGTTCCACATCTTAACTGTGGTAGTGGTCACATGGATATAGATCTATATTTCTCTACATAGATATCTCCTTGTGTAAATACTTATGTATATAAATATATCTCTGTCAAACTCATTAGATTGCACAGTTAAAATGGATGAATTTTATTTTATGTAAATTATACTTAAATAAAGTTATTTTGAAAAATAAAATTTTCTATACCTGAAAACTGTGAAGAAGAACACCAGAAATTCTAAGTATTCTACTGCTAGGAATTTATAAATATTCTTATGAAAGTACACATCTTAATTGCTCATGGCAGGACTCTTTCCCAAAAAATAATTGGAAATGACCTAATCAACCATTTATGGCTCTGTCAAACAGTGGAGTTATAACAAAAAATGAAATTCATTTGTATTGTTGTATTTCTAAAAAGTGTTTCTAAACCGTGTTGTTAAGTAAAATCAATCAAGGTTTGGAGCACATATTAATTAATTACACATTAATACTACTTCGAGTGGATAGCCTAAACAATATGTGCTAATAGCATAAACATTTTATGTCCACTTTAATTTAATTTAAGCTTTAACTTATTACTGTCTTTACTATATTTTCTTATTTCTATTATCTTTTCATCTTTGAACCATTGGTTATTTAGAAGTGTGCTTCCCAATTTCCAAACATTTGGTGATTTTCTAATTACCTTTTTGTTATGATTTCTAGTATAATTATACTGTGGTTGGACAACATATTCTGTATGATTTTAATCCTTTGAAATATATTCACACTTGTTTTATTGTCTAGAATATATTCTGTTTTGGTGAATATTCCATATCTATGTGAAAAATGTGTGTTCTGCCATTTCTGGGTGTAGTATTTTGGAACTATCATTTAGATGTATTTTACGGCTTCTGTATCCTAGTTTTGTTCTTATTATTGTTCTAAATGCTTTATCTGTCATTGAGAGTTGTAGGTTAAAACATCCATCTATGATTGTGGATTTTCCCAATTGATGTGTGTGTGTGTGTGTGTGTGTGTGTGTGTGTGTGCTCTGTTTTTAGGCAAATACAAATTTAAGATTATAATTATTTTATTAGCATGAAATATTCCTTTTTATATTTAATAATACATTTTGTTTTAGAGACTACTTTGTCCCAGGATCAGAACAGAACTACACAGCAAAATTTAAGGTGATGCCTACTCTCTGATACCGACTCTGCAGTTGTAGGACCCTGAGAGTAAGCTCCCCCTTAAATTTTGTGCCCAAATGCCTCATCCTGTAAGAGGCATTCACTCTTATGGCAGTTGCACTTGCTTTCCTTGCCCTTGTTCCAGTCCTGATTTGTCTGATATTAATAGAGTAACTCCAGCTTTCTTTTGTTAGTATATCCTAAGTACATTTTCCCTATCCTATATCTCTTCACCCGTTTATCTCCTTATATTTAACATGTTTATTGTATGGAAGCTAAATGATGTGTACACATACACATAGAGTATGGAATAATAGACACTGGGAACTCGAAAGGGTGAGAGGGTGGGGTATGTGAGCGATGAGAAATCACTTAATGGGTACAATGTACGATATTGAATGATGGTTACACTAAAAGCCTAGACTTTACCACTATGCAATATATATCGATGTAACGAAGTTACACTTGTACCCCTTACATTTATACAGATTTTTTTTTAAATAGTGTCTCTTGTAAATAGTATATAGTTGGGCTTATGTTTTTGCAGTAGGATAATATGTCTTTTATTTATAGTCTTTAGTCAATTTACATTAACTATAGCTATGGATATAGATCAATGCATGGATTTAAGTCTATCATCTTCCTTTATTTAAAAAGTATCATTTTTTTTACTTCTTTCCTGCTGTCTTTGAGATCACTCAGTATTTTTTATTCCATTTTATATCTTTTATTTTTTCAGTTAAAAATCTTTTTCTTTCATTGTTTAGTGGTTATCGTAGTGATTTTAACATATATCTTTGACTTATTACATTTAGTCCTTTTATCATGTCTTGAAGGATGCAAAACTCTCACAGCACTTTTACTTATCACTCCCTACCTTGAATATTTATTGTTATATGTTGTATATGTACTACGTTATACACCCTACAAGTAATAATTATTACTATTTTTTTGTTTGTTTGTTTGCTTCGTTTTTTTTGAGACGGAGTCTCGCTCTGTCGCCCAGACTGGAGTGCAGTGGCTCCGCCCCCCGGGTTCACGCCATTCTCCTGCCTCAGCCTCCCGAGTAGCTGGGACTACAGGTGCCCACCACCACGCCCAGCTAATTTTTTGTATTTTTGGTAGAGATGAGGTTTCATGGTGTTAGCCAGGATGGTCTCGATCTCCTGACCTTGTGATCCGCCCGCCTCGGCCTCCCAAAGTGCTGGGATTACAGGCTTGAGCCACCGGACCCGGCCAACTATTGTTTTAAAGGCATCAATATTTTCCAAATTTTCTCACATATTTAACTTTTCTAGTTAAATATTAAATGTTATATTTTATTTCTAGTTAAATATTAAATGTTAAACATATTTAACATATTTAACATTTCTTTCATGTTTTCATTTTTGACCATTTTCCGTCAGCTTGAAAAATTTCATTAATATTTTTTGTAGTGCTGGTTTGTTGGCAACAACATTTTTTGAGGAGGGGCTAAAATATCTTTATATCATCTTCACTTTTGAAAAATATTTTCTTTAGATACAGAATTTGCGTTGGCAGTTTTAATTTCTTCCCTCTTTTTCTTTTATCACTTTAAAGATGCCATTCCATTGCTTTTGTCTGGTAAAATTATCCATAAATCTCATTCTTGCTTTTTGAAGAAGATGTGCCTTTTTTCTATGCCTGGTTTAAAAATCTGTTTCTCCCCCCCCTTTTTTTTTTTTGAGAAGTTTAAATACGTTTTGCCAAATATGGTTAATTTGCATGTGTCTCTCTTGAGGCTGACTGGGATTCTTGGATCTCTGGTTGTTGCCTTCATCAGATTTGGAAAAATTCTCATCCATAGCTCTTCAAATATTGTCTCTGTCCCTTTTCTCTTTTTCTGAGATTTCAATTGCGCATGTATTTGCCCATGTACTATATTAATTTTTGCCCTATATTTGTTAATACTTAGTTCTTTTCTTTCCATTTCTTTTCTGTCTTCAAGTTGAATTTTTTTCTGTCTTTATGTACACTAATAATTTCTTTACTGTGTCTAGTCAGCTATTAAACACATTCTAGAGTTTTTAATTCATGTATTTTATATTTTTCAGTTCTAGAATGTTTCATTTGATTTTTATATTGATTCTAATTGTATGTTAAAATTGTCTTTTCTTTCATTCCGCTCATCGTTTATTCTCTTTTATTTAAATTTATTCGTTAGTTATTTTAAAGCTTTTATCTGTTTAGTCCAATGATATCCATAGCTAGGGAGAAGAGGAAGTGTCCTTATATCATCTAATTTTTTTTCATTTTCTTTCGTTACGTTTTCCAGTTTATTCAGATGCCTCGTTTCTATACATGTTAGAACTATAGAGAGAGAGAGGTTGATGTTACTTTCCTCTCAAACAAGATTTTCCCTTTTCTCTTATGCAGGTAGACTGAGAACGAATCATCTCAGTACAACTGGGAATTTAGCCACATAGGGGTTGGATTCCACCGCAAGTAAAAAGTTAGTCCTTCTCTAAAGTACAGACATGCCCTGTGTTTGTTGCAGACCCCTCCCTCTAGAGGGACTTTATCTTTTAAGCATTTCAAGAAACAGGAGTTCCTTCTCTGCTTTGCACCACCTTAGCACTCATGTCTGGGGCTCCTTTAGATTCCCCTGCCAGTGTCCACCGAAAGCTCTGAGGGTTTCTGTTTCTCCTAGAGGAGTTCTTTGCTTAAATCAAGCTTAATCTTTACTATGTGCACAGATTTGGCAAATGCTGCCATGAAGAAAACTGTTGGTCTCATCTTTCCCAAGAAATATTCCATCTCTGGAAACAGTTCATTTAGTCCTCTTTGCATCCTCCCTACTTCGATGTCTTACAAACTTGACTTTGGGATGTATGCATTTTTTTCTATTTGTTGAAGTGGGAGTTGTAACTTGTACCCTGCCTTCTTCATTCCACTCAGTGGTTAAAATAGACCAAAATTTTAATGAGTTTATTACCTTTTATTGGTCCTGACTGGTACAAATACTGATAAAAAGGATTTTAAGATCATATTCATACTTTTGGGGAATGAGAGCCACAATTAATTAACAATGTCTGCCATGAGATTGGATGCAAGAGTATGGCACTCATACTATTCCTACTTCTGTCTAATTACACTATTTGTTTCTGTGTGCAAAAATCTTTGGTAGGTGGTGGATGTGCCCAAGACACAGGGAAGAAAAAGAAGTAAACAGGGAAGTACAACACAGACTCTGAAATGGGGCATCATGGAAGACGGAGCTTTGTCGTCTTGGTCTTTGCTGTATATTCACTTCCTACAACAGTGCTAAATACCTTGTGGATGCTTAAATATATTAAATGAATGCATAAATGAAAAGAGTAAATAAAGAGTGTATATGAAAGTATGTAGATAAAATTCTTCACTAAGCCTTGGGGATCCAGCTGCTTAAGGACTAAGACCGTATCTAGCTCCTTTTAGTATTTCCACAGCATGCCATGGAGATACATGTTTCTGATTATATATGATACATGGAAATTATATGTTGTTGAATGAGTGATTGAGTAAATGTGTACTAGGGCAGCTAATCATAAATATTTCTACTATTGCTAAAATGACTGGATTTATCCATTCCTTCTGAGAGTTTATACTGATTGCTTATATTGTATCAAATACCGTAACTGAGGGCAATGTTTACTCAAACTAATAGCACCATTCAAATTTATGCAAACAATAACACTATATCTTTAAAATGTTTTCACTAAAAGCTGCATAAAGAGTGTATTCAACAACAATAGAATAATTTTACAATCTTTTTTCTTGCTTAATGGCCATTTGTGCCTTCTGACATGCTGCTAGCCATTCAAAGGTCACACTACCTTGAAGTTGAAGATCAAGACAAATGATTAGACTCATAAAAGACAAATCACGTCTTTCTGGACAGGTGATTATTAATAATTAATTAGCATTTAAACATGTATTATTTAAGTTCTTTTTAAGTTATAAAGTCTTTGATTTGCTAAACAGTTTAAATAATGAATAAAACATAAAATAATAATAGTTACCATTTATTTAATTCCATAATAACTGATTTGTATGTATTATAAGCTTTCTTTCTGAAAGCAGAGTTTGGAGGTGGGTTCATAACTTTCTACAAACAGAAAACTGAGATTTAGAGGGTTAGCTAGGGAAGAATTTAAAATTAGATCCGTCTTATTAAAAAAACAATCTATGTTCTTGTCTTAGTCAGCTTGGGCCTCCATAACAAAATACAATGGACTGTTGGCTTCAAAAACTGAAACTTATTTTCTCACAGTTTTGGTGGCTGGTGGGTCAGAGATCAAGGTGTTGGCCAAATGTGTTTTTTTTTTTTTTTTTGAGGATTCTCTTCCTGGCTCACAAATGGCTGCTTTCCTTGTCATTGATGACTTGATACAGAGGGGGAGAGGGAGAGAGAGAGAGAGCAAAGTGTGTGTTTGTGTGTGTGTCTCTGTGTGTGTTTATATTAGAGAGAGAGAGAGACAGAGATCTTACACTTTTTATAAGGTCACAGTCTTGTGGTATTAGTACCTCATTTTTATGACCTCATTTAACCTTAATTACCTCCTAGAGCCTTTATCGCCAGATACAGTCACATTTCACATCGAAGGTTTGGGCTTCGACATATAAATTCTGTGGGATACAATTCAGTCCATAGCAATTCTGAAGCACTATAATATACTCTTTTAATTTTTAAATAAAGATGGAATTATTTAATATGTTATCTTTCAGTTGCCTTCTGGGTGTGATTTACATTGTGACTTATATATAATACTAACTCCCTGAAAAACTCTCTGACACATAATATCTGTTGAATTAAGGAGTGAATCCCATCCCTAAAAAGAACAAGTTTATGATAATGCAGATGTGTGTTCTTGTATGATTTTCATTTTTTTTTTTTTTGGTCTCCAAAGTATATATTATGCACTATTTCCAATGCAAATGATACCCTTTAAGTTTTCTTTCTAGCAACTCTAGAATTCGGAGAATAAGCCTAAACTCAGCTTTGGTTTCCTAGACTTAATTATGTCTTAAATATGAGACTTCAGTAGTCTAATTCTCTTTTCATCTTCATTGTTTCTCACTCCACCAAAACAATATTTAGCCTCAGCAAGATCTTTAGATTTTGGATATGACTTTAGAATATATAAATAAATACTATTCCAATGGCTAAAATTATTTTTCAAAGCTGGACTAGTACAGAATTACAATGGATTATAGAATATGGAAATGTATCAGCTTTCAGGTGGTTTTCTCTTTTCAACAAAGAAAGCCTTAATAAAAATGGTATTTTCAAAGAACTTACTTAGTTTTTCTGAACACAATGCTATGGCCTTACATTTTTGCCTGATATGATGAAATTCAATAACATCACAAAATAAAAGAGTTTTCTAGACTCACCTCCATACAGGTTGGAGACAAAGGAAAGAAGGGAAATTATGTCAAGATGTTCACGTCTTTTTGTCCTAATCAAATGATCTGATTCAAATGTTTTTACAGTAACATATCTGACATTTTGGTAATAGGTGTTGAAGTGCTTGCCTAAATTTAGATCAAATTAACTATACTATATACAGCAATATTCTTTTGATTCAAATTGGGAGGAAACCCACGAACTTGAAACAGAATAGGATCTGTTGCCTAGTACAGCAGAAAGAATTCTGAGTGAGCTATTAGAAAAGAGTTCCAGGGTCAGTTGTGTGACATTGATTACATGACTCTTACATGTAAACATTGATAACATGACACTGATAACATCTCTTTAGCAGATATGGCCTTGGATATTCCTTTCTTTCTTTGAAAATGTAATTTCATTCCTCCCTCCTTTCTCCCTCTTCCTTTTCCTGCCTTCCTTTCCTCCACAAATAGTTGTACAACTACCATTTCTTAGGCACTGTGAATACAGTAAGGAACCAGAACGATAGGATTCCTGAGCTCAGGGAGCTTATAGCCCAATCAGAGGAGCCCAGACCTTTAACAACTAGTTGCCAAAATAATGATGTGATTTTAAGTATGATAACTGCTTCAAAGAAAAGATTTACATTGGTGGAAAGGGGGCTTTTGTGTATGATTTTATGTTTTTGTGTATACACCTTTACTCTCATGTATTAAAGGGAAGTCCTTCCATCTTTTTTTTTTTTTCCTGTAAAGAGAGAGAGATTTAATTGGTAATGGGCCAAAATTTTAATAAAGAAAATAATACTTGTAATGCAGTCTACAGCTAATGTTAACCTTTTAAATCTATTTTTAGTAAAATTCGTTTTCTCTTTTCCTAAAAAAATTCTTTTGCCAGATTCTAGGGATAGGCATAAGCTTATTTCAGTGCCATCTACTTTAAGAATTTCAAATGTTAGCAATGACTTATTTTATTTACGAAGATGATGAGCTCAGAGGACTAGGTGAAATATATGAGGCCTAGGTTTCTCTTTTTTGTAAAGTGATTTTTTCCCTTGAATTTTAGGCCAGCTAAAAACATTTTCTTTATATAGCTCATTGTAAACAATGTAAACACAGCAGTGTGTAAAGTTAGAAAACAACTCCTTTCAAACAACCCAACTTCCCCATGTGGTGTTTTGACTTTTTTTTCCTGCATAGACATATATAACATAGCTATGCATTTTTATTAACAGAAATTTGTTAATATTGTATATATTCTATAATTTGCTCACCTCCCTTAACAATATGTCATGGATATCTTTCCATATAGTTGTACATAATCCTGTTTCAGTCTAATACCTACATAATTTCCCATTACACTAATGTACTGTAATTTGTTTAAACAATATCTCTTATTGGAGACTAGGGTTATTTCCAGTTTCTTAGTATTATTCTTATGTAATAAAATCCTTCTATGTCTGTCCTTCCTTTTTCTACCATTATTTCTGTGTATCACTTACTAGCACATAGGACAGAGAAGCTGTTTTGCACCCAGGGTACTATAAGAGCATGCTCCACTCCTAAATTATTCTAATTACTCTGTGGTTTGCTTCTGGGCCTGCTCACATTTTCAAACTCTGCTGTCCTTGAAGATCTTTTTTCTCTAGGGGTGATTCAGAAAATTGGTTCAACTTCTGCTCTGGACACTACCTTCTTTTCCTGTTGAATTACTGATTTCTTAACTCAATTTTGTTTTCATGCCCTTCTTATGTTTTATACATACAAAATTATAAATGTATAAATAATAAAAAGAATAAAACATAATATATAATATATATTTAAGTTGTGAAGCAAAATAATAAAATGAACACTAGTGAATCCCTCCTCCCATATTGAGAAGTCTGTCAACACAATTCTGAATACCACTGAGCCTACCAATGTGTTTCTTTTCTATCCTTTTCTATTCCTGCCTCCCTCTCAGAGGCGAATTTTATGTCTACCATTTTCTTTATTAAAAAAGTTTTATCATATATGATGCATTCCTAAACAATTCATTATTTACTTTTAGTTTTGAGTTATCTAAAAGGCCCCACACTGGCATCATACAGTTAGGGATTGCTCAGAAAAGCAGAAAGTATGTGAGTGATATAGACCAAGGGACTAGAATGTAGGCAGTTATGGAACTGATTAGCCAGTATATGTAGTCTTTTTGTTTGTTTGTTTTTGCCTGTCTCAGCTCACAGCCAGCTGTCCCTGAGTCTGGAGTTAAAGCTGGAGTAAAGGTGGAGAGACCAAGGAGACACACCTGTCTCTCATGACCTCCAATCTTGATGATGTAGGTAACTTGACAGAGAAGATGATTCTCTTCACCACAGAGCTGAGCCACACCTGGCCAGAATCAGGGAAGGTGAAGGAAGAGATCTGGAGGGATTTGGGGAAGCTGCAGGGCGGGCTGCTGTCCTCTGCCAAGATCAGTGACAACGTGTGTGAGCTGCAACTGCACATGAATGTTACCAACCTTCTGAGACTTAAAATTTTCACCTTCTAAATCTTAGACAAATTTCTTTTGTAGTAATGTTATTTCGAAATCACGCTGAGAAAGCACTTCTGGGCCATGTAATTCCAAATTAGTTATATTGACAAAGTGGCAAGGTATCCACACTTTATAGATTTCTGTGACTTTTTCTCTCAATATTTACATTGCAAGTTGTTTTTTGTAGCTATATGTCTTTAATTTTCATTAGTCTATTATAGTCCATTATGTGAAAAATCTCAAATGTATTTTTCCATTATCTTGTTTATGGACATTTCAATTGCTTTTAGTGTTTTGCTATTATGAAGAATGCTACTGTGGATATTCTTCTATATTTCTCGTGATGTAATTGTGCAAGCATTTCTCTACGGCTTAGAAATAGGAGAACTGATGTCCAACTTTACAAAATGGTACCAAATTGTTTTCCAAAGTTCTTTTTATGAAATTTATACTTCCACCAATGCCATGTAGACTTTTTATTGATACATAATAATTGTAAATGTTTATGGAGTACTTGTGATATTTTGATGCGTGCAATGTTTGATGATCAAACCAGGGTTTCTAGGCTATCCATCACCTCAACCATTTATCATTTCTTTATGTTCGGAACATTTCAAATCTTCCCCTCTAGCTATTTTGAAATACACATTAGATTACTATTAATTGTAGTCAGTCAACTGTGCTATCAAACACTAGAATTTATTCCTTCTATCCCATGTTTGTACCCATTAACCAACCTCTCTTCATCCCCATTCCCTTCCCAGCCTCTAGTAACCATCATTCTACTCTCTACCTCCATAAGAGGTAGCTCCCACAGATGAGTGCTAACAGTGATATGTGTCTTTCTGTGCCTGGTTTATTTCACATAACATAACGACCTCCAGTTCCATTGATGTTGCTGCAAATAGGATTTTATTTTTTATGGCTGAATAGTATTCCATTCATCCTGTACAATTGGGAAACTATTTGCAAATTATTCATTGAACAATGTACTAATATCCAGAATATGTAAGTAACTCAAACAGCTCAATGACAAAAAAACAAATAATCCCATCAAAAAGTGGGCAAAGGATCTTAATAGACATTTCTTAAAAGAAGACATACAAATGACAACAGGTATATGAAAAAATACTCAACATCACTAATCATCAGGGAAATGCAAATAAAAGACAATGAGATATCATCTCACCTCTGGTAAAATGGCCGTTATTAGAAAGACAAAAAATGACAAGTGCTGGTGAAGATGAGGAGAAGGTGGAACTTTTATACACTGTTGGTGGAAATATAAATTAGTATAACCATTATGGAAAACAGTATGAAAGATTCTCAAAAAACTAAAAAAAGAACTATTGTATGCTCCAGCAATTCCACTAGTGGGTACTTATCCAGCAGACAGGAAATCAGTCATCAAAAGAATACCTGCACCCCCATGTTTTATATTGGCACTATTCACAATAGCCACATAGACTTTTAATTGAGCTACATACTTGCCAACACTTAGCATTTATCATGCTGGTCAATATTTTCTAGTCTGATGAAAGTAAAATGACATCTGTTTGTGATATTTATTTGCATTTTTCTAATTGTTAATGAAATTAAATAATTTTTCATAAGTTTACTCTCCATTTTTTATTTTCTATAAATGCTTGTTCATGTAAATTTTCTCATTTTTCTAATTTTTTTCTTTCCAATTTTAGGAATTCTTTATATATTTTGGTTACTAATGTTTTACAAGTTATACATGTTGCAAATGTCTCTATGGCTTATTTTTAAATATCTTTGTAATATCTTTAAATGACATAAGTTTTTAATTATATAATGTGGTCAATTTTATGATTAGTACCTTTTGTATCATTTAAAATCTCCTAACCTACCCTGAGTCATTAATACATTCTTCTATTTTATCTTTTTTAACTTTCATATTTGGGCCTTTAATCAACCTGGAACTGATTTGTGCATGTAGTGTGCTGTAAGGATCCTATTTTTCCCCCATATTTATAACTATGAGCCAACACTATTAGTGAATAGTCTAATTTCTGCAATGTTTTGCATGGCTATCTCTATCACATATTAAATTTTAATACTCACAAGTCTGTTTTTGAGCTCTCTATTTTGTTTTACTGGCCAATTGATCTAATACTGTTTTAATTATTATATTTTTATAATAGTTTATGCTGTTAATCAGGACAAAGATCTTCACTTTTTCTCTCTTCTTCATGAGTGTGTTGACTATTTTTCTTCCTTTTATTATTTATGTCAGTTTTAGAAAAAAATTTTTAAGATGATTCAACTTGATTCTGAGCAACCAACCTGGCTTTATATTAAGCCTGTCGTAGGCCCCTGGCTACATCTGTGATTTTCGAGTTTATCTTCGCTGTTTCATTACTGGCCCAGGATTTGGAGTGATGATCTTGGCATTTGCTCCAAAGGCATCACTGTCTCTTGGAGATTCTTTTGTTTTTTCTTTTTGAGTTTTAGCAAACTTATTTTATTTTTTGTCCCTTACAGGTTTGCCTGAAATTCTCAGTAGCCCAGCATGCAATAAAAACAATGTTTCATGGAAGCTCTTTTTTTTTCCCTAGTGAGAGGGAGCTTTGCATATGTAATATACAATTCTAGAAGTTCTCCAGATTTCTTATGTTGTAAACTTAAAACTCTGAGCCAAAAATATCATATTTTGAATTAACTGTTGACCTCAGAAATGACAATTTTTACTTGTGAGTTAGGGTAGGTGAAAGTGACTGAACACCTTAACTTCTGTCATTTCCTCTCTACTGTACATTATTGCAGAACTGGAAAGAACTTTACAGCTAAATAGTGAACAGCCCTTAACTTTCTTTCTCTCTTATTTAGAAGCTATAAACCAGAGATGATTTGTTTTCCAGATAAGGATATACTAATCAATAGTAGTGAAAAGCCATGCCAAAATGAGAGAGGCAGCCTAGTAAAATCTCTATGTCAGTTATTTATGTCAAGAGCATTTAAAAAGTAGGCCAGAATGTAGAGTAGCTTGAATTATATCCTTCAAACAAAGAAGTAATTAAAACAAACAAATATAAAACAAAAACCTAGCAGGAGGATTATCATGTTGTTAACTATTATTCAATGTCAGGCTTCATAATGACTCTAGGATACTGAGAATGAATTTTGAAATTATTAATTGAAACTCTGCCATTTGAATTTCTAGCAAGATCTTTCTATCAATACTTATCATTTTCACCATAGTAGTCCACTAACATTTTGGCATGCAATCGTTTGGATGTAGTTTGAAGTGGCCTTCAATGTTGACATTTAGCTTCTTAAGAATGAAACAGGGACAGGTGTCCTCACCAGATAGGCCAGGTGGGATCATGCAAAAAGCAGAATCTTTGGAGCCAGACAGACCTGCCTTCACATGCCAATACACAATCTGAGAGAACATTCTCCAGGTCTTGTGAGCCTCAGGCAACTCAGCTACAAAAATTGGGATCACAATCCCTTCTTTGCAGGGCTGTTGCAAGAATGACATAAGAGAAAACCTTTTTTATGCTTAGCAACTAATAGGCACTCATTAATAGTAGCATAGTTATCATTATAACTCTTATCATTATTAGTGTCTACTTTAGATTCTTGTGTAATTCAGGACAAATTCTTCACCTTTTCCTAAGCAGGATTAGATAATAAAAAGAGACAATAACCATTCATTTGCCTTGAGCAATATTTTTCCTTTGATCAGGGAGTGGAGCAAAAGAGGTAGATGGGTAGGTATGGGGTCTCATTACTTTGTTGGTTATCCATAGAAATTAAATGTATTGCTTAGCTTTCTTTCTCATTTATTGTTGGCGTAGACACCAAGTATATAATTTAATTATCATATTGCATGTATGAAATTATATATGAACCATTTTCCTTGTAGCTGAAGTTTGAATCCGAATATTATTAGCAAAGTTACCCAAGTGGAGCCAATCCATATTAGACCACTTACGCTAAAGGCTGCTGCCAAACTAATCTTTTTTAAATAGTGGATTTATCAAATCTCTCTCTTTGAATTTATAAAAACTCATCTTTTTAATGTCCTGATGCATCAAATCTAAACTCTTCTGCCAGGCTTTCAAGAATTTCCCTACACTGATCCCGTTCTTTTTAGCGAAATATTTTTTGCTATTCCCTCAGTCCAATCTCTGCCTTTAGTGAGATATATTCTCTTCCCAGAAACCAGTTGTCACCAGGCTTTGCTTCTTTCCTATTGCTTGTGTTCTTCCCTTTTCCTGAAATAACTTTCGCTGAGATTTCCATGTACTCAGGTCCAGCCTGGGATTCACATGCCCTTTCAGTACTAATTTCCACCATGAACATTTCCCTAACTAGTTTCTAGATATCCCAACTGTCATGTAGAAACTTTTACATGACTTTGGGTCTTCATGTTATGTAGTTCATAACTAAGTGCTGACTTTTCTCATACATTATTATTTATGTGAAATAAAGTGGTCTATACAATTAGAATGTGGGTGCCTTGAAAATAGATTATCTTACAGTTCTGTATCTCTTATAATTCTAAGCACAGTATTGAGCACAGAGTGTTAATAACTACCTGTTAATTACTGAGCTAACTGATTTGGTAAACACCTTTTACATTTGCCCCCATTGTGAATTTAGCCATGTACAATATTTAACTTACTAAGTTAATTTACACTACATGCCATTTTAGATTCTGATTGTGATTATTGGTCCCTGGAATATTTTTAAAATCTTTGTTTTCAAAATATGAAATTGGAGGGTGCTAAATAAAACCCAAATTATATTTTTCTTGCCAAAAGTATATTATCCATAATGTCTTAATTAACTTGAATTATTTAAGGAAAAGGGCTGTATTCTCACTAAGTCAAGATTCTCTTAGGGATAGGAGACCCAACTTATCCTACATAATCACCCGATTAGTCTTCACGTTTGATCCCTCTTAAGTACTATTCTGGTTGCTATGGACACACCCCATCAATCTTGATAATTTTATAACATTAAGAGAAAACAAACCCATATTTATTAGTGGCTTATTATAAGATAAACTTTAAATGTTTCTAGATAATATTTGCATTTCTTTTCTAAAACAAATATCCTAATCTGGCATCTTAGATATATCTGTTTTATAATTTTTTTCATCTGTTTTTTTTTTTTATTGCTTTTCTTTTCATTTCTTTTTTTGAGACAGGAGCTGGCTCTATCACCCAGGCTGGAGTGCAGTGGCGCGATCTGGGCTCACTGCAGCCTTTGCCTCCTGGGCTTAAGTAATCCTCCCATCTCATCCTCTCAACAGGCGCAGCTAAGTTTTTCTTTTCTTTCTTTTTTTTTTTTTTTTTGTATTTTTTTTGTAGAGATGGGGTTTCACCATGTTGCGCAGGCTGATCTCAAACTCCTGGGCTCAAGTGATCTGCCTGCCTCAGCCTCCCAGAGTGCTAGGATTACAGACATGAGCTACCACACCCAGCCTCATCTTTTTGATTACCGTATTATTCTGTACTTTCAGAAAACAAAACTGTTTCTTTTTTCTGGTTAAGGAGTTGTTTGATAGACTTTAGTCTGACTTTTAGTGGCTTATTACACAAAGCAGATTTGATTTAATATATATTAAAATGACATTATCAAAGTTGTCTTGCTGGCAGAAGTTTTTCTCCAGATTCAGTGTGATAACTACACTCCGTTGATTTAATTATTATCATTTTGGTATGAATCTCCTGTCATGTTTATGCTGTGAATTTTCAAGAGATTAGAGACTGTCTGTGGGAGTAGGAGGTAAAAAGTGAATGAGCAAATGTATTTTGAGTGTTTGAACAGTGAAATATACAGTGACCAGCAGGTGTCTCTGTTACACAATGCAGATGAGATTCTCAAAGCTTTTCTAATATTAATCCTACCTTCTCCATCTAACTGAATTCACTTTTCAATTTTAACATTTACATTTGCTTTCTTCTTCAACAACATATAAAGAAACTCTTACCTCTCTCATATCTTTAATCAGGGCTCTGTTTTTATTTTCTTAAAATGCTGTATCCAAGATTATTTCTTAGTGTCTAACTTCTACCCTCTTTTTAAATGTTTATTTTAATTTTTTCTTTAAAATTTTTTTAAAAAAATATAATAGAGACAGGCTTTCACCATGTTGCCCAGGTTGGTCTCAAACTCCTGGACTCAAGGGATTCACCTGCCTCATCCTTCCAAAGTTCTGACATTATAGGTGTGAGCCACTATTCCCAGCCTCTACCCACTTTGTCTAAGTTTATTTTGCACCATTTTATAGAATGAGGGCTGGCTTAAGATCTTTATTTAGAAGCCCTAAGCACTGAAAAGTTTGCAATATCATATCTCCTCATATGTTAATTAAATAAAAAATAGTAAATTATAAAGAAATTGTAAGGAAGTTTGACAAAGTTTAAGATAACTAAAAGTTAAATAACAACTACAGCAGTGTTTTCTTAATATATCAAATGTATTTTTCTTAGAAGTTTGGGGAAAATATCTGATAATCCTATTTTTAGGGAATTTCTAAATTTAGTTTGCCTTTTGTATAACCTATGACTGTATAAAATGAAAAGCCTAGACAGAACCAAGAATTATGCAAAATACCCCTGCCAAGAATTTAAGTCACAGACCAGGCATGTATGAATGGATGAAGGGGGACAAGAGACAGCCAAAGGAAAGCAGAGGAGTGAAAGAGTACATCTAGACACTGCCAGTGGGCATATAATTTCTACTTTCTTTCTAATAAAAATGAAATCTAACACTTACTCACAGTTTATTATGTGCTAAACTTTGTATATACTCTCTTATTTTTCCCTCACAATGGCCCTGCTAAATTGTTGCTGTGATTAATCCCGTAGTAAAATGAATAAACTGAGGCTGAGAGATTAATTCCAAAAGGTTATACAGTCAGAAATCTGCTAACATTTTAAATCCCTATATTGTATTTTGAGAAGGTAGTTCGACACAATATTTGCTTTTCAACTAAAATTTTGCATATGTTTGGCTTAGCATTTGTAAGATTTTTACTAAAGAAATAATAGTGGATAAGTGCAAAAGAGATCTTTGGAGTTTTTATTATAGACTTTCATTACATTGAAATTCCTGATTAATGCTATGGAACCAGACTGACTAACTCTTACAAAAATGTATTTGTTAAGAGGCTCCCAGGAAGTCTCCAGAAGAATGGGAAACAGATTCAGTGGGACTCAAGTTATCAAGGAGGAAGAGGCAAGAAGCACAGTTACAGGCTTGTAGCCAGCAGAGCTGGTTAGGATGCCCTCAGAACTCCATCCCTGTTGGGATGAACAACCTCTAACATTTCCCCCCCGTACTTGATTCAAAGCTCAAGGTTCTAAGTCCCAGGAGAGGGCCTCCAACTGGCCAAATTTAGGTCACATGCTAACACCAGGATGTACAGTAATGAGGAGAGAGAATTTATTTCCACTGGCTTCTGTAGTAGCAGGTGATCACCCAGAATTCTTCTCTGCTAATACTTAAAACAGTGAGAAAGAACTGCCTCCTTTGTTGAAAATTAAGGTTTTATGGGGACTCGACAATGAAGCTGGGCAGACAAAAAAAAAAGTTAGGGGGTAAGTGAGGTGACAAATGACCACTACAACACTTTAACAGTATAAAATTGAAGCATCCTGCAATTGAGGACTAATTAAATCATGTAACATCAATATAATAAAATACAAATAAGCAACTACAAATGAAATTATAGAAAACTATTTACTTATTTATTTTTATTTTAAATTTTTGTGGGTACATAGTAGGTGCATATATTTATAGGGAACACGAAATATTTTGATTCAGGCATAAAATGCATAACAATCACTCCAGGGCAAATAAGGTATCCATCAGTAATATAGTTGGGATATTTGTCTGCCCAAATCTCATGTTGAAATGTAATTCCCAATGTTAGAAGTGGAGCCTGGTGGGAGATATTGGGATCATGGGGGTGGATCCCCCATGAGTGGCTTGGGCCATCCCCTTGGTGACAAGTGTGCTCTTGCTCTGAGTTCACACAAGATCTAGTCGTTTAAAAGTGTGTGGCACCTCCCCCAACCCACTCACTCTCTCTTGCTCCTGCTTTTGCCAGGTGATATGCCTGCTCCTCTGTGCCTTCCTCCAGGAAGCAGATGCTGTTATGCTTCCTGTACGTATAGCTTGCAGAACCATGAGCCAGTTAAACCTCTTTTTTTATAAATTACTCAGTCTCAGGCATTTCTTTATAGCAAAGCCAGAACAGCCTAGCACAATCATCTCAAGCATTTATATGTTTTGTGTTACAAACATTCCAAATGTACTCTTTTAGTTACTTTAAAATGTACAACTTATTGTTGACTGTAGTTACCCTGTTGTGCTATCGCACACTAAGATCATACTAGATCTTAGTCGTTATATCTAATTATGTTTTTATACTCATTAAGCATCCCCACTTCTCTACCCACTAACCTTGCCAGTCTCTGGTAACCATTATTATACTCTCTATCTCCATTTGTTCAATTTTTAGCAAATTTAATTTTCTAGCTCCCACAAATAAATGAGAACATACAAAGTTTGTCTCTTTCTGTGCCTGGCTGATTTCACTTAACGTAATGACTTCCAGTTCCATCCATGCTGTTGCAAATAACAGGATTTTACTCTTTTTTATAGTTGACTAGTACTCTACTGTGTATATGTACCATATTTTCTTTATCCATTCATCTGTTGATAGACACTTAGGTTGCTTCCAAATCTTGGATATGGTGAATAGTGTTGCAATAAACATGGGAGTCCAGATATATCTTTGATATAATGATTTCCTTTCTTTTTGGTATATATCTAGCAGTGGGGTTGCTGAAATATATGTTACTTCTATTTTTAGTTTTTCAAAAATTCTCCAAACCGTTCTCCATAGTGGTTGCACTAATTTATCTTCCAACTAACGGTGTACAAGGGTTGTACTGATTTACATTCTCACCAACAGTGTATGAGGGTTCCCTTTTCTCCATGTCCTCACCAGCATTTGTTATTGCCTGTCCTTTAGGTGAAAGCCATTTTAACTGGGGTGAGACGATATCCCATTGTAATTTTGATTTGCATTTCTGTGATGGTCAATGATATTGAGTACCTCTTCATATACCTGTTTTCCATTTGCATGTCCTTTTTTGAGAAATGTCTCTTTAAATCTTTTGCCAATTTTTATTAAATTATTATTTTTTTCCTATTGAGTTGTTTGAGCTCCTTATATATTCTGGTTATTAATCTTCTGTCAGATGGATAGTTTCCAAATACTTTTACCTATTCTATAGGTTGTCTCTTTACTTTGTTGATTGTTTCTTTTGCTGTGCAGAAGCTTTTTAACTTGCTTTTAAACTCCCATTTGTGCATTTTTGCTTTGGTTGTCTGTGCTTGTGGACTACTACTCGAAAAATCTTTGCCTGCTCCCTCTGTGCCTTCCTCCATGATTGGAAGCCTCCCCCGAAGCAGATACCGTTATGCTTCCTGAGCAAACAGCCTGCAGAACCCTAAGCCAATTAAATCTTTTATTTTTATTTATTTATTTATTATTTATTATTATTATTTTACTTTAAGTTTTAGGGTACATGTGCACAATGTGCAGGTTAGTTACATATGTATACATGTGCCATGCTGGTGCGCTGCACCCACTAACTCGTCATCTAGCATTAGGTATATCTCCCAATGCTATCCCTCCCCCCTCCCCCCACCCCACAACAGTCCCCAGAGTGTGATGTTCCCCTTCCTGTGTCCATGTGTTCTCATTGTTCAATTCCCACCTATGAGTGAGAATATGCGGTGTTTGGTTTTTTGTTCTTGCGATAGTTTACTGAGAATGATGATTTCCAATTTCATCCATGTCCCTACAAAGGACATGAACTCATCATTTTTTATGGCTGCATAGTATTCCATGGTGTATATGTGCCACATTTTCTTAATCCAGTCTATCATTGTTGGGCATTTGGGTTGGTTCCAAGTCTTTGCTATTGTGAATAATGCTGCAATAAACATACGTGTGCATGTGTCTTTATAGCAGCATGATTTATAGTCCTTTGGGTATATACCCAGTAATGGGATGGCTGGGTCAAATGGTATTTCTAGTTCTAGATCCCTGAGGAATCGGCACACTGACTTCCACAATGGTTGAACTAGTTTACAGTCCCACCAACAGTGTAAAAGTGTTCGTATTTCTCCACATCCTCTCCAGCACCTGTTGTTTCCTGACTTTTTAATGATTGCCATTCTAACTGGTGTGAGATGGTATCTCATCGTGGTTTTGATTTGCATTTCTCTGATGGCCAGTGATGGTGAGCATTTTTTCATGTGCTTTTTGGCTGCATAAATGTCTTCTTTTGAGAAGTGTCTGTTCAAATCTCTTTTCTTATAAATTACTCAGTCTCAGGTATTTCTTTATAGCAATGCAAGAACAGCCTAGCACAGTCATCTCAAGTATTTATCTTTTCTTCATGGTCCAATGTCTTAAAGAGTTTCCCCAATGTTTTCTTGTAGTAGTTTCATAGATTGAGGTCTTTGAGTTAAGTCTTTATCCGTTTTAATTTGATTTTTGTATATGGCTAGAGATAAGGATCTAGTTTCATTCTTCTGCTTATGGATAACCAGTTTTCCCATCACCATTTATTGAAGAGACTGTCCTTCCCCAATGTGCATTCTTGGAACCTTTGTTGAAAATGAGTTCTCTGTAGATGTATGGGTTTATTTCTGGGATCTCTATTCTGTTCCATTGGTCTATGTGTTTTTATGCCCATATCCTTCTGTTTTGGTTACTATAGCTCTGTAATATGATTTGAACTCAGCTAATGCAATTTCTCTAGCTTTGTTCTTTTTGCTTAGGATAGCTGTGGCTATTCTGGGTCTTTTGTGATTCCATATAAATTTTAGGATTTTTTTTATTTCAGTGAAGAATGTCATTGATATTTTGATTGGGATTGCATTGAGTCTGTAGATCGTTTTGGGTAGTATGGACATTTTAACAATTTTGATTCTTCCAATCCATGAACATGGAACATCTTTTCATTTTTTGGTGTTCTTCTCAATTTTTTGTATCAATTTTTTAATAGTTTTTATTGTAGAGGTTTTTCACTTATTGGTTAATTTCTAGATATTTTACTTTATTAGTAGCTATTGTAAATATAATTACTTTCTTTTTTTTTCAAATTGTTTGCTGTTGGCATATAGAAAAAGATACTGATTTTTGTATATGTATTCTGTATCCAGCATCTTCACTGAATTTATTAGTTCTAATAGTTTTTGGTTGAGTCTTTAGGTTTTTCTAAATATGAGATTATATCATATGCAAACAAGGATAATTTGACTTTTTCCTTTCTAATTTGGATACCCTTTATTTCTTTCTCTTGTCTGATTGCTCTAGTGAGGATTTCCAGAAGAGTATTTCTTGACATTGAAAAATGATCATTGAAAAATTAAAATGACATTAAAATTAAGTTAAAATAAAAAGCAAATGTAATGTATGAATCTTTTTTAGAAATATACATATATGTAGTTGCATACCTATAGTTTCAAATATGCATTTCTTTATGGGGAATTAGAAGGCACTAATTCTTTCTTTTTTTTATTTCTGCTTTTATTTTAGGTTCAAGAGGTACATGTTGAGGTTTGTTACATGGGCAAACTGTGTGTTGCAGAGGTTTAGTATACAGATTATTTTGTCACTCAGGTAATAAGCATAGTACCTGATTGGTAGTTTTTTTTTGTTTTGTTTTGTTTTTTTATCCTCACTCACCTCCCATCTTCCACCCTCAAGTAGGCCCTGTTTTCTACTGTTCTCTTATTTGTGTCAATGTGTACTCAAGTTTTAGCTCCCACTTATAAGTGAGGACATGCAGTATTTAGCTTTCTGTTTCTGGATTAATTTGCTCAGGATAATGGCCTTCAGCTCCATTTATGTTGCTTCAAAGGACAGTATTTTGTTCTTTTTTATAGCTACCTAGTATTCTACAGTGTATATATACCACGTTTTCTTTAGCCAGTCCACCATTAATGGGCATCTAGGTTGATTCCATGTCTTTGCCATTGTGAATAGCATTGCAATGAACATTCATGTGCATGTGTCTTCGTGGTAGAACAATTTATATTCCTTTGAGTGTATTCCAAATAATAGGATTGCTGGATTGAATGGTAGTTCTATTTTAAGTTCTTTGAGAACTCTCCAAACTGCTTTCCACCGTGGCTGAACTAATTTACATTACTACCAGCATTTATAAGTCTTCCCCTTTCTTTGCAACCTTCCAAAATCTGTTAGTTTTTGGCCATTTAATAATAGCCATTCTGACTGGTGTGAGATGGTATCTCATTGTGGTCTTGAATTGCATTTCTCTATTGATTAGTTATATTGAGCATTTTTTTCATATGCTTGTTGGCTCTGTGTGTGTCTTCTTTTAAGAAGTGTCTGTTCGTGCCCTTTGCCCATTTTTCAATGGAGTTATTTGGTTTCTTTGCTTGTAGATTTGTTTAAGTTACTTATAGATTCTGAATATTAGACCTTTCTCAAATAGTTTGCAAATATTTGCTCCCATTCTATAGGTTGTCTGTTTACTCTGTTGATAGTTTCTTTTGCTATGCAGGAGCTCTTTAGTTTAATTAGATCCCACTTGTCAATTTCTGTTTTTGTTACCATTGCTTTTGGAGTCTTTGTCATGAAATCTTTGGCAAGTCCAGTGTCCAGAATGGTATTTCCTAGGATTTCCTAATAGGGTTTTTATAGTTTTAGGTTTTACATTTAATTATTTAACCTATCTTGAGTTGATGTTTGCATATGGTGAAAGGAAGGGGTCTAGTTTCAATCTTCTGCATATGGTTAGCTAGTTATCCCAGTACCATTTATTGAATAGGCAATCATTTTCCCATTGCTTGTTATTGTCAGCTTTGTCAAAGATCAGATGGTTGTAGGTGTGTGGCTTTTTCTCTTGGTTCTCTACTCTATTCTATTGGTCTGTGTGCCTGTTTCTGTACTAGTACCATGCTGTTTGGGTTACTATAGCCTTGTAATACAGTTTGAAGTTGGGTAGTGTGATGCCTCTGGTTTTGTTATTTTTACTTAGGATTGCTTTGGCTATTTGGGCTCTTTTTGGTTCCATATAAATTTTAGAATAGTTTTGTGTAATTCTGTGAAAAATGTTGTTGGTAGTTTGATAAGAATAGCATTGAATCTGTAAATTGCTTTGGGTAGTACGGCCATTTTAACAATATCAATTCTCCCCATCCATGAGCATGGAATGTTTTTATTTTATTCTTTTTGTGGCTATCATGAATGGAATTATGTTCTTGATTTGGCTCTCAGCTTGAGCATTATTGTTATATAGAAATGCTACTGATTTTTGTACATTGATTTTGTATCCTGAAACTTTGCTAAAGTTGCTTATGTGGTCTAGGAGCCTCTGGGCAGAGACTGTAGGGTTTTCTAGGTATAGAATCATGTTATCTGCTAAGAGAGTTTGACTTTCTCTCTTTCTATTTGAATGCCTTTTATTTCTTCTCTTTTCTGATTCCTCTGGCTTGGATTTCCAGTGCTATGTTGAATAGGAGTAGTGAGAGTAGGCATCCTTATCTTGTTCTGGTTCTCGAAGAAATGCTTCCAGCTTGCCTATTCCATGGGATGTTGGCTGTGGGCTTGTCATAGATGACCCTTATTAGTTTGAGATATGGTCCTTCAATGCATAGTTTAGTTTGTTGAGAGTTTTTAACATGAAGAGATGTTGAATTTTATGCATCTATTGAGATGATCAGGTAGAATTTATTTTTAGTTCTATTGATGTAATGAATTACATTTCTTGCCTTGTATATGTTGAACCAACCTCGCATCCCAGGAATAAAGCCTACTTGATCATGGTAGATTAGCTTTTTGATGAGACATACTAATTCTTGGTGGAATGAAATAACTCTGAAATTTCCAGACAGTTTTCTTCTTAACTGTTTGCTCTTCTTTTTTCTCACTACTCTCTTATTAGATCTTCCATTACTTATCACTCCCAGGTTTATTTTTGGGCAGAGAGGAATCATTTGCATGTGTGTGTATAAGTGTGTAGAGTAAGAGATCTTCCAGAAATATAACTTTTCTTTTCCCTTTAGCACTTGTTTTCTGTGTACATGTGCCTGCTCCTGTGAATAGATGCATAGGCTTATTTAGGTCTTGTGGAGTGTGCTGTGAAAACCTTGGAGAAATATTGAGTAAGATGATCATCATTAGATTTGAAAAAAATTGGAAATTTTAGTTGGTTCTAATCTCTTTGCTTACTTCATAAGTTAAATTACTTTCTCTATGAGGGAAGAGTGGTCATATTGCTTTTTAAACTTAGAGTAGCACTAAGAAAATAACATTTGTAGAATGTGTGTTTTAGGCAACTTTTATTATAAAAGCATGAGGTAGTAATGATAAATTCCTTTTTATAAATATCTCTAATTTTTGCATCTAATTTAAAGCCAACTTTTTTGAAATATCACCTGGTCTTGAAAATATATCAGAAAAGAGTGGTCTTGAAAATATATCAGAAAAGAGTTTGAAACACAACCTGAAAATACATGTAGGATCATGCTGATGTTGGTTAAATGATTCTTCTAAGGCAGTCCAAACTACTAACTATTGCCATGCCTCATCATCTAGATATTACCCTCACCTGTGCTGACATGTAACTTGTAGTTGTCTAAGTGTCTTATTAGTGTAAAGAACGTTTGTTTAGAATAGATGTAATTTTGAGCTTTCCTGCTCTCCCTGGTCTGCTGAGATTGATTTAATTCACACAAACTCCCTTAGTGCACCGTAAGTTGTGCAGGAAGTCACAGCTTAGCATATTTTGAGTTTGCGTATAATGTTAATGAGATCAGGGAGGTGGGCTTTACAGGCCAGTTAGCTTCCTTGTGTTCCTGGTTTCATACAAGCTCCATACAATTAAATTCATTTAGTCACTTGTCAGACACATACAGCAAGAGAACTAGGTCAAAGTTTGCCTTTGGGTCAGTGAAATGAACTACCTAGAAAAAGGAATCTAGTTCTAGAAAAACGAATCAAGACTAATATCACATTTGTCTTGTGATCATCACAGCATTTCACAAAAATTTGAAAAAAATTCCTATTGTGCAGAATGCAATATGGGCTAAGACATGTCAATTTAAACAGTGTAGTAAGTTGTTAGAACATACTTGAAAAGATTTAAGTAGCAAAGAATAAAAAATCCAGGGGTGACTCTGAGATCTCATTTGGGTCATATATCATTTTATCAGCCTGGAAGCAAGACAGAAAGTCAACCTTCCAAGAAAAAAATTGTTCTCTCCTCTTTTATTTTTTTGATTTCACACCCTCCCTAATCCCACATTTCAGGAGAATGCAATCATGTGAATGTTTTGAAATATTGTAAATCAAATCATGGAAAAAAAATGATACCAGTTTCTATTCCTTTTTGAAAGTCATATTTCCTGTACTATTTTTATTTTATTTTACAGAAGGCATGTTCTAGAAAATCATAGACAACACATTGTGCATATATATATTATATATTTTATATGTATATATTTTGAGACAGGGTCTCACTCTGTTGCCCAAGCTGGAGTGCAGTGGCACGACCTCAGCTCACTGAAACCTTTGCCTCTCAGATTCAAGAGATTCTCATGCCTCAGCCCCCCGAGTAGTTGGAACTTCAGGCATGTGCCACCATGCTTGGCTAGTTTTTGTATTTTTAGTGGAGACAGGGTTTTGCCATGTTGACTAGGCTGGTTTCGAACTCCTGACCTCAGGTGATCCACTCACCTCGGCCTCCCAAAGTGTTGGGATTATAGGCGTGAGCCACCACGCCTGGCCTACACATTGTATTATATACTTGAAAACAATTAAATAATCAGGAGAACTGAACCAATAATGTGCAGATTTTCTAGTCAATGTGCATAAATTAATATATATGTAGATGCATGAAAATAAAGAATCCAACTTTTGTACCACTTTGCATGTGAAAGCAGTATTGGAGCAAAACACATTTTGAACACTTTTCTATTTTCTGTGAAATATTTTGCAAATGAGTTTTCAAGATTCTTGTTCTGTGCCTCTGGTGGAGTCCTTCCTTAAAGTGACACGTTTGTATTCCAATGTGCAAAAAGGGAATTAATGGGCTTACCCCTTAAATTTCTTAAATGGGATACTCCCAGCAGAATGCCTAAGGAAAAACTAAATAAATAAATGAACACACAAAAAATGATTATCCTCAGTCTTTCCAAGGCCCCCTCTTGCCTCCACATGTATGGATTTATGTCTCCCAGATTTCACAGGTTAAAGTCCTACCCCCTTGTATCTCAGGATGTGACTTTATTTGAAGATAGAGTAATTGCAGATGCAATTAGTTAGGATGTTTTCACCAGGGTTCACCCTCATCCAGTATGACTGCTGCCTTCATAAAGCAGGATCTTTGGACACAGGCATGCACAGGGAAGATGATGTGAAGACACAGAAAGAAGAGCCATCTCCAACCAAGGAGAAAGGCCTGAAACACATCCTTCCCTCACAGCTCTCAGAAAGAAACAATCCTGTTGACATCTTGATTTCAGACTTCCAGCCTCCAGAACCATGATAGAAAAAATTTCTGTTAAGTTGAAAAAAAAAAGATTATCTTCCTGCAAACAAAAATGTAATAAGTTTTAAATGCACAGATGAATTCAAAAGGAGAAAGGAAAATGTTATGTGCCAAAAATGAGGTGCCAACTGATCCCCAGAGTGCTAGGTGCATAAACTCACCATGCAGGTTATGGGGGTCTCAGTCCTTGTAACTGAAGAGTTCTATTTTAAGACTTTTTCAGGGGCTGGATATGAAGTCTAGGATTTGACTGGCCTTTGGATCTAAGATCAGTACACAAGCCAAAATTCTTGAAGAGCTATCCCATTGAGAAAAATTATATATTAAGGGGAGAAAAGAGGAAAACATCTGCTAGTACAGGGCAACAAGGGGGATTTTTCTATCTGGGACCTGAGTGAAAATAAAAATGAAACCCAACAAGAGTGGTCTTTTCTGAGAAATCAAACCCCTGGTTCTACAGCTTACAAATTAAGGAGCCAAATTTACACTTTACTGCTGACACTGACACTCCAAGCTGAAGAATTAACATAAAAATTGGTCTTGGGTGGGGGATACTCTTGAATCTCTTGCAGAAGGCTTTGCGAAACTATGCTGGAATTAGAGTACAAGATTCAGGTCACATGGAAATCCTCCCGCAAAATAGCTCAAAACACAAGAGGAGATTTAAAAAAAGGGGAAGTAGAACTTCTAGAATTTTGTATAATAGAATAATCTGAGAAGACTGTAGAATAAGGTTCTGTTTTAAGATGCAAACAAAGAAATTGAAGCAATAGGAAGAAAATACTGCTTTAAAAAAATCAAATAGAATTTATTGGAAATAAAAGTTTCACTTGTTCCTAAGAACAACTGATAAGGTAAAAGAAGTGTCTTTATAGATTATCTTTTACCTGATAAGGTAAAAGAAGTTTATTTATAAATTATTTATAAAAGAAGTTCTTTATAAATCATCTCGCTTTAGGCATTCTGTTATAGAAACACAAAATGGACTTAAACACAGGGAAAACTAATCTACTATGGTAGAGGGGAGAATACTTTTGTTACTTTTGCAGAAAGTGTTGACAGGAAAGGACAACAAGGAAACTTGCTGGGCTCATAAATGTTCTATATTTTGATCAGTGTGGTGGTTACACAGGTATATAGACATATAAAAATTGTATGCTACAATTTCTAAAATTTAATGTACTATATGTAGTTTATACCTCAAGAAGAGGTGAAAAAACAAAACCATTTATCAATTGGGTTTATTCAAAAAGAAGAAAAAGGAAATAATATCTGCAAGATATCAAACAAGGAGGTCCTAATTCTCATTTCTTTCACAAAATAATGAATAAACAACTACATGACAAATAAAATAACGAAGGGGGAGCTCTGGAATATAGCGAAAGAGTAGCACAAACCCTGTGGAGCAGAGCAACCTAGCATGGCTGCATAGAATAGGGTGGGAAACACCTTGTCTGGGCCACTCCATTGCCCAGTCTGGATTATCTCAGAGGCAAGAGGTACTTCCTTCTGCATGGAAAGGGTGAGAAGGAAGATCCCAGTCGCCCTCATTATTACCACAGACACCAGCAGTGCTCACCAATGGATACCCCTGCAGTCTTCACCAGTCCTGAGCCCAACACAGGGAGCTGCCTGGAGTCCATGCTGCTACACTTACCCATGAGAAAGAGCCAAGACTGTGCCTTCTGTCCCATGAGCTGAGCTACCGTGGTTTCATGACATTTTGGAATTGGAGTTGCCACTGTGCTGCACCCTGCTGTTAGGTCCTGAGTAGCCATTGTTTCCCTACACGCCTAGGGTCTTACTGTCACCGCATCCCACCACCTGGAGCCTGGGTTGCCCAGCGCGCCACTCTCTCTGGGCCTAGGTTGCTGCCATAAGCCTGGGTCCCCACTGTGCCCTACCTTTTCAGCAGCCTTGCTGCCACAGTGCCCTGTCTCTCCAGGGTGTGGGTTGCTGAGGCACCTTGCCTTCCTAGAGACTGGAGTTGCCACTGCACTGAGACCTACACCCAGGAGCTTGAGTTGCTTTACCACCTGCCTCCCAGGAATTAGAGTCACGCTGTGCTGTCCCATGACTTAAGACCTGAGCTGCTGTGGCATTCTACCTTTCCAGGGACCAGAGTTGCCTCTATGCTGTGCTCAACCTCCTAGAACCTGAGGTTCTCTTGCATCCCACCATCCCAGGGACTGGTGCCATTACTGTGCTGTGCACTGTTCCCAGGGCCTGAGCTTCTTTGGTATCCCATCTTCCCAGGGACTGGAGTTACTGCTGTGCTGTGTCCTGACTGCCTGGAGTCTGAGTCACCATTGTGCCCCACCCTCTGTGGCTGAGCTCCTACAGGGTCGTGTCCATCCTGGGGTCATGTTGCTGCTGTACCATGCCCCTCAGAGCCAGAGTTCCCACTGTGTCCTGACATACCAGGGGGCTTAGCACAACTGAGCTCCATCCTTCGTAGCCCTTTCTGTGGCAATACTCTGCCTTCACAGAGACTGGAGTCACCACCGTGCTGCACTTGGCTCTCAGGGCCTGAGCTACAGCTGTACCCCACAATTCCATGGGCCTTACTGCCACTGTGCCCTGGCCTTTGGGGCAGAGCTGCTGTGGAGCCATACCAACCCTGAAGCCTAAGTCACTGTTATGTCCACAAGTCCCTAGGGTCTCACTGCTGCTCTAAGGCCTGGGCCAACACAGTAATGTGTCTCCCCAGGTGCCCAAGTGCTACTATGCTGCTCCCTGCCCCTTGGGCCAGAATCACGGTTGTGCCCTGACATCCATGGAACTAGAGTTGCTGCTGTGCCCCACCCTCCAGGACCTGAGTGGCCAGAGGACCCCTTTACCCCTAGGCTGTGCTGCTTCTGTGCCTGTCTCTCAGGGTTCAAGCCACCATTATATCATATATCCCCAGGCCCAAGCCACTGAAATAAGCTCCAAAGTCCTAGACCCTGGCAACATGGGTGATAAGTGCATGCCAATGCCTTGGTACATCAATTTGCTCTCCAGGACCCAGGTGCCATGGCAGTTCACAAGTGCCTGAGCCCAGGAAGCCAGCTCTGCAGTGGCTCTGAGCACCTGTATCCTGGAACCTAGTGCCACTGTGGCTGCCTGCAGTCCACATTAGACTTGACACCAAAAGGGATCCTCTTGGCTTGGTTTCCCCCCAGTAGGGAAAAGGAGGGCGAGAGGACTCCAAGAGTCTTTGCTACTGAGGACCCTAACAGTCCACTTTGCCAATGCCACTGCCACAAACACCTGAAACTTTAGCTGTTGATGCTTCTGCAGTCTTCATTAATGCTGACCTCAGCTGATGGAGCCACACAGAGACTACACTGCTACATTTTTTTAGAACCAGAGCTATCCAATCAGTGCCATTGCACCCACCTGCAGGTGAAAGTCTTTACCCACTAAAACCAGTCTTTAAAGTCTGGAAGAGATGACTGCTCCATCAAATGCATAGACATCAGCACAAAATCACAAGAAACAAGAAAATGCAAGGAAACAACAGCACTAAAGGAACAAAATAACTTTAAAGTAACTGACCTCAAAGAAACAGAGATTTTAAAATTGTCTGGAAAGGAATTTAAAATAATTTTCTTTTAAAATAGAAATTATAAAAAGAACCAAACAGAAATTCTAGAGCTGAAGAATACAATGAATGGAATGAAAAATACAAGAGTGAAAAGCAGACTTAATCAAGCAAAAGAAAGAATCTGTAATCTTGAAGACATGTCATTTGAAATTACAGGTCTAGTATCCCTAATCTGAAAATCCTAAATTTGAAATGCTTCAAAATCTGCAACTTTTTCAGTGCCAATATGATGCTGAAGAGAAACACTCATTGGAGCATTTAGGATTTAGCATTTTTGGGTTAAGAAAGCTGAACCAGTAAGTATAATGCAAATAATCCAAAATCCAAGAAATACTTGTTAACTTGGTGTTCTTGCAAGGATGAACCCCATGCAAGTGTCTCACCCTTTCAATTGTCTTGAGAATTCAAAACACTCTGTTCCTAAGAATTTCAGATAAGGGATACTCAACCTGTATCTAGTTAGAGAAGAAAAAAGAAAAAAGTGAAGAAATTCAATGAGATTTATGGGACACCACTATGCAAACTGATGTATGCATTATGGAAATCTCAGAGGGAGAAGAGAGAGAGAGGGCAACAAAGTTTATTTAAAGAACAATGGCTGAAAACTTTCTAATTTTGGGAGAGATATGGACATCCCAAACTGTGAAACTCAAAAGTCCCCAAATGGGTTCAACACAAAGAGTCCTTTAGCATAAGACACATTATATTATATTGTCAAGAGTTAATAAGACACGTTATATTAAATTGTCAAGAGTTAATAAGACACGTTATATTAAATTGTCAAGAGTTGGACAGAATTTGAAAACAGCAATAGAAAAGTGACATGGCACATACAGAGGAATGACTATTAGAGTATAAGCAGATTTTTCAGCAGAAACCTTATAGCCTGGAGACAATGGGATGATATATTCAAAGTGCTAAAAGGAAAATATCATCCACCAAAAAGACTACCTCTAACAAAGATGTCCTTCAAAAATAAAGTAGAAATAAAAGCTTTTCCAAACATGCAATAAGTGAGACAGTTCAATACCACTAGACCCATCTCATAAGTAATGCTAACAGAATTCTTCAAGCAGAAATTATAGGACACTAACAACTAACATGAAGATATATGATGTATAAAATTCCTTGGTAGGAGCAAGATGACAGAAAAGAAAGCTCCACCAATTGACCGCACACACCCTTGCAAGAACAGCAAGTTAATAAGTGTCTTTAGAGAAAAAAACACCTTTCTAAGAACCAGCGATCAGATGAGCACTCACAGTACCTGGTTTTCACATCATATAGCAGAAAGAGGCACTGAAGAGATAGAAAAAGCTGTCCTAAACCACTGATGTCACCCTTATGTAACCCCCGGCAGTGGCAAAGTGATGCAGACAGCATCTCTGGGTGATGGGGGAAGAACACAGCAATTGTGAGCCATTGAACTCAGTGCTGTACTATTAGAGAAGAAAGGAAATCCGAACCAAACTTAGTCGATGTTAGCCCACAGAGGGAGCATTTAAACTAGCCTGAGCCAGAAGAGAATCACTGACCCCAGCATTCTGAACTTGAGTGCCTGAAAACCTCACCACTGAGAGCTACAGCACTCAGTGTAGCTGAGTAACTCCAGGTAAACTTGAAAGGCAGTCTAGTCCATAAGGACTGCAACTCTTGGGCGAGTCCTAATGCTGAACTAGGCCCAGAGGCAGTGAACTGAGTGGGCATAGAACATACTGAGACACCAGCTGGGGCAGCTAAGGGAGTGCTGGCGTCCCCCCACCCATAATCCAGGCTGCACAGCTCAAGGTTCGAAGAGAGACCCCTTCCTTCCAGTTGAGGAGAAGAGAAGGAAGAGTGGGGAGGACTTTGTCTTGCATCTGGGATAGCAGCTCAGCCACAACATGATAAGGCACCAGCCAGAGTTGTTAGGCCCCTGTTCCAGGAACTAGCTCCCAAATGACATTTCTAGGCACACCCTGGGCCACAAGAGGACCAGACACATTGAAGGAAAGGACTCAGTCGTGGCAATAGTTATCACCTGCTAACTGAAGAGCCCTTGGACCCTGAATAATCAGCAGAAAGTCCCAGGTACTATATTGAGGTCTCAGGTGAACCTCTGAGACTTGCTGGCTTCAGGTAAGACTCAGGATATTACCAGCTATTGTTTTGTGAGAAACTCCTTCTGCTTGCAAAAAGCAGAGGGAAAAGTAAAGGGACTCTGTCTTTCATTTTAGGTACCAGCACAGCCACAGGGGGGTAGAGCACAAAGCAGGCTCTAAGGGTCTCCTATTCCAGGACTTGCCTCTTGGATGGCATTTCTAGACCTGCCCTGGACCAGAGGGGAGCCCACTTCCCCGAAGAGAGTCCAGGCAGCATTTACAACAAGCTGACTTAAGAGACCTTGGGCCTTATGGGAACATTGGCAGTAGTCTGGCAGTACTCCCTGTGACTTGGGGTGGTAGTGCCTACAGAGTGAAACTCCTCTGCCTTTGGAAAGGGGAGGAGATAGTGGGAAGGACTGCATCTTGTGGTTTGAGTGCCAGATCAGCTGCAATGTGATAGAAGACCAGGTTGACTTCAAAGGTTTTGACTCTAGTTCCTGACCCCCAAATGGCATTTCTGAATCCACCTGGGGCCTCAGAGATCTCACCACACTGAAGGGAAGAACACAGGCCTGGCTGGAATGGCCGTCTACTCATTGTAGGGGCCAAGGGCCTTGAGTCAGTACAAGAAGTAGCTGGGGAGTGGTTACAGATCTTGGGCAAGACCCTGTGCTGCGCTGGCTTCAGGTCTGACCCAGCACAGTCATAGTAGTGATAGCCACAGGGGTGCCAGTGTCACTCCCCCTCTAGCTTTTGGTAGCTCAGAACACAAAGAGAGACTCTGTATGTTTGGGAGAAAGTAACAAAAGAGAACAAGAATCTCTGACTGGTAATCCAGGGAGTTCTCCTGGATTCAGTCGAAAATAACCAAGGAGGTGCTTCTACAAGTCTGCAAGAACCACAGTGCTACTGTGCTTGGGGAGTCCCCTAAAGAAGATTGAGCTTAGATCACAAAACTCAAGTCCTTTCAAATATCTGGAAAGGCTCCCCAAGAGGAACAGCTACAAATAACCCCAGACAGTGAAGGCTGCAATAAATACTTAACCTCCTTAATGCCCAGACACTGAAAAACATCTACTAGCATCAGCACCATCCAGGAAAACCTTATCTCACCAAGTAAACTAAATAAGGCACCAGGGACCAATCCTGGAGAAACAGAGACGTGACCTTTCAGAGAATTCAAAATAGATGTGTTGAGGAAACTCAGATAAATTCAGGATAACACAGAGAAGGAATTCAGAATTCTATTCAGTAAATTAACTAAGAGATTAAAATGATTAAAAAGAATCAAGCAGAAATTCTGGAGCTCAAAAATGCATTTGACATACTGAAGAATGCATCAAAGTCCTTTAATAGCAGAATTGATCAAGCAGAAGAATTAGTGACCTTCAAGACAGGCTATTGAAAATGCATGGTCAGAGAAGACAAAAGAAGAAAGAATAAAAAACAGGGAAGCACACCTATGGGATCTAGAATATAGCCTCTGAAGGGCAAATCTAAGAATTATTCGCCTTCAGGAGAAGGTAGAGAAAGCGATAGGAGTAAAAAGTTTATTCAAAGCGAAAATAACAGAGAACTTTTCAAACCTAGAGAAAGATATCAACATGCAAGTACAAGAAGGTTATAGAACACTAAGCAGATTTAACCCAAAGAAGACTATCTTAAGGTATTTAATAATCAGACTCCCAAAGGTCAAGGATAAACAAAGAATTCTAAAAGCAGCAAGAGAAAAGAAACAAGTAACATACAATCAGAAAAGAAACATATAACTTAAGATTACGTTTATGTCATTTGTTTCCTTTCTCTTGCTGCTTTTAGCTCTAATATGTCTGGCAGCAGACATTTCAGTGGAAGCCTTACAGGCCGGGAGAGAGTGGCATGACACATTTATCATGCTCAAGGAAAATAACTTTTACCCTAAAATAGTATATCTGGTGAAAATATCCTTGAAACATGTAGGAGAAATAAAGACTTTTCCAGACAAACAAAAGCCGAGAGATTTCATCAATATCAGACCTGTCCTATAAGAAATGTTAAAGTGAGTACTTCAATCAGAAAGAAAATGACATTAATGAGTAATAAATAATCACCTGAATGTACGAAACTTACTGGTAACAGTAAGTACACAGAAAAACACAGAACATTATAACACAGTAACTGTGGTGTGTAAACTACTTTTATCCTAAGGAGGAAGATTAAATGATGAACCAATAAAAATAATAACTATAGCAATTTTTCAAGACATAGTCAGTACAATAAGATATAAATAGAAACAACAAAAAGTCACAAAACAGGAGGATGAAGTTAAGACATAGAGTTATTCATTTTCTTTTTGCTTGTTTATACAAATAGCATTGTTGTTATCAGGTTAAAGTAATGGGTTATAAGATAGCATTTCCAAGCCTCTTGGTAACCTCAAACCAAAAAACATACAATGGATACACAAAAAATAAAAAGCAAGAAGCTACATTATATCACCAGAGAGAAAGTTATTTTCACTAGTGCAAAACAGGAAGGAAAGAAAAAAGGAAGAGAAGATCATAAAACAACCAGGAAACAGACAACAAAATGGCAAGAGTAATTCCTTACTTATCAATAATAACATTGAGTGTAAGTAAATATACTAAACTCTTCAATAAAAAGATATAGCATGGCTGAATGGATAAAAAACAAGACCCTTTGGTCTGTTTCCTACAACAAACACACTTCACCTATAAAGAAACATATAGACCGAAAATAACGGGATAGGAGAAGATCTTCCATGCCATTGAAACCAAAAAACAACAGGAGTGACTATACTTATATAAGACAAAATAGATTTCAAGACAAAAACTATAAGAAGAGACAAAGAAGGTCACGATTTAATGATGAAGGGATCTATTCAGCAAGAAGATATAACAATTTTAAATATATATGCATCCAACATGGGAGCACCCAGATATATACAGGAAATATTATTAGAGCTAAAGAGAGAGATAATTCCTGATACAATAATAGTTGGAGACTACAACACCTCACTTTCAGCATTGGACAGATCTTCCAGATGGAAAATCAACAAAGAAACATTAGACTTAATCTGCACTATAGATCAAATGGATCTAATAAATATTTAAGGAACATTTTATTTAAGAGCTGACAAATAAACATTTTTTCCTCAGCAAATAGATCATTCTCAAGGATAGACCCTATGTTAGGTCACAAAACAAATCCTAAAACATTTAAAAATTGAAATAATATTAAGCATCTTCTGTGACAACAATGGAATAAAAATAGAAACTAATAACAAGAGTAATTTGGGAAACTATACAAGTACATGGAAATTAAACCATATGCTCCTAATGACCAATGGGCCAATGAATAAATTAATAAAGAAATTGAAAAGTTTCTTGGAACAAATGATAATGGGAACAAAACATACCAAAACCTATGGGATGCAGCAAAATAAGTACTAAGAGGGAAGTTTATAGCTATAAGTGCCTACATCAAAAAAGAGGAAAAACTTCAAATAAACAATCTAATGTTTCATCTTAAAGAACTAGAAAAGAAAGAGCAAAACAAACCCAAAATTAGTAGCAGAAAAGATGAGAACAGAAATAAATGAAATTGAAATAAAAAAATACAAAAGATCAATGAAACAAAAAGTTGGTTTTTTAAAAAGTTAAACAAAATTGACAAACTTTCAGCCAGACTGAGAAAAAAGAGAGAAGATCCTAAGAAAAAGGACAGAAGATCCAAATAAATAAATAAAGTCAGAAATGAAAAAAAGAGACATTACAACGGATATGGCAGAAATTCAAAGGATCATTAGTGGCTACTATGAGCAACTCTGTGCCAATAAATTGGAAACTCTAGAAGAAATGGAGAAATTTGTAGATACATACAACCTACCAAGATTGAACTTGTGAGAAATTCAAATCCTGAACAGACCAATAACAAGTAACAAGACCGAAGCTGGAATAAAAAGTCTCCCATTAAAAAAAAAAAAGCCCTGGACCTGACAGCTTTACCTCTGAATTCTACCAGACATTTAAAGAAGAATTAATACCAATCCCACTCAAACTCTTCTCAAAGATAGAGGATGAGGAAATAATTCCAAACTCATCCTATGAGGCCAGTATTATAATATATTAAAACCAGACAAAAGACACATCAGTAAAAGAAAACTACAGGCCAATATCACTCATGAATATTGATGCAAAAATCAACAAAATAGTAGGAAATTGAATGCAACAATACATTAGAAAGATCTTTCATCATGACCAAGTGAGATTTATCCCTGGGATGCAAGGATAGTTCATCATACATAAATCAATCAATGTGATACATTATATCAGCAGAATGAAGAATAAAAACCATAGGATCATTTCAATTGATGCTGAAAAAGAATTTAATAAAATTCAGCATCCCTTCATGATAAAAATTCTCAAAAAAACTGGGAACAGAAGAAACATACTTCAACAACATTAAAGCCGTATATGACAGACCCAAGATAGTATCATACTGAATAGGGAAAAACTGAAAACCTTTCCTCTATGATCTGGTACACAACAAGAATTCCTACCATCGCCACTGTTATTCAGCATAACACTGGAAGTCCTAGCTAGAGCAATCAGACAGGAGAAGGCTATAAAGAACATCCACATTGCAAAGGAAGAAGTCAAATTATCCTTGTTTATAGATGATAGGATCTTATATTTGGAAAAACGTAAATTCTCCACAGGAAAACTACTGGAACTGATAAAAGGAATTTAGCAAAGTTTCAAGATACAAAATATACAAACCAAAATCTGTACTTTTTGTTTTGTTTTTGAGACAGGGTCTTACTCTGTTGCCCAGGCTGGAGTACAGTAGCCATTTTGGCTTACTGCAGCCTTGATTTCCCAGGCTAAAGTGACCCTCACACCACCTTAGCCTCCCAGGCAGCTGAGACTACAGGTGTGCACCACCATACCCAGCTTTTATATATATATGTATTTTTATTTTATTTTATTTTATTTTATTTTATTTTATTTTATTTTATTTATTTTTCTTTGTAGAGATGAGATTCCACCATGTTGCCCAGGCTGGTCTCAAACTCCTGAGGTCAAGTGATTCACCTGCTGTGGCCTCCCAAAGTGCTAAGATTACAGGTGTGTGCCATCATGCCTGGCCAAAATCTGTACCATTTCTACATGCCAACAGTGAACATTATGAAAGAGAACTAAAGCAATGCAGTCCCATTTACAATAGCCACATGTAAAGTGAAATAGATAGGAATTAACCAAAGGAATAAAACATTTCTATAATGAAAAGTATAAAATACTGATAAAATAAATGTAAGAGGACACTGAAAGGTGGAAAAATAGTCCATGTTCATGGATTGGAAGAATCAGTATTGTTGACATGTTCATACTACCTGAAACAATCTACAGATTTAATGCAATATCTATAAAAATATCAATGACATTCTTCACAGAAATAGAAAAAACAGTCCTAAAATTTATACGGAACAACAAATACCCAGAAAATCCAAAGCTATCCTGAGCAAAAAGAACAAAACTGGGACAATTTTGTTACCTGACTTCAAATTATACTACAGAGCTATAGTAACCAAAACAGCATGGTGCTGACATAAAAACAAACAGATAAGCACATAGACCAATGGAACAGAATAGAGAACCCAGAAGCAAATTTACACACCTAGAGTAAGTCACTCTTGACAAAGGTGCCAAGAACATACACTGGGAAAAGACAGTATCTTCAATAAATTGTCCTAGGAAAACTGGATATCTGTATGCAGAAGAATAAAACTAGACCCCTATCTAACACCATTAAAAAATACAATCAAAATGGATTAAAGACTTAAATCTAAGACCTCAAACTATGAAACTACTACAGGAAAAATTTGGAGAAAATCTCCATGACATTGGTCTGGGCAAAGATTTCTTGAGTTGTGGTCCATAAGCACAGGGAACCAAGGCAAAAATGGAGAAATAGGAAAACATTAAGTTAAAAAGCTTCTGAACAGTAAAGGATATAGTCAACAAAGTGAAGATACAACCCACAGAATGGGAGAAAATATTTGCAAATTCCCAATCTGACAAGGAATTAACAACCAGAAAATATATGAAGCACAAACAACTCTATAGGAAAAAAAAATTTAATAATGAAAATTAAGCAAAAGATTTGAATAGGCATTTCCAAAAGAAGACATACAAATGGCAAACAGGCATATGAAAAAACGCTTAAGGTTATTGATTATCACAGAAATGCAAATCAAAACTACAATGAGATATCATCTCACCCCAGTTAAAATGACTGTTATTCAAAAGACAGGCAATAACAAATGTTGACGAGGATGTGGAGTAAATGGAACCCTTGTACACCATTGTTGGGGTTGTAAATGAGTATAATCACTATGGAGAGCAGTTTGGAGGTTTCTCAGAAAACTGAAAATTGAGTTACCACCTGATGCAGCAATCCCACTGCTGGGTATATGCCCAAAAGAAAGGAAATCAGTGTATTGAAGAGATATCTACACTCCTGTGTTTTTTGCAGTACTGTCTACAAAGGCTATGATTTGGAAGCAACCTCAGTGTCTATCAACAGATGAATGAATAAAAACAATGAAGTAATATTCAGCCATAAAAATAGAATGATATCCAGTCATTTGCAACGACTTCAATGGAACTGGAGACCATTATGTTAAGTGAAATCAGTTAGGCACAGAAAGAGAAACATTGCATGTTCTGACTTATCTGTGGTATGTAAAAATCAAAACAGTTAAACTCATGGACATAGAGAGTAGTAGAAGGATGGGTTACCAGAAGCTGGGAAGGGTAGTGGGGGGTTGGAGGAGAGGTGGGGATGGTTAATGGGTACAAAAAAATAGTGAGAAAGAATGAATAAGACCTACAATTTGATAGCACAAAAGGGTGACTATAGTCAATAAGACCTTAATTGTACATTTTAAAATAACTTAAAGAGTATATTTGGATTGTTTGTAACTCAAAAGATAAATGCTTGAGAAGATGAATGCCCCATTTGCCATGATGTGTTTATTTCACATTGCATGCCTGTATCAAAACATCTCATATAACCCATAAATATATACACCTACTGTGTACCCACAAAAATTTTTTAAAAATCACTGGTACCGGTAAATAAATCATCAAATAAAGAACACTGTAATACTGTAATGATGGAGTGTAGATCAATTTTATCTCCAATATAAGATTAGAAGATGAAACTACTAGAAATGACCATAGCTGCAATAATTTGGTAAGGGATACATAACATAAAAAATGTAAATTTTAACATAATAAATATAAAGTATGAAAGGAGATTAAAAGTATAGAGTTTATGTGATTGAACTTATTACCAGCATAAAATAGACTGTTATAACTATAAAATGTTTTATGCAAGCCTCATGGTAACCACAAAAAAAAAACAACTAAAGTAGATATACAAATGATTAAGGAAAAGGATTACAAAAATAGCAACACATGAAATCATCAAATCACAAAGAAATATAGCAGGAGAGGAAGAAACAAAGTATATACAAAGCAACAAGACACAATTAACAAGTGACAGCAGTAAGTTCTTACCAACTGATAATTACCTTATATGTAAATTGATTGAATTATCCAACAAAACACAGAATGACCAAATGGTTTAAATAAAAACACACCCAACTGTACGCTTCCTACAAGAGATTTACTTTAATCTTAAAGACATACGTAGGCTCAATGTTAAGGTATGGAAAAATATATTTCATGAAAAATGATAACCAAAAGGTGGCTATAATTACATTAGACAAAATAGACTTTAAGTTAAAAACTGTCACAAGAGACAAAGAAGAACATTATATGATAATAAAGGTGTCAATTCATCAAGAGGATATAACAATTGTAAATAAATATGCCCCCATAAGTGGAGCACCTGAATATATAAAGCAAATCTTAACAGATCTGAAGGAAGAAATAGACAGCAATGCAATGACAGTAGGGGACTTCAATATCTTACTATCAACAATGGATAGATCACCCAGACAGAAAATCAATAAGGGAATATTGGACTTGACATACAGTTTAGAAAAATTGGACATAATAGAGGTATACCACACCTTCCACCCGATATTAGCAGAATGCACATTCTTCTCAAGCACACATGAAACATTCTCCAGGATAGACATGTTAGCCACAAAACAAATGTTAGCAAATTTGTTTTTTAAAGAAGAAATTTAAGAAGATTGAAGTCATGTCAAGTGTCTTTTCTGACCATATTGGTATGTAACTGAAATCAGTAACAAGAGGAAAACCAGAAAATTCACTGTATCAGTCCCTTTTCACACTGCTATAAAGATACTACCTGAGACTGTGTAATTTATAAATAAAGAGGGTTTAACTGACTTACAGTTCCACATGGCTGGGGAGGCCTCAGGAAACTTACAACAATAGCAGAAGGGAAAGCAGGCATGTCTTACATGGTGGCAGGCAAGAGCAAAAGAGCACAGAGAAAACTGCCACTTATAAAACCATCAGATCTAGTGAGAACTTACTGTCATGAGAACAACCTGGAGGAAACCACCCCCATGATCAAATCATCTTCCATCACTTCCCTCCCCTGACATGTGGGAATTATAATTCAGATTATAATTCCAGATAAGATTTGGGTGGGGACACAGCCAGACCATATCATTCACAAATATGTGGGGATTAAACAGCATGCTTCTGAACAACCAATGGTTCAAAGATGAAATAGAAAGGAAAATTTGTAGAACTTATGAGACAAAAAAAGATGAAAACACAACATACCAAAAACCTAGGAGATGCAGCAAAAGCAGTTCTGAGAGGGAAGTTTATAACAGTAATTGTCTACATTAAGAAGTAGGAACATCTAGGCCAGGCGTGGTGGCTCACGCCTATAATCCTAACACTTTGGGAGGCCGAGGTGGGCGGATCACGAGGTGAGATCAAGACCATCCTGACCAACATGGTGAAACCCTTTCTCTACCAAAAATACAAAACAAAAACTTAGCCAGGCGTGGTGGCACGCGTCTGTAGTCCCAGCTACTCAGGAGGCTGAGGCAGGAGAATCGCTTGAACCTGGGAGGCGGAAGTTGCAGTGAGCGAACATAGCGCCACTGCACTGCAGCCTGGGCGACAGAGCAAGAATCCATCTCAAAAGAAAAAAGGAAAGAAAAGTAAGATTTGGAAAAACCTAATGTTATACCTCAAGGAACTAGAAGAAGAAGAACAAACTAAACTTAAAGTAAGCATGAAAAAGAAAATAATAGCTATCAGAGCAAAATAAACCAAAAGAATATAGAAATAGAAAAATCAATAAAACTAAGAGTTGATTTATTGAACAAATAAAATATATACATACCGTTCTGGACTAAGCCAAAAAAAAAAAAAAGGGAGAAGACTAAATAAATAGAATCAGAAATGAATGTGAAGACATTATAATAGATGCCTTAGAAATAAGGATAATTAGAGACAAATATGAGCAATTAATTATATGCCATTAAATTGGATAATCTGCAGAAAAAAATAAATTTGTATAAACATACAACCCACCAAAACTGAATCAGGAAAATAATGAGAGCCTAAACAGAGTAATAGCAAATAAAGAGATTGATGTGGTAATTAAAAACCTTCCAACAAAGAAAATTCCTGAATCAGATGGCGTAATGGCTGAATTCTAGCAAACATTGAAAAAATTAATATCAGTTCTTCTCAAACTCTTTCAAAAAATATATAACTTGAGGGAATACTTTCAAACTCATTTTATGAGGCCAGCATTATCCTTATATTAAAGTCAGACAAAAGCGCTACAAGAAAAAAAAAGCTTACAAGTCAATATCTCTGATGACCACAGTTGCAAAAATCCTCAGTAAAATCGTAGCAAACCAAATTCAACAACATATTGAAAAGATTATACATTATGACCAAGTGGGATTTATCCCTGGTATCTAAGATTGGTTTAACATATTCAAATCAATCAATGCGATATCTCACATTAACAGAATGGAAGACAAAACTCATAAGATTATTTTAGTAGATGCAGAAAAAGCATTCGACAAAGTTCGACATCCTTTCTTGATAAAAACTCTCAACAAATACTACCAAGAGCAATCGGACAAGAAAAAGAAATGGAAGATATCCAGATTGGAAAAGAAGTAAAATTATTCTATCTGCAGATGACATGATCCTATATGTTGAAAAACCTAAAGGACACACACACACACACACACAGACACTTAAAACAGATGAATTCAGTAAATTTACAGGATACAAAATTGACATTCAAAAATGAGTTACATTTCTTTATACCAGTAATGATCTATCAGAAAAACAAATAAAAAAGATAAAGATAATCCCTTTTACTATAGAATCAAAAAGAATAAAATACTTAGAAATAAGTTTAATCAAAAAGATGGAAAATCTGTACACTGAAAGCTATTAAACACTAATGAAAGAAATTAAAGACACAAATACATGGAAAGCTATCTCATGTTCATGGGCTGAAAGAATTAATTCTGTTAAAATGTCCACATTACCCAAAGAACTATAGTTATCCTCAATATCCATGGGGGATTGGTTCCAGGACACCCCGTGTGGATAACAAAATCTCTGGATTCTCAAGTCCCTTTTATAAAATGTAGTAGTATTTCACATAACCTACACACCTTTTTTAATATTTTAACTCATTTCTAGATTCCTTATAATATCTAATACAATGTAAATGACATGAAAATAGTATAGTTGTTATACTGTATTTTTAAAATGTCTTATTTTTTAATGTATTTTCTTCTGAATATTTTTTGATCTGTGGTTGGTTGAATCTTCAAGTATAGAACCCATAGATACAGTGGGCTGACTATATACAGATTCAATGCAATGCGTATCAAAATTCCAATGGCATTCTTCACCTAAATAGAAAAATTTGTATGGAACCACCAAAGACCCCAAATAGCCAAAGCAATGTTGAGAAAGAAAAACAAAGTTGGAAGCACTAGATTTTCTGACCTGAAATTCTATTAATAAGCTATAATAAAAAGAGTATGCTACTTGTATAAAAGCCCATACACAGGCCAATGGAGTAGAATAGAGAACCCAGAAATAAACCCAAGCATATATGGTCAACAAATTTTTAACAAGGGCACCAAGAAGATACAATGAGGAAAGAACAATATTTTCCACAAATGGTGCTGGGACAACTGGATATTCACGTGTAAAAGACTGAAATTGGACACTTATTTTAAACCATACAAAAAAAAAACACACTCAAAATGGATTAAAGACTTAAACATAAGACTGTAAACTGCAAAACTCCAAGAAAAACACATAAGGAAAAAGCTTCTTGACATCTGTCTTGTCAATAAGTTTTTAGATATCACAGCAAAAGCTCAGGCAACAAAAACAAAAATAAACCAGTGGGATTAAGCAAAAACAGACAAATGGGACTACATCAAACTAAAAATATTCTGCACAGCAAAGGAAATAATCAACAAAATGAAAAAGCCTATAGATTGGGGAAAATATTTGCAAACTGTATATCTGATGAAGGGTTAATATGCAAAATCTGTAAGGAGTTCACACAACTCAATAGCAAAAAACAAGTAATCTAATTAAAATTTGGTAAAGTACCCCAATAGGCATTTCTCCAAAGAAGATGTAAAAATGTCCACCAGGCATATGAAAAGGTGCTCAACATAACTAATCATCGGGGAAATGTAAATCAAAATCACAATGAGATACTGTGTCACACCTGTTACAATGGTTATATCAAGAAGACAAGAGAAGTGTTGACAAGGGTGTGGAGGAAAAGGGAGCTTTTTTATACTGTTGGTGGGAAGGCAAATTGGAACAGCCATTATAGAAGACAGAGTGGAGTTTCCTCAAAAAATTAGAAGTAGAACTACCCTATGACCCAGCAATTCCTCTTTTGGGTATACATCTAAAAAAATTAAAACAATATGTTGAAGGGATACCTGCATCTCCATGTTTGTTGCAGCTTTATTCACAATAGATAAAATATAGAAACAATCCAACTGTCTGTCCATAGATGAATAGATAAAGAAAATATATAGGCATATATGTATGTGTGTGTATTTCATACATATATAAAATACACATATATATGAATATTATTCAATCTTAAAGAAGGAGATTCAGCCAATTGTAACAGCATGGATGAAGTTGGAGAATATTATGCTAAGTGAAACAAGCCAGACATAGAAAGAAAAATAGTACATGGTTTCACTTACATCTAGAATTTAAAAAGAGTTGAATACATAGAAACAGAATTGAATAGTGGTTATCAGAGGCTGAAGGATGGGGAAAAAATGAGGAGATGTCAGTCAAAGGGTTTCAGTGTTGCAGTATCTCAGAATGTAACTGTATTTGGCTACAGGCCTTTGAATAGATGATTAAGTTAAATAAGGCTGTTAGGGTGGTCCCTAATTCAATCTGACCAGTGCCCTTGTAATAAGAGGGAATTTGGACACATAAAGAGACACCAGGAATGCACAAGCACAGAGTAAAGTCCATGTAATGGCACAGTGAAAAGGTGACCATCTCAAGCCAAGGAGAGAGGACTCTTTTGGCCTCAGAAGAAACCAAACTTGCTAATCTCTTAATCTTGGACTTCTAGTCTTTAGGGTGATGAGAAACTATATCTCTGTTGTTTAATCCACCAGTCTGTGGTATTTTGTTATGGCAGCCATAGCAAACTATTAGTTAGACAAGAACACTGCTAATGTCTTTTCTAGACCTAAAATTCTACTGTTGTTTTTAAAAGATTGCTGCTGTTTTCTTGAGAGTCAAAAGTAAATGCAGATAATTCCCATTATCCTGGTGTGGTCTTAAGGAAATTTTTAGTGTTCTCATTATCTTTCTTCCTTTATTTCTAGATACTTACTATAAGTTTTCTAGTAGCAAGATTGGAATCCCATCAGTTGACAGTGTATGAGCCTAATATTATACATTGTAAATCATTCTCACTAGCATTTTGTGTATACTTATTAATATATTTGTTATTTCAATTCAGAATCATTGCTTAAGTTTTCTGATCTTTATAGTTTCTCTGATTATCCTCTGATTGATAAAGTCTTTATGATTAAACTCTTCAGACATTACCATTTTGTTTCTACAATGTCGATATCTTCATGTTTCCAGTATCTTCACTATCAGATCCTTGCCATATCATCCTTTTCACATAATTATGATAAATTATAAAAATCTCACTGTATTTGGTATTATTGTAAGTTAAATGATATGTTCAGGATTTGCAAAGGTATATTGCACATTTTCATGATGTCACAAAAAACTAATGATAACCAGGACTCCTTAGATAAATGATTAATTCTAAAACTGAGGCAGAAAATGTACAAGCTGAGCCCGGACCATTTTTTAGTGCAGAAAGCAAATAAATGCTTACAAACAAACAAACAAACCCATATTGATGTAGGTGTGTCGAAGGGACACAGGAGTCAACTGAAAGCGCTCCCAATGGCCAAAGGTGGAATAAGTTGAGCAAGAAAATAAAGTAGTACAGGATAAAATTTCAAAGTATAACATCCATATCCATGAGTCCATATTGATATAATAATATCAATATCATAAATGATTGAATAAATAAGTAATTAGGAGAGAATGGACACATCTCCCATATAGAAGAATTCCAAATAATTTATGTAAACACTCCACTCTCATGGAGGGGGTAGACATAATGACTTCCCTCCAACAGTGCAGTATGGAAAGTGATGGAGGGAATGAGTAACTTTACGGTGAAGAAGCCTGATGAAGCTAACTGAGCGTGATTATCAATGTCAACATTAATAGTCATAACTCATGTTGATAGTATGTACCCTTGACACGCTGTCACAAAAATAGCACTTTATTTCTGTAATATTCCTTTCCCCCAAGCCCAATAACCTCAGTATAATCATGAGAAGAACATCAAACAAATTCCAGTGGAGGGACATCCCACAAAATACTTTACTCCTCAAAAGTGTTCAGATCATCAAGTAAAAACAAAAACTAGGAAACTGTCACAGGCATCAGGAGCCTAAGGAGACAGACATAATAGCTGAATGCAATGTGGCATCCTGAATGAGTTCCTGGAATAGGAAAAGGATATTAGGTAAAAACCAAGGAAATCTGAACAAATTATGGACTTCGATAAATGAATAACAATGCATCTGTATTGGTTCATTAATCATAACAAATGTACCATATTACAAACAGGAAAAACTGAGCCTGGAGTACATGGAAACTCTGTGTACTATTTTGCAAAATTTTCTGTAAATCTAAACCTGTTTTAGAAAATAAAGTTTATTTTTAAAAAAAATGAAATCAGACTTCAGAACTTCTCGGCTATTTTGAGCTTAGTGCTGGTAACATAAAAAAAGGTTTAAACTATCTTTAAAACTTCGTGAGGGATGATATGAACATATAACTAGGCATTTCTACTAGCTTTTCAAATAAAATTAACTTAGTTTTGGCTTACAAAAAGATTATGATGAAGCCTACTCTAATTTCCCATACATCACAAAGCTTTTTCCTTAAATATTAAGTTTTGAAGAAATGTAATTTAGTAGGACATTTTTGTAACTTTTTTTTTTTTTTGGTATTTTTAGTACACATGGGGTTTCACCGTGTTAGCCAGGATGGTCTCAATCTCCTGACCTTGTGATCCACCCACCTTGGCCTCCCAAAGTGCTGGGATTACAGGCATAAGCCACTGCACCCGGCCATACAACCTTTTAAGTTTGAAAATTGCCTTTACAAATGTGTCATAGTTACCATTAATTCTCACTTCGTAGATAGGGTAGCTAGTACACAGATGTGCTTAGTGTCCAAAGCTAATAAGACAGAATCAAGACCTGATCCCAATCATCAGACTCCTAGTTGAAGTTTCTTTTCACCACACCAGTGGTCTCCAAACATTTTTATTGCACAAACTTATCAGTAAAATATTGTGAGAAGCAACCACAGTATATGAATATGTGTTTATAAATTATATGCATTTATATCTAAATTATTTTGGGTAAACTATAAAGCATACCTCAAAGTAAGTATTAAGATGATTCAATTACAAATTTATACAAACTGAATTTTTATTTTTTTCATGCACCAGATGTTTATTTGTGCAGCCCTCTTTGTAAACTACTGCTCCAATTATTTATTGATGTGTAACAAACCATCTCAAAACACATTATTTTGTGGCAAAAAAAGCCCACTTATTATTATCTCTCATGGGCCTGGGGTTGACTGGGCTCAGCAGGGTGGTTGTTACTTAGGGCCTCTCATATGGTTGCTGTCAGATGGTGACTGGGGCCTGAATCATTTGGCTTGCTTACTCACCTATTACACCTGGGCTGGGGAGACCCACATAACAAAAGAACTGAGGGTCCTCGTGTGTTTGTGTGTGTGTGTGTGTGTGTGTGTGTGTGTAAGTGCATGAATGTATGTATGTGTAAGAGTGTGTGTGTGTGTGTGTGTGTGTGTGTGTGTATTCTGTTTCCCTCCAGCATGATGGCTTTAGGGTCACTGGACTCAGAGCTCCACGGCATATGTTCTGGAAGAGGCAGAACCAGAACATTTATTTTTCTCTTTTTCTGACCTAGACTATAAATTTATGCAGCCTCACTATTGATTATTTAAAAGAGTCACTAAGATCTGTACATACCCAAGGCAGGGGTGGACTTAGACTCTACTTCTTGATGAAAGCAATGTCAAAGAACTTGCTGACATGTTTTTAAATCACCCAAAGCAGAAAGTCTGAACTCTGGTAATTTTATTTTATGAGATAAATTCTTAATAATCCATTGGTGCAGAGAAAGAAATAAAGTAGCACCCCATGCTTCTCACAGCTGCCTTTTTGTGGCTATTCTCATAAATAATTCTACTGATACTCTCCTTTTCTGTAATTGATTAAAGAGATGCTCGTTCCCAGATAAATTAAAACTCTTTCCTTCTCATCAAAGCCTAGAGCAGCTTTGCTGGGACTTTGCTCCTTCAGCCTAAAGCTGTGTCCACCCTGACAGGAGATCAGTATTTTTGCAAGAAAGGCTGCTAATATAGTAGGGTTTTTGTTTGTTTGTTTGCTTGTTTTTTTTTTTTTTTTTTTTTTTTTTTTTTTTTTTGTATTCTGCTCTTTCATTGTGCTTTAATGTAAATTACTGGTATTTCACTAGTTGTACTGAGCACTTTTTTGCCTCCTTGGTATCAAACCCAATATATTAGTCTTTGGATTACATTTGCCCTCTGCAAAACCAGTGACTAAGAGCTAAAGAGCAGACATAGGCCAAGAATGGTGGCTCACGCCTATAATCCTAGCACTTTGGGAGGCTGAGGTGGGGGGATCACTTGAAGTCAGGAGTTCAAGACCAGGCTGACCAACACGGTGAAACCCTGTCTCTACTAAAAATACAAAAATTAGCTGGAAATCACATGAACCCACGTGGCGGAGGTTACCAGTATTGCACCACTGCACTCCAACCTGGCTGACAGAGCAAGACTCCATCTAAAAAAAAAAAAAAAAAAAAAAACGGAGAACGATCAGTGCCATTGCCATCTGACTTATAAGCATAATTCCATCTCAAACAGTGCTCCTCTTCAATGAAAACAAACTAAATGCACCTTGTGCCAAAGTGTAGTGATGTGCCCCTCTTGTTAGTGTACATGCTGAAGACAGTATCTGTTTTTCCCACTGTAGCTCTATTTTTTACCCTACCTTGGAATTATGCTATTAACTTTTCTATTCTCTTTGATTATAATAGGATTCTGATAACTTTAAAACTCAAAATAGTCTCACTTTAGTAATAGATTCAACCTAGTGTATTCACATGAACTCTTATTTTATATAGAGCAAAATAACTTGTTCAGCTCTGGATTGCTACAGCCTGGAAGCCACATTATGAATGGGATGAAAGATTTGTCTTTGTATTTTTATCTCTTTCTCTGTTTTGAGCTTTGCTACCTCCTGCCTGAGGTTATCTCTGGATCTTCGAGGGTTGGAGATAATGGGAAAGAAAGCAAGGATAAATGTTTATATATATTACACTTTTCAGATTTGAGGACACGAGTGTTGTTACCTTTCTCCTCCTACTCACTTTACAGTTCTCATTCTCAAATCTTTCTGACCGTTTTCAAACTCAGAAATTCCAGTATGGGGAATTTGTACATTGAAGGGTTTAAGGAAGCAGAACTTCTAGGCCATGTGGATGTGGTGCACTCTAAGTACCTGCGGGTTTAGATAAACCTAAGAAGGAAAGAAAGCACAGGGTACATGAGTTTTGATCTCTGATACATTAGAGTCTTGAGAACAAGAATGATGAAGGATCAAGAGAGCCAATGGATAAGACTGGAGGAAAGGAAGCAGTGGGCAGGAATAGTGGAGCTTGAGCAGGTGGGCCCCGGGTGCTGAAGCCTGGAAGGATGGGTGCTGCCTGGACCCACAATGTTCTGTCAATCAGCTTCAGACTCCCTCAGTCACTGCCATAGTCCAGTCAGACTCCTATTTGTTCTCTCTTTCATTCAAGAGAAAAGATCATGGAATGCAATGAGAATTCATAATTGTATTTAAGTTTCATATGATGCCTAAAATTAATTTTATGAGAGACAAAAATATTTTAAACAATTAGAAACAAGGCTTAAATGAAAATTCCTCAAACTCTTAAAATGATTGAATGTATTCACACTAAAGAGTGAATGATTAATATAAAAATCCATCTTTGAAATGATGGCAGAAGGAGAGAAAGACCACTGGACTCCTGATGGGTAGTAGGGTGACAATACCTAATATTCAGATTTGAGATGGCACAAAGATGTTTAAGGAAACCAAGACTTTCTCTCTCTCTTTCTCTTCTTTTTTAAACCACAAACACCTTTGGATAAGTAAAAGCTTTTTCGCAGATATATGACATTTTACATGGGCCATGTCCCAAATGTTCTGTCTCAAAGTACACAGAAAATGACTTAAAAGGGGCATGGGAGCCAGATTCCCTGTGGACAGTAATTCTAATTCTGAAGAACACATGCAGTTGCTCAACAACGCTGCTGGATTGAGAAATGAGGTCTTGAGAATTACCAAAGAAGTGCTTTCAAGATAATAAAGCTTTGCAGTGTTCCATCGCCTGCAGAGGAACAGCAGGACAGACGGTTTTTCCCTCTAAAAGGGCTAAACTTCTGAAACCTTACAATGATGGAACTGAAGCTTTGGAGTTGTTTTAAGTAAATACAGAAAAAAAAAAAAAAAAAATTCTGTCACAGTTCACATCACTTCAGGATTGACATTACCTGCTTTTATTTATTTTTTACTTCGTTTTGGTGATGCTGGTAGAATAGATGTCACTTGAGAGGTCAAGTCTTCAAAACAGGAGGAAAGCAGAGAGGTGAAGCAACTATGTGGAAAATTCAGGGAGATTTGCTGCTCATGCGTACATTAGCCTAGACATTTCTTTGAAGAAGCTGCTAGGTTAAGGAAATGCCAGTGTTAAGAAACTGCTTTTGAAATAACTTTTTGAAATAATGCATTGCTTACGTGGGATTCTTTCACCTCCAGAGTTTTTATGACTAGTGGATCCCTTATTATTTGTCATTTTATGAAAGAATTTCAATAACTGCACATTAGCTGTTTATCTAAACTTCCAACCTTTTCTTTTTAGCTTTTGGCCAGGCCTTTTCCAGTATTTACTTATTTTATGGAAAAACCAAACTTTATCACTAGACACAAAATTTAAGTGAGCGTTGTCTGTCCCTTGAGCTCACCCACCTTTCTCATCAGCCCTGCTCTTGGTGATCCTCTTGCCTCAGTCCGCTTTGGCCCCTACATCCTGGCACCAGTGTCATCATGGGTGCTCTTCTCAAATAGCTTTATTGTATTCTCTCTCTCAGTAAAGATACAGGAAATGGTGGCATTCTTTTTTTTTTGAGATGAAGTCTGGCTCTGTCTCCCAGGCTGGAGTGCAGTGGCGCGATCTCGCTCACTGCAAGCTCCGCCTTCCGGGTTCACGCCATTCTCCTGCCTCAGCCTCCCGAGTAGCTGGGACTACAGGTGCCCGCCACCATGCCTGGCCAATTTTTTGTATTTTTATTAGAGAGAGGGTTTCACCGTGTTAGCCAGGATGGTCTGGATCTCCTGACCTCGTGATCCGCCCGCCTTGGCCTCCCAAAGTGCTGGGATTACAGGCATGAGCTACCACCACGCCTGGTCTGTTTTCACATTTACATTTTAAGTGATCTGTCATTTATTACGGTACAATTGTGAAACAAGGATCCAACTATTCTTTTTCATTTGACAACTAATTGTCTCAGTACTATTTGTTGGATAAAATATTCTTTCCCCACTGAAATGAAATGCCAGATTTATCATTTGTACATTCTAATATGTACCTGCATTATTTTATGAGCTTTATTTAGGTCAAGCGATCTATTTCTCTGTTGTTGTATCTGTACTATACTTTATAGTTAAAACAAAGAAATACATTTAAATTCCTGGAAGGCCACAAACCTCATTATTATTTTCAAAAATTTTGTAGCTTTTGTGCTCACTGGTCAGATTTCAAAAGGAAAAAAAAAGAGTCAAGCTTCTACTTGGAATACTTTAAAATTTATCTAATAATTGGAATGTATCTTACTGGGATTGTATTTTCAATTGGGAAAAGGATATGCCTCTTCCTATTCCTTTCTTGTTAAATTTATACCTAGGTATTATCAAATTTTGTTACTAATGTGAATTAGATTTTTCTCTCTTTTTTCCCTTTTGTATGTTACTTTTACTTATAGAGAAAAACTATTGATATTTGTAAATTTTCTTATATACAGCAACTTTATAGAACTTATTAGCTCTAAAATTATTTTAGTTATTTATTTTGGATTACAAGGGCATATAATTACATTATCTGCAAATGATAATAGCTTTATCTCTTCTTTTTCAAAATATAGTCAGTTAGTGAATGCATTTCCAAAATTTGTTTCATGAGCTAAACTCTATATACTATTGGTGACAGTCGTACCTGTCTGGCTCCTGACTTTATTGGAACGCTTTTAGTATACCACCTTTTAATATTTCCAGTTTCTGATAAATATATTTTTGATGTTTCAGAAATTGTCTTTATTATTATTATTATTGTTATTATTTTGAGATGGAGTCTTGCTCTGTTGCCCAGGCTGGAGTGCAGTGGCACAATCTCGGCTCACTGCAACCTCTGCCTCCAGGGTTCGAGCAATTCTCCCTGCCTCAGCCTCCCGAGTAGCTGAGATGACAGACACCTGTCACCACACCTGGCTAAATTTTTGTATATTTAGTAGAGATGAGGTTCTGCCATGTTGGCCAGACTGGTCTTGAACTCCTGACCTCAGGTGATCCACCCACCTCAGCCTCCCAAATTGCTGGGATTACAGGTGTGAGCTACCACTCTTGGGCATCTTTTTTATTATATTAGAAACATTTTTTAAAAATATTAGAAATATCTGACACATTTTATGGAGAGGGAGTAGTAGTAATCCTACATCATCTGAGAAAGTACATTTGGTCTGATCTGGATTCTTTCTCTGTGTGTCTTCTATTTCTCTTGTCCCATGTGGTCATCAATGGGATGTATGCTATTTACTTTTTTATTTTTTATTTTATGTTTATGTCTTTAACCAGAGCGCATAAAGTGTGGAATCTTTCTCAACTGGTTTCCTTTGGAAGACTTGATTTTGTTCAAAATTTCACCAAATCCTGTCTGTGGACATGTAGTGCTTTCACGCCCTTCTTTCATGTACCTTTTTCCCACCCAGATTTATGTTCTCTTTGGCAACGCTGTTCTCTGTGGTGGCAGCAAACTCAGTGCAGTGAGGGAGGGGGAAATTTTATATCTTCTTTGTTAGTAATAAATACTTTCTGCCTGTAGTCCAAAATAAGAATAAATTACCCACTGTGCAGAAACATGGAAGTCATGATATTCTCAATAAAGCACCATTAAACAGTCCCCTGGCAGTCATGGTTTGGGGTGTTACTGTTTACAATACCGTGGGGGTTACGTTTCCATTAGATTTTGAATAATTTAGCAATAAAATACAAATTGTTTATTCCATAATGTCTAACTTTATTTTGCACTGTTTACACTTTAGCATTTTACTAGTGTTGAGGGATGGCATCCAGGATATTTGCATCTTTACTTCTGACATTTATGTAAAAAAAGAAAGAATGGAGGAGACTTTGGGTTATCAAGCAAGTTGGCAATGTGGATGATTATAGTTATGGCTCTCAAGTTAATTCTTAAAAATTAGACCTTTCCACAATCAAATAAAACTGGATAATTGACATGTCTCTGAGTATTTTCCGTTCTAACAATATGTGGTACCAGTAAGAACTTTAATGCACGATATTTTATCCTTTGCTTGCTATGTAAGATGTCTCTAAATTTACTATTTACCTTCCTTTGGCCTTTTACCATGCTAGTTGTTTTATTTTTCTCATAACTAAGATTGCCTCATTCTCACAAACCTCCTTTATTTGGTAAACTTTTAAATTTGGTTGCCACTCTCTGGATTTCTTTCCATTTCTTGATGTACTTTGATGAAGAAAACTCAAAACCTGAATTCTTATGGCTTTTAAAATGCCAAGTAGGGCAAAAAAAATTACCTCCCTTGTTTTTACATGTGATACTGTTATTAACAACTCTTCAACTTAGTGTGTATTTTTTGGGCAAGAATACTTAGTGTTGACTAATCATTTCTATTTCCGTTTCTTTCCTTATAATCTTGAGGGCAATGCATAAAAAAAACAGAAAATAAAATTTAAAGCATGCAGCAGAGATGGAGGGGATCACAGGAAGGTGGTATTTTGGCTTTTCAAAATTAGCTTACCATCTGTGATATTTGCTAGGCAAATAAAGTTTGGGTATTAAATCAACAATATATTGACAATTATATAAAATCTGAATGCCACCTTGCATCTACTATACTTTAGTAATGATGTAAATAGTATCACATTAAACATTCTTTTTGCCGATGCTATTATAATTTTACTTAGTTCCTGTAGTTCTTCAGCTTTTAGTTTTACACTTCCAACTAATCATCTCATTTTATCATTTTACTTTTATTCTAGATACAAGTCCATACTTACTGACCGTAAGTATGAATTCAAGGGTATTTCATAGCATTTTACAGATTGTAAAGAGATTTCAGGTACATAATCTCACTTGATCCTACAGCCTTATAGCGTGGCCAGAAAATAAATTCTTAGCTCCGCTTTACAGATGGAAATGGAGGCTCAGACGACTTCTCAGGCTGTCTAATGGATTAGCAAATGTGGCTAACACATGGATACCCATTAGTAGAACCTGGGCCAACAAACAGTTCTTTTGACCCCTGGTCTTTGCTTGTTCCAATACACATCTTCACAGAAAAGTTTGGTTATAATTTAGCTCTAGGTTTCATCACTGAGGTCAGACTATGCCACAGCATGTTGATGGAAGTACTTAAGAGTAGATGGAATGAAAATGGAAAACATAAGAAGGAAGGAAGAAAGAAAGTAAGTCGAGGAAGGAGATAAAGAGAGCAGAGTCTCATGCAATTGCCTGTGGGTCAGTGGTACCACTGTCACAGGTCACCAATCCAAATTTAATAATTAAATATAACTGAGCCGTTTATTATTTAATGTGTAAAAGATGCCAGTAGGAGGATATATGGGTATCTGTTACTTGTGTAACTAATATTCCCAATTCGTGTGTGTGATTTATGTTTGTTATAGTAAGAAAATTAACCAACAAAATCTTTAAGCCCTGGACCTCCGAAATCACATGTATTCCTTTCTCAGGAAGAGGCAGAAGAGCCTCACACACTCACCTCACTGCCACTGTGAGAGCTGCTTCCTGTCCTGGGACTAGCCTGGGTGTTGTTCCTCCTGAATTCAACCAATCCTCCCACCTCAGCCTCCCATAGTGTTGGGATTACAGGCGTGAGCCACTGCACCTAGCCAACACATATTTTTGAAACATGGTCTGTGACAGTCACAAAGTATGTAGAAATGAATAGGTATTTGTTTGAGGGAAGGCAGATGCTTATAATATATTTTGATAAAGGGACATTTAGTTGTATAAATAAGAAATCTTGCTTGGGAGGCCATCATCGCCCTAATAGGAGGATTACTCATTTATCCACATTTGGCCTCTCAACCCCTTTCCTATTTTAGAAGGTGGCGTGAGAGTCCATTCTTGGAGTGACAGACAGCCAATGGCATTAAAGGTATTAAATACTTTACCCTGTTATGTTGTGGACTGGCAGGGGACCACTTTACTAGTTGGTAGGAAAACCCACTAGCACAAAAACTATTTTTAGTAGCAAATGTGCATTAAATGCTGTCATGCAATTAGACATCCTTGCAGATCAGGGACACAGTTAAGTAGACAGAAAAGTTAGTGGGATAATATTGTGGTATTGAACTACACCAGGGATAATAGCATTGATTCACCCCAAAAGGATATTGTAAATAATAACCAATTAATTGTTGCAGAAATTTTGAAAGTAAATCAATGAAAATCAGGGAGACAGATTGGGCAAGTCAATGATTTTGTTCAGTTTTTTCGAAAATCCTCCTGAGTCCTCTGTGGTCAGGGTTAATGACATATTTGCAGTTCTGCCTATTAGAGGCCTTGAGAAATTTTATCTTGTTGTTGTGACCTGAGTGCAGACTCTTCTGAAGTACCTATGCTTTCTTCTTTGCTCATTACTGAAACCTGAAAACAACAAGGCTGACAGTAGAAAAACACCTCTAGAAACCTCAGGGGAAAAATTATCCTTCAGTGTTTATTTTGCCTGAGGAAACAACCAGAAGTCTCTGATGATGAAGTGAAGGTCCATCATTTTGGAAAAGTGTCCAGGAAAGATGTGTTTTTCTGTCTCCTGCATTGCAGTCTTGCCATTCGCCTTTTCCTTTTCTCAAAATGCAAATAGCATGCATTGGCTTCTCTGACCCTCCGTCTTTCCTGTCATTCCTACAGTTATGTTGAGAAAATGACATCTTTACACAAGGTCAAGTATTTGCCATGTTAGAAACAATATTTTTTCCCAAGAATTCTGTTTTCAAGATACACAGGTAAGAAGTTAGTTTACTTAAATCCTTCAATCAACTTTTATTTATTTGAACCATAAATAATGTACCCACTTTATAGAAATTTTGGATGAGTTACATGGAGGTTAGCGTTTAATGAAAGTTTTATCCTTCTTTACTCTGTCATCTCTTTGAGTCCCTGGTGGTGTTCAATAGCCTAAGCATTCCTCCTGCTTGAGGTTGTTTTTAAGATATGGTAAAGTTATGAGGCAGTCATTGCAAACAGATGAAAAATGACAGCAGCTTTAAGGACATGTGTGCACCTAAGGGAAGATTTTGAAGGTTTAAAATTAGCCAAAGATTACTCCTCAATTTTCTTCAACTCCCAACCAATATAAAGATACTCACTTTCTAAATAGACTAGCTGAAAATAATTTTAAAATGCTTATTATTGTACTAATTCATAATAAGAACAGCTTACGTACACTGGGTGCTTCCTGTGTGCATCTGATATGCATTATCTTATTTAATGCTCACCATGAGTGTGTATAGTAGATCTTTTAATAATCCCCCACTTTACTGGTAAATTGGCTATCCCTTCACCTCACCCTTACATCATCACCAGTCCTATTGATTTGATTCTATCTCCAGTATACAACTCAAACAAGCCACTGAGCTCAAATCCAGGGGCAATGTGCTAATTTAAGTCACTATTATCTCTCACTTAGCCTGCTGCAATAGCAATTTTATTTTCCATTCTGACTCCCATCCAATTCTCTTAGTAGCCAGAATTACCTTTTAAAAATGCATATTGAGTCATGTGGCTCCTCCACAAAAAATTCTGGTCTGCAAAATTCTGCAGGCATTGACCCACCATGCCCTGCCTGTTCTGACCCTGCTGCTTACTTCTCCATTCTTACCTTTTACAGCCTCTTCTTGCTCACCCCATTCCAGGCTCATGGTAGTCTTTCCCTTCTAGAGCATGCATTCTTGTCTTCACATGTGCTGTTTGTACCCAGGCTGCCTGAAGTACTCCCCCAGAATTTGCCTGGCTACTCTAAGTCCTTATTAGTTCTCTGATAAAAGACTGCTCCTCAACGTTTCCCCAACTTAGCCATCTAAACGAGGTTGATTTGCTCTATGCTCTCATACAGTGTTCATATCTATATATTTGTATCTCTATGTCATAAATTCTGTTGTTTTATCTACACAGGCAGATTTTTGTCTTGCCAATTAGTATGCAGGAAGACATTTAATGATTTTTTCACTGTAAGTCAAAAATCCTTTAAGATTTCATTAATAATTTTTGGAGGTGCTTTTTAAGAGTTGGTGACCAAAAGAAGCCAACGTAGCATAGTATGCTAACATTTTATTCTAAAATCCTGGTTTGCAGTGTTCTGTGGGAGCTTTTTCTGAAACCTCTGCCTTTCCCTACCCAAGTCTTAAGGCCACCCATACCTTGACTCCACCACCAATCAGGATCTAGCCAATACAGCAGGTGCAGGACTTCCCTTCCGAAATTACCACTCCCAACTCCCTGGGGCAGTAACACTTAACTTCCTCCGTCCAAAATGCATAGCAATTCTACCTGGTCCAGCTTCTAGCTACAAACCCACACCCATTACAACTTGATCTACACAAAACAATCCAGCCACCAAAAACTGTTTAAAAAGCTGTGGAATATGTGTAACTTAGGATCTATTTTCTATCAGTATATCAAAGAGATATCTGCACTCCTATGTTATGTTTATTTCTGTGATCAATTATTCAATGAACGTCTTCTCACTAGACTAAACTCTATAATAGCAGAAAACATTATTATCATGTTTGTAGTTATACCTCCTAACCCTAGCACAGTGCCTGGATCATGAAAAGCAATCAGTACACAGTTCTCGAATGAATGCAATAACTTGCACAAAATCACACAGCATTAAGTGTTGGACCCAGAACTTAAATCCAGATATGCATCTGATTCCAAAGGCCGTGCCCGTTTAAAAAGAATACCAAAAAGCCACAGCTGACGTAATTACTATGAAATGTGTATACAAACGCGTATGTGGCCTTACACAGATTTTATTTGTGTTTGTGAATTAAAGGTGTGCAAAATGTAGTTTTGGAGAGGCTGCATCTTGGTGACATGGCCTAAAATTCATTCATGCCTAAAAGAGCACCGGAGGCCATTATGAGAACGTGTAGATGTATTTTTGCTAAAAGTGATCTACTGATCATTGATCATCTCACCATCTTCCTCCTCTTATCGCATAATTAAAAACTAGAGAATGGAAAGAAATCTCCAGGATCATAAGACAAAATAATGCCCAGTAAAGTTTCTGTTTCAAGGAATTGAATGGCACTTTCCTGTCATGGCAATAGAAGATTTAAAGGCATGGATTTATGTAAATTCTTTGGGGAGCTGTCACATGGCCCACAAGGTTCATCTTCAGTCAGGTATCAGAAGGTTCTGCAAAGAAGCATAGCAGATAACATCTAGCAATACATAGGAGATAACATGTAGCAATGTTCTGGGCTAGCCAGTTCCCCAGGAGGCTCCCTCTGTGGTTTCTGAATGGCCCATTTCATTCTGCATACAAAAAAAGAGCAGTGTTTTCTTTCATTAGGTTTTATTCTCATATTATCAATGGTAATTCAATTATTCATTTATCCATATACTGGTAGGTGATTCCCAACATCATTTATTAAATTGAAAGTAACAAAATTCTAAGTTATACTTGCCACCAATCCAATTTCTCTTTTTTTGTTATAAATATAATACTTTAGAATATTTGGAAAGTATTGAAAAAAGTGGACTGATTATTTAAAAGTCTCCAAACCTATGGATATCCACAATTAATATTTTGATGTGTGTATGGACACATACATCTCAATGCTCACACACACCATTACTACATGGTTAAAGAAACTGAGGCTTTCCCTTTCTATGAAACATAGCAGGAATTCTAGTATACCAAGACGAAGGGTTTCACATTGCCTTTCATTCCATGTCAAGTGCAATGCTTAATCTCTACGCAGACGTGACCTGGTCTTCTCCCAGTCCTCCCCTGGATAAGTGGAATTTTCATTGGTTGGAGTGGTACCCTGACGCTAAGCTGTCTCTCTTCACTTAGCGATTGAGGGGATGATAAAGGGGTTTTGCTTATAGCTTAGCTCTTAAGGACTACAAAGCTAGGCTCTAGTAAGGGTCAAGATTGTGAGCCCATTTGTGAAATCAAGTCATAAGTCACTTTTGCCACTATTTGAAGTCACAAGATTCCCCCTTATTCAAAAAGATATACGTAATATACAGAGATAACAAGAAAGATTTCCAAACAAGATTCTATAAACAAGATAATTTAAACAAGATTCATGAAGATGTTACTCATTTTCTTGGTCCAGGTATACAGCTTATATTTCAAAACAATCTATAATTGCTTTATCTTACCTTGCTTATGGCAAACTCCTCTTTTTTCTATCTTGAGAAAATAAAGACAACAGAAATGTCCTAGAACTATTTATTTAATTTAATTAATCAAATTTAACTCTTATAAGATACCTAAGGTTACATAATATATTTGCTTAGAGTGCCGTAACAAAGTACCACAGACTGGGTGGTTTAAACGGCAGAAACTCGTTTTCTCACAGTTCTGCAGGCTAGGGGTTCGAGATCAAGGTGTTGGCAGAGTTGATTCCATTCAGAGGCTTCTCTTCTTGTGTTGTAGATGGCTGTGTTCTCACACGATCTTCCCTCTGTACATGTTTGTATCCTAACATCTTCTTAAAAGGACACCATTCATATTGGATTAGAACCCATCCTAATGACCTCATGTTAATTCAATTATTCTCTTTAAAAACCTTACCTCCACATAAAGTTATATTCTGAGGTGCAAGAGGCAAGGACTTCAACATATGAATCCTGGGGGGAGACAATTAAGTCCATTGCACGTAGGTGGTGAATTAAGGGTCTGAGGTTTAAACAATGTTTTTTTTCTGACTCAAAGACCAGATTTTTTCACTGGACGAAAGCTGCCTCTATGTTGTTAATTCTCTTCTCCACTGCCTATATTCCATATCATTAAGCAACTTCACCTCCCACCATCCCAAGGTGGAGCTAGTTGCTAGTAAGATTTTGAAGAAATTAAAGTCCTTCCTCTCTTCAGAAGGTGGAGTAGATGAACTATAAGGATAAGAGGTGGCAATCCGTAAGTAAAGTGATTGAAATGCAGATTATGAAAGTTGTATCATTATTAGTCTGGAAAAGAGACATTTATTGAATGAATATAAATTGTTTGCCACTAACTGCTAGACTTATTGAATTCTACTCAACTAGTGAGATCTAGTTTAAGGGGAAAACAATAGAAAGTCCCTAGGTCTATCTAGTCATTGTTTTATTTGTTCTTCACCATAACCTGTTAGGTGGATAAAGTTCCTTTATTTTTATCATTTTAGAGAATAAGGAGTAGAAGCTCAGAGAGTTTGTGTAACTTGCTCAAGTAGTGGAACTAGGACTCCAACCCATTTCTTTTGATTCAGAGTACAGTGATCTTTTGCCTGTACTTGCTGTCTCCCCATTCAATGTACCCACAGGATGCTGTGTGAAGTTCTGTAGGTAATTTGTAGATTCACCACGGGATGTGCTCTCAAAGAACTTTCTTTGTGAAACATCAAACTATCATACTCCTCACCCTCCTCACTCTGCCCCTACTGAAGCCTACAGGTGCAGAAATGGATATGCACATCCACACTCATGATGTCTTATAGTCTTATATCTTTCTTTCTTTCTTTCTTTTTTTTTTTTTTTTGGAGACAGAGTTTCACTCTTGTTGCCCAGGCTGGAGTGCAATGGTGTGATCTTGGCTCACTGCAACCTCCGCCTCTTGGGTTTGAGCAATTCTCCTGCCTCAGCCTCTCAAGTAGCTGGGATTACAGGCATGCGCCACCACGCCTGGCTAATTTTTTGTATTTTAAGTAGAGATGGGGTTTCTCCATATTGGTCAGGCTGGTCTCAAACTCCTGACCTCAGGTGATCTGCCTGCCTCCGCCTCCCAAAGTGCTGGGATTACAGGTGTGAGCCACTGCGCCTGGCCATGAAGTCTTATTTCATATTATACTTTTATTCATGTTCTAGAAGTGGGACTTACTCAGAAGTGTAAGCAACTGACTGCTATGGAGTATGACTGGAAAGTTCACAAGCTCACATCTGCCCTAAAATATCTCTCCACCTATCTGCCAAGATGCCATACTTTCTTTCAACCAACTTTAACATCTTATCTGTAAGCATACTAGAATTGGAAAAACAAACAAACAACAAAAAAACCTGGTTCAATTATTTCTATAACAGTGCCTTTCACTAGTGAGTGTGAAATCAGTTTTGCAGGTCAAAACCAGCATTTCAAATATGAAGTAGAAAAAATAAAATAGAAAATATTTAAGTGAAGTGCATGAAATTGGGGGAAATATTATTTCATGACATTTTGTTTCCATTTTTTTCTTTGTGTATGTGAGACCTCACATACTAAATCCTTATGAAAAATTTATTTCTTGGGAGATGACAGTGAAAAAAAAGGTTAAGAAGTAATCTTTTTTAAAAAATAACTTTATGCTTTTTGATTTGAGGATTGTTTTGACAATATGATAAAAGTTATGGTTCTTCTCTCAAAATAAAGGCACACAAATCTACACACCTATGTTTTGGGTACAAACGTAAAGGGCTGATAAACCATATGACTCTCATCCACTGTGCTCAAGTTGAGGACATCTGCTCTAGCTAAAAATGGCATGTATTCTCTGGAAAGGGAAGAAATGGCCCTGGAGATCTCTTCTGTGCTCTTGGCCTCAACATTTAAATATTCAGCCTGAATGCCTTTAGTATTTTAAAGCTAACAGCATAGCCTGAAGCGGATGAGATGATGAGATGTTAGCACATTTGGTTAATAACTTTTTATTAAATAAAGTAAAACTAAGTATATGGCGATGTTCAAACCATTCCACACCAGCTCCACTGAACTTACATTCCAAAGAGGAAGAAAGGCAATAAGCAACTAAATAATAAATGAATGAAGTAATTTCAGATAGGGTTAAGTGTTATAGAGGAAATAATTGGAATGATGAAATAGAGAAAACTGGAGAGGAGGTGCAATAAGTTAAGGAAGATACAGTAGTTTATTGTGAATGAAGGTCCAGGGAATGCCTCTTTTTTATTAGATATGATTACTGTACCAATATCTGTGGTCATGCCTCCTCTACCACATTACAACTATCAGTGCTTTACAATATTTCAAGAACTCCATGAATATTTGTAGATTGGTGACTTTATTTCAGAATTGATGGAGAAAATATCATGGCTAAGAGTATAGATTCTAGCATCAGACTGCCTAAGATTGGATCCTTGCTTTGTCCTTTACTGACAATGTAGTTGGAGGGAAGTTACTTAATCTTGTTGACTTTCTATTTCTTCTAGTTTATCTCTAAAATGGGAAAAATAGTATTACCTACATGATAAGGAGGATTAAATAGGTTAAGATATGTAAAGAGCTTGTGTATTACATTTTCTGGTTATCCACTCCAGAATTCAGTGGCTTCAAGTAACAGGCATTTTATGATATCTCACAATTTTCTGGGTCAGAAATGTAGGCAGATCTCAAAAGGGCAATTCTTCTCCTTCATTCTTCTGTTTCATCGGTTGGCCATTGGTGGTATTTGGCTGGCAAATGAGCTGGTTGGGAGGTCCAGGTGGCTTTACCCACATATCTAGCATGTGTAGGTATGACTGGAAGGCTGAAAAGATTGACCAGATGTCCTACTTGTGACCTTTCCAGCAGACCTTCTCAGGATAATCAGATTTCTTATGCAGAAGCTCAAGACTCTGAGACAGAGTGTTTTAAGAAAAGAGAAATAGGTGCTGCCAGATTTTTAGGGGCCAGGTCCAGAAACTAACACAGAGACAGTTTTGTCCTGTTCAACTCATCAAAGCCATTAGAGATACAACCCAGATTGAGGGAGGAATTCTAGATTCCATCTCTCTATGGGAAAAATATCAAAAAATGTATAGCCATCTTTAACCTGCCACACTATCTACAGCACTTAGAAAGTACTAGTTAAGACTCTAAGCTATAATTATTTTATCTTGTTTTTACCTTTCAAAAACTCTGGTTATGTTTATTTCAGATTGAGTAGCAAAATCAACCTTTAGCCTTGATTTCTCTTTACCTTTTCCGTCCCTAATTTTTAAAATAGCCCTCATCAGTAGGTGCCAGTTGGAGATTTAAAAACAGGCATGCCCTATACAAGCCAGTGAGTATTAATTGTGAGTGTTTCCCTCTCATGGTAGCAACAGTTTTTATTTATGTCATAAGTCACACATATCTTGGTTTCAGTATATTCATTGGTAGCCCATAATCCCACTAATATTACCACACAGCTGTGTGTGTTTCTTCTTCAGAGAACAAGGGAACAAGACTTAGCAGCAAGGTGATATCTGAGTACATTAAAATTCATAGTGAACAATAAAATGTTTCTTGACCCATATACGACTTGACTGAACCCCAGTTTGTTACTTTTTTCTCCCCAATATCAACAAAATCTTCCAAATTAAAACAGCAGAAACACAAAGCCACATAAAAAGTTGAACGAGTTCACATTTTAAAATTTCTTGTAAAAGACTGATGATTGTGTGACCTTAATCTAAACAGACATTTCCTGTAACCGCTTATGCCCCATAAGGAATCTGCAGCTAATAGGGCCTCTGCATTCTTATCTATTGGCTTGGCTGTCTGAATGAGTATGTATTTGCTTTGACCATCTGCTCCTATCCCTCATTTTTTATTTAATTTTTTTTCAGATTTAATACTGTCCTGAGGTACACAAATGCTCTTTTTGGTTTGTGAAGCTCAAGGTCAATTTAAAGGCAAGTCCCTAGAGAAGTGAGCATTTGTGACTAGGTCATCTATTTCCCTGAATCTGTTACAGCTTTTGAGACGTATGTAAGAAGGAGAAAGCAGATAAGCCAAATTGGTTTTTGAGACGAGGGGCACCTACAAATGTAGCACTATTGACCATGAAAGTGTAGCATAATAGTATTTATTTGGAAAAAGATCCATTTGATCATTTTATCCTCTGGGAAGCTACAATGTCTACATCTTTCTTTTATTAAAAAGTTCGTTAGAATGTAACCCATTCCACCCTCTTCAACCACACCCCCGCCCACGCAGCCCCGGTTTTGTCTATTAAACAAATTCTGTTTTGAGATCATTTTCCCTAAGTTTCCCAGAATTACTACTCCCCCCTCTCAAAACTGTTTTAATTTGTGTAACAAGGCTACTCCAGAGGGATATTTGCTAGCAGGAGTATTGATCCAGTAATGGAGTTGCAGTTCAATTGCGGTGACAAGAAGCCCGATTTTTTTTTTTTTTTTTTTCCTTTAAGGATGATCAAGATATTTAGATTCCAGAGGGTAAAATTTGCACATGAAATCACCTGATTTTCCTCGTGACATTACGTTTTACTGCTTAGGCAATACACTTGCCTTAGCAGTTTGTTAGAAGTTCACACATTTGCACCTTTTAAATAGCTTTCAAAAAGAAGGCTGTGATTCTCTCTCGGGGAGAGAAAAATTGCCCTCTCACAAGTGGGAAGTTGATATTCCTTGGAGACCACCGGTCTTCTCATGTGTGACATTATTCCCATTCTCATACTGAGACTCTTACAGACTTTATGTGAAGCACAGTGTGGTGGAAGGAACACTAATGAGGAGCCAGGAGGCCTGGCTTTCATACTCTTCTGCTCTTCATCAGCTGCTGATGCTGGACTAGGCACTTAACCTTTCTGACGGTCCTCTTCCTCTGCCATTTTAAAACAAGCATAAGTTGCTATGTGATCTTACGGGCTCCTTTCCATTCTAAAAGACAAACCAAGGTATAACAAGCTTAAAATATTAATAGCTTTGGTATGAGTTGAAAATGGACAGTGTCAAAAAAAAAACTTTAAATCATTTTTGTTTTAATGTATTCCTTAATGCTAGTGTGAGAAACTCATTTCTTTCATCTGAGATTTTTAACCAAAAGCTGGCCCTGTTGTCCTCACTTCTGATGAGACAATCTGAGAACCTTGCATAGGGTGTGGATGTGGAACATGTTGAGCTGATGTCAGAGTTTCAGTCACCTTTACACAGCAGCGTTTCCCATCAGACTGATGTTCACACTTCTATTTCTGGCAGCAACCTGCTTGGCCACAGGGTTTGTACAATTTCTCTTTTTTTCTCAACACAGCAATTTCCCAGTGCATGTAAACTCTGTGTTAATTATTTTGGCTATTAACTAGGAAAGAAGAAAAGCTCACATTTGCTAAATCCAGAATGACGGAGTGGATTCAGAAGTGCTCTCTCAACAAAGTGGTTTACACTCTGGAGCTAATGCAAACTCTCTTTGTTTCAATGTATTGCTCGCAAATATTGATTAATCATTTTTCTTTATTAGCTTATGCCCTCTTGGTGGTATAATGCATTTGACTTTCCTTCTGTCTTCCAGGAGAGTGGGATATTATAAACCTGAGCTGACACTTCAGCAAAAGGGTTCCAGAGGTTTCTAGAGATGGGGAAACAGATGATTAATGTCAGTCTCCTCTAATAAAAAATAAACGTTAGAGAGAGAGGGTGTGTTTTTTCTTACGTCCTTTAAAACCTTGTGCTATGAGTATGCGACAGTAGTGAGGCAGAAGACACTATGGTGAAATCATTCAGTTCAGGAGGCTCATTCTTCTATTAATTCCACAGTGCTTCCTGGACACAGTTTTCTGTGCCTTTTAAAGAAGGGCCAGAGGCCTATTCTAAAACCTGTATGGCTGTCAAATAAATATCACTGTGCCGGCAAAAGAGAGATTCTGGTTGAGGCCTTTCCCTCTTAACTACCTAAGGACTGTATATTTTTAGGTACAAAGGAAAGAATTAAGCTGCCTTTTGTGTCCCAGTTGATAAGCATAGTCTTAACAGTCAGAACTCTCTGGCTCTAAGCATGAAAAGAAACTTTTAGTTTACACATAAAAGGGGTGCTTCACACACAGGACAAGGAAATGGGAAGTTATAAGGACCCCGGACATTATCTCCCTGTACATCTGTTTTCTTCTCAAGCTGGTTTTTATCACTCAGTCAACACCATGGGGAAGATAGCCACTTCACAGGCCTTGAGATCTCTATCTTATTTTAGGAAAACGGAGCATACTAAACCAAGGGCGTTTCCCTCTCAGTTCTAAATTCAGCAGGAGAGGATTTTATTGTCTCAGCTCATGTCAAACAAGTACTTTTCCTTGAATTAATTAGGGGAAGGGGGTTTGGTAAAGAAACATATATGTGGCTGCCAGGAAGATCCTCTCACTGCCTCTTCATCTTCTCTACCACTATGAATGAAAGAAGCCAGTCAAGAATGATTACCTAAAGGACCTTTGACCACTGTCAAAGACCTGAACTTTCATAGCCACACCCGAAAGTAAAACACAACGTATGTTCTCAATTGATCTGCCTTGTAGATGCTTGTCAAGAGGGGTTTTACCTTTGTGCCAATATAGAAAGTAGGACCCAAAGCTGTGGACAAGACATACTCTTATTACCATTTCTTTGAAATTTAGACACTGTTACTGACTTTTTACTGCAGAAGAGAGGGATTTTACTCCCCTTCACAGCCGACATCCTTACCACACCAACACTCATGCCTGTTCCTCTCTCCTATTCCCACATTTATATGCACCACTGTCACACAGCACATTTCCTGTTTCCACAATATCAATTTTGGATAGAACAATAATTCGTGTTTATATTATTATTAATATGTAAATGTTATTTACATAGAACTATGTAAAATATAGCATAAGCCAGAATTGGTTAATCCATACTGTAGTAACAATCAACACCAGAATTTCAGTGGCTTTCCGTCGTGCAAAATCAGCTCCAGGTTCAAGTGACTCTCCAGGGCATTTGTCCTTCATGCTTGACACAGCTATCCAGAATGTTCTGATCTTGTGGCTGCACCCACTCAATAATAATTTCAAAGGGAAAGGAGAGAGAGAAGGGAGTGGAAAATCCAGGGGCTTTTCATTGCTTCAGACCAGAAGTGATCATTTGTTATTTTTGCTCACACTTAATTGACTCAAACTAGTCACATGGCTTTGTCTAATTGCATGGATATTGGGATATGAAATTTTCAGGAGGGAAAACTGAATGGGATATTGGTGATGTCTATTACATGTCAGATTACTTTTTCTCTTTTTTCCACTTTTTGTTGAGTTTAAAAATTCCTGAAGGTTATACTTATTTTGTTATTTTGTTTACTCATATAAAATATGAGTTTCATCTACTTGACCATATCTCCCCTTTAGCATTTTGACCAGTTTCAATCTCGACTGGGTTTTCTCCATAACAGTTTTGGAGTTGTTTTCCTGGGACTCTTTCTGCCTCTCACTTTGAGTTGATCCCAAATATTCCTCTTTTGGTTTTACATCTTCACTTTGATGGAGCATGTCGTACATGATTTCTTGAGATGGGTACATTGGAGGTAAATTTTTCAATAACTCATATATCTAAAAATGCATTTCTAAATTTCATTTTTATATCTAAAAATTTCTTTATTTTACATCATTTTATTTTTACTTTGAGATTGTGGCTGGATATAAAAATCTAGTTTGAAAATAACTTTTTCACAGGATTTTAAAGGCATTTTTTTGTTTTATCTCTTGTAAATAGTGCTTCTGTGGAGAAAGAGCATTTTTATTCTGGTATTTTATGTCTTTTTCTTTTTCCTTTTGAAACTCTTGTAGAATCTTTGTTTCTAGCATTTTGAAAGTTTGCAATGACGCTTAATGTGTATCCATTGCATTGGCCACTCAATGGGTCTTTCAAATTGAATGACTCTTCAATTCAGAGAAATTTATAGAAAACAAATTTAACTTATTTTTTTTCTCCTGTTAACCTTTTGGTATCTCCTATTTTGTGAATATTGTACCTCCTATACTGGTCCTATAATTTTCCTATCTTTTCTATTTTATATTTAGTTTTAAAATATCTTCTTTTAATGTTTTTACTTAATTTTTAATTTCTACTTTAATATTTTAGATTTCAAAAGTCTCTTTCTTATGGTTTTTTTTTTTTTGTCTTTTTTTTTTTTTTGGTAGAAGTGGCAGTTCTTGTTCCATGGATGAAATAACTTATCTTTTTTTCTCTGAGAATATTAATAATGCTTTTCCCCCATCTCCTTGAATAGATTCCCTTTTCTTCAAGTTTCATATTGCTGTTGGCTTATTTTGGTTCGTTTTTCATGTTAGAAACTTTCCTCAGATATCTTGTGATTTTTGGATGTATGCTTATGTATGAGGATTGCTCACTATAAAGCTGACTGGAATGTTTGTATGTATGTGTGTATGTGTGACTTATTGATTATAGGTTTAACTGTAAACTGTTCTTATTAGGTGATCTCATAGGGGATCCTAAATCAATAGGTTTAGATCTTTTTCTTGTAAATAGCTCAGATTCTTCGATAAAAATTCTCTCATGCATGGATGGTATAAATCTGTCTACCAGCATCCCTAGAGCTAGGAGGAAAAAATAGGACTGGGGATTTCAATATAAATGTATAGACTTTTACTTAGTTCCCATGTTTTCAGTACAGAATACTTGGTTCAAAGTTCTGGTATTGGTATCTCTTAATTCTGAATCGCTCTGCACTACATTCCACATTCTAAATCTCTGGTATTCTGCCAGTGTGAAAGTGGCACAGATCTTTGGCTGAGCAGCATAGAAGGGGAAATCTTGAAGTCTTATTGCCTCTCATACAGGCTTTCAATAAGTCCTCTTATTCCTAGTTCACATTCCCTTGTACTTCTACATGTTAATGGTCTCCCCTAGATTCATGAGATTTTTGAGAGTGTATGAAGCAAATTGAATAATTTTTTTTTCAAATCTACTTACTGCTAGCTTAGGATTTAGCTTCCTGGGGTCTCCAAATTATTTCTTACTTATTCTGCCTTCCCAAATGTTGTGATTATTGTTTTTTTCCCTATGCTGTTTTTCTAAGTTGGAAAACCCCTTATATTGACACTTAAAATTGTATTATGAAAATTTTCAAGCATGTACAAAATTTTTAAGCATGTAAAAAGTACAGAGATAATAATAATAATAAGCTTCTATGTACTCACTTAGCTTCAACAAGCACCAATATATTGTCAATGTATTAATCAACCCCTCTTCTCCTCCTATTCCAACTTCCCACTAGAATGTTTTAAAACAAATCCTAGACACACATAATTTAATTTATAGGTAATGCTCACATTAATGTAACAGGTAAAGACTTAAAAAACCTAATTGTAAAACAACATCAGTAATTATTTAAGATAACCTAGTACCAAAATCCATTTCAATTCTCTCTGATAATCAGAAAAAGTTGTCTTCTTACTTTTCTTTCTTTTTTAAAAAAATTAGAATCTTCATACTGTCTGGCTGATCAGCAAGCAAGCATAGTTGACCCAGTCATCAAACATGAGAAATATGACTGCTGTATCTCCACCCATTTCTGTGGAAGGTTGGTGGCATAGGTAGACATGACCACATGCCCACGACCACTTCAGGAGTCTTCGTTTAAGTCTTTTACCCAAGCACATTTGTTGACAGTGTCTTTAGTCATGCTCAGAAGTGTTATGATTTGGACAAGAAATTATGTAGTCACTCTACGCATATGGACAGGTCCTATCACCAATGGAGAAAGCCCATAAGGAATTTTAATACTTTATTTTCTCTACAAGTCTTAGGTCTTGCAAAGGCCCTACTTTTTAAAATGGGCTCACAATATCCATTCCTCTTCTTTTACCCACTTCCCATTTGAAGAGGGGATTGAATAGTCAGGTTACTTTCCTTTATAGTGTGTAGCATGCTCTTGAGGTATTGCTCAATGTCTTCAGTCCAGAACTTCAGTCTGGGCATGGAATTCTCATTCTACAACCCTAAACTTGAAACATTGACCTTGGGTACAAATGTGAGATTCACTAATTTGAGGGTGGAGATGATTCATAGTACAGTTATTATCATTCTTTAATTAATTACCTGAACAGCTCCTTGTGGCCTGTTCCATCTCCCAGACCCTGTGCCTTTTGTTCTTTGTGTGATTTGGTGCTTAAAAAAAAATCATTTATTTTGAGCTCTTCTTTGTTTGTAAAGGACTTATAGTTCTGCAGCTATGTTAGATTTCATTGTCAGTCTGTTCCCACTTGCTTCATATTATCTTCCAGGAATTCTTTGCTTTTCTGGTTTGTGGTGGTGTAACACCTGACTTTCAAGTGCTTTTATGAGTTTACTTTTTATCATTTTACTTACTGTGTCATTAGAAAAGGGATTTGAGGAAGCAGGGAAGGAAGCTTAACTCAAGAGTGTTCGGTAAGCCATCATGAATGAGAACCTCTATGTGTTTTTTCTTATTATTACAGACTTCTTGAAATTTTATTTCAATTTTTCTCCAGTTTTATATATATTATTTATTTTATATTATATATATAAACTTGCAGAGACAATCTTCCAATAGAAAATCTACTGAATATGACAACAGATGTGCATAGTCATATGCGATCTATAACTGCTAAAATCTCTCACCCAAGAAAAAAGAGATGGGCTTATTCTCCACGATTATAAGGAGAAGTTCTACTAGAAAATTAGAATTCTATTCAAGAAAGATAGATAAAACTGATGTGATTCAGAAAAATGCAAATAAAAATGGTAATTAATTGCCACTACACTCTCACCAGAATGGGTAAATGAGAGAGACTGATATCACCAAGTGTTGGCAAGGATGAAGAGTAACCAGAATTTCTTTACCAGATGGTAGGAGTAAAAGCTGGTAAAAACCATTAGGAAAACTGGCATTGTCTACTAAATCTGAGCACACACAAATCCAGAAATTTAACTTCTGAGTTTATATCCTATAGAAATGCATATATAAGTGCACCAAAAAACACTTAAGAGAATGTTCATAGCAGTATTGTTTTTCAGAAGCCTGAAACTGGAAAGAACCAAATGTCCATCAACAGAAAAATGAATAAGCAAATTATAAATACCCATACATTAGCATACACAGCATATTAATACTATATAGCAATAAAAATGACAAACTGCTGCTACATACAACAGAGCTCAATCTCACAAAAGTTATGTTGAACAAAATAACAGACACAAAAGTGTACAAAATTGTATATATTGTATGATACCATTTAGAGAGTCTGAGAGGAATAAAAAGTAATCTATGGCATTAGATATCAGGACAGTAATTACCTTTGGGGAGAAGGAAGGATATTGGGTGATGGAAATGGGTACAAAGTGAGACTTCGGGTGTTGGTAATGTTCTTTGTTGTGTTATCATGGAAATTTTATGAGTGTGTTTAACTTTTGATAATTCATCAAATGATATACCAATTTTGTGCATGTATACAATTCTTCAATTAAAAAGCTCCAAAAGAAACCAACCTGCTTAAAATAAATAAATGTCATTATATCTAATATAAATGAACCGATCCAATTCCAAAATTATTACATTTCTGTATTAAGCTTATTAATACTCTTTATTTGCATGGTAGTCAACAATTTTCAGAGCATTCTTAAGTAAACTATGTCATTTAGCTTCATGCCATCATAATGAATTATTATACATTTAATTTTAGATTTGTTTAAAAAACTGGAATAATTCTTTCAGAGAGTTGCCCTGTGACATTTGTGGCAAATAATAGAGTTGAGACTAGAACCCAAGGCTATTGAGTCTTCACATACCTTTCACCGTACTTACTGATCCTGTAATCTCAGGATCTTGAATAGATTTTTTTTTTCTTATGTTTTATTCCCTCAGAATCTTTCTGTTAGACAGCGTATCCTAAAAAACCAAACTAGGCAATTTATTAGTGAATGTATGAGTAAATCACATTGTAAAATAGGTGCAAACCAAAAATAAAATTCCAAGCTCCCCAGCCAACTGACTGGAACCCCCTCTCAACCAAGGAGATTCCAAAGAAACCTGAGAAACTAGTTCAGGCCGTGATAGGAAGTGAGGGTCAGACGTGCTTCATTATACCCTGTCCCTTCTGGAGTGTTCAGGCACAACTGACCAGCATTAACATTAAAACAGAGATATTAAGACTGACAGAACAGACTCTTTGTAGCAAGAAGATACTAAATTCCAACCTGACTCCAATGTAGCATTACATGACAGATAGCAGATCCTGGAGGAAATATACATCCCAAAATATATTTCTTTGTCATATTTTGGAATGGACCCACAGAGCTGTCTCTTGTGAGGGAAATTTGAATTCTGTAAAGACTCTCCTTCCCTTATTAGGTCTTTACCAGAGAGTCTGGCACCTTTTAAGGCCCAATTAGAGACATTCACGTCTATTCTCTCTGAAGCCTGCTACCTGGAGGCTTCATCTACATAAGAACCTTGGCTTCCACAACTCCCACCACCCTTACCTTAACTCAAGCAGATTTAAACTCTTTAGACAAAGCTTAATTCTTTCAACCAACTGCCAATCAGAAAATCTTTTAATCTACCTATGACCTAGAAGCTCACCCTGCACCCCCTTCCCAAGTTGCTTCAAGATATCCCACCTTTCTGGGCTGAACCAATGTATACCTTACATGTATTGATTTATGTCTCTGCCTGTAATTTCTGTCCCATTAAAATGTATAAGATCAAGTCGTAATCTAATCACCTTGGGCTCATGTTCTCATGGCCTCCTGAGGCCGTGTCACGGGTCACAGTCCTCATATTTGGCTCAGAATAAACCCCTTCAAATATTTTACAGACTTTGACATTTTTCATCAACAGGAGCTTCTTTAAAAAATTCTCTCACCCACAGGTAAGATAGGTACCAAGGCAGCTTGATCACAGTGGTTTGGAATACTTTGTTTTCTGACTATGTTATTTTCAGATATGTGGCCTTCAGATCACATTATACTAGTGAGTAATTATGCTTGTATGTAGACTGAGGTTGGTTTGAGGGAAAACAATCATTAACAAAATAATGCATTTGTTACTTGGAATTCTAGAAGTTTTCTGAGCTCAAAGTACAGGGCAAGAGAAGTGGAAAGAGGTCAAATGTAGACATCTGAAGATATACTCATCTCGCCACAGGTATGCTGGGATTTTAAAGCACCATCCTGCAGTTTACACTTAAGTTCAACTACCTGATAGGAGGTATATAGTAGGAAGAGCATGGAGAATACATGTTCTAACTTGGGATGAGATTGGGAATGTTCAGGAGATGGAAGAAGTGGGAGGTAAAAATGAGAAAGCAAGGAGGCCAAATGTACTTTTAAAAGCCAGAGGGTTGTGCTCATTCAAACAACCGGGCAATCCTCCATTATCAAGAATGCAAGACCCATTGTCCTTTTCTTTCTCTTTCAAGTTCCTTGTAACTTAAGCTCCAAATTTTTTCTTCGTATCTTAATTTCCTCTTTAAGTTTTTCCTTGATTCTCTTAGTCCATTGTCTTCATGTGAATGATATGTCCTTGCTCTGGCTGTATTTGCTATACACTCTTGAGAGATTTCTGAATTTATCCTCCATTTCTAACCTTGGAAATCTACAAAGAGAGGCTTAAATACAACTAAGCCATGCCATATAATGACCAAAACAAACAAACAAACAAACAAACAAACAAAGCATGGCTAGGCACTGGTTTGTTTTGTTTATGTTTCCAAACAATTTTAGATTGTTTGGAAATTATGGTTTTATAAAAGGAAAATGAACCAACAATTTTACAGTGCTTTCTAGAATTTGTAAACATGAAAGACTTCTCAATGGAAATCAGTTTATAACTGTAACTGCCCAACGGGTTCACCTTGCCCACGGCCTAGAGAGAGCCCATTTATCAAGACAGGGGACTTGCAATTGAGAAAGAGTAATTCACGCAGAGGCGGCTGTGTGGGAGACTGGAGTTTTATTATTACTCAAATTGGTCTCCCTGAAAAGTCGGATACGGAAGGTTTTAAGGATAATTTGGTGAGTAGGGGCTCGAGAAGTGGGGAGTGCTGATTGGTTGGATTGGAGATTAAATAATTGGGGGTCAAAGTGGGTTCTTGATGGCTTCTGTTCCTAGATGGGATCTCAGAACTGGTTGAGCCAGATTACCCTTCTAGGTGGTGTCTGTCATCTGCTGCATTGGAGTGCAGGGTCTGCAAAAGATCTCAAGCATTAATCTTAGGCTTTACAATAGTGATGTTATTCCCAGGAGCAATTTGGGGAGGTTCAGACTCTTGCAGCTGGAGGCTGTATGACCCCTAAACCATAATTTCTAATCTTGTAGCTAATGCGTTAGTCCTACAAAGGCAGACTGGTCCCCAGGCAAGAAGGGGTCTTTTCGGGAAAGGGCTATTATCAAATTTGTTTCAGAATCAAACTATAAACTAAATTTCTTTCCAAGGTTATTTAGGCCTATGCCCAGAAATGAAAAAGGACAGATTAAAAGTTAACAGGAAAATGGAGTTGGTTAGGTCTGACCTCTTTCACGGTCGTAATTTCCTCAGTTATGATTTTTGCAAAGGCGGTTTCATAACATTCAAACTTAATGCCCATATGCTTCTGTCAGATCAACGGTATAATCAGGGAAATAGTTTACTAAGAATGCGTGTCACTCTAAAATGGTACCTGAACCTTTTGTCATCCACAGCATAATTTTAACAGCTTTGATAAGGGACATTTTTCCCAATCAACCTTTGCTACTCTGAAGACATGATACAAATTTTTGAGTAAACAATGTCTAAATCAAAGTGCAATGTTTATTCTCAAATACATATTTAAGTCAATGTAGTCTTTTTAGTTTGATTAGATGTGAATTTCTCATACTTTGTGCTATATTAAGAAATAACCATCTAAGTTTTTCTCTTTTTGTTCACCTAAACATTTTCTTCTCCTACATTAAGATACACAAAGGCAGTGAATTATAATTTGTTAATGGTGATCATAATAACTCAATACATGAGAAATTCAAATTTTTTTTCATTTCAATACAAATAAGTTTTCAGGACAGGCATACAGAGAAAAACTTGAGTGCATTCTGCTTTGTTTGGCTCATTTAGAAGAAAAACTGTAGCAGGTAAAATCGGTGGGGAAAAATTAGACAAGTTTATCTTTTAAAAATTATTTTCATTGTGGAATAATACATGTTCACATATAAAAGCACAGAAAGGCCTAAACAAGAAAAGAAATGTCTAGAGAACCATTATTAATATTTTTCTATTTCTGTATAGGTTCTTCCCTATATATACATACATATAGTGTGTACTTGGGTGCCTGTATTTCATATATATGCACACACATAGATATACACAGAAACACAGGATATGTATGTGTGTATATATGCATTCCTACAGCTATATATTCTGTTTTACAATTCTTAAAAATTAACAATAAAAGATTAGTAAATTCTAATGCTACAATATACAATCTGGAAAAAAGAAAAATCAACTATTCCTTTACTGCACATCTTATGTTATTAAGCATTTACTATATGTTGCTTCTGTACTCAGTGCTGTGGTCACAATTTCTGCCCTAGAGAGCCATCAATTTAACAGAAAGATTAAACAGACAATTTTGCAAGAATGATAAATTCTGTAGTAGAAGAATGCCCAGGATGATATGGGAACACACAGCAGGGAATTTAATTCATACTGGAAGTAACCAGGATGTTTTTTCAGAAAAGGTTCACATCTGAGCTACGTATTTAAGGGTCAGTATGAGTTTCGGTGAAGGAGGTGGGTCTAGATATGGGGAGGTAGGTGGCAGATCAGCTTGAAAGTTACGAGAGTAGAGCACATTAGAAAAAGTGAAGGCAGTCTCCCATCACCACAGGATAGGGTAACGAGAGAGGTGTGGTGAAGTGATGAATGATAAGGCTAGAGAATTAAGTAGGAACAGATAATTAAAAATCAGTGTAAGTGTTTGAATTTCATTCAGAAAGTACTTGAGAGCTAAGGAAACATTTTAAACTGGGCAGTGGTGTAATCAGATTTGCAATTTCGAATGCTCTACTGAGCAGTCTGGTGAGTGCATTGGAAAAGATGAAGTATAGAGTTATGGAGACTAGTGAGAATTGATAATGATTCTGTGAAAGGAGATAAATACATACATATACTGAAGAAGAGGCAGTGGGGAGGAAGGGGAAGGGGTAAACCTGACGGTTAAGTTTTGACAGTAATATTGCTGGGACTGAGTGATTGTGTGTGAAGTATGAAGGAGAGGAAAAAGACAATGGTAATATTTGGATTTATAATTTGAAATCTAGATGGATGATTGAGCACTGTAGAGAATAAGATTTTAGAAAGAAGATGAGTTTCATTTTGAACAGATTGGGTTTGAGATTCATGTGGAACATTCAAAATAAGTCATTAGGTAGAAGGGCTGAGCTGAAAATTTAGAGTGGCTTGGATGACAGATCAGTGTATCTCAACTTTGTTATACATAATAAACAGCTTTTAAAAAATTTTATCGTCTATGCTACATTCCACACCAACTAAATCAGAATCTCTAGGGGCAGGAACCAAGCATTGACATTTCTTTCTTTTTTTTGTTAACTTTTATTTTAAGTTTAGGAGTACATGTGTAGGATGTACAGGTTTGTTACATAGGTAAGTGTGTGTCACGGGGTTTGTTGTACCAATTATTTCATTACTCAGGTATTAAGCCTAGTATGCATTAATAATTTTTCCTGAGCCTCTCCCACCTTCCACCCTCCACCCTCCAACAGGCCTCAGTGTGTGTCATTCCCCTGTATGTGTCCATGTGTTCTCATCATTTAGCTCCACTTGTAAGTGAGAATATATGGTATTTGGTTTTCGGTTGTGCATTAGTTTGCTAAGGATAATGGCTTCTAGCTCCATCCATGTCCTGGCAAAGGACATGATCTTGTTTTTTTTATGGCTGTGTAGTATTACATGATATATATGTACCACATATTCTTTATCCAATCTATTATTGGTGGGCATTTGGATTGATTCCAAGCCTTTGCTATTGTGAATAGTTCTGCAGTGAACATACGGGTACATGTATCTTTATAATAGAATGATTTATTTTCCTTTTGGTGTATACCCAGTAATGGGATTCCTGGGTCAAATGGTATTTCTGACTTTAGGTCTTTGAGGAATCATCACTGCACTGTCTTCCACAATGGTTGAATTAATTTAATTTACACTCCCATTAACAGTGTATAAGCATTCCTTTTTCTGCACAACCTCTCCACCATCTGTTATTTTTTGAATTTTGATAATAGCCATTCTGATTGGTGTGAGATGGTATCTCATTGTGGTTTTGATTTTCATTTCTGTAATGATCAGTGATGCTGGGCTTTTCTTCATATGCTTGTTGGCCACATGTATGTCTTCTTTTAAAAAGTGTCTGTTCATGTCCTTTGCCACTTTTTAATGGAGTTTTTTTTTTTCTTATACATTTGGTTAAGTTCCTCATAGAACGCACTGACATTTCAAAAACTCCTTGGATGGTTCCAGTGGGCATCCCAAGATTTAGAATCACTCTCCCAAAGAGATGACATAGACCAGTGGATCTCAATGTTGATTCCACAGTAGAATCATTTGAAGTGCTTTAAAAATTCTCAAGATGCAGGTCATGTCGTGCAAGCATTAAATGGGAGTATAAGGAGACAGAGCCCAGATAGTAATATTTTTGATACCAGCTTTATTGAGGTATAATTTGCATAATATATAATTCATCCTTTTGAGGTGTACAATTTGATGTTTTTTAGTATACTAAGTTTATATGGACAATTCATATCAGTGGTGTTATACGATATATGTTCTCAAATGTGGCTTTAATGTTGAATTGAAATAGGAATAACAAACATCCTTGTCTTGTTTCTGATCTTAGAGGAGAAGTATTCATTTTTTAATGATTAATTACAATGTTAGCTCTGGGTGTTGTTAGTTTGTTGCTATGGATGCTTGTTTGTTTATTGAGTTTCCTGAATTAATTGTGAAGAGTCTGATTTTCTGTCATGCATACCCCTCAATATCTCTGATCAGTTAGCTTAGCGGTCAGCTAATGACTTCACATAGATTTCTTTGAATGCATTAAACTAGTAAGTTGCTGTCATTTTGCTGAAGGGCTTTGGGCGCGTGTGTTTGAGGGGAATATTTCAACACTCCAGCAGGCAGTTTGAAAACTCTTCTTTAGCCTTCGTTTCCTGCTTGTGCAAAGCCTCAGACTTATCCACAGGTGAGAGATTAAGGCCTTCCCAGGTCTTTTCTGCGCTTGTGCACATCCCTGCAAGTGCATATGATCTTCTAGAGTTCCAGGAATATGTTAGATATTTTCAACACTCCATGTGAAAATCTCATCCCCTGGTTTTTTCTTTTAAAGTTTTTGGTCTGTTACTTAACCCAACTTGTGTCACTGCCTCAGCTGCACAATTGAATAATTGCCACTGATTGATTTTAACAAATTCCTTAAGGACAGGGCTGTTCATACCAAACGAGCTGCTGCCTCAAATTTGAGTCAACTGTCAGTCACATCAGATAAAAACAAGCCCTGAGAATGAAAGTGCTAGTGAGGTGAATAGTGACAGTTCTCTAGGGATAGGATTTTCCAGGAACTCCAAACCCATTCACTCCCTCCCAGTGGCTCCTAGGCTTCTGGAGTTTACAGTTTGTGTAGCTTTTGGTTGGAAGGCTACCATGGACATAGGGAGGGGGAATAGGGCAGATTTAAATGCCACAAAGCTTGCTGTTTTTACCAAGGGCCAGTTGATCTTCTGGAATAAATGTTCCTCAAATTCTCGCAAGCCTTTGCTTAATTGCTAGAGTTCTGGCAAAATTAATTTTTTTCCTTTTTCAGTAGTATTCGCTGTCTTTTTTTTTTTTTAATGGAGGAGAGGATTTATGGAGGTCTGCACTTTGCCATTCAAAAGGGTTTCCTATTATAATTTGTATACCACCTTATAGATACCCATGTTCAGGAAAAGTTGAAAAACACTGGTTTTTACAGAAAAGAAGATCAAGGGCCAGATTCTAGAAAACACAAACATTTAAGACCAGGAAGAGGAGGAGGAGCAAGAGCTTATAAATAAGGCAGATAAGGAATGGTTCTGAAATGAATGGGCTTATAAAAAGTAAAAGAGAAAAGAGTTTTAGGAATAGAATAATTAAAGCTATTGAATGCTGCCTACACAGATTAGAAAGTTGATTGAAAAATACTGATTTGAATTATCTACAAAAAAGTCACTGAGATTTTTTTTTAGAACAACTTCAGTGGAGTGATGGGGCAGAATCCTGACTACAGTTAAGTTGTTACATAAATAGGAGGTTAAAAAAGAGAAAATAATTATAGGTAACTCGGAAGGAGCCGGACTGAGAAAGGAAGGGGAGAGAATATAGGCTGGAACAAGACATGAAGTAAAGAAAGTTGCATTCTCCCAGGGCTCAGTTTAACTGCTCTATTTATTATTCATAAATTTTCTTTTTGGTATCTGTTCTAGACCATAGGGCTACCACTAGTCATTTGGACTTGTGGGTGAGGAGAGTGACCTTTCTCCCATTATGTAATGAAGAAATGTAATCCTAAATATTAGTCATGGCTCTAAACAGATTCTCAATGAAATGGTGGCGACAAATAATAACTGGACCTATGAGGGGCAGTAGACTGAAGCATGCATGAAGTCTGAGAAAACTGAGATTAAATCCCTGCTTCACCACCCTGCTGGTGCTAGCTGTATGACCTTGACCTAAAATTACTTAGGCTCTCTTGACTTTGCTTTCCTCATGTGAATAATAACACTAATCATTCAAGATTGTCATGTGGGTTAATTGAGATAATGCCCAGTCTTGGCAATAAAGAGAACTCCTAGTTCTGCCTCTTGGATGCTGTGTTAGAATGGAAGAGTTAGCTTTTTAATATCTCCATTTTCTCATCTGTAAAATAAAAAAGTTGGGTTATATAATCTTCATGCTTCTTTTCAACTTTAACTATATGAGCTTCCAATTTCTTTTAGTTCAGAGCTATTCTTCATGTACTTTGTGGGCTAGATAGATATTTCGAGTTGGCCTAGGACTTAAACCATTCTGTAGATGACAGTTTCCACTGGAAAAGGCATTCCAAAGAATTGACTTACAAACTGTGGAAGACAGCTCTGCCAAGCTGGGTAGTAGTTTTAAATAGATGGGCTTAACCTAGGATATATAATAGAAAGGGCTCACCAATGCATAGTTCAAATCCTTTAGAAATGAGCTTTGAAGAGAGGGGCAAGTGGCATAATATCAGATTTCAAAGTTAATTCTCTGTTTTGGGGGCTCCTGGATTGATCATTATAACCGAAATCTTTCTTTGTTTATGAATGTTTATAAATGCTAGCTTTTGGCAGTTGAGGAGACTTTGAAGCAGCAAACTGCACAAGGAAGAAGGACAAGTTTGAAGCCAGATAGGGTTCAGTAGGGGTAAAGCAGAGAAAAAGAGTAAATCGTTGGATGCAGGATGATTAGTAAGACCAGCAAGTGATATGAGTACCGAATTGGATAAGGGACTCAGAGACTCAGGAAAAGGGAGAACTGGAGGCCCGGTAAGGCTGAGATGGGCCAGAACAGGAAGAACAAACCAAAAGGATTTGCCTTCTCAGAGACTGATTTATTTTTCCCACCAATGATTTCAGCTTGTTTTGTTGAAGTCACCGATGCATTGTGGTAGAATTTTATCTGAGTAGGTAGTATGTAATTTAACCTCCCGTTTCAGGGCAATTAAAGACGTGCTCATTTTCTTTTAGCAGATTAGTGCTTTAAAGGTTAAGGAAAATTAACTTAGAGATTTAAAAGGAGATAAAATAATTAGGAAATAAAAACATTGAAAAACAATACTACATTCACTGTGATTTTATTAAAAATCAGTTTTTACACAACTTTTAACACATGGTATCCTATCGTTTCTGTCTAAATTGTAAAACTATGTCTGCTTTGACATTTTTTTCTCCCCCTGCTTATTTCCTTCAGGTGGCCTGTCACATACATTTATGTTTAAAATTAAAGATGGCCAATTTTCCTTTAAGGCTGTTCCAATTCCACACCACTTCTCGAAATAACTGGAGCTGTCCAGGATGGGCTGGGAATATCCCATCTACGTTGTCTGCCTTACTGGAGGCTTCGCATTCTCTCAGAGACACTTTGCTCATGTACACCATTTGGCAAGAAAGAGTCATTGGCATGTCCTTGGATGACCCCTTGTCTAAGTGGACTTTTTGGATGGTACTGTTGATCAATGGGGGCTTTGTAAGCGGGCAGGCCCCACTGCTGCCCTGAAGATCTCTTCTGCACCCTGCAAATGACACTAACATTATGAAAAATTTCTCCAAAGACAGATATTTTCAATTAGCCAAATTACTCTAACAGTAATTTAAATCAGGAAGATTTAAGGCAGAGCTAGTTCCTATGCCAGCCAAGAAGACTGCTCTGCCAGTTGAAAGGCAAGCACATCCTTCCCTGCCAACTTGCAATGAGATGGTTCTTGCAGTGACAGCAGATCTACCATGCACGTTTGATTTAAATCCCTCCATTACCATACCTTTGTAATTATCATCAGGCAATGATGAGTCCTGGGGAAAGTATGGATCTTAAATTCGAGGATCCAGAAGCCTAATCGAAATGCAGCACATGAAATGAATCTTTCTTCTTGGTATATCTCCTCTTTTCAACCAATTGGTCTTGATTTAAGTAAAATTGTAGCAAAACCCTGTGCCAATATTGTGATTCTTTTTCACTTTGCTAATCAAAATGTTGTTTCGCAAGGCTCTGATGGTGTTCAAGACACCTTATAGGAGGTATGGTTTTTCTTTAAGTTGGCTGGCATAGATCCTTTATTTCACATGAAGTCATGAGAACGATTTGTAAAGATTCCTTTGACTGGTAAATTCGCTTATTCTGGGATAGTGCTCTCACAATGATTCTATGAGGCAAATATTATATTGGTGATTTTTTTTGTTTGCTGTTCCTTAAGGTTAATGATATGTAGACTACTCTAAATCTACCTTTTTCCTACCTAGGGACTGTATGTTATTTAGAAAACATAAATTTCAGAGGATTTGTAAGGATGAGCGAGGTTGCTTTTTCTTTATAAGATCTAACTTCAATTAGCAACATTTTGTTAAATATCTAACTTTGCCCATTGCCCAGTGCTTTACTTATAGTTAAGCAACATGGTGTGAAGAAAGAGGCATAGGCTTAATTCCAGATCTCAGTACAAATCTGAATTCTTCTTACTTGTAAATTGGTGTGACCATGGATAGATATCTTTACCCCTCTACCATCCCAAATCTCTCCTACAATATGGTGGTATTGAAACTGACCCTCTCTAGTTCCTCTCCATCTTTGACACCTATGATTCTATGAATATGGGAATTCTCCTCTTGAAGAATTAACCATCAGCCCCCATGTTTAGTACTTACTATATAATTTTGTTTAAACAGTTATTTATGACATTCTCGCAATGCAAATTTAGGAACCCTTTTCTTCCAGGACTTCTCTTCCACCTGTCTTTTATTATTTCAGATAATGGAAATTTGAAACCAAAAAGAGATATATCAGCATTATTCTTATATTCATAGACTCAGGGTTAGAATGGAATTGGCTCCTTTTGGTTTGGGGAATAGTATCCTTCACTGGGACACCTTTATCTAATAGGCTCATTTAGCCTTTAACACTTGCCCACTTTGTATTACTATATTAAATACAGAGTGCTGCCTTACCAGCCAGATGATAAGTTCTTGTAGGTCTGGGGTCATGCTTTTGGGCTCCAAATATCTCTAGCACCTAGTATGTAACAGCTAGCCCACAGCTAATCACTTAATAAGTTGTACACCATGATTTTTTTTTCTAAGAAAAACCTTATGGAAGAATAGTACTAAAGATTTCCTTTTAATCACTGAAATGCAAACAATTTTCCACAACATCCAATGAAAACAGAATGTATAAATGAATCATTTGGTGTACTGTAATTAACAGAAGTCCAATTTGGTGTAATTAGTGTCAATTTATTTTTAATTGACAATTCCTCTTATACATCATATAGTATATAGCTAAGTATTTCTACTTCACAAATAGCTTACCTAGTACATAATTTTATGCTAAGTATCTGTGTAGTCTTTCTCCTCTTAAAACAATACGATAAAAAAATAGAAAACACACACACGCACATACAACTGTATACTTTGAAAACCAGAATATCTCAGTTTAGAAGGCAAATATCCCAGTCTCATGACTTTAGGGATGTCTCCCTTCACTGGGCTCTTCAGCTATGATTTGGCTCTATTGGTTCGGTACTGTGATGCATATGTTGTGATGGGATTGGGTTGCTATCATAGTCTTTGATATTGGTACTGCTTCTTCAGCTAGATTGCAAATTCATTGACAGAAAAGACTATGTATTTTATGTTTCTTTGTTCCAAGTGTCTAATAGAGTTTTATTTATTTAGAAAGTTCTCAATTAGTAGTTGCTGCAATCATGCAGGTAGGGCAATAGACACATTGCTCATTGAAAGCTCGCAATAAAATCAACAAATATAAATCTATTTATTAAGCTTCCTAATTTACAAACAAAGCAGAAATAGCTATTTTTATACTAATTAAACTACTGTAAATTTTGTATCCTGTTTGTCTTATGTGAAGAGGTATATTTTGATCTTTTAGGTGTTGCCATAGAGTTTAATCTGAAATCTTACGTGGCATAGGATATTTCAAGAGTTAAAATGCTTTTAATTCAGCTAAAATAACAAATGTATTAGATAATTACATTTCTCTATATCAACACTGCTGCACACATTAAAATGGGAGGCAGCTTTGAAATTATTGAAGAAAAGATAGATTTTTATTATAGTAATTTATATGATGTCTAATTCATGTCTCAGAAATGCACTTATAAATAATCCTTAAATTACATCTTTCACTTATATTTGAAGAATTTTTGGCTTTTTTCAGAGGAAAACTATCCTACACCTCTTACAGCACAGTAAATAAAACATTTATAAAGGTAGGTAGTAAAAAAGGGACAGTCTAGAAAAATCTATATAAATCAGGATCCTGAGAGTTCTTTTTAAGATTGAGGATGAGAAGTAATTTTTCTCATTAAAGTCCCTTGTGTGAATAAAATAGTTCAATATTTTATAAATATTTAATAAATTATTATTTCCTACAACTTATGAGTGTTTGGACAATTGAAGCTATGTTTGGAATATGAGTATATGTCTGTCTATGTGGGGAAGAGATGATGATAAATGCCTGACACTATGTGTCTTGAAAAAGACTAGGCAAAAGAATTTCTAAGTTTTACAGAAGGCAGAAAGGATGCTTAGTGGGATTCTTTATGGTACAAATTTGAAAGTGCCTGATGGAAGTGCTTCTTCATGCTTAAATCTTAAAAGTATTAATAATAATATTATATGATACAAATAATGAGCTGGGCAGAGGTAAAATCTTGCAGAAATCATACTAGATGCTTTACTTGTTTAAGTTTCCCAACAACACTGCAATGTGGACATTAACCTCCCCTTTACATTTGAATAAACTGGATCTTAGATGCTTAAGAACCTGAAGCAAATAAGTGTTGAAACTAAGCATGATCCCAAATCCCTCACACGCCAAACTTTACGTTCTTGTATTGCATCATGTTGATTTCCTGTGCTGAGGAAAAAGTTATTTTTCCTTTTACTATCTATAATATAAGTAGTTATTTGCATACTGGTTCTGGCACTGTCTTACACAGGACGTTCCAATAACTGCCAGTCACATAGCGACGATTATGCTTGATTAAGCAGATCCAGTAAGTACTTGATCGACTTTTTCCCATAAATGCTGACATTCTGCAGCCAAAGGGAGAATAACACTTGCCATTATTCTGAGCACTCTGTGCATCTCCCCTCGTCCCTCCCAATAATACCTGGCCCTGAATTTCCTAAGATCAATGTTCCCAGATTATTAGACTCAGCCCAGATTCCAGGGTTTCCATCAAATTCTTCCTGGGTAATTTGAGATTTTGAGTTCTATAAGTACTACAGGCAGACAGGTGACAATTTGTGAGATTTGAGGGTATGTTCAGCAGGTATCATTGTTGCTATTGGTCATTCTATCCCAGATAATTCATTGTTAGCAATGTTGAAGTCCTCACAGTGCTCCAGAATCCTCTAGAAATACATAGGAAAGAGTGCTTTCAAAATTGTTAATGCATACTATTATAAGAATATAAATATCCCCACAAGATAACCTGATAGCTATTGGCTAGCACATTGTTTTATAGTCTGCTGATTGGATGACTTCAGCCGTTTCTCAAAAGGTGGCCCAAGGTTCCTGTGTATCAGAATTGCTTGACAATTTTGATACCCCTCTGGGCCCTATCCCCCTGCCTCAGATTATCATACCCTCTAACTTAGAGTATTAGAGGAATATAAGTAGCTTAATGTAATAAAGTTTAATTTTATGTAGCACTCAAATGGGGGTCAAGCAACATTCCCGAATGCTTTCCTCTAAAAATGACCCAGGGATTTGAGCTCTTCCTTTGGTGGGCTCCCCGTTTCAGTGTTCCTTGCTTGCAGCCATATAGATGAAGAGATGAAGGTAGCCAAAGAAAGAGTAAGGAAAACCTAATGAGAGGAGGACATGAATCTCAAAGCAGATATTATGAGTCAGGCCCTACCATTGACGTGAACTGATTACAAGGACCCAGCTGAATGCAAGAGGGCTGGGAATATACCCAAGAGGCTAATAAACATGGTTTGGGGAACACATAGCATTTTCTCTGCTTCGTAAGTTATGTGAGTAAGGCTGATTAGAATGGAGAAAAGCAAAGTCAAGTAAGCATGCCACGTTTTGATTGAAATGGAATTTTAATGGGTACCCAACAATGCCTTTATAGTTAATATAAGCCTGTGTAAAGAAGATGTGATCATAATGTGACTTTTAGGCAGGTTGTTTTCATTTCCATACATCTGCATTATGGTCTTTGGGAAAATTCACATGGGAACTGTTGATAAGGAATATCTGAAATCAGGGCCAGCTTCATGTAACCTGTGTTGTTGCACAGGGCTGTGCTCTCACAAAGGTCCACATTTGGCTTAATGCTCTGCTATTGTATTGCTGTCTTAAAATTCTTAATCATTTTGAACAAGAGGTTGTGCATTTTCATTTTGCACTGGATCCTTTTTCTAAGCACTCAGGCTGTCTCCCATTACATAGCTGGTCCTACCTGAAACTTGTGCCTTATCAGTGATTAAAATTAAGGCTTCAAGGATAAAATGAAGACATAGTCTTTAAGATGCAGTCAATGCTAATTGATCTTTTAGAGAAGACAAGTTACAATAATAAAGTTCCAAGGGTGGGGGTGTGGGCTCACACAGGTGCATGTGAACATGGGCCTGTGCAAAGTTTATTAGGAGCAATTTGTTTTAATTGATATTCATTGGGCATCATTCCACTGTTTATTCTTACCTACTCATGTGAAGAGTTGGTTGATGTCAATTGCACAAACATTTGTTTCAGAGAAATGGGTGTTTCAGTTGGATAAATTTTAATTAAGTAACCTTTACTGTACAAGTAGTTGCTTTTGAAGCCAGGAGAAAAATGACTATAATTTATTAATTCTATAATCCAGAATCTGAAGATATTGAATCTTGTCTACTCTAACCTTGAATATAATTTTCACTATGAATGTCCTAAATATCTGGCCACAAGAATAAGGAATACAAAACATTTCCAATGTATTGTTAAATTCTTCTCCTATTGCAAATGCCTAGGCATTTAATTATTAATTAAATAATTTAATTTATTTATTATTATAAATTTATTAATATAAATTAAATAATAATTTAATTATTCTCAAGCTCATATATACAGGACTTGATTGCTGATGCTGGTAAGCAAAGTAGCCAAAAGTCTTGAATTTCCAGATCATTTGGTTCTGAAATAATTTATTTGTGATTGCTGCTTCCACACCACTTGTATACATTACTACTGTAGTATATCACATTTCATAGGGATGTATTTATTTATACATATGCCAAAGGACCACACTGAACTCTTAATTCCTTGAGAACAGGTGCTGTATCTTATTTTTCCCAAAGCTTAGCAGATTTACCAGGTACCTAGAACATATTCAATGAAGAGTTGATGAGGGAGTGGAGAAACAAATTATGATATAAAAAATCACTTTTCTTTCAGGAAGTAGCAAAGTGTAGATTTACAGGTCTTCAAAGAACCTTCTGCTTTTACTAAAGCCAAAATCACAGTGTTTTTGCTTTGCAAGAATATTTTAAACTTGTATAATGCTCTTTAGCCCATAACAGCTATGTTACACAGAAATTTAAAACATCTGAGGGATAAAAATAGCATATACTTAACTGTTATATTCATAAATTCATTTTATTGAAGGACTTTTCTGTCCTGTTCAAAAAAAAGTTGTTGATTGAACACACACAACACATATACAAGAAAAAAAGAACAGGTCAGGTGTGGTGGCTCACGCCTGTAATCCCAGCACTTTGAGAGGACAAGACGGGTGGATCACCTGAGGTCGGGAGTTCGAGACCAGCCTGACCAACATGGAGAAACCCCATCTCTACTAAAAATACAAAATTAGCCAGGTATGGTGGCGCATGCCTGTAATCCCATCTACTCGGGGGGCTGAGGCAGTAGAATCGCTTGAACCTGGGAGGCGGAGGTTGTGTTAGGCCGAGATCATGCTATTGCCATTGCACTCCAGCTTGGGCAACAAGAGCGAAACTCCGTCAAAAAAGAAAGAAGGAAAGAAAGAAAGAAAGAAAGAAAGAAAGAAAGAAAGAAAGAAAGAAAGAAAGAAAGAAAGAAAGAAAGAAAGAAAAGGAAGGAAGGAAGGAAGGAAGGAAGGAAGGAGGGAAGGAAAGGAAGGAAGGAAGGAAGGAAGAAAGAAAGAAGGAAAGGAAGAAAGAAGGAAAGGAAGGAAGGAAGGAAGAAAGAAAGAAGGAAAGGAAGAAAGAAGGAAAGGAAGGAAGGAAGCAAGGAAGAGAGAAAGAAAGAGAGAGAGAGAAAGAAAGAAAGAAAGAAAGAAAGAAAGAAAGAAAGAAAGAGAAAGAAAGAAAGAAAGAAACAATACACATAAGTTTTAAGGGATATGGATGTTTATATCTGTTTGTATTAAACTTACTGCTAATAATCTACTTTTTCCTATGGTCTACTAATAAATGCCAAGAATAGGGGGAACGATCCTCTTATTTAATGCTGGAGATAGTTTATTTGCTGTCTCAGTTTCCTGTGGTTGTTACAGCAAATTCACCACCAACTTGGTGCTATAAACCAACAGAAATTAATTCTCTCTTGGTTTTGGAGGTCAGTCAGAAATCGGTTATCAATGGACTAACATCAAGGTGTGTCTGCAGAGCCACACTTTCTCTAGAGGTGCTAGGGGAGAATCCATTCCTTGCCTCTTCCAGCTTCTGGTGGCTTCCAGCTTTCCCTGCTTATGGTTACTTTACTCCAATGATCAAGGCCAGCATCTTCAAATCTCCTTTTGCTCTGTCTTCACATGGTCTTTTCTTTTCCATGGGTTAAATCTTCCTCTGCCTTTCTCTTATAAGGACATTTGTGGTGGCATTTAGGGACCCACTCACTCCTTACTTTAAAATCCTTAATTTAGTCACATCTGCAAAGACCATTTCCCCAAATAGGGTGACATTTACGAGGTTCCATTGATTCCAATCTGCTGTCTTTGGGGGGCAATGATTCAGCCTCCTACACTTGCTCTGCCCACTATTTTCATTAATGACTAAGTAATGGGATTCTAGATGATGTACCCTAGTGTACTTTTCTCCACACTCCCTGACACAGGAATAATGATACTGTGTAATACTTGAGTGTTGGAAAACTATCAACTAAATAACACTATCAAGAAAACACTGCCTAAAGAAGCAGGCTTTGGCAAGTAGGGCTCAGAGAGGGAGCTCATAACTGCATGATAATACTTCCCATAAATTATAGTAATGTTAATTGTCTCCCTCAAAGCAAGGCCATTAAGCCGCTTACTGCTTCTACCTTAATAATTTATTTTGATATTTCTTGTGGCCCTACCTTTTCAACGGTCTTTTACTTTTTACCCAGAGGGGATGTAAACACCTCCCTGACAGTCCTTTGTTGTATATTTCATCTCTAAGTATAACAGGAGAGGGAAGCAAATGACCAAATAGGTCGTGATAAGCTCTGCAGCCAACCAAGACAAAAGGCTCTAGAAGACTACAGTAGGAAGAGCTTCATTCGGAAATACAAATCCTAACACATGGAAAAAAGTAAGTAGATCTACATGCCCTATCTAAACAACTGAACTGTCAGTGACTTTGTCACTAACCAGGAAGAGATTTTCTGTTTTATTTATTTCCACTGTGCTGAGGTAAGACCATCCTCAACATGAAAGAAGGCGTTTCATTCCTTCAACACATTTCTATGAATCTCCTACTATATGCCAGATATATTATGTACCAAGCACTGATTAATTTAGCTGCTTTCTTTCACCCTCTCTGACTATAGTTTTTCATGTAATTTGCAGGGTCAAAACTTTGCAAAGTCCTATGCTTGGCCATTTAAATCTGAGCCAAGGTCACATAAGGACAATTTAGTTAGAGTGGGAGAGAAAGGAAAAAACAAGAAAGCTAAAAAGTTACATAAATGTCCTCTAGCAAGCAGGTTCCTTGTTCTGAGGGCTAATGTACTGTAGCAATTCATCAGTCATTCTAATAGTCTTTTAACTTCTGTCAGAAAGTCTACTGAATGCTAACATTTTAAATGTTTAATATTCTAAAACATATTTTCATTAATCATGCAAATTATCTGGACATCCGTATTTTACAACAACCTCTTTTGAGACTAAGAGGCCTAAGAGTTTGTGTATGAGAGCCTGATGTTAGCAAGTGATACTGTAGATGAAGTATAACTTAGAATCAAAGAATTTTAGATGTGAAAAACTGCTAATGTAATTTCAGTATCTATGTGTTATCATATTTATACACACCCTCCAAAATGCTATTAATGTCAGATATTTCTAATTAGGTAGCAAGCAGCCTAAAATATGCACTTCCTTCATTCTGCTTTATCATATGGTTGCTGGATGCATATTAATATTGTTGGGTGGTACATTTTCCCAATAGAATTGACCCTGTGTTTCATAGTAAAGTGGACACTGGATTTTGTTATTAGTAAAGGAGAAAAGAAGTGTTAATTGCAGTTAGGTTGGCCTGAACTGCAGCATGAAAACCTCCATTTATATGCTGCCAGTCACTCCAATTCCAGAATTTCTTAGCTTCTTGGAAAAAGGAGAAGTATATGTCTGGGCCCCATGAAACAGGTGGATTAAGAATTGAAAGGGTACAAGACATGAATTTTGATGGAGTTAGTGGAAATTCTTTACCCTTTTTTCTTTTCTTTCTCCTCTCCTCTCCTCTCCTCTTCTTTTCTTTTCTTTCTTTTCCTGAAGCAAACTGATTGCCAGCAAGGCTGGTGGCTGGTAGTGAAATAGAAAAAAATGACCTGAGACCATGTAAGTGTAGTTATACCGGAGCCATAGAGCTCACTGCTTTCAAGAACATGGCCTAAGTAATTTGAAGCCATGGCCGGGCGCGGTGGCTCACGCCTGTAATCCCAGCACTTTGGGAGGCCGAGGCAGGGGGATCACAAGGTCAGGAGTTCAAGACCAGCCTGACCAACATGGTGAAACCATGTCTCTACTTAAAAAAAAATACAAAAATTGGCCAGGCTTGGTGGTGCACACCTGTAATCCCAGCTACTCAAGAGGCTGAGGCAGGAGAATCTCTTGAACCAGGGAGGCTGGGCAACAGAGTAAGACTCCGTCTCAAAAAAAAAAAGAAGTCATGAGGTCATGAGCATTGGTGGATCACTGTACTTGCCCAGCTACCAGCAGGAAACACAATCAAATTAGGAAATCCCAGGAAGGCTTATTTATAAAGGGACTAATTACAAAGGTGTGGGCAGAGTAGAGGGCAGGGGAACCAATAAGGGCTGCACTGGTAGTGGGAGCTAAGAGCTACAGAGCTGTTACTCAATCTAGACCCTAAGAGATCAGGAGGAAGAGCAATTACTAGAATCTCAAGGAAGGAGAATCATGTAAAAGGTCACCTTGAAAGGACTAGCAACCTTTGATTAAGGGAAGCACCAGCACAAGGTGATCTCACAGGGAAAACAAATACCCTGACCTCACTCCTCAGGGAATGAGGGGACTTTCTGCTCACTGAGCCCAACAGGAACCTCAGGGCACAGAACTGGAATGTAGTAGCTTATACAGGTGAATATATCTGAGTGAATATCCAGGCTTCACAAGTGGAGAGTAGATTGGAGAGGAGAGTCAGAAACATCTCATTTTGGTATGAATGCTACTTCTTTCATTGTACGCTACCAAAACTCACAGCCACCCTTCCAGTGATTTTATACAGTTTCACCATGTTGGCCAGGCTGGTCTCGAACTCCTGAGCTCAGGTGATCTGCCGGCCTTGGCCTCCCAAAGTGCTGGGATTACAGGAATGAGCCACCATGCCCGGCTGTATATATATATATTTACCATTTCCTATCTTTTCTTTTCTTTGTCTAAACTAAATTTCTAGCAGCATTGCTGTATCTTCAGTACACCAGCATGAACCACCTTAGCCCCTGAGTAATCAGATATTTTTTTAAAACATACAAATGTGATCCAGACAGTTCATTATTCTCCCTATATCACTATTTCAGTGTAACAGTGTGCTTTTAAACGTCTGTAGTTTGTATTGCTAAAGGAACACTTAAGACCTCACTTTTTTACATTGTTTGCCTTCTAATTATATTTTTCTAGTAAAATATTTAACCATTACTTCCTGAATCACGGATTCTAAGGTGCAATAAAAATCCAAAGGGAAATATATTTGTTTCCTACAGAGACAGTTTTTTTTTTTTCCCAGAGCATTTTCAATGACTGCTGCAGAAACGAATGAGTAAAGGTTTCCGAAATGAATAGTTGCAGAAAACCAACTTACTGTCATACAGAAGTCCATGCAGCCCCCGGGTAAAAGTACTTATGTATCTCCTTTTGTTGAGTTCTCTATTTTTTTTTATGAATATGCATATTGGGGGATAAACTTCCATCTGCTCTCTTTTAGCTGATTCTATCACATTTTTGAGCTTTGCATCATTATGGAGCTTCAGAGAAAGATGATCATTTACATTACATATGGATATAAAGGAGAGAAGGAGTTGATGAATTGCAAACAAGTATAATTTATATGGACAAAGTGTGCCAGAAGTGCTTTTCACCCCATTTTACTCGGCAACTGGAATGATTCCTGCCCATTCACTTGGCCTAGTGCCCAAGAACTCAGAAAGGAAATGATCCTGTTAGCCTTACACATCAGGATTCTACTCCTGCCCTATGAGGAAATGCTGCTTTGCACTCAGGCCCATCAGGGACCCCAGAAGGTCAAAAGAAACCACTGAATATACTAATGTCATTTTTTTACTTTCTTCCCTCATGGTTTCTTAACTTATAATTTATGTCACACAGACCTTCTGATACTCTAACTGTTGGTAATTCAAATGTGAGAAGTTTGCATGACGAAGATAGGGAAGGAAGAGTTATGAAAAGGTCATATATGTTCCTGGTAGCTTCTCAGCCTCTTTCTGCACTTCGATTTCCCATGGCAGATTATTTGCCTAAATGCTCTTAAGCTTTATAAATAGGTAAATATCTACATTTAGGCGGCCTTCCTGAGGGCTTCTCTGTTGCCTATAGCACAATGAGTTGTGACTCCATAATTTATCAGAGACCAGGGTCCAAGGTGCACTAATAGCAGTAATAACCCCAAAACTTTTATTTTTTCACTTATTCATTAGGCATTTATTTATAAATCCTTCATTCTTCAAAAATGAGTACTCCGGCTGGGCACAGTGGCTCATGCCTGTAATCCCAGCACTTTGGGAGGCCAAGGCGGGCAGATTCCCTGAGCTCAGGAGTTCAAAACCACCCTGGGCAACATGGTGAAACCCAGTCTCTACTAAAATACAAAAAGTTAGCCAAGCATGGTGCTGCCCACCTGTAATCCCAGCTACTTGGGAGCCTGAGGTGGGAGAATCACTTGAGCCCAGGAGGCAGAGGTTGCAGTGAGCCAAGATCCTGCCACTGCACTCCAGTTTGGGTGACAGAGTGAGACTCCATCTCAAAAAAAAAAAAAAAAAAAAAAAAAAAGAGTACTCCTATCATGAGCTAGGTGTGAGGAATGAAAGCTAAATATAGCACAGCCTCTCCGTAAGCTGGTTAGGAGTAAACAAAGATATTCTTTCATGAAGAAATGGTCATTCATCTGAGAAGTCCTCTTAAGCCAGCTGACTCTCTCTCATTGCTTCTGACAAACACAGTTGTCATAGCTCTGAGACAATTTGTGTCTTAAGAATTTCAAATGCCTGCAAGTCCATGCCTGCATTGTGGCAGCATGTGCACTGCTTCCACTGAATGTCCAGACATCAATGAATAAAAATGAAGTAGTGGATATAATAGCAGTAGTTGTTTTTATGCACATACTACATGCGTCGTGCTGTGTGCTTTACACACATTATCTCATTTAATTGACAACATTTTGTAGATTAAAAAAAAAAGACTAAGCTTAGAGGATAAATGACCTGCCCAGTCACACAATTCTCAAACCAGATGCTTCAACTCCATGATCTCCTCCAGTCTCTATGTTTAGGTGAACATTGGGTGTGATCAGAGAAATTCGGCAGTTAAATAGGAGGTAACATAAAAAGAGGGTTGCTTTTATCTCATTTCCATAGCCAAAAAACCTGGTCAAGTTTAGAAGCTGCTGTTCTTTTACCTACATTTAGTCCCTATTCGTTTTGCTCTCAACCTTTACGTGATTGTAGCGTGACTTCCCACTTTATGAAAGAGTACTTGAAGTCTGTATGCAAATTATTCAAGTTTTTTGATGGTTGTGGGGAGGATGGAAGTGCGTGCGTGTGTGAGGTGATGGAGTATCTAAAATTTCTTCCTATTATTTTTCTCAGAACTTCTGCTTGTAACGGAAGTTTCTCAACATGAAATGTCATCAATTTGGCCTCATTCAGGAAGTTGCAGGGCACTTGACTGTAACCTCAGTAAATTGTACGTTTTCTGAAATCCTGATAATCTTTAGCTGCCTATCATTTTGAAATTTTAAAAGTTATTTTATTTCTGAACTAACTCCCTTGGCAATTTAATTGATTAAAAGAGAAAAGATTATAATGAAATACTTCAGAATGTAGATATATTCATCTGTACATTACAAGGGGAACTCAGAATTTAAATGATCTGATTTTTGTATTCATCAAAAAATTACTATGAGGATTTTATTTATTTATCTGGAATAAAATTCCTCTAACCATGCATATTGTCACAACATACTTGAATTTACAAAGATACGGAATCTCTGGGATCAGAATAACGGTATATTCTGATCTGTGTATATATGAAAGACTCAGTGGGTTCCAATGAGAGAAGCTATGCTATGATTCTCATGCGGTTATATAGTTAAAAAGACCTTTGTTGGCATAGTCTTGGACAGCATACATGTTCCAACTTTAAATATTGCTGAGTGAATAAATAAACATATGAGACTGGGAAATGTCGTCAGGGTTCAACCTAGAAACACAAAGCCAGTATCATGATCTTGTAATTATTATAATGTTAATCCTTTAGCCATCTTAAAAGGCTTGGACTCATGTCTCTCACTCAGCCAAAAGCAGCAGAAGGTCCAAGTTCCTCAGCTACCTCCCAACCTTGGATGAGCCGTTTCTTATCTTTCCGCTGCTCTTTATTCAGCTTTCCATGGCCAAGAGAAAAACCTGTCTTCCTTCTGTTGATGTTCCCTGCCCCACGTTGAGGGAGCTGAGGCGAGAGCTGCAGAGGATCCGTAAGGAGCTGTGGGTAAGGTGAGGACAGCAGCCCTCCCTTAATGTGGAGTATACGTCCGCTATTCTTGTGTCCTTTTTAGTGCGGAACTCCGTGATGAGGCCTTCCTCCTGACCACTTGAGCCTCATGGTGTCTCCTCTTTTTAGGAATCCAATCTCTCTTCCTGTGCTTCAATCTCCTCAAGGGCTCTGCAGCACTTCCCCTCAAAAGCATTTCCCTAAATCCTTGACTGGGTACCAGACCTTCATTTTTAAGTGATTGAAGTTGTGGCTGAGTATGCGTCATGGGCGATTGCCACCGTTTTAAAGTCAAGTAGTTTGTTAGTTGCTCCCCAACTTACAATTTCCTGGCATCTCCATAAAGAAGCTATCCTGTCTTGATCTCCCTGAGGCAGCAGGTGATTAAAGTTTTAAAATCATGGTTAGTGACTGCTGTGTTTAAGGAGGCCCCAGAATAATCGATTTGGAGTGGTAGCTGTAGCAAGAGTGGGGTCATGATGGAGGCAGCACCTTGGAAAACTGAAATGAAACACCATTTCATGCTGTGAAGGGGGAAGAATAGAGGTAGACATGTGCTTTAGCCTCACCTGGGCACTGCATATGCGGTTAAATCTCAGGGGTCTGGAAAAATATGCCGGACGTTAGCAGTGTAATGTTGTCCTCCAGCATTTGAAATAACACTTTGTGTTTCCTGTTTTTTCCTAAGGTATTACGTTTTATTGGTTAAAAAAAAAATAGGTCACTTTGGAAGGTACTTACCTACAGTACCTATATAAATTGAATGGATCAATTTAAATAGGAAGATGGAATCTGTTATATAGGAATAATCATCATATTCAATGCCCTCTAGCAAATATTTCCTAAGTGCCCACTGTGTGCCAGGTATTATGTTAGGCACCAGAGATTAAAAAGGCTAAACAAAATAATCTCTGTCACAAGGAGGTCACAGTCTTACGGAAGGGCAATTGTCATACAAATATATAAAGCATAATATGACAAGTGCTATGAACCACAATTTACAAGTTGCTATGGAAACACAAAGAAGAGAGCACCAAAGGGAATCATGGAAGGCTTCACAGAGTAAGTGACCTTTAGGATGGAGGAAAGAGGGAGACTTCCTAATGTGGAAAATAGCAGGAGACACTCCAGGAAAATAAATAGCATATGGAAAGTCACAAAGGGAAGAAAATTGCAAGTATATTGTTATGGCTGGAGTGTAGATTGAGAGGTGTGTGTGTATGGTGGTGGTGGTGAGGGGGTAGTTACAATTCATAAGGTAGGTAAAAAGCAATTGGGGAAGACCTTATGCAGCCTGGAAGGAAGTTTGGATATTATACTAAAGACAATGAGAAGCCCTCCAAAACTTTCAAGCAGAAAAGTACCTGATTTGATTCATGGATTAGAAAGATTTATCTGGAGGCTGTGTGGAGGATGGATGAGAAGGTAGGGGGTCAGTTGGAAAGCTACTGCCATTTTCCGTGCATGAGATCATGAGGATCCAAAGCAAGACAACAACCATGGAAATGGATAGAAGGCCATGAATATGAAAGCATTTGTAGAGGTAGGATCCATAGGGCTTGATTACTTATTGAATTTGTATGAGGAGGATATATGTGAGATGAAGCAAGAAGTGATTTTCTGCTTTGATGACTGGCTGGGTGATAGTAGCAGTAAAGAGGAGTTGGCAATAAAAAAGCAGAAACAAATTTGTAGAGAAAATCGATGGTTTGGTTATGTTGAATTGAAGTTTCCTGAGGGTATCAAGTGAGTCAGATAAACATCACTGGGGTTCAGGGGACAGATGAGTTTGAGGAGGTTGAGATTATTGCTATGGGATGCACTTATATTACAAAAAGTGAGGGGTGTCTGGGAGGAGATATTTTCTCTAAAGTCCAATATTAAAACCCTTAAGTAACATTACTCTGGAAAATGCAATATGCAAATAGTTCTTTTTATTATTAACATTAGGGTATGTCAAATTTTAAAATATTTACACTTAAAGACAAAACATTTCCACAATTATTACAATTGGTTTCACTAAATCAGAAGTGACTACACATTATCTCTACTTTTATACCAGAAAACAAAATGAAGAAATCAACAAAATATAATTACTAAAACTCCACTGTGGATCAGGATAAAATGTGTCCAATATTAACTCACACTTTCCCAATAAGTATAAAAATGAATATAACATTGCTTGGACAACTTGTTTCAACAGCGAATCCTCTATTACTATTTGTTCAATAACATATATAAATTCAAAACTGGCAGGTATGAAAAAAGGTTACTTTGTTTTTTGCAGATACTGTACTTGTAAAATAAAGCCAAATAAAGCATATGTCACACATACCAAAGTCTTACATTTTGCCTTTCTAATACAAGCAAGTGAAATATTAACACATAGCATTTAAAATAATAAATATATATTTTATTGACAGTAATTTGGAATGTTAGAGATACAAAATTTTATGTACAATTATTCAGATTAAAACATTTAAACTTTAGGTTTTATTTACAAATATTTATCTTATCTTCCTCTCCTATTTGACGTTTTAGCTCAAGAAGAGTTAAAATGGAATGCATCTGTAGATATATAGTTGGGAATGCGTGTTCAGTCACTTGGCTCTGTGATAATAATCTTATGTACCATGTCAGACAGATTTTCAGACTCCAGATCCTCTTTGCCATTATCTGAATTTCCTGATGAGATATAGCAACCAGAGTCCCTTGGGCAGTCATCTAACTGTGACTTATTTAAGGAGATGTCTGAGCTCAAGGATAGGGGCTCAGGTTCATTTTCTTGCTCTTGAATAACTGTAAATGGAAAAAAAGGGCAGGAGTTAGGTAAAGCAACACAAAATCTTATTCATGTACTCATTCACTTTCAAGTATTATCCTATTTTAACTGTTCTAACCATGACTTCATTACAATGGAAAGTTCTGCAAGTAAAAGGTATCTTTGTTTATTACAAAAGAGATATTTGCACCCAAATATTCAAGCTACTGTTTTATTAGAAGCCAAAATTTGCCCTTCATTGTTCATTTGCAGTTTCATGGAATTCATGTGAACTTCCCGCATCAGCAAAGATCAATATGGACTCTCATTTTACATTAATAATAAGTTGCCAGAGAAAGCAGATTGTATCCACAGTGTGACTGATGCCTTGTCCAAATACTCCTTAAAGTATCATTAGAAAAAGGCATTTATAGTTTAAATGCACAATCCAAGTCAATAGTGATCTTTGTGAACAATTTTAGATTCATGATAATCTAGATTAATTAATAAATTATCACTATAAGTAAGAATGTACAGTAGGACTTCAATTATTTGGAAGTTAACTAATAAAACTTTAAATATCCAGAATTTTCCTATGTTTGCATGTATCACAAAATAGGCATAAGAAACCAGGTTGCTTTTAGAAAGTAAAACACCAAAATTTCCACTGAATCTACTTTATGAATATTTAGTCTTCCATATCTTTGTCTGTAGTCCTGAAGAATAATCATTTATTTTCAGATTGATAATTCTGCATTCTTAAAGCAGTGTTCTATATTCAACAGGCATTATCTTTTAGAAAAAGATTACTATTAGGGATATAACAAAATATATTTTGGAAGAACCCCTAAGCAGCCTGAAGTTCACATATTACTCTTCTCGATTCCTTTAGCGTCAACTTTCTCTCTGTCCATGTGGTTTCTTGATGGGTGTTTCTGCATCCTGAGCTGAGCTCCTCAGAGAAGAAATAGATCTCAGGTACTGCCTCTTAGCTGCAGTACCATATCTTCCTCTTTCCCCTTCTAACCTTGGGGCTTCACCACTGTAGGCATCTGAATAGCTCCACGTTGAAAGAGCCAAACACACATTTAAGGTTGGGACAAGAACTCTGCCTACAGAGGCTTTGCACTTCATCCCATTCCAGTGAGAATAAAGTAAATCCAAACCTCAGAATCCTTCAAAGAAGGAAAATGTATAATTTTCTTCAATAGGCTATTATAATGCTAATTAATTTATATCTAGGAAATCTACTCTTTATCTTATTTATTTTTTATATATATATATCTATCTTCTTTAAAATGCATTTTCTAGTTTCCATATGTTTTGCTAACATTAGTTTATGATCCACTGTGTGTCCAATTGCCATCAACTTCCATTATAAATGAGAATTGTGCTGTAAGTTACCCTTGTGTTAATGAATTAACTTCTCTTTAATGTTTATAGAATGGTACTAGTTAAGCATCATCCATGGGAGAAATTGAAAAGTGTTACTTAAAATATCTCCTAAATTCTGTAGTTTAGAAGAAAAATACTGGTTGAGAAAGGCTGGAAGAAAATGATAAAAATTGCTTCTTAGTCTGCTCATCTTCAGAATGAGTCATAACAGTTCTTTTAACCTTTTCCTTAAGGCTTGTATTTGCAACAGTGAAACCATATTTATGCCATTCTTCTGAATCTTCACATTTGCCCCACAATTTTAACTATAGATTCAAATATCAGGTATTTGCCTAGTGATATTATAACTAGTTCTAGATATAAGATGACAATTTTAATAGGCACCTATTGTGATTGTTATTTTTAAATTTTAGCTACCATGGAAGCATTTTGTGTGCATTATTCATGACAATCTTTAAGTTTGGGAGGGTTTACTTATTATTCACTAGTCTTTCTGAGTATCAGTCATTCACTCTTCTTTCTAAGCCCTTTTTTTTAATGAAAAGGCAGCACTAAAATGGGACCTCATTCTCTGAAGAATTGCTTTCTATCCTGCCTTGGCTTTTCTATCTTATTGCCACTGAAATGAAATGAGCCAGCTCTGTGTTCCATTATCCAAGTGTTTCTAGAAAAGGCCAGAGGAATTAGTGCTTTTGTATGCATTCTGCCACATCAGCAATGATCATCCTATTTGGAGTGTGAACCTCTTAGTCATAATGATTGTGGGGATAAGGCCACATTTCCCCAGATTATGTTTGGGCCAATATTACCTCAATGCAAAATTAAAAGAACTGATCTACTTCCCTTCACATTGATATCCTAAACAAGACTTGGCATAATAAAAACTGTTTGTTCCCAACACTCTGTTCTATTTAGGTTGATTACCAATTGTGGGGCTCTCTTCAGGATATGAAGCAGAGTCTTTAAGAACTGTAATTTCCAAAATTAGTTCTTTTCCTTTAAAAAAATAAATATTTAGCTTGTTATTTCACTCTCAGAAGCCTCTGTGCATTCACCTCAATGGGGAATAAAGTAAATAAATTAAAAACTGTCTTTACTAGAGAATATGTCATTGTGTAATATTAGTAACAAAAATGTATTTGTTTTTATTTCCACATGAGAAATGCTATATCATGTTCTCTAAATTCTAGGAATGGTTTTGTTTTAAACACAGGTCATTTATTGTAGAAACCTTTCATCTGCAATTTTTATGGAAAAAGAAAATAGTTTCTGAGTATGAAAGTTATGCAGCACGGTAATTTACAGAACAGCAGTAATTTGCTAAATGATTTCCTCGTGAAATGAAAACACGACTGTGCTCCTCAAATGCTTCCTACCAGGCTTGCAATAATTTCAGGCAGGTGATCAGCTGGAACTCTCAACTGTAACTATAAAAAGGCAGGTCATTATGTTATATTACGGAGATGAAAGCTATATCGCATTCACTTTTGTATTTGGAGGATCAAGATTTTCCTCTTCTTGTTTCTTTTCATCCTGACACTAATGACAGGGATTGGCACAAACCTAGGTCTTGTGTTATGGGTGTTTCTTTCCTGCAGAGGAGATGAATTCACATTAATGCATCCACATTTTCTTTCTAAGTCATTTAGTCCCTTCATGTGGCCATGAAACAGAGTAAAGCTAACTGGCCTACCCAGAAATTGAAACCATAACCTTCATCAGTTTTGTCCCATGGTTCAATCATCTGGGCTAACCAGGCAAGTAACACATTGGAATAAGAAACAGGTTTGCCTACAAAATTATGGACTTCCCATAGGATGTTTCAGTGCATCTTTTTATACTAAAACGTTTCTGATAATACGCTAGGTTTAAAAAAGTATACATAATTCATGTATTCTATTATTACAATTATATGAAAACACACATACGCATATAACTTACAAACAAAAGTGTTCAAATTTGTTAATTTTCCCTCTATTTCTCAGGTCATCCACATTGTTTTTAATGAAAGAATTAAAACGGTATAATTTTTCAATAAAGCCCCCAAATGGTTTGTAAATATCTTAAAGGACATACGTATCTAAATTAGAATACACTGAAGAATTATTAAATAATTTGAATAAGGGTCTTTCTTATTGCTGCCAGCTGACAGCAGGCATACTAGGAACTCCAGAAAGCTGTATAATTCTGTACTCTATATAATAAAAATAGAATAACATTTAAAAATTACTTAGGAAATATTTTATCATGAAGAGCTAATTTGCATATTAAAATAATTTATTTCCTACCAAAATTGTTACAGAATTGTATAAAGCCCATGTAAAAACATTTTAAGATAGTTATCAATGTTGAAAGAAAAGGGTGGCATCGTGATGAAAACAGAAGACGTCTAATATAATTATTCACAAAATAATTATATTGGAATTTTGACATTTAATTAATTAAGAAAGGCAATCTCAATTATACTAAAAGTGAAGATAGTTTTAAGGAAATAAAACTGGATCCTTATTCTGGGAAAAAGTTCTACTCTAAGAAGAGAAATCTGCCCCACCTTTACATATTAAAAAATTAAAGATTCAAAAAAATGAAAACTAATTTTTGCTTGACTTTCCCAGATTTCTTTGCCCAAATCATCCAGATTTTGTCTTTACCATCTTGCTTGCCTTAGCTTTCTTTGGGTGAAGTACTGTAAAATAATACAACCTTAAAGGCATAGGAAAATTCCTGGCTAAAGGAATCTCTCAATAAATAATTTTTTAATAAACACAATGATATTTAGATGAATTAAAGGGCATTGGAACTAAAGGAGAGCAAAAAAGGAATTTTGTTAAAATTCATATGAGAATACCTCTCAGCTCCATCAATCATCCTCCTGTTTTTCTCTATCCTGGGGCCATCTCCAAAGTGGCAAAACCCAGGGATACACATCTTAGGATGACTCAAAACCTCAGTCTCAAGTTTTAACCTCACTGGAGTCACTCAAATGAAAACCCAGCCACTGTTCAGGTAACTATGGCTATATTTATTTGTCCAGAGGCAGCGTTATCCAGGGAGGAAATTTTAGTGGACAACATGGCATGTCTCTCAGTTATTTTTTATTTCATCTAAAGCCCATTCTTAAGTTACCTGAACACTTTAATTCTCCTAATAACAGTGAATATTTGGTGTTCATTTCACTTGAATACTAACCCACCTTTTGGAAACACAACAACAAATTAAGAATAGGATTCCATTCATAGGAAAATAACTGGTGGCTTCTGTTCCCCTGAGGCCATGAGAAGATATGGAGTTGAAATGACTTCCCCTCCTCTTGCATATCTCTTTTTGGAGCCTAGCTTCTAACGAGATGTGTACCTGGAAATAAACCTTTTCGCTTTCAGCTAGGGCAATCTCCACTTCCACTGTGCTAGGAACTTCAGCAGAGGCAGAGGCATACTCACTCAAGATCACGATAACTCAGCACCTACCTGGGCAATCTCATTAGACTGCTACTCTCCCCAACCATACACCATATGGAGGGCTTTGGTCCCAGGAAATATTTACCCTCCTCAGTTAAAGTTGTCATATTGTACTGACTATTTTGGTAATGACCAAATAACGTTTAAAACTGTCACACATTATTTAATTAGGGGCCTTGGAAAGTCAAGTTCATATTTCTTATAGGTTAATTAAACCCATTTACATGATGAAGGAGTTAAGAACACATTACCCCAAAATATGCTGCTCTGGCGTATTGACTATTTTGAGTTGAAGGCACTTGAAGAGAGCAGGTGCAAGAATATCACTCTGGCTTTCCCTTTTTTTTTTTTTAAGAGAGAGAGAAATAGGGTCTGGCTAGGTTGCCCAGGCTCGTCTTGAACTCTTGGACTCAAGCAATCCTCCTGCCTCAGCCTCCCAGAGTGGTGGGATTACAGGCATAAGCCACCATGCCTAGTCTGACTTTCCTTCTGCTTCTTAAAAGCAGATGACATTTCCATGTGAAAGCTACCTTCCCTCTACCAGAAGAAAAGTATCATTCTTATCATCAAGGACAGGAAGTTGAGGCAGAGGGAAATCTGTACAAACAAGCCATGTTAAACAAACCCTTATCTATCTAACCACTTCACCCAATTAGCTAGCCTATTTCAAGCTTCTGTGACTTGTCACATTTTCACAACTTATTATTCTTTGTCTAATTCAGTATACAAGTGTTCAACTCTAACTGCATCTTTGGGTCTTCATTTCCCATGAAGCCTCCCTTGTCACATGAATTTTGTGTTAAATAAATTTGTGTGATTTTCTCCTGTTGGTCTGTCCTATGTCAATTTAATTTTCAGCTGTTTTTAAAAGCCTAAGAGGGTAGAGATAAAATTTTGCCTTCCCTATATAGATATGATAAAAAACTAATCTAATTTCATTATGTCTAAAACTATTACTTTTGACAAAAATAGGAATACTGTGCATATTAGTGATCTACAATTTGCTTTCACATTTAACATATTTTTAAAAAACTTTAATATCAGTAAACAGCACGCTATATCATTTTTTTAACATAACACCTTCAAAACTACTTCATTGTTTGGGTATATCTTAATTTATTTAACAGGTTAATTATTGATGGAAGTCCCTATTGTTTTTAGTTTTTACCCAAAACTACTAGATTTTTAGTTAGTATTTTTGTGCATTCGTATCTTGAATTTTGTAGGACAAATACTTAGAACTGGAATTTCTGGATACAAAAGTGTGCATATTTTAAACTTTGATTGTGTTTCACGTTATTGCCCTCCAAAAATGTACTTATTTACACTCTTGCACACATGCATGGTTAGCATATTCATAAACTAATCTTGACAACATACTCGAATACCGATCTGCTTATTACAAATACTTGTATGTGTGAGGTGGGATTGCAGGCAACTTTATTTTTATAATAATAGAATACTGACTTACTATTTGGGGATCTTTTGACCTCCTCATTCATCATTTACTCATTTTATGTTAACCATCCACTAATGCAAAGCACAGGACTAGGGGCTTTGGGAAAGCATGTGGTAATAGAAGATTCGGTCTTGTTTGGCCAGGGTAATCATTACAAAGCTATGTGTTGTATACAATCCCAGTGCAATATAAACACAGGTACAGGAGTGCTCTATATATACGGCCATTAGAGAGGTCCTTATGTGACTAAAGTGAAAAATCTGTGAACACTTTTCACTGGAAATTTTCTGGTAGAAAAGTGAGAATCCTTATACTTTATTTTATAGTTTTTTGTATGATATAGAATATGGCATCCATCATAAATGAAAGTTTGGAGGTAAAATTAAAAAGAAATCTGAAGAAATTAAATTGCATGAGGGCAAACAACTATGACTATAGATATTAAATACATACAAGTAAAATGCCTGCATGCTTTCTCTACTTTGTGTGGACAGGTAGCATAGCTTTTCTTTAAAGCTGTAGATTTCTTGAATCTAGATGCAAATCATATGGCAAGTGGGTTGGAAACTCCAGGTACACATGTCAGGGGCTAGGCCCAGGCTATGCTGGCACACTGTTAGGCCAACTGCTGGACTGCTGCTTGGCATAAATACAAATCTCCCCTGCTGACAGCTCGTGTTCCAGGCTCCTGGCTGCGGCCCGCCATTTGCCCTGCATCGACTTGGGCAGGCAGGCAGGCAGGCAGGAAGGCACAACTGGGGATGCTTGAGCAATGAGGGGCTGCTGTGACCACAGCTGGTATCAACATTCTGGCACACAACCCACCCTTTCCCCTTCCTCCTCATTTGGCACTGCAACCAGAGTTTGCAGGTACCTCAAATGCATTGTATACAGATTCTGTAAAGTTTGCTTATTCTGTTACTTTGTTTTCAATTTTAAATTTAATTATCCCTGTAATCTAGAGCAAACAAGGTATTTCCATCACCCATTTTCCCCAAGGACAATAGTACACATTCTCATAGACACAATTTTAAGACACATTGGAGTGCTTCTGAATGTGAAAAATGAGGAACAAGTGCAGAATAAAGACAAGATGTTTACTATAAACAACAGTAAACCAGCTTATTATTCTAAAGAGGACTTCAGAGTAAGGCAAAGGGGCCTTGAAGATTGTGTTTATGGAACAACACACACACACACACACACACACACACACACACACACATATTTTCTGTTCTCTTTTTTATTTGGGAATATTGACTTCCAAAGTAAATGAAACATTTTTAAATTCAGATAATAAATAGAAAAACCTAAATGTGCACAAAATAAACAGATCCTGCTCTCTTGTCCCTTCAAGAGCTGCATCTCACTCCAATTTTTCTTCTCCCTATAACCTTATCTAGATTCCCAGTTGAGGGAACCGATGACCTAATTCCTCTCAGTTTAAATGCAACACAGGAGCAAATTCCAAATATCTATGCTGGTCTTGCTGGGATTGCAGAACCCCAGGGTGGTTATCCTCCTCCAGAGGTAATCCTGTGATCAGCACTAACGCCACATACCAGCCCTTTCATCAGCTTGTTGGAGAAGCATCTTTACTTCCCACCAAGCAGTGACCTAGATACCATCTCACACCAGTTAGAATCAGGATCATTAAAAAGTCAAGAAAAAACAGATGCTGAAGAGGATGTGGAGAAATAGGAATGCTTTTACACTGTTAGTGGGAATGTAAATTAGTTCAACCATTGTCAAAGACAGTGTGGCGATCCCTCACAGATCTAGAACCAGAAATACCATTTGACCCAGCAATCCCATTACTGGGTCTATACCCAAAGGATTATAAATTACTCTACTATAAAGACACATGCACACATATGTTTATTGCAGCACCATTCACAATAGCAAAGAATTGCAACCAACCCTAATGCCCATCAATGACAGACTGGATAAAGAAAATCTGGCACATATACACCATGGAATACTACGCAGCCATAAAAAAGGATGAGTTTATGTCCTTTACAGGGACATGGATGAAGCTGGAAACCATCATTCTCAGCAAACTAACACAGGAACAGAAAACCAAACACATGTTCTCACTCACAAGTGGGAGTTGAACAATGAGAACACATGGACACAGGGAGGGGAACATCACACACCACTGCTTGTCAGGGGGTGGGGGGCTAGGGGAAGGATAGCATTAGGAGAAATACCTAATGTAGATGAAGGGTTGATGGGTGCAGCAAACCACCATGGCATGTGTATACCTGTGTAACAAACCTCCATGTTCTGCACGTGTATCCCAGAACTTAAAGTACAATACAAAAAAAAAAAAAAGTGTAATCCAGTTTACATTTTCAAGGTCAAAGTGGGTACAATGCTATCTATCTTGGGCTAAGAAGAGAAAAGGAAAAATTCTTGCTTTAAATCTTAGAAGTCTGGTTTTTTTCCCTGTTTTGTACCCCATCCTCTTGGTCTCTCTAGATATATTTAAGACTCACATAGGACTTGTCTTTTCTACATTATCTCAAAATTTTAGCTCTTATCCTCAAGATATGTGCCCATTTTGCTCAACTTTTATATTGCATGATTAGCAAAGCAAATCCTTTTATGTTCTCAATCTAACAATGAAACACCAAACTAGAAATTTATTGCCATTCCTCAAACTGACATCATTCAATGATCAAAATAAAATGCATCCATAATATCCTAGAAAATTTACATGTCCCATTCTTAAAAAGAAAGGCAAACTATTTTTAACGTTTAACGTGACATGCATTTGTTTTTAAATGTCTCAGTTTTATATAACCATATACTCAAGGTCTTTATCATTCAAGGTACAGGAAGGTTGTGTGTTTAATCTTTAGCATGGTTGTAGGAGATATGATTCACAGAGTAGAAAATAGATAAAAATAAGCATGCAGCCAGTATGGTGCCAAATCATCAGAACTCGACATCTTATTGACAAATGGAAGTCATTCTTCTTTATTTCTTGAGCAAAGCAGTTTCATAAAAGATAAATAGCTTTCAGTCAGAATAGCCTAACCTGCAATATGCATCTTTTTGACATGTATATTCTAATACTACTCTAGACCATAAGATTAAAATAAGAAAAATCTCAGAGTAGTGTGTTGACAAGAAGCACTGGTTGAATCTGTATTTTTTTTTTCCATTTTTCATCTCCCAGAATTTGGCTCTGTGTATGTTTGTACCTTACTGGCTGTCATTAAGTAATCAACTTCTAGTGACCTTCAAGCATCATTTTCTAAAGTTTTATGCAGGGGAATAATTTCTGGGACATGTCCTTTTTTATATCAAACATCAAAAACCATTTAATGCTTTGGAGACACTATGTTTTGTTTTCAGAGACCAGGATAAGGCGGAACATGTTTCTGATAGATGTAAGAGACTGAATTATAGATTTGTGAGCTTGAGAAAGCCACTTAGCTACTTGGATTTTCATCTTCTCACCTTGCAATGGAAGAATTTTGCATCAGGTGTTTCTTTTCTTTTTTTTTCTTTTTAATTACATCGGCTCTATAAATAATTTTACCATCTATGAATAATTGTTCTTTTGCTAGCATAGAAAGGAGACAGGTGATGAGTGAAGTGGAATGAAAAAATTAAGGGGACTCAAGCCTTTGGCACTGAAACCATCTTCCCTCTGTGGGCCCCTGAGGATACTGTTTATTGCTGAAAGTGCTGCTTGCCCAGGTTCCCAGCCCCTTCTCTCCACAAACCCTGTTGACAGGCAGCCATGGAAGCCTCTCGCCTTTTACCTTCTGATATAGAAAACTGAATCAAAGCCCTTGAGAAAATTGGTGAAGTAGCAGAAAACTTCAATTTTCAAATATTCATTGCTTTCATATTGGCCAATTTGCACATGTGGAGGAGTTTTACAGCAGACTCCCTTTGATTAAATCTCCATCTCTGCACTCATCTAGCTGTTCGACTTCTTTGAAATTCATCTCCAAATTTTTGCCTCATCTGCAAATTGGGCAAAATACCTAGATGTGTGCTATTATGGAAGAAAAGCAATCATTTACAAGTGTTCAAAAAATACTCTTCTCCTCCCTGTACTTCATGGTCAAATCATTTTGGAGAGTATTGGCAATGACACTGGACATTGTCCATAATAAAACTCTATAGAATCTACTTCTAAGCCAAACATTGTTTAGTGAGGAGCCACGTCTTGAAATGACAAGATGTGAATGAAACTGACTCCTTTACCTGAACGAACTTACTATATCTGTTTACACTGATCAATTTTGTCTTGACTTGAAATATTGATTAGATTGGCTACTTTCTGAAGCTTGAACTTTGTCTGCCTCTGTGACCACATCTCCCTCTCTTTTGCATCTCCCAGCCTCACAACTTCAAAGAAAGCATATAATAACCTAGGCCTGATGATGAAATCAGTTCTGCTGATGTCAAATTAGTTATGCCTGTGAAAGCTCTTGGAAAAGGATGATAAGAATAAAGTAAAAACCAGTTTCTTAAAAAGTAAACTACTTTTCACTAGATAAAAAGCCAGTGTATAGGAAACGTGTGCTCTACCTCAGTTTTGTGGGACTTATGAGAGAGAGTATAGAATAGCCCACAAAAGGACAATCAGGAGGCCTGGTCCCTAAATAACGCTTTCCTCCCTCCTCACTCTCCATCTGGGCTGTTACTTGTAGTGTTAGAAAGTATAACACAGCAGCACATACATTGGGTTGGAATCCTAACTCTACACTTCACTAAGGGAGTGTTCTTAGACAAGTTACTTGCTGTCTTAACTCATCATAAAAATGAGGGCGGTAGTGTCTAACTCAAAGAACTGGGGTAAGTACTCAAGAGAATAATCAGGAAAGACCCTGGCCCAGAGTCTTGCTCAGAGCACATATGTTTTAAAAATGTAGTTAATAATTACTAGTATTATTTTTACTGCTGGGTGCGGTGGCTCACGCTTGTAATCCCAGCACTTTGAGAGGCCAAGATGGGCGGATCACTTAAGATCAGGAGTTCGAGACCAGGCTGGCCAATATGGTGAAACCCCATCTCTACTAAAAATACAAAAATTAGCCGGGTGTGGTGGCATGCCTATAATCTCAGCTACTCGGAGGCTGAGGCATGAGAATCGCTTCAACCTGGGAGGCGGAGGTCGCGGTGAGCCGAGATCGCACCGCTGCGCTCCACCCGGGACAGCAGATTTAGACACCATCTCAAAAACTAATAATATTAATACTAGTAATTATTATTAGTAGTAGTATTTTTTGATAGAGAAGGCTGGATTTGATTATCTAAGTTCCTTTTTATCTTTAAAGTTAGACTTTCCCCTTTTGGTTGCTCACAAAATACTCCTTGCAGAGTTTGGCAAACCCTAACGTCAGTGTTTGGGGGCCTGACCGGATTTGGCAGGAAAGGCAGTCTGGATGGATAATTATAAAAAATAAAAGCTATCCTATCTTTACAAGCCTGGTTGCTGTAGACAATATTCTGTAAATCTCCAAGATTATTTCATCTTCAGTTAATACTTACAAATACAGAGAACCATCTCAGATAATAAAAGTGAGTGCTGAATATTTTTGCAAGCTATTATAACATTTTGAAAGAGTACTATAAACATGTACAAGATGTGACTATGTGGTCATAAAATGAGTTTTCCTGTGTGCCATGAAGGCTCATTATCTTAAAGCCTCGTGTTGTTCTACAGAAGCCATGTGTGACATTTCGCACTAATGGCTTATGCTGTTACTAAATACTTGTCTCTAACTCCCTCAGTCTTTGGGAATGCAGGCATCCACTTGCATGTAAATTAATAGCTTTGCAGAGTGGAAATGAGGTACCCAGAAAAGTCCTTTCATTTCCTGAGTCCAATAAGGAAATAAGTTCCTTTTCCTAATTACATATTTGACCAGAGTTATTGTTTTCAAACTTATATGAAAATACCTATTTTATGGGAAAGCGTGCTTTCATGATCTCAGTAAATAAAACTGGGGCTTTGTTTCTAATGATTATACTATTTACATTAAACTGATTATCAGCTGGGGAGAAGAGTAGGTGTACACACTTACTTTCTTCTTCAAGGAAGTTTTCAGCAGCTGATAGTAACCTTCTTCTGTCATCTGGGTTTTCAATATTTAATTCAATGAGGTGACTCTCTTTTATATCTTTTAAATCTTCTAGAGTCTCATAACCATTGAGCAAAAGTGTTGAGGTGTATTCCTGTAAGACAAAAAATATAAAGCAAATTAGTCAGATTCAAATATTTTATTTTTAGTTCTCTTTAGATTTAAAGAAAGTATAGAGATGCACATGGGGACCAAAGGTGCCAATAGAACTTTTACTTAACTTCACTTGTATTCGTTTCTGACATATGAACTCCAGGGCTCTTAAATGATTATGTTGTATAATTCTCGCCTTTTGGAAGGCCAAATGTAAAGAAGAAATAATTACCTTAAGCTATACAATTCCAAATCATGGATAAATTAAATAGTTGGATCATGCATCCCATTTGGAAATGTTTCACTTCTCAACTAACTAAATTGACAGAACTAGCATTACTTTAAGTCTATCAATAAAATGCCTCTAGCAGAGTAGCATGCTACAGCAATATTTCAGAATCTACATCTCTTCTTGTTTTCATGATTGCAAAAGCATCTACTCTCAAAACATTCTTGGGGTAGGTTAAAAAATGAGTTTGAAACAGATGTAATTCTATACAAAAAAGTGGGTGTAGCATTTTGATTGAAAGGCATTATGTAAACCAAAAGAATTGGAGACTTTCTATTTAATTGGAAGCTTTTACTAAGCATAGAAGCACTGTAGTTGGGGAAAGAATTGTTTTCTCAGCATGTATATTTTGTCCGTCATTTGAATCAATATGTATTAGTTTAAAATTCATAGGTTTCCGATTTCAAAGTCTGTATGTTATTTTGAAACCTCTATCCTCTCAAACAAAATAAAAATATTAAGTGAAGTTGAGTGCTTTTTCAACTTCTTCAGATTCCTCCTATTTTACTTGCTCTAATTTCAATATCCTTATTTTAATTACTAAAATAGAATAAGAGGAAGTCTAAAAGTTTTAAGTAATCAGGGAGAACTTATGACCACCCCTTTTTAACAAAAAAAAAAAAAAAAAGGAAGAAAAGCAAGAAGAATGACAATTCTTTCTTTAAAAAAGTATATTCTTAGCACTGAATTAGAATAAAGAACACAAAATTTCCTGTTCTGACATATAACCATTTAACTGTGCATTCTTGGGGAAGTCATTTCAGTCTCATAGACCTTGGTTTTCTCACAGGTCACACAATGAACAAGATTCAGAGGCAAGATGCTAACCCGTACATTCTCATAGGAATATCCCATTTGAGGTGCACCAAGAGTAATATAGGAAGGCTTAGATAGTGTGTTTACAGACAGGAACATAACTAGATAATTCAGAAAAAAACAATTAAGAAAAGTGTAATTGGCTATTGTCTTGGTGAATTTTGAAAACTATCAAAGTGCTGCTGAGTTAATTTTAGAAATGGATTGCAAAACTGTAAATTCATTGATACTAGGTGTAGTGTATGTACACACTATTTAACAAGGTAGATATTTCAAAAGAATTTTGGTAATATAACAAGAAAATCATAATTGGGTTACAGATACAGACAACACAGTTTCCTTAACACAATCATTATGCGGCTTGATGATCACCGTTTCCCTCAAATTACTTTTAAAATGATTATATTCAGTTATCTTCTCTCAACTTGATTTTGATCTCTGCTTGGTAGAAAATACAATTCCCTTCTCATTTTTCCTTTCACTTTTTTAGACTTACTTTATTCCTTATACTCTCTTTACCATTCTCGTTTAGACATTTTCTTAGGGCTTTTTATTCTCCTAGATATTTTTCATTTTTCACTGCATTTTCTCAACATCAATCTCTATTGTCACTGCTAAATACTATTAAGGTATAGTCCAAGGGATATTATATCAAGACTTGTCCTTGCATAAAAAAGTAATAAAAGAGAAATAAGAGCTCTTCTAGGAAAACAGGTTTTCCTTTGCTTGCAAGACTTGTATTTTTAAGCAATGCAACACAAATACTGATCCACTCCCTTCGGTGTTTCCATTTACATGCTTCCAAAAGCAAACAGAACACAGATTTGCTCACCTGCAGATGAATCCTCTCTAGGAACTCCTGCAGAGTCTTGGATTTTTTGCTGTTACTCCTTCGGTTTGCCTTTATTTTCTTGGGGGCTGCTTCCTCTTCTGAGATGACATCCACATAAATGAATTTGAAGTTTCCCACTTTATTGTTCAACATTCCTGTCCACATCCCCATTGGTGTTTTGCAAATAATGTCTATGATGTCTCCTTTCTAAGGGCAAAGAAATCCATACACATTAGATTTCAGAGAACCTCACTGATAGAAAGAATGAAATCATAGAAAACTAGAATAATGAGGACATTATGCTAAAGGGGTTCAGATATAACAGAAACAAATCTAAACATTCACTTGCTTCAAAAGTTCAGGCTGGTGGCATGGTGGGTCATGCTTATAATCCCAGCACTTTGGGAGGCCAAGGCGGGAGGATTGCATGAGGCCAGGAGTTTGAGACCAGCCTGGGTGACAAAGTGAGATCCCATCTCTACAATTTTTTTCTTTTAATTAGCCTGGCGTGGTAGCATGTATCTGTAGACTGAGGTGGGAGGAGTTCAAAGCTGCAGTGAGCTGTAATCATGTCACTGCACTCCAGCCTGGGCAACACAGTGAGATCCTATCTTAAAAAAAATTCAAAGAAGTTACTTACTAGTTATAATGAAGAAAACTTCAACATTCTTGACAAAAAGCTCTCACATAGTTTGATGACATGTTTCTGTTTCTGTTATTGTATCAATTTATCAACTTATAACTGTAGAGTCTGCAGTATAATTTACAAAACACTTTTGCCTACTCTAAGTTATTTTTGCTCACAACACACTTCTTAGATACATAAAGGAGGTATCATCATTATTAATGTAGATATTACAGAAAAAGAAACAGAGATATTAAACGACTTCTCAAAAGCTTGCAGGAAGTTAACGGCAGAACCAGAACTCAAGTTCAAGTTATCTTAACCAAAAATTGATGCTCTTTTTATTTATACTGTCAAAGTAATATATATGTAACAAAGCTCAAGTTATCATTCCAGGAGGTGCTCCCTAGCTGGGGAAGGAGATGAAAGAGAAGTCTGTTACTCTATATATTTCTAGTGCATCTGAAAAATTTATCTATGGTATAAAATAAACCCATTTCAAGTATTTCATTCATCTAAAATAAAGAAATTTTGCAGAATTCACATAAAAGTATGTGTACACTAAGGATAAATTATGCTACTTAATTCTTTTTAAGGTATTCATGCTCTCCTCTTATTAAGAAGAGATAACATTTAGATTGAGCTCACAGCAAAGTTTAGATTGAAGTATGAATGAATCATATTAGTATGGACAAACCAATTGGTCTTTTTCTTTACTCACATCTAAGACCATAATTAACTATAGGCTGCCAGTTATTGGCAAGGGTAGAAAACCTCATGGGGATATTTATTTGTAAAGAAAATTTATTTCTATGCAAATAGGATGCCTATGTTCAAGAGTTATAGTTCCTCCTTTGAGACTTAAAACTTTCTGCCCCAGAGAGGACTTTACAGATTCTAATATTTTTGCCCTTTTTAAGTGTCTATCCTCAAACAAACTAAGCATCAAGCCTGCTACTAAAAATATTTTTTCCTGCTGCTCTGAGAATGTGTGTTCTTCCATCTAAAAAACAAATTTTACTTGTAATGGTATAATTCACCATGACTGAACTAACTGGTCTATCTTGTGATCATCTGTCTGTCTAGTCCTGTGATCTGTTAGGCTTTCTGCCTTTAATGAAAGGGAATCAAATCATAGGTTGGATGGTATCAGCTAGGGAGACTGAGAAGCTCTCCTGAAGCTCTGGAAAGTTTCTAGGCATGGAAACCCTTCACTGCATCCTTCCTATTATCCTTGAAACTTGTAAATTTGCAACTTTATCCTTTAAAGGTATATACCTGTGCATTCCAGGAAAGCCCACAGGTCATCAAGCAAAGACTCAATTTCATTTTGGATAAGACCCTTGATGGAAATAATAGTATTTCAATTTTCATGGGTAACTGGGGAATTCCTGTTGTGTCCTGTAAGAGCTCCACAAAAACTCACCTCAGGCAGCAGCAGCAGTGGTCCCTTGGCACGGTATTGTACGGAAGTTGAAAGACTATCCTGAGTCAAACTGTGTTGTGTTTATTTCCTTCTACTGCTCTCTCCCACAATGGTTACTAGGTTATGGGTACCCTTTCCCCAAGACTTGAACTTAGACATCAGATCATTCCATATACATAACTAAGGAGCTTACTGTGGGGAACAGTGCATTTTTAATTCTCCAGTTGAGCTCACTCTGATTTAATAGCATGGAAGGGATCAAGAGAAGGGCTGAAGACCTTAAATGTTAAATAATAATATAAATACTCCATAATATATCATAATTATTAGTTAACATTGGTTTAGTGTTAACAATATAGAAAATTCATACTTTATGCCCTTTGACTTTTAGCACTTTGTGATACTAGAAAGGAATAATTTAACATCTATGAATTCTTTTAGCGCAAAACCTTCTTCTCTTTGTGCTATTGTAACTCACCCCTCTCCTTGAGTGTGAGCAGGACTATGAAAATGATGGATATCACACTCATGATTATGTTACCCTTATATAATAGGAGGGACTTTGCAGATCCATTTAGTGTACTGAATTATTTGATTTTGAGTTAACTGAAAGGGAGATTATCTTGATGGGTCTGACAAATCAGGTAGGATCCCTTAAAAAAAAAGATTAAGGCCTGAGTGAGCTTTTTCCTGTTCATCCTGAAAGAGCCAACTGCCGTATTGTAGAGAGGGCCTTGGCTGGTGGAATCTAGAGGCTTAGAATGGACTCCAGTTGATATCCAGCAAGAAAATGGGGTCCTTAGTCCTACAACCACAAGGAACTGAATTCTGTCAAAAGCCAGTGAACTCAGAAGAGAACCCTGAGCCTCAGGTGAGATCACAGCTTTCTTAGAATTCAGTTGAGCCCATAATTATGACCTACAGAAACTGTGAGCCAGCAATACATTTGTGTTGTTTGATGCCTCTGAGCTTGAGGTAATGTGTTACACAGCAATAGAGAATGAATACAGAGGATAAGAGTAAGAAGGGGGAATTCAGGAGGGAATATCACCAGGAGAAAGGTCTCTGGTTACTCATAGCAACCAACTTAAAAAGTACTAGACATTTCCGGGGCATCATGGCAGACGGCAGGCAGGACCAGATTGCAGCTCCAACTCGAGCAGAGGAGTGTGTGGATGCTCACATGATGAATTTTGGCTCCAGAACGATTGCAGAAATAAATTAGGAAACCTGGGAGGACTCACAGATCCCCTGAAGGAAGTGAATTCCTCCTTCAGTAAACAGGAGACAATCTAAATACCGTGCTGGCATCCACAGCTGAGAGGCCCACAGACAGTTAACATCATAAGACTCTGTGCAGACAACCCTTAGTACCAGCCTGGAGCCTGGTAGACTAGTTGGGTGGCTAGATGTAGAAGACAGGTAACAATCATTACAGATTGCTCTCAGGAAGCCTCATCCATAGGAAGAGGGGGAGAGTACTACATCAAGGGAACACCCCATGGGACAAAAGAATCTGAACAACAGCCTTCAGTCCTAGACCTTCCCTCTGACAGAAACTACCCAAATGAGAAGGAGCCAGAAAACCAACTCTGATAACATGACAAAACAAGCTTCTTTAACACCATCAAAAAAATCACACTAGCTCACCACCAATGAATCCAAACCAAGAAGAAATCCCTGATTTACCTTAAAAAGAATTCAGGAGGTTAGTTATTAAACTAACCAGGAGGCACCAGAGAAAGGTGAAGCGCAAGGTAAGGAAATCCAAAAAACGATCCAAGACGTGAAGGGAGAAATATTCAAGGATAGATAGCATAAATAAAAAACAATCAAAACTTCAGGAAACAATGGACATGCTTATAGAAATGCAAAATGCTCTGGAAAGTTCCAGCAACAGAATTGAATAAGTAGAAGAAAGAAATTCAGAGCTCAAAGGCAAGGTCTTTGAAATTATCCAAACCAACAAAGACAAAGAAAAAGAATAAGAAAATATGAACAAAGCCTCCAAGAAGTCTGGGATTATATTAAATGACCAAACATAAGAATAATCAGTGTTCCTGAGGAAGAAGAGAAATCTAAAAGTTGGGAAAACGTATTTGGAGGAATAATCAAGGAAAACTTCCCTGGCCTTGCTAGAGATCTAGACATCCAAATACAAGAAACACGAACCTAGGAAATTCATTGCAAAGAGATGATTGCCTAGGCACATTGTCATCAGGTTATCTGAAGTTAAGACAAAGGAAAGAATCTTAAGAGCAATGAGACAAATGGACCAGGTAACCCATAAAGGAAAACCTATCAGATTAACAGCAGATTTCTCAGCAGAAACCCAACACGCTAGAAGGGATTGGGACCCTGTCTTCAGCCTTCTCAAACAAGACAATTATTAGCCAAGAATTTTGTATCCAGCAAAATCAAACTTCATATATGAAGGAAAGATACAGTCTTTTTCAGACAAACAAATGTTGAGAGAATTTGTCACTACCAAGCCACTAAAAGGAGCTCTAAATCTTCAAACAAATCCTGGAAACACATCAAAACAGAACCTCTTTGAAGCATAAATCTCACAGGACCTATCAAACAAAAATACAATTTAAAAAACACAAAAAACCAAAAAAAATGTATACAGGCAACAAATAGCATGATGAATGGAATAGTACCTCATATCTCAATACTAACACTGAATTAAATGGCCTAAATTCTCCACTTGAAAGTTACAGAATTGCAGAATGGATAAGATTTCACAAACTATATGCTGCCTTCAAGAGACTCATCTAACACATAAAGACTCACACAAACTTAAGGTACAGGGGTGGAAAAAGATATTTCATTCAAATGGACACCAAAAGTGAGCAGGAATAGTTACTGTTATATCAGACAAAACAAACTTTAAAGCAACAGAAGTTGAAAAAGACAAATAGGGACATTATACAATGATAAAAGGCCTTGTCTAACAGGAAAATATCACAATCCTAAACATGTATGCACCTAACACTGGAGCTCTCAAATTTGTAAAACAATTACTAATAGGCCTAAGAAATGAGATAGACAGCAACACAGTAATAGTGGGGAACTTCAGTACTCCAGTGACAGCACTAGACAGGTGATCAAGACAGAAAGTCAACAAAGAAGCAATGGATTTAAATTATACCCTGGAACAAATAGACTTAACAGATACATACAGAACATTCCATCCAACAACCTCAGAATATACATTCTATTCAACAACACATGGAACTTTCTCTAAGATAGACCATATGATAGGACATAAAATGAATCTCAATAAATATAAAAAAATTGAAATTATATCAAGCACTCTTTCAGACTACAATGGAATAAAACTGGAAATTAACTGCAAAAGGAACCTTCAAAACCATGCAAATATATGATCCCTGGGTGAAAAATGAAATCAAGATGGAAATTAAAAAATTCTTTGAACTGAACAACAATAGTGACATGACCTATGACAACCTCTGGGACACAGCAAAGGGGGTGCTAAGGGGAAAGTGCATAGCCCTAAACACCTACATCAAAAGGTCTGAAAGAGCCCAAATGGACAATCTAAGGTGACACCTCAAGGAACTAGAGAAACAAGAACAAACCAAACTCAAACACAGCAGAAGAAAGGAAATAACCAAGGTCAGAGCAGAATTAAATAAAATTGAAACAAAAAAATATGAAAGATAAATGAAACAAAAAGCTGTTTTTTGAAAAGATGAATAAAATTAATAGACCATTAGTAAGAATTCAAATAAGCTCAATATGAAATGAAACGGGGTATTACAACTGACACTACAGAAATACAAAAGATCATTCAAGGCCACTACGAACACCTTTGCATGCATAAACTAGAAAACCTAGAAGACATGGATAAATTCCTGGAAAGATACAACTCTCCTAGCTTAAATCAGGAAAAATTAGATACCCGGAATAGACCAATAACAATCAATGATATTGAAATGGTAATTTTAAAATTACCAACAAAAAAAGTTGAGGACCAGACCTATTCACAGCAGCATTCTACCAGACATTCGAAGAAGAATTGGTACCAATCCTATTGACACTATCCCACAAGATAGAGAAAGAAGGAACCCTCCCTACATCATTCTATGAAGCCAGTATCACCCTAATACCAAAACCAGGAAAGAGGGTAACCAAAAAAGAAAACTACAGACCAATATCCCTGATGAACATAGATGCTAAAATTCTTAACAAAATACTAGCTAACTGAATTCAACAACATATCAAAAAGATAACCCACCATGATCAAGTGGGTTTAATACCAGGGATGCTGGGAGGGTTTAATATATGCACTTCAATAAATGTGATACACCACATAAACAGAATTAAAAACAAAAATCACATGATCATCTCAATAGATGCAGAAAAAGCATTAGACAAAATCCAGCATTTCTTCATGATTAAAACTCAGCAAAATAGGCATACAAGCGACATACCTCAATATAATAAAAGCCATCTATGACAAACCCACAGTCAACATAATGCTGAATGGGCACAAGGTGAAAGCATTCCCTTTGAGAACTGGAACAAGATAAGGATACCCACTCTCACCATTCCTCTTCAACACAGTACTGGAAGTCCTAGCCAGAGCAATCAGACAAGAGAAAGAAATAAAGGGCATCTAAATCACTGAAGATGAAGTCAAACTGTCACTGTTTTCTGATGATATGATCATTTACTTAGAAAACCATAAAGACTCTTCCAGGAAGCTCCTAGAACTGATAAAAGAATTCAGCAAAGTTTCTGGATACAAAATTAACGTACACAAATCAGTAGCTCTTTTATACACTAACAGTGATCAAGCTAAGAATCAAATCAAGAACTCAACCCCTTTTACAATAGCTGCAAAAACAAAAACAAAAACAAAACTTTGGAATATGCCTAACTAAGGAGGTGAAAGACCTCCACAAGGAAAAGTACAAAGCACTGCTGAAAGAAATCATAGATGGCACAAACAAATGGAAACATGTTCTATGCCCATGGATAGGTAGAATCAATATTGTGAAAAGGACCATACTGTCAAAAGCAATCTACAAATTCAACAGATTTCCCATCAAAATACCACCATCGTTCTTCACAGAATTAGAAAAAACAATTCTAAAATTCATATGGAACCAAAAAAGAGCTTGCATAGCCAAAGCAAACTTGAGCAAAAAGAACAAATCTGGAGGCATCACATTACCTAATTTCAAACTATACTATAGGCTATAGTCACCAAAACAGCATGGTACTGGTAAAAAAAAAAAAAATAGGCACATAGACCAATGGAACAGAAAAGAGAACCCAGAAATAAATCCACATACTTAACGGCCAACTGATTTTTGAAAAAGCAAACAAAAACATAAAGTGGGGAAAGGACACCCTTTTCAACAAATGGTGCTAGGATAACTGGCTAGCCATATGTAGGAGAATGAAACTGGATCCACAACTCTCACCTTATAGAAAAATCATCTCAAGATGGACTAACGACTTAAATCTAAGATCTGAAACTATAAAACTTCTAGAAGATAACATTGGAAAAACCTTTCTAGACATTGGCTTAGGCAAGGATTTCATGACCAAGAACACAAAAGCAAATGCAATAAAAACAAAGTTAAATTGCTGAGACTTAATTAAACTAAAGAGATTTTGCATGGTAAAAGAAACAGTCAGCAGAGCAAACAGACAACCCACAGGGTGGGAAAAAATTTTCACAATCTATACATCTGACAAAGGACTAATATCCAAAATCTACAATGAACTCAAATCAACAAGAAAAAAAAACAAACAATCCCATCAAAAAGTAGGCTGAGGACATGAATAGACAATTCTCAAAAGAAGATACACAAATGGCCAACAAACACATGAAAAAATGCTCAACATCACTAATGATGAGGGAAATGCAAATCAAAACCACAATGTGATACCAGCTTACCCCTGCAAGTATGGCCACAATCAAAAAATTAAAAAATTGCAGATGTTAGCATGGATGTACTGAAAAAGGAACACTTCTACACTGCTGGTGGGAGTGTAAACTAGTACAACCACTATGGAAAACAGTGTGGAGATTCCTTAAAGAACTAAAAGTAGAACGACCATTTGATTCAGCAATTCCACTGCTAGGTATCTATGCAGAGGAAAAGAAGTCATTATACAAAAAAGATACTTGCACACACGTTTGTGGCAGCATGATTTGCAATTGCAAAAATATGGAACCAACCCAAATGACCATCAATCAGTGAGTGGATAAAGAAACTGTGGTATAGGCTGGGCGTGGTGGCTCATGCCTGTAATCCCAGCACTTTGGGAGGCTGAGGTGGGTGGATCACGAGGTCAAGAGATCGAGACCATCCTGGCCAACATGCTGAAACCCCATCTCTACTAAAAATACAAAAATTAGCTGGGTGCGGTGGCCTCCAGCTAGTCGGGAGGCTGAGGGAGGAGAATCGCTTGAACCCAGGAGGCGGAGGTTTCAGTGAACCAAGATTGTGCCACTGCACTCCAGCCTGGTGACAGAGCAAGACTCCATCAAAAAAGAAAAAAACAAAAGAAAAGAAAAAAGAAAAGAAAAGAAAAGAAAGGAAAGGAAAGGAAAAGAAAACCATGGTGTATATATATACAATGGAATACTACTCAGCCATAAAAAGGAATGAATTAATGGCATTTGCAGTGACCAAGATGAGACTGGACATTATTATTCTAAGTAAAGTAACTCAGCAATGGAAAACCAAACATCGTATGTTCTCACTCATAAGCAAGAGCTAAGCTATGAAGATGCAAAGGCATAGGAATGACCCAACGGACTTTGGGGACTTGGGGAAAGGGTGAGAAGGTGGTGAGGGATAAATTACTACAAATAGAGTGCAGTGTATACTGCTTGGGTGATGGGTCTCACAAATAACCGCTAAAGAACTTACCCATGTAACCAAACACCCCTGTTCCCCAATAACCTATGGAAATAAAAATAAAAATAAAAAATACTGGAATTGCCCTGCCAAGTCTGGTTCCCAAGGCCTTTGCTCTGCTCAGCTCTCGCCTGACATTTGCACCTTGTCTCCCTCTCTCTTCATTATTTCTATTCCTGCAAGTATCAGGCAGAGTTGGGCACCTTCAGCAACTGTGAGGCTTTTGGTTTTCAGGAAAATGGAGAGAATTCCTTCCTCCCTGATAGACTCTGAACCTGAATCATCTACATAATAACAACTTACACTAACAGCCTGAACAGACTGATACCCCGACTCCACCTCACATATTTTATTCAAATTCTTAGCACTGGGCCAGGCGTGGTGGCTCACGCCTGTAATCCCAGCACTTTGGGAGGCCGAGGCGGGCGGATCACGAGGTCAGGAGATTGAGACCATCCTGGCTAACACGGTGAAACCCTGTCTCTACTAAAAATACAAAAAATTAGCCGGGCGTGGTGGCGGGCGCCTGTAGTCCCAGCTACTCGGGAGGCTGAGGCAGGAGAATGGCGTGAACCCGGGAGGTGGAGGTTGCAGTGAGTGGAGATTGCGCCACTGCACTCCAGCCTGGGCAACAGAGTGACTCCGTCTCAAAAAAAGAAAAAAAAAAAAGAAAAAAAGTCTTAGTACTGTAAGCTAGCCTCCACTTCTACTGTTGGGAAGAACACACTCACACTGTCTTCCCACTGCTTATACTTGCTGAAACAGATCATATAATCAGCATTTGACAGACCATTCAGAAGGTGGGATATGATGTCCTCTCACCTTGATTTTGAGGGAGTCAGTGTCATAGGGACTTGGCGTGAAATCCGTATGCACTCTGGCACGGCCACAGAATGGTCCTGAATAGGGGCCATCGTCATCCAGTCGAAAGCTGTCCCGGTTACTTGTACCATCTGAACAGCTTGTTATGCCACCTGATGAAAGCAGAAGTTCACAGTTGTCATGGAAGACTTATAACATTCTGAATCATCATCTGGACACAACTAAGTATTGATAATGCTGGAACACTGGATGCCAGGCTCCTGAGGAAGTTCTAATTGACCCATCCTGGTGTCTGTCTTCCAGTTACTCTCCATCAGTGACGTCTGTCCTCTGAGCCATTTCGAACCTTTTTCCTGCCAATCTGGCCACTCTCCTCTATCACTAACCCAAGTACCCTCTCACTTCAGTCTCCGTAATCGGATCCAGTGCACAATGTACTAAGTATTGGTCACTTGCCAAAAGCATCACATTACAAAGTTCCCTACAATTTCCTCCCCAGAGTTCCCACTGTGTACCAAAGGCCATTTTGAGGCAATATTTCTGTCATAACAGGTGGCACTTTTGCTTGTTGTATGAGTGCAAGGGAAGGAGAAAGTGTGTCTGAATATCTGCATCCCCATGTGGTTTGAAACTTCTAAACTGGGCCTTTAAAACTGCTCCAAATCCTTGTTGTCTGGTCCTCTTATTTTTGATCTTAAACTTCAGGAAACAGAGAAAAGAGATAGCATTTTGTCACCTGTCTGGGAACAAGAATGGCTCCCAGTGGAAGTAATTCTCCTCCCCCACCCTCATACTCAGTCACCACTTCACATCTTCCTTCAGTCAAGCCTTTCATCACTCTGTTCAGTGAGGGAATAGCCCACGTTTCACTACCATGCATTGTGGAAATAAGGTATAGCTCCTTCAAGATGCTCCACATTGTATGTGAACTGATGTAAAACACAGATGAGTTGCATCTAATCACATAAATTAAGTGGTATACAGTAATGGTAAAATGGACCACCATCTCTTCACACCCTCCCTTCCATGACAACTCCAGACCAGGGCTTTTCGCAGTCCATTCTAGTTAATAAAATTCTCCCCACATCCAGCATCACAATATAGAGTTTTTAAACTTCCAGGAGAAATTAATACTAATGAGATCTGAATTTCATACATGCAAAAAACATCCTTTAAATGTTTCTGTGTTAGCTTTTGTCACAAAATAACTATTCTACAGCCAATAGGAAAATAGGAATAAAACTCAGGATATTTGAAACATCTGGTCTTGCCATACATCTTCAGATAACAGAAGCAGTTGATTTAAAAGGAAATGGGAAACAAACTTTGCAAAAACATTTAAAAACCCTGAAAAGATTAGAGAGATGTATAACAGTCTACATACAAAAAGTCATAAGGCACCCTGCAATATCAATCGTTTCATCCAAATATTGTAGCTGGAAATTTGACTAAATCCTGAGTGATTTCCTTCTTAGAAAAAATATTAATCTTCATTAGAAAATCCTTGTTGGTTACTTTGGATCCCTTTTTGCCACCTAATTGGTCATAGTCCTACCATTTATTATTTGCATATTGCTTCACTCTTTACTGATTAATGCTGGGTTAAGATCTAAAAAGTAAATGTCAGTAAAAGTAAATTGATGCAAATGTGCTACATTTTTCAGAGTACTTCAGGAAAAAAGGAAAGTGGTCGGGGGAGAAAGAATGAGGGGGACGCAGGGAAGAGGAAGGGAGAAAGAAAGAGACAGAGAATGGAGCAGAAAATAAATTTCATTTATCTGAATACTTCAAGTCATTTTGAAATATGTTGACTCAAGATAAAGGTGGCTCACTCCAACAAAGGTGTTTATTTTAAAGATGCAGGTTTAATCTCCTAATATGGCTTTTTTGAGGAGTATCCCGAGGAGCCCCGTTGACTACAGTGTTAAAAGTTTTCACACACTATATGACTGTGTCAAATATATTATGTATTATTTAAACAATAGCAACTCTATATAGATTTAATATATCTTACATTTTTACCATTTCTCTTATCAAGTAGCTGGAACCTTGTGGCTGATTTAACTTGTTGTTTTTTAATTAATTTAACCCAGACCTCACACCCAGGATCTTGTCCCTGATTCATTAGCCTTACTTGATGAGCTCTGTCCACTGTAGAGACTATCCATGGAGTCACTGGCTTTGAGGGACACCTTCTCTGTGTGGGTCCCAATCACAGGGTCACTGTTTCTATATGGGTGGGCATTCTCTCCATCTTCCTCATCCTTCAGAAAACATATCAGAGGTTAGGTACAGAGAGAAGATTTCCACAGAGATGTACATTGAGTACATTGATTTAATAGACACATATTTTAGCAATAAAATACTTAAGGATACATAAGGATAAAATACAAAAGTAGTTCATCTTCAGTTCAATTTCTAGCAAAACCTTTCACAATATACTTGGAAAAATTACTCAGATGACACATTCTTTCTGTAAAATTCAGTTGAAATTATAATGGCTCATTTTTACAAACTAGGATGAATATCATATCAATATTATTTAATCAAAAGTGTTAGATTTATTGACATCTATGGTTTATCTTTTAAAGCACTTTTACTTCTTCATGTTGTCCTTATGCTCTATTTACCACCATTACTAATCCATTGAGATCTGATCCTACAAGCTTAAACTCTGCATAGTTGTTTCATGTCAGTTATTTGCATCCTACCAGATCACTAGATATGAATAAAACATGTACATTTTGCAATTCTAAAGCAAAGCTTATCTAAAAAGCTTTACAAATCTAATACCATGCTTGCCACCTAGTCAAGTGAGAAGCAAATCTTGCATAAAATTAGAAAAGACAGACAATTTCAAAACAAATTATATTTTCTTGAAAACATCTCCAATGTTTTCCATATTTCAATAGTTTGGATTAAACCTATGAATTTCTTAATATTCATCAGAATGTAATTCAACATTCTTTATTTGTGAGCATTTCTAAACATTGATAAAACTTCAGAATACACAAATGATATACACTCAGTTTGATTCTCCACTTTTATCCATTTCTTTTTTGATTCAGTCATTCAACACAATTTTATAGAACACCTCCTAGGTACTGAGCAGTGTTCTTGGAACTGGGGATTTTCATGGTAAACAAGATAACAGGGTGCTTGCTATAATGAAGGATATTCTATTGTGTTAGCTGTGTGTGTTTGTGTGTGCGTGTGTGTGTGTCTGTGTAGAGTATTTGGGGAGGTGTGTCTAAACACAATAAGACAATTTCAGAGAATAGTAAGTGTTATGAAAGAAATAAAACTGGGTGATGTGAGAGAATTTGTTGCTGAGGTTAGGGTTAGGGGTTGGCTGATTTAAATGGAGTATCCTCCAAAGACCTCTGCCATACAGTAATATATGCCCTGAATTATTGACCTAAAGGATAAGAAGATGTAACTTATGTGAAGCTTTGGAGACAGTTTTCCAAGCAAAAGGAATAGCAACAGCAAAATAATTGAACTCAGAATTATCTTGGGTTGTGCAGGGAAAACAGCAAGGCTAATGTAGTGTGAGAAAGGAGAATATTAGTGTGTGAGTTCAGGGAAGTAGACTGGAGCCACATCAAGAAAAGCTTTATAGACCATGTGTGGTGGCCATGGAAATGTGCCACTTAGATCTCTTGCTGCGGGACCCTTCTTTACTGACAGTCCCAGGACTGCCCCTCTGTATCCATCACTCCATTTGCACTAAAGCCATGCTCCCTTTCAGTAACTGAAAAAATAGGGGTATTGTTTGAGCCCATTCTAGTGGAATGTAGGGTTCCTGTAATGGAAAACTTTAGTATAAGAATCCTCCATCAATCTGACCAAAGCTTTCTCAGTATTCTGCTGAAGTATGAGACTCTCTCTACCTGATTCTTCTTCCTTTTCCTCATCCTTTTACAGATGTCAGATTTACGTTGCAGTCTAAAGGCTTTCTCTTTAGCCTTCCTAGCATTTCCTGTCATAAATCTGTGGTGTTTCTACTCTTTTTCTTGGGATCTAGAATGAACACACCAAGTAAAGAGGTTCACTATGAAGACACTGAAATTTTAACCATGACCTGATTTCCACTTGTCAGAGATATTTCTGGCTTTCATATGGAGAATAAATTTTATGGGGGAAAGAATAAAAAGAATGGAAAGCAATTAGGGGATTATGATAGTAATCCAGGAAAGAAAGGTTGGTTATTTAGTCTAAAGCAGGAATAGTTTACATGGAGAAATTAGGGAGTTTATATATACGTGGTAATACAATTCAGAGAATTTACTGATGAATTAGTGTGAAAAGTGAGAAAAAGAAGGAATTTAGGGTGATTCTTAGATTTTCTTTTCTTCCTATTTTTTATATTTTTGTTTTTATTTATTTTGGGGATCAGTGTTGTCTGCTGCCACTGGGAATACTGGATGAGAAAACCATTTTTTTTGTAAAAGTGTAGAGAATAAATATATTAGCTTTGGATATATTAGGTTTTGGATGTCTACTGGACATCTAAATGAAGATATCAAATAAGCAATTGATTGTATTAATATAGCAGATAAGTGAAGAGGTCATAGCTAGAGATATAGTTGTGAAAAACAAAATCATGAGAGTAGATGAGCTGACTTAAGGGGAGAATGTAGATTCAATGGAGCATCCAGGAACAAGCCTCAGGAAGATGTTTCAAGGGATGAGAAAGAAAGCAGAGCCAAGAAAGGAAGCTATGAGGAAGAAGAAATGCCAGAAGCATGCCTAGTCAAAAAAAAACAAGAAAAGTGGATGTTTTATATGTAAGGAAATCAGCACTTGGGTCAAATACAGTTGAAAAGTAGTAAGGAGAAAGAAAAGTGACCATTGGACCTGGCAACACAGAGGTCACTACTGACGGCGACAGCTATTTTAATGGAGTACTGGAGACAGAGCCCTGTTGAAGTGGATTGAAAAAGAGAATGGACATAAGACATAAAAATCAATAAAGTAGAATTGGGAGTCCATAAGTAAACTCACTTATTTATGATCCATATATTTATGACAATATATTTATGGTCAATTGATTTTTAACAAGAGTACCGAGACAATCAAATAGGAAAAGAATAGTCTTTTCAACAAATAGTGTAAGGACAACTATATATCTACATGCAAAAGAATGAAGGTGGACTCTTCCTATATACTGTACAGTAAAATTATCTTGAAATAAATGATACACCAAAATTTAAGAGACTATTGGCCTCTTAGAAGAAAACATGGGAATAAATCTTCATTACATTAGATTAGACAATGGTTTGTTAAATATGTTACCAAAAGCACAAGTGACCAAAAAAAGATAATTGGACTACAATAAAATTAGGAACATTTGTGCTACAAACAACACCATCAAGAAAATAAAAATACAATCCACAGAATTGGAGAAAATATATTATATTGCATGTCATATATCTGATAAAAAACTTGCATCCAGAATATATAAAAAACATTTAAAACTCAACAATAAGAAGATAAATAACCCAATTAAAAACGAACAATGGATTTGAAAAACACTTCTCCACAAAGATAGATAAATGGCTAAAAAGCACATGAAAAGATTCTTGACATTATTAGTCATCAGGGAAACGTAAAGTACAACCAAATGTAAATCAAAATCACAATGAGATTCCACCTCACATCCACTAGGATGGCTAGTATTAAAAAGACAGACAATAACAAGTGTTGGCAATGATGCAGAGAAATTGGAACCCTCATACATTGTTGATGGGAATGTCAAATGACACACCTGCTTAAAAAAACAATTTGCCAGTTTCTCTATTAGACATGGAGTTACTATATATCCAAGAGAAATGAAAAAATATTTCCACACAAAAATTGAACAGAAGTATCTGTAGCAGCATTATTCATAATAGCCAAAAAGTGAAAGCAACCCAAGTAATCACTAAGTGATAAATGGATAAAGTAAATGTGATCCATCTATAAAAGGAGAAATATTATTTGGCAATAAAAAGGAATGAAGTACTGATACTTGCTACTAAATTAATGACATGTTGTTCTTCACATTGTTCTTCGCATCACATTCTAGATGCATGATCTTTTTTTTTGTTTTGTTTTTTGAGACGCCATCTTGCTCTGTTGCCAGGCTGAAGTTCAGTGGTGCAATCAGGGCTCACTGGAACCCCCGCCTCCCGGGTTCAAGCGATTCTCCTTCCTCAGCCTCCTGAGTAGCTAGGACTACAGGCGTGCACCACCATGCTCAGCTAATTTTTGTATTTTTAGTAGAGACGGGGTTTCACCATGTTGGCCAGGCTGGTCTTGAACTCCTGACTTCAGGTGATCTTCCCGCCACGGCCTCCAAAGTGCTCGGATTACAGGTGTGAGCCACTGCACCCAGCAGATGCATGATCTTTCTGAGTGTCAGTTTCTTCTGTTAAAATGAAAGTAATACTTCCTTCCACCCAAGTTCTGGGCATAATGACTGAGGAAGAAAACAAATGCTTAAGTACTTCATAAAGTACCAAGCACTTCTATAGTCTAGCTGAATAGTTTAAGAAAGTTTTAGTAGAAAAATACAAATGATTATCAGAGAATATTTACCTTTTCCTCAGAAAGGGCTTTGATGTACTTTTTACCCACTTTTTTCTTCATTGTCCATGAAATAGCTCTCATTTTTTTACCCAAACCGCCTCCATTATTTGAAGTTTTACTTTGTTCTCCACTTCCATTTGTGGGATCTCCTTCATGTGCCTAGTTTAGAATTGTTTACAAAAGACAAAATAATAAAGCAATAAAAAACATTGATCTGAAATCACTGTTACAGAGAACATTCTGAGTTTGTGGATTTTGCATGCATTCTGTGCAGCAGCCTCCAAAATTTCTAACAATCCGGACATAACACATATTTTTAAAGTTGTCCAGCCCTGGTTGCTTGTGTTACGAACTCAGAAAGTAAAATTCGTGATGTTAAAGGACTTGAGCCTCACATCTGCAACTCTTTTAGAGAATTTTGACTATTTTTTAAATAGCTGTATTGAAGAATCATTTTATTCCCTCTTCTTGAGATGAACAAATAATATTAAACACCAGGTATAAGGAGTTCTTATGTCTACATAGATGAGAAATATTTTATTGGAAGCTTTAGATAGGCTGTAGCATCTATCTGTGTTGAATAGGCCTTAAAATATCCTCTTGCTTCTCATAGAAATTGAGATGATTGTGGTTATTTTAAAGAAGTTTTTGTGTTAATTAAATCCACTGAGAAATGTTAGATTTTTTTTCATCTTAGTGTGCACATTTCCCATATTCGCAAGCAATAGTAAATATGAACTAGTTCCAGCCATTAGTACAGAAATCTTCATGTAATTCACATGCTATATTAATCAAACATCTTATTTGGACTGCTTCAGTCTGTGCTTAGGAATTTTGTTAAACCAATGACTCAGAATAAAACACTCTGTTCACAGCCACAAGACTCTATATGTCATAACATAAAATAATGTTCTGTCAATATAATTAATATATTATGTGATATATATTACATTATATAGAATCTATATGAAATAAAATATCCTCACTACCCACCTTGCCCCTCGCTACTTCTCAAGTCTCCCTCGCTCACTAGATCAGTGGTTCTCAAAATATGATCCCTGGACCAGCGGCATTAACATCACTTGGGAGCAGTTTGTGCTTTAGCAAGCTCTTCAAGTGATTCTGATACTCGCTAAAGTTTGAAAACAACTGTAATAAAGTATTGCCATGCTAGCCCCCTTGCAGTTTCTCTATCAGGTTCTCACCAAGTTTGTATTTGCTTTTGCCATTGGCTTCCGCCAGATATCCAAGAATTTCTTCCTTCAGTCGTCCAGGTTTCTATTCACATGTCATATAATAGGAGAGTAATTTTCTGATTGATCACCCTCCACACTTCCATACATCCTGTTTATTGGCCCTGATTAATTATTCCTCTAAGCAGTTAACATTACCCGATAATATGTTTGTTCATTTGATTATTGTCTGCGTCTCCCACTATGATGCATGCTCCATGAGACTTGAGACTTTGTCTGTTTTCTTTGAGTGTCTAGAGTACTTCCAAGCACAGAGCTGGCACTTGATATTATTTGAATAAATGAAACTTCTCATGTAGAACGTTGCAGATTTTTTTTTCTTGGAGGACATGTTTGGGTTACACGTCCTAAAATACCTTATATTTGCAAGAAAGGAAACTTGAAGGACATCTAGTTTAACACTGCCCACCATTACTGGTAGGTGGACAGGTAGTCATTCACTGAATATAAAAAATGATGGGAAACTTCTCTTTAGTGAACTTGAATATTTTAATATAAAAGTTTAACCACATAGTTAACATCATTATTAATCAATATTATATTTTGCTTCATATCTTACCCCAAATTGCCTATGATAAATATGAATGGACAGCCAATTTAAACCCTCATTGCACTTTATTAATTTCTACATTCAAGGTTGAAATCAAGGCAAAGATTCTTTGCTTAATTCAAAAGTCCTGAATAAAATTTAATTCGGAAGCACTTTAAAATTTTAGAGTTAGCCTTTTTCTTCTCTCTACTTAAACTTTCTCTGTCTTCATTATAAAATTACTTTGCTAACATAAATAAGAAATGTTAATTACTACTTGTGTTACTCTACCATTTCTAAGCTTCAGAAAAATGTACCACACATATTTTTCAGGTTTTTCTAGCGTTATTTACAGAAGCTACAAAGAAATTATGTTTATGTCTTTTGAGTGTTAACATTTTTCTATGCCTTTCTCCATAGCCTGAATTAAATTTCTATTTAAATATTACTTATGGTTTTGTTCTTGTCTTTTTAAGATTTGTCTTCCCCTATAGACTCCAGGCATGAAGTAAGGATTTTCATGTGTTGTTGCAACAGTACTTCCTGAGTGTCTAAGGGAAAACCTGTCATAGAGTAGTTATTTTTTGAATGAGTGCTGGATTGTTGAAAAATATGCACACTATTTTATTAGGTTTGCTAAATTCTTTTACAAATTACTAGGCCACCATTATTAACCAATGAACCTGAATGAACATGAGCTATCTTGTACAGGTTAATTCCAGAATTATAAACTAAATAGCAGTAGAATATATGTATGATTGTGGAGAATTAAAAATTTATACAAAATGCCAACTGAAAATAAAATTATATACAGTTTCTCTCTCTCTCCATATATATACACACACACACACAAACACATATATGTGGCCAGGGGGAGATTTATATGTATATATTACATTTATTACTTACAATTATGTAAATGTTGATTGACTATACAATTATGTACAAGTTTACTCATAAATGTGAATATATACATAATAAATTAATAAAAGGGATCATTACTGAAATTAAATTATTTTAAAATATTACAGATAGTTATATTTGAAAATAAGCATAGGATCTAAAAACCTATTGATCTAAAAACCTATTGATCTAAAAAGAATATATTACCTGTAAGGTTGCTGAATCAGGTTCAATGGTAAACAGTATTTTCAGTTTTCTTAGTAGACACCCCTTCTCTGTACTATTTTATTAGTTGTTGTTGTACCTGTCATTAACCACTTAGCATATGTGGCCCCTACTTTATGAGATAATATGGCAAACTTTGGAGTCAGAGAAAAGGTTGATTTCTGCCTTTGTCATTTACTCACTCTGTAATTTAGAAGTAATTTTATTTGATGAAGCAAGCATATTTCTGCAATGGCAAAATAGATATACTAATAGTTCCTATGTTATAAATAGGTAAATTGTTATAGATAGATAAAGTTAGCATTGTGCTTATTTCATCGTGAGTGCTCAACTAAATGAACATATTATTGAAATTATTACGTAAACTTTATTTTATGGGAAGCTTTTCTTAAGCTACGGTTAAAATGTTCATAGTGTACAAATGTGTATGTAGCACTCACCAATGGGATGTTTCAGTGTACATTGAAGTGTGAGAGTCCAATTGAGCAGCTGTATGCTCTCCTTAACAAATTTACAGTTGGGCCACTTAATCTTGTTCTAATTTAAAGCAATTACAACTTACATAACATTTTATATATATCTATCAAATAATGTGTATAAATACAATGTATGTGTATGTGTACATATATGTATACTCACATTGTTTTATAGTAGAAATACTCAGGAAATTTGGAATTGTCAGTGTCAGTTTGAATTCTATCTTTTCGGGTTCATGTTTTGCTTTCCCAAACATCTGTTAGGCTTCTTAAAATAAGATTTTACTTTTAATGCCCTGCACGGTACTGGGTACTGATAGAGACAGGAAACAGCCAACGGTCCCTTGCGAAACCTCCCCTTCGAGCCTAAAACAGCTTGAAGGCTGAAAAACCAGACTGATGATCCTGGATGAAGCCCACCCTTTCCCAACTGATTCTCTCTTAATAATGCCCACCTGTGCACTGGGGGAAGGGGACGGAGCTATGGGAAGGTCGTGTGGTTTGCTGCAGGGAGGAGCCTGGCCTCTTTTGTTGTTATGTGGTAGCCTGGGATTCAATCTGTAAGGTAGGAGCCTGCTAGCAGGACTCTTGCTTTGTTGAGAGTTCCTCTTTTTTTTTTTCCTTTTCACCCGATATACCCTGCCCTACTCACCCTACAATGTGTCTGTGTGCCTAAATTTTCCTGGTCGTGTGACAAGAACCCATTGCTTTCCACAACAGTACTAAATAATGGTTTGTTCATTTATCACAAAAACATATGCAAGGCTATAATTTTAAAATGTATTCATTTTTCTTATTTTACTTTGCAAAAGTGACATTGTCTTCATAATATTTCATAATGTGTTTGCATAACATTCATAAAAATGGAATAAACTACGAACCTCAGTTGAATCATCTGGTTTTGATAAAGAATTATTCCGAAAACGATCGAAATTCCCAAAACTGCTGCTTCGCTATAAAATAGAAAAGAAAAAGCAAAGGAAACTTAGAATTTATTTTCACTGTCCAAACTGATAAGTATATTAGATTATAGTTTAATAAGCACCGTCTCTTGCAAATACAGGCTTTAAAAAGCTCTTCTCTCTGGAATATCCAAAGGCTGTGAAGGTATACCTATTAACATTTTTATATTTACAGTTGATCAAATGTCTTTCTACGCTTTTTGTCATAGCGTTAAGTAAGCACCTTGGAGAAAATCTTGGTTAAATTATTTTAAATTTTTTATTTTAATTTTGCTCTTTGAAGTGGCAGCTGAAGAATCCTTGAATTCCAAACTAAAGCTTCTTGAAATGAGCTAACCACAAACTTAACAGCATGTAGTACTAACCAACCAACCAACAAACAAATAACAACAACAAAACACAAACAAAAAGCAAGCATCTGAGTAGATCCACCATTACGCCTCACAAAGATCAAGTTTGTTCACACGCTGGGGCCTGTGGGGTGGAGGGCAGGGAGACGGAGAGCATCAGGAAAAATAGCTAATGCATGATGGGCTTAATACCTAGGTGATGGGTTGACAGGTGCAGCAAAACACCATGGCACATGTTTACTTATGTAACAAACCTGTACATCCTGTACATGTACCCCGAAAATTAAAATAAAAATGAAAATAAAAGACCAAGTTTGTTTAAAAAAAAAAAAAGAACATAAGTGCATTTTCTATTACCAACTCTTGATCATTTGAAGTTCTCTGCTGGGTATCAGAAAAAGAAGGCACACACACAGACTTACTAATAAATTGAAAGCAGCATTTAGGTATGCACAGTCCAAGGTTGGGAGTAAAATGGAATTTTTCCACATTTAACATAGAATTACAATGAGATCTCTGGGTCAGTTTCATTCACTGGTTTTGAGAAAAAGCTCAGTATGTTAATAGAAGATGTTGTCTTGAATACCTTTTGCTTACAAAGCTACATTTTTATTATGCAACTCAATGTAGGCAGGCAATTATAAATAATTTCTGATATGCAACAAAATAAATGAATCCCTTAAACATATTTTAAAATTCTTTTGAGTCATTGAGTCAAAAAATTGATATTTCCTCACTATCTAATTTTATGCATTGTTTGGGATGGTGGATATCTGATGTTGGGTTCTTTGTGTACTCATAAATCCCGAGACTATTTTCTTTCTAAAGGACTTTATCTTATTTCAAGTTTATCATATTTTAAAAACAAACTGGTGGTACTGACATATAATCTGGTAATTTAGAAAATTAATAATGGGAGTCAGTAATCTATAAAACTTTGTACAACAAGGCCTCCCTTAATGCTCTCAATGGGATCTCGGAAATTGCTACCTTAAGCAAAACCAGGTGTAACAAAATCCACTTTACCATAGGCTACTTGAAATCACAAGTTCAAATAACAAGTTCCTGTGATCTACTTTTCATCACAAAAACATCATCAAATTTCTAAATAAAGACCCAAACACTTCTAATGGTAAACACTGAAACAAATGCGATCCATACATATATTTAAGAAAAATTAATTTAAAAAATTAACATAATTATTTTCCCAGTTATTCCAGCTCAGGGTTGCTGTGAGTGGCCAGAGCCTATCCCCACAACTCAGGGCACAAGGCAGGAACCAGCCCTGGACAGGGTGCTGCTCCAACGCAGGGCACACTGAAGCACACATCCACACTCCTCATTGTGGAACAATTTGGACACGCCAATGCCAATTGACCTGGAATGCACTTCTTTGGGATGTGGGGGGAAACCCACACATAAATGAGAAGATTGTGCAAACCCTGCACAGACAGTGACCCTGGTCAGGAACTGATTTTTTTTTCTCCATCAATATTATTATAACAAAATGATGTTGGAGAAAACTGTTTTTGGAGGACCTGCTATATTGTCCTTTCAGAAATCACAGCCCATTTTAGTACAAGGCAACTTCAAGGGCTCCTAGTCCCTAGAAGCTCTTATGTCTCCCTACCAGCTATCTTTAAAGATTTTTGTTTCCCTTTTAAAAGAACTGAAATAAAAAGATCCTGACCTCTGGCAAGGGGTTAGCTTGATAGACAGTGTGATACAGAATATTGCCCCAAGGATGATAGCTGTGTTAGACACAATTAACGCCTTTTGCTGACTTGCCACCCCGGCTGGACGAGCCCTTCAGCCTGTGGTGAGAGGAGCAGAAACGAAAGCTGAAACTGAGAACCACACTGGAAAATACAAACTCTTCTTATGTAGTACTTACTAGCCTACAGTGGCTTCCCAGAATATGAATCACTCCAACTTGCCTAGGAGGTGTTTCCATCTGGCTGTCATTGCTCAGCAATCACAGAAGGGAATTGAGCGTATTGTTGTCCTGCTTATAAACAATCTGAACACACAGAAATCTATTACTCTTTTATATACTTGAAACCATTCTATGGCTGATTGGAGCCCATGCCCAAGGCAATTTTGTAGCCTATATATAGCCTGTTAAATATTAATGAGAGTAAGGGTGCGATTTCCACAATGGGATAATGGGTCCTGTTGCACAGGAGGGCACAGAATAGACTCGTTTCAGCATTTTGCTACACTATCTTCTTCCATTAAGTAATCAATAGCCACCACCTTTTAAAATTAATTCTCCCCTCATTATATCAATAAAGAAAAGCAGATTTAGGAGTCGTGGTTTAAGAAGGACACTGGACTATTACTTTGGGTTTTGTCAGTCATCTCATCACTAATTACTCAATAGCTTTATGCCATAGGAGTATATCAATCCATGTTAAGACACCCTTAAGAAGAAAATCTAAATATTTAAAAGAACATTTATATTTGTTCATTATTCTCTAGTTTAAAAGTTAGTAACTAACTTTCTCAGATGGTTTTATGATGTATAGATTATGGCTTATGACAAAAAAGGACTAATGTCTACTATGAGGTCTGGACAATGAACACATTTATGACTTCTGTTCTTGTAAAGTTTTATGATAACAAGGTGAATTATATGGAAACAAAGCTTGCTTCCTAAATAATAGTACTTAATAAATGAGAATGTGTTTGAATATTGATAATGTTGTTTATATAATTGTAATGTATTAGACTTAGTAAATATTATCTTATGACAGAAGTTCTTATCAAGACAGAGTTATTATATAAATAAGCAGTGTCAAAAAGAAGATGAGCTTAAATAAAAATGCTATATATATTTTAGATAATTCTTTGTGTCTGTTGACTTTAGATCATATTTAGTCTTTATACTCTACACGAATGTTTCCAGTCTTTCCTTATGCAATTAGAAATGCATTTGTAAAATGGCACAATACCTATAAAGGGAAATTTGGCAATATCTAGCAAAATTACATATACATTTGCCCTTTGTCCCAAGAATTCCATTTCTAGATGTCTTTATCAGCAATACATTTGTATATGAATTGTTTACATTTCCATATTCACTGTAGCACTTTTATATTATCAAAAAGCTGTAAAGCCTAATGTTCATCAAGAGGATACTGATTGAATAATATATGGTACATCCACACAATGCAAATGTATGAAGCTGTAAAAAATTAAATACATCTTTTTATATGCAACAGAATAACCTCTAGCATACAGTGTAAGGAGAAAAAGTAAAATGGAGAAAAGTGCAATATATTGAAATACATCTAATGTCAAAATTCATGAGTTCATAAGGATACTAAAAAGAAAAATGCATCAGTTACATTGGGAAATGTTATAATTATATTCTGAAAACTAACAAATAAAGGGACAACTTAGACATTTAATCTGCCTTTCCTGTATGAAACCTATTTCATCAACTAAATAGTTCATCAACTAAATAGTTGATGAGGGGAAATTGTTCTGTATATGTTCATACTTCAGCTAATCAATTAAAAATGATGAAATAATAAGATTACCATTTTGCAAACCCCTAATGCAATGTTGGATCCAGGCAATGATCATCAATGGCCACTAAAATCACACAAAAGGAGATAACCAGAATATGTGCTTTGTGATGGAAGCATTAAATACAACTAATGAGATATTGTTTATAAGAAAGAAAGGAAGCAAGAAAGCAATCACACCAAGCTCTGTATCTAGCTACCACATTTAAGGAAAAAAAGAGACAGAAGAGCATGTTAAATGTTACCAAGAAGATACAGTCAGTCGGAAAAAATACAGACAAGAAAATACAGAGCAAAACAACCCAGCTTCTTCAGCAAATCAATATAAAAAAATTTTAAGAAAGAGTTAAAGTATAAACTGAGAGACTTCAGAAACATATTATCCAAGTATAATCCATGAATCTTGTTTAAATATAGATCAAATAAACCACTATACCAAAAACATCAAAAGACAACTGGGTAAATTTTTTAAATGACTAGCTATTTGATGTTAAGGAAGTAATGTTACTCTCTTATATACAATTTGAAATAATCTAGCGAGGAGCAGCAAATGTGCGGCTATGAGGAAGAAACACAATTGGCCATTCTTGAATCATTAGCTGGATGGTGGCTATATGGGGGTAGATTTTACTACTCTCTAATTTTACATATATTTAAAATGTTCCATAATAAATTGTTGAGTTATCAAAAGAAATATTTCTATATAATAGCTAAAATTATTTATAAAAGTTAGTGGTCTCATAACTTTATTTATTTATTTACTTATTTTGAGACCGAGTCTCCCTCTGTTATGCAGGCTGGAGTGCAGTGGCTCCATCTCGGCTCACTGCAAACTTCACCTCCTGGATTGAAGCGATTCTCCTGCCTCAGCCCCCCCGAGTAGCTGGGATTACAGGCTTGCACCCCCACGCCCAGCTAATTTTTTTGTATTTTTAGTAGAGACAGGGTTTGACCGTGTTAGCCAGGCTGATGTTGAACTCCTGACCTCAGGCAATTCGCCCGCCTTGGCCTCCCAAAGTGCTGGGATTACAGGTGTGAGCTGCCATGCCCAGCCAGTTTCATAACTTTAATAAGGAATCAATTTGTTTAAAAACAATCATAATATGGTTTAGGTCATGGTTGTTTGGAAGTACAGAAAGGGAACAAAATAAACTTGCGTTTCCTAAATTCATTTTAATACATCTAACTTTTCTGATATAAATATGTGCCCTTGGATTGCTGTTTTCAAGACTATCTGCAATCACATCGTGCAGTTAACCTTCTTCCACACAGTCCACTTGGCTTACCCAAAAATAGTACAGAACCAGGGTCAGCTGGGGTGTTTGAACACATTTGTGTATGTGTGTTTCTATGCAATCTAATGAGTAATATAAAAGAACTTAAGGCGATTCTTTTTTTATTAGTACCTCTCCAGTTTTGCAAAACAATCTTAATTATTACAGAATACTGTTTCATGATATAAAGCTGGCAGTGTTCTTAGTTATCGTCTAGCTCTTCTCAATAAGGAAACTGTTGAAACCAGAACTTGCAAAAAATTTCTTTTTAAAAAATTCTCCACTCTGATATACTCTCCCCTATGCCATTCCATTACAGAATCTAGATCCTGTCTTCTTCCCAAGAGGCTTGCTTTCTGAGCAGAATAAAAATTACGGCAAAGTTAGTTTGATAGAAAGAATGAAACTAACTCGGTTTCCTAGAATACTGACCAGCCTGCATTTATGAACATGAATGAAAATTACAGGGTCTCTATGTAGAAATCTGAATCAAACTTGTGATCAAAACCAGAAGAACTTGACCCTCATTTTCTTTCTTAGCCAACCACTAACTTTGGGAGTCTTCAGATGAAATCTCATCTCCAGCATGACTTAATATTTGGGTAAGGTGCTGGTGGAAAAGTTTCACAGTCTATTTCAAAGAAAAGATTTGCATTTGTGAGGCACACATCTGCAGTACTTTGAAATATACTGGCAAATTAAAAATTACACACACTCTCCCAACAAGTTCTCAGCTCTTTTAAATATTGCACAAAGAACGTTGGTTAGTAATGTACTCAAAGATCAGAATTCTGTTTCAGCACATCCTTATATGAATATTCTACTATAATAAAAGCTGAATCTCAATAAGCTTGTCAGCCTTTATCCAAAGACACTCGAGGATTTAATTGTTCTAACTAACTCGGGTACTCAGATCTTTTGAAGAGGTGAAACAAATTTAACTCTCTTAAAATAATCAGTTAGAATTGCCTCAGTGTCACGTGGTACCAGTGGAATACACTTCTGTGGGGTGTCAGGAAACTGACGGCTAAAAGACAACTAGAGCTGTAAAGCCTCGTCTTCGACACTCACGTTTTATCCAGGGATAAAGGCAACCCAAAGCTCAAACATATACCAATGCTTTAAATATTTTCAACGTACATCTGGACTCTAAGAACAAAAGCTGGTCTATTCTATCTCTCTGGTTCAGTAACTTTTCTATCAACTGCAAAATAGCTTCAAGAAGTGCAGATTCTGATTCCACCACGGTTTTACAATGTTTTGTCAAAATTTCCATGCTAAAGATTTGCTTTCAGAAGTTGCTGTGACACTAGAAATGCTTTCTGCAAATTGAAACCATCTCCAAGATTACCTGAAGGAAAGAAACTAGAACTAAAAAAAAAAAAAAAAAAAAAAATGCAGAATGATCCATAACCTCTAAAAGTGGTTATTCATACCAGCTTATTTTATGCAACAAGTCTGATGAGTAAAAAAGACCCAAATGTACAACAATATCTCATTCTTATTATTTACATTGTATCCATAGACTGTAAGTCATGCTACACTTCTGGGAAATGAATAGAAATTATGATATTCTATTTTACTTGAAAGGAGTTCTTAAATAATATTTTGATATGTTTTAAATATTAAAATTAAATAATACTGTTACATGTTTTAAATATTGCTTTTTCAGGTAGAAAGCATAAGATGGCCGAAGAATTGGTATAATCAATTCTTTAAAAAACTATTAAAAAGGAAATGAAAAGCTTTAGAAAATGTGCCCATGATGACACTATCGTGAACTGCTCAATTTGTTTTCCCTATTGTGAAACTTCTGCTTGGCCTACTCACTCCTATAAAATTATGTTATTGTGCACTTTCTATTCCTTCTTTCTCTTCTTCTCTAACTAATAAGCCCATAAATAAGTACCACTAAAATAAATACTAAAATAAATAAATGGTACTTCTTGGTCCTCCTGGAATTCTTTCATTATGCCAACACTTCCTTAAAATTCTCAAGAATTTCCCCAGGGAACCCAGTTTTATGCCTGCCCCAGCCCATAAGGCACCCTCTGCCTGCCTCTGGGCTGCAAGGCAGATGTACTAAAAAAAGGCTCTGTGCTTATGTCCTGCTCCCCTGAGGATCTGTTTTGGCCCAACCTCTGAAACTTTACCAGCCCCATTGGAAAATGGTATTTGCTCATTGCTGTCTTTGGAGAGTTTGGACACTTAATGTAAAATGTAACACACCACAAATGCACATTCTCCCAGCCTGTACATATGTCCAATTATTTCTCCAAACTTTATTGAAGGTATTTTTTTCATTACTTTTACTCAAGTGTGTGCTAATTCCTGAACCAATGCAACAACTTTCAGATTATTTGTCCCCAAATTCTTGCCCCTCTAATCATCTAAAGTACCATGTCTCATCATCTCATTCTTCTTTCCAAAATGTAAAGCTTGCTCCACATTGCCATGACCGTTACCGAGAGCTTTCCATCTGCCAAACTCCATGCCATGCTATTTATCCGTAATTATTTCATTAGATAAACACAATCCCCCTCTGAGTTAGGCATTAACTTCTCCAATTCACAGATGATGAGAACTGAGGCTCAGAGTGTTTAAATAGTTTTTCCTCAGTCAACAAAATAAAGCTCATACTCAGCATTCAGTGCATGTGTGATTCTGTATGGTAATGGGTAATGCTAGTCAATCTGATTTAGCAGAATTTCTAACACTTCTTGCTGGCCACTGTGGACGAACTCATTTATATCTCTAAGCTTTTGCTCCTACTGTTTTTTATTCAAGGAATATTGGTCTTCTTTTATTCCACCTACTCAAACCCAGCCCATTCTTCGAGGGCAGGATTAAGTCTCACCTCCCTTAGGAAACCCTTTTCCGATGCCATTTAGTGAACGTTTTAGTGCATATTGATTGCTGTTATTACATGCTGTATCTCCAATGGATAAAAATCCTACAGTCGTGAGACTTGGGCAAAACCATGGCAAATGACAGATCCCACATTACTCTTCAAGTTAAATGTCAAAAATCTTACATCTCACAGTTACACAAAAATAAATTAGAACTTAATCATGTTGCAACTAATGACAATAATTTGTTGATGTTTAAAGACCATAAGGGTTTGCATCATGTAATTTAACATAAATACACTAAGTGGCTTCTATGGCTCAACTTAGTACTCAGAGTAAGGGCTGTCGGTATGAATAAATAAGAATCAACCGTGAGAGAAATGTATACTATATTAGTACCATGGACCAAATCATTCCAAACCATAAGAGCTAAATAGAATCCTGTTCAAATGAAAGATACACAAATATAGAATCAATTCCTATAAGCAGGTTATATTCATATACAAAATAAAAGAAGTTAAAATGTATAGTAGATGTCAACTTGGAAATCTGCATTCATTCATTTACAAATACTCATTTGTATTGACTACTTAGTACCTGAAAGGCATTTTATGTGTCTATGCCTATACCTACTTAATTTATAGTTTGTCTACAGAATGATACACTAAAATAATCACAGATTTTGGGAGTAAAATTAGCTGGAATCAATATAATTTGAATTCACTTAACCATTTTCAAAAATTAGTAGATTTGTATAATTGTTAAACAAGAGGCTCTTTAGAAATAATCACCAAATCTGGCCGGGCGCAGTGGCTCACGCCTGCAATCCCAGCACTTTGGGAGGCCAAGGCAGGCGGATCACGAGGTCAGGAGATCCAGACCACCCTGGCTAATACGGTGAAACCCCATCCCTACTAAAAATACAAAAAAATTAGCCGGGCGTGGTGGCGGGTGCCTGTAGTCCCAGCTACTTGGGAGGCTGAGGCAGGAGAATGGCGTGAACCTGGGAGGCGGAGCTTGCAGTGAGCCGAGATTGAGCCAATGCGCTCCAGCCTGGGCAACAGAGCGAGACTCCGTCTCAAAAAAAAAAAAAAAAAAAAGAAAGAAATAATCACCAAATCCGAAGATTGTGATTGCTAAAGTTATGATAAGTAAGAAAGGTAGTGGAACATATGCTATGTATAAGATGGATCACTGGATGATAAAAAATGTGTCTAGTATCTAATATAATTCTCTCCCAAACTTTCATAGGAGAGAAATAAATACTGTCTCTAGTAAACATAATCATTTAGGTCACTATAAAAATATTTTTTATTTGTTATAGGGATATTTCACTGGGATTTTTCATTGTCTGGATGAACTATCTCTTGAAACTAAAACTGACAAAAAGTTTTCAACTCATGCACCAGCATGGATAGTTGGTCGATGTTTCATGAAGAGCTGTGTTGAGAAGCGTTCTAAAGCCATTTTCAGAGTTAAAAAGTCATGATTAACTGTGTCCACAGTGGTTACAGAAGATAGTGGGTGTTTAGGGGAAGAAGAGAGGAACTGCATTTGCCACCTCTACTCAAATTATTTCCCTGAGCAAATTTTGCATTACTAATTTTGTTATCTAGGTACCTTGATACAGGGAGGGCAATTCAAAAGATGGATGACTGAAATTTTCAATTTACAAAAAATATACATTATTCTTCCATAAGTTTGGAAATTAACTGTCTTTTCTATGCATATTTTATTTTTCTATTTATTATAGAATATTAAATAATATTTTAACTAGTCACATCATTTTCAACTATTTTAATTCTATAACTAAACAAAAACAAATAATTCTACAAATAAATAATTCTGCCTAAATAATACTGCTGTATAGGATATGGCAAATAGACAAAAGGTAATATTGAAGATGATGGTTTAAAAAAGCAACTATTAGTTAAGAGAAGAATAACTTCGAATATTGATCTCAATAGACCTTACTACATTAACCATAAACTTAAATACCAAATTTATTCTGGTTTTTGTAATAAGTGACTGATTTTTCTATTTGTTGTACTGTTAATAAGATTTATCATATGTATTTTGTATAGTGTCATTAATCTAAAAGACAAACTATTAAAAGTATAAAAGAGAAATTATGTCTATTCAATTTTATCATCAAAGGAGTTAAAAAAGAAAACCCAAGAGTAACATTATTAGCTAAGTTAAATTGAGCAATTTCTTTCAGGATCTTAGATGTAAGCTTTTTTTTTTCTTTTCAATAATCAGAGAGAGGAAATCTCAAAAATTTTTTATTATCTAACATGATGGAAGAATGTGCAGTACTTTTAAGCCCCAAAACTTTTAAACATACGTGATAATTGAGTATGCTAACAAAACTTTAGTTTCCTGAAATATTTCCTAACAGTTTACCCATCTCATCTTTACACTAGTAAATTCCAGTCACTCCAGATTTTAAAATAAAATAAAATTATCACCAAGAGGCAAACATTTATAGTACTCATTACTTTGAAATTATGGTTAAATAAAGATGTAAAAATTAAGTTGGGAAAACAAAATCCTTTTAACCAAATTTCCTATCAAATTATCTGGAACAAAAACTCCCTTTTACTTCCATTAGTCTTAAAAGTCCTCTGCATTCACTTGGCCTCTGGGTACACAGTAACCTTTCTAAAGGTCTGCCCAAGGGATATTTTAGTCATTCTGTGATCTCCTTGAACACAAGTAATGACAAACAATAAGCTAATTCTCAAAAAGTTTTTTTTTGAGTCATTTTTACTACTTTTAAATGAGTGTGTCTGATGCATGATTTTGGGCCCCCTGATTAATGGTCACCGCCAGCCCAGCTTCTGGAGTTGTAATGTTTCCGTGAGCTTCCCTCCAGCAGAGCTCGACCATTAATCCAGTGGCATATGTCAGCTCAGCAGAGCAAGGTCACTCTTCTGTTTCAAGGGGAACCTTTTTAGAAATAATAAAACTGACAGAAAGTTCTTTTTTGCATGCTTTATGCCACCTGAGGTTGAGTGCTGCAGTTAATATCATAAAGCTTATAAACATTCCCATCCCAGGAAGCACCCACTGCTGCTGGTCTTAGGAATTTAAACACTTTTTTTCTTAGTAAGAACAGACATGTTTATGTGGGGGCAAATATATGGTATGTCATCCCAAATAGAGGAAGAATGGGTGGGAAAATAAAACAGTAAGTTCATGTTAGGAAGTTTGGAAGAGATGTTAGTGTCCTATAACTATTTTTATTGTCAATTACATTTATTTACCTTTTAGAAAACTGGGATTTGGTTAGATGAATACTTCAATCTCCTGAGGGGGTTAATAGCAGAGTTGAAATATAAGAGTAGTGGTAAAAAGAAACTCAGTTTATAATCACTCCTTGACCTATAATGTAATGTTCAATAATTGTAGAACATTTATCTTTGAAGGAACTGTATTTTTAAAGTTATAAACATTTGTTTTATTGGTAATGACTTTTTCATAATTGATAATTAAATACAGTGAGATAGTCATAATCTTAAAGTAATTTGAAATTTTTAGATGTCCTAACATACAAATCAAACAAAAGATAAAAGATGATTGCTATGTAATAACTTACAATATAAAGAAACTATAATCATAAGTATTACAAAATGTACATATTTAATATTTTATTACTTTTATTATTTATTTATTTATTTATTTATTGAGACAGGGTCTCTTGCTCCAGGGTTGCCAAGACTGGAGTGCGGTGATGTGATCATAGCTCACTGTAACCTTGAACTCCTAGGCTCCAGCAATCTCCTGCTTCAGCTTCTTGAGTAGCTGGGACTACACATGTGCACCACCATGCTCAGCTAACTTTTATTTTTTTTATTTTTTGTAGAGACAAAGTCTCACTATGTTGCCCAGGCTGGTCTTGAACTCCTGTCAAGCAATCCTCCCACTTCAGCCTCCCAAAGCATTGGGATTACAGGTGTGAGCCACCATGCCCAGCCACTCTTATTTAATTAAAAATAGCAGTAGCATAACTGTAACCACGTAAAGTATTCAGGGGAAAAAAAACCCCAGAAAATTCCAATTTGCTCTTTTTAACCAAATACTGAGACGAATGCCATATCACTATGTAGATTTTGATACAAGGTAAATTTGACTTGACTCTTACTCCAGGAGTTTAAGCTGTTAAAACTATAAAAAATATAATAAAGAAACTTAGTTATTTAATTGTATTCATTTTCCTTTTGTAGAGAAAATGTACCTGGAAGTGAAGCCAGTTAGCAACTTAGCTCAATCCTTTTAGGAAGACAATACATTGGTCAAGTATCACGTCTCTATGTCCAGGGTCACGCCCTCACCTCAACAAGTATGGGAACTTTATTTTTAAGCTTGCAGAAATATACAACTTCAAGGTGACTAATTCATAAACCAAACTGATAAGATATCAAAAATGGCAATACTAACCAAGCGAGCATTGATTTGCTGTGGGAAATTCATCTGCCAAGAAAAATGCATATTCATGTTGACTGATCAAAAAATTGTTTCCCCTGAAAGAAACCCTACACAGGACACCAGATCATTGCTGGAAGTTTGCTTGATTCATGTGGTGGTCAAAGTAAAGTCAATTAAGTGGTATTAAGACTAGAGACATGAAGTTCTTCTCCTAGCCTTAGGTACACATCTCACCTAAGAGAAGTCTGTCCAGCCAAAAGGGATTTTTGCTTCAGCTGTTTTGCATGATTTGCAGACACAGTGGCAAATTTCTACTCTCCCACCTATTTCTAGGCTGTCTGCAAAGCAACACCCTTTTGCTAATACTTTTTGTCTTTAAGGCAGATTACATTACAATGTGTGATTATTTTGATTCTAGGAATGGTTACTTTGTTTTGTTGTGGGTGTTACCCAGATCTTTATCAGTGACGCATTTACAAACTATCTTCTGGAGTAGACTACTTCTGCAGATGACTAATATTATCCATTAGTCATTTCACACTCATTATACATATATTGAGAAATCACTACTATGTTCTATACTATCAATGTTTTCAGTGGTGGCCAAAGTGTTATAAAAAGCACACGGAATCTGAAAGTCAGGTAGACCGAGTTCAATCCCTCTTGAATCCTCAACAAAAATCCCAGGGATGCAAATATGAGTCAGCTACATCCCCTGATCCTCTGTTCTTGATGGTGAATCTAGTTGGGAGCACATACTGAAAAACTGTGAGTTTAAACAACAACAACAACAACAACAAACAGAGAAATGTGGAACAAGCACAACGAAAATAGAAAGGAGGGAGAGACTTTTTTTCTTTTTTTTTTTGAGACGGAGTCTCGCTGTCGCCCAGGCTGGAGTGCAGTGGCGCTGTCTCGGCTCACTGCAAGCTCCGCCTCCCGGGTTCACGCCATTCTCCTGCCTCAGCCTCCCAAGTAGCTGGGATTACAGGTGCCCGCCACCAGAAGGAGAGATTATTAAATGGACATGTACTACCAGCTAGGAAGCATACATATGGTAATTTTCTTAATTCTCACATCAACCCTATGTGACATGCTTTAAGACTTTCCCTTTTCATGATTACCACAATGAGGCTCAACAGGCTTAAGAAAATGTTCAAAGTCCCCTGGTTAAGAAAGATCAAAGTAAGACATTCACACTCAGGTCTCTATGCCTTTAGTTCACGTTACCTACTGCTCTGCTAGACTGACCCTAATACACTACCCTGGGGTAACTGATGGAGGCTTTCTTGAGGAAGTGACAGTCCACCTATAAATTCGAATAGATAAGAATTCATGAGTTGGAAAAAAAGCACAGAGCATTTTAGGCTAAGAGAAGCACAGACAGAAATGTATGAGAGTGGTCAGATCATCAGGAACACGGGCCTCACTCCACCAACCAAACCAGAAGATCTGGTATTAGGGCCCAGACATAGGTATTTTTATAAAACACCCCAGATGATTTTAATATTAGGTTGGTGCAAAAGTAATCATGATTTTTGCTATTATTTTTAATATGCAGCCAGAAAGCATGGGTCAAGGGGGTCAAATAGATGTTTTACTTTTTAGTTTTCAAATGATTCCTAATAGAGGTCTAGTGGGTTGTGGCAGAGTTACATTTGGATGTGAGGAAGGAAAGAATAACAAAGACTGGAGAGTGTAGGTAAAGGCAGTCAAGTCAAATGTGGGGCTGGCAGCATGAAGGGATTGGTCAACTGGAAGTGGAGAAAGATCTAGAGTAATTGGAAGGAAGGAAACAACTAAAAACCTAATCCTCACTTCCAATTAGTACAAGCTCATGGACTATGTTATGAGCTGAATTGACTCCCACAAATTCGTATGTTTGAAGCCCTAACACCTTGTACCTCAGACCATGACTGTATTTGGATATAAAGCCTTTAAAGAGAAAATCAAGTAAAAAATGTGACCATTAGGGTAGGACCTAATCCGTTCCTACTGGTGTCCTTATAAGATGATGTTTGGACACACAGAGAGAGACATCAGGAGCACACAGACACAGATGAAGAGGCAATAAAAGGGCAGCCATCTACATGTCAAAAAGAAAGGCCCAGAACAGATCCTTCCTTGAAAGCTCTCTGTGAAACCCACCCTGCCAGCACCTTGATCTTGGGTTTCCAACCTCCAGAAGTGTGAGAAAGTGGATTCCTGTTGTTAAAGCTACTCAGACTCTGATATTTTGTTATGGCAGCTCTAGCAAACTAATACAGACTAAGTGAAGGAAGGAGGGGGACTTAGCCAGCTGTGGTGACAAATGGCTCTCTCTATCTATGCAAGAATCACTTCATCTACCAACAGAGATAGTTTAAAATCTTCTGCTATTAGTAATCAATTCTTAATGGAGGACATTTTTGTTTTCTACTAAGAAGCTAATATGAATGTCTTGTTTCTGAAAGTTCATCGAAATCTTTAACACTAGAAAGGAGGAGAAATGGATCAGTTTGGTAATGATAAATTTGGAAACGGATATGTAAAGCATGGACTTGATTCCATTATTGTAAAAACAAACAAACAAAAAAAAACACAGTTTTCAGGGATTTTGAAACTATTTATCTCCAAAGCAAGGCAAAGAAAGACTAAAGAGATAAGTGTGTGACTAAATTGATTTTTAACAAATCCAGCATCTTGGTAGTCAAGGTAGTGACCTTATAAAGCTTCCTATAAAATACAATATCCAAATTTCCAAACAAAGGGGAGGCTACACTTCTGTCATTTCTCTAGCTATTCATCTGATCTTTCTGAATATTATCTGAACACTTTTCAAGTATAGCTAATACATTTGGCCCCAAACATTTTGCTACCTGCTTGGGATAAAACTTGATTACAGATTCATATTCTGTAAAACGGAAAAGCTAAAATGTATTAGTGCTTTGTTTGGAGAGAAGTGGTCAAGGCTAAAAATTATTTAAAAGGTGCACTACGAATTAAAATAAAATCCAATGGAAAATTATATGTTTAAGAAAGAAGAAGAAGAAGCCTTTGCAAAGTGAGACATCAATTTAGGGGTGAATTTCTGGTGACTGTAAACAATGGAATGAGGCCATTTCTCCTTGGCATGCAAGCACCAACTGGAAGCAAGAATGGGACCGGACAGTGGAAACTTTCTGTCTGCCATCTTTAGACAGCATGTAGTAAGTTACCTATAAACATCCAAATGGATAAAGTAAGTACAAATATATCCCAAATTTAGAGTCTTCTCAACACCAAAGTCAACTGGGCCGTTCCTTTGTCTGAACCACAGTTATCCCTTGCCTGGTTTCTGCAATAGTCTGTTAACTGGTCTCACTCCCTTCAGTATATTTGAAACACAAAAGCCAAAATAAACCCACTAAACTGTAGGCCAGATTCTGTCACTTCTCAAACATCTTTCAACACTAGCTAAAATTATTTTAATGGCCTAGAACGCCTTCAGTGATCCAGCTCTTTGCGGCGGCTCTTCCCGCTATGCACTCTGCCCCACTGCTTCTCAAACACACCAGAGACAGTCCCATTTCAAGGCCTTTGCACTTGCTCTTCCCTCTGCCCAGAGTACAGTTTCCTTCACCAATCCCAAGACCAGCTCCTTCACTTTCTTCCAGTCCTTTTTCCAATGTCCCATTCTCACCAAGGCTTCTCTAGTTCTTCATATTTCAAATCCTTCTTTTCTGTTAATTTTTTTTTCTTCTTGGCACCTATCATTATCTAGCATACTGTATATATTACTTATTTATCCTATTTATTGTCTGTCATCTCCAGCAAATATGGTATCTTTTGTTCACCTTGGTATCGCCAGTGTATTGTCCATAATAAGCATTTAATAGACATTTGTTGCGTTGAAGGATAAATGAATGAACGAATGCATGGATTAGTGAATTAACTTTTAAGTCTTTTGAAAAGTAGAAAAAAGTGCTGCCAGGTTGGAAAACTTTAAAAATTCTTGATGTCCAGTCACATTTTATATTAGGTAAATAAGAATATTTGGGGATGGAACCCAATCATCAGTTTTTTTTTTAAAGCTCTTTAGTGATTCAAATATTCGGCCTAGGCTCCAAAAACCATCAACCTAGAGCATCATTTCCAAATTATAAAGTGCTCACAGAACTGCTGAGTATCTTGTTAAAATGTATGTTTTCATTTCGTAGGCCTGGGGGAGACTGGAAAATGCACATGGCTAACAAGCTCCTGGAATGCCCGTGCTGTTGCTCTATAGGACCACAGTGAGTAGCAAGTTCTTAGATTCAAGTCAGCCTTGATGAACCTTGAGATACATTTTAACATGTTCTAGACTTCATTTTCTCCTGACTTGTCTTATTTGGTTTTATGTTTGCATTATAGTTTATCAAAAATACTTTTTAAAATGCTATAAATGCTACATAAACACAAAAATGAAGACAACCTTTTGAGATATCTGGTTTTTTGTTTTGTTTTGTTTTTGGAGCGGACGGAGGTAATAACTAGAAGTTAAAATAAATATTTACTTATAGCCACCGTTTTTTAAAGGGGAAAAGAGTAAATCTAACATATTACCTACATTTTATATCATGTATTTTATTCCAGAAAACTCTGTTTGAAAAGGCAAACATTCAACAAAAATTGTACCCCAGATGAAGAAGTAATAGAGAGTAGGAGGAGAGAGACACAGGCTTAGAAGCAGAAAAACTGTGCCATAAATCCCAAATCTTTTAACTTGTGGAAAATTTTTGCATCTACAGGGCTTTTTTCTTCTTTGTAAATTGGAGATAAAAATAATGTCTACCTCCTGGGGTTTTGAGAAGATTAAACATAATAATGGACATGAGCACCTTGGACAAGTACCTGGCCTCAAGTAAGCACCAGTGCATATAAATACTTATTCTCTTTCTTATACCTGGTTAGATAAGAGTTAAAAATGTATCCTAGCAGTCTTGATACAAAAAAACAGTGAAGAAAGCTCTTTAATGGTACAACTATGTGTCATCCTTGTCTAGGAGCATAAATTTGCACAGCAGGCAGTGCAGTGAAAACAGCTCATAATCAACTCATCACCTCTCATCATTGCTAGGATCAAATGCAAATGGGAAAGAATGCCACTTCAGTCATTGCTAGTGAAAATTAGCATCTGTGACACTAATGGTGTCTCATTTAGTATGCACTTTAGATTAAAAAGAATGGTTAAAAAAAAGGCTATTTCCAGAACTGTCATTATTCTAACGTTTCCCTCAAAAATAACAATGGTACTTGAATCTCCTTTACTCAAAGAAAAACCTGCTAAAATTTATTAACACGGATCATTAATCCCTCTCAAGTAAAGGCCAAGATGTTCTAATTACAGTCACTAACTTTAATTTGTGGGATCCATGTCTTTCTATTTTCAAAATTTCTTCCATATTCTTTAACCTGGACCAAGTTCTACCTTTAGGTAACAATGGGATTCTTTCATAACATTGGGTATATTAGAGTTCTTAACATAAAGCTTAAAATGAGTTACAGTTGTACTGATACACAAACATTTTTACACACATATTAACAGACTTGCTACAAAGAAACAATAAGACAGGGATGCCCTCTCTCACCACTCCTATTCAACATAGTGTTGGAAGTTCTGGCCAGCGCAATCAGGCAGGAGAAAGAAATAAAGGGTATTCAATTAAGAAAAGAGGAAGTCAAATTGCCTCTGTTTGCAGATGACATGATTGTATATCTAGAAAACCCCATTATCTCAGCCCAAAATCTCCTTAAGCTGATAGGCAACTTCAGTAAAGTCTCAGGATACAAAATCAGTGTGCGAAAATCACAAGCATTCTTACACACCAATAACAGACAAACAGAGAGCCAAATCATGATTGAACTCCCATTCACAATTGCTTCAAAGAGAATAAAATAAATAGGAATCCAACTTACAAGGGATGTGAAGGACCTCTTCAAGGAGAACTACAAACCATTGCTCAATGAAATAAAAGAAGATACAAACAAATGGAAGAACATTCCATGCTCATGGGTGGGAAGAATCAATATCGTGAAAATGGCCACACTGCCCAAGGTAATTTATAGATTCAATGCCATACCCATCAAGCTACCAATGACTTACTCCACAGAATCGGAAAAAACTACTTTGAAGTTCATATGCAACCAAAAAAGAGCCCGCATCGCCAAGTCAATCCTAAGCCAGAAGAACAAAGCTGGAGGCATCACGCTACCTGACTTCAAACTATACTACAAGACTACAGTAACAAAACAGCATGGTATTGGTACCAAAACAGAGATATAGACCAATGGAACAGAACAGAGCCCTCAGAAATAATGCCACATATCTACAACTATCTGATCTTTGACAAACCTGAGAAAACAAGCAATGGGGAAAGGATTCCCTATTTAATAAATGGTGCTGGGAAAACTGGTTAGCCATATGTAGAAAGCTGAAACTGGATCCCTTCCTTACACCTTATACAAAAATTACTTCAAGATGGATTAAAGACTTACATGTTAGACCTAAAACCATAAAAATCCTAGAAGAAAACCTAGGCATTACCATTCAGGACATAGGCATGGGCAAGGACTTCATGTCTAAAACACCAAAAGCAATGGCAACAAAAGCCAAAATTGACAAATGGGATCTAATTGAACTAAAGAGCTTCTGCACAGCAAAAGAAACTACCATCAGAATGAACAGGCAACCTACAGAATGGGAGAAAATTTTTGCAATCTACTCATCTGACAAAGCGCTAATATCCAGAATCTACAGTGAACTCCAACAAATATACAAGAAAAAAACAAACAACCCCATCAAAAAGTGAACAAAGGACACTTCTCAAAAGAAGACATTTATGCAGCCAAAAGACACATGAAAAAATGCTCATCATCACTGGCCATCAGAGAAATGCAAATCAAAACCACAATGAGATACCATCTCACACCAGTTAGAATGGCGATCATTAAAAAGTCAGGAAACAACAGGTGCTGGAGAGGATGTGGAGAAATAGGAACACATTTACACTGTTGGTGGGACTGTAAACTAGTTCAACCATTGTGGAAGACTATGTGGCGATTCCTCAAGGATCTAGAACTAGTAATTCCATTTGAGCCAGCCATCCCATTGCTGGGTATATACCCAAAGGATTATAAATCATGCTGCTATAAAGACACATGCACATGTATGTTTATTGTGGCACTGTTCACAATAGCAAAGACTTGGAACCAACCCAAATGTCCATCAATGATAGACTGGATTAAGAAAATGTGGCACATACACCATGGAATACCATGCAGCCATAAAAAATGATGAGTTCATGTCCTTTGTAGGGACATGGATGAAGCTGGAAACCATCATTCTGAGCAAACTATTGCAAGGACGGAAAACCAAACACCGCATGTTCTCACTCATCAGTGGGAATTGAACAATGGGAACATCTGGACACAGGGCAGGGAACATCACACACCAGGGCCTGTTGTGGGGTTGGGGGAGGGGGGAGGGATAGCATTAAGAGAAATACCTAATGTAAATGACGAGTTAATGGTTGCAGCTCACCAACATGGCACATGTATACATATGTAACAAACCTGCACATGTACCCTAGAACTTAAAGTATAATAATGGAAAAATAAACAAAGAAACAAAGACAGATAAAACAAACAAAATCCTGTAAAAAAAAAAAAAAAGTACATAGCTTGAGTGAGTATCCATACTTGAACCAGGCTGTATGTAGTAGACCAAGGGTGTATTACCCTGTAGCCCATGATGGCTTTGAATGTGGCCTTGACGGCTTTGCATGTGGCCCCACACAAATTCATAAACTTTCTTAAAATATTATGAGATTTGTTTGTGATTTTTTGTGGTTTTTTTTGTTTGTTTGTTTGTTTTTAGCTCATAAATTATACTTCGTGTTAATGTATTTTATATGTGGTCCAAGAAAATTCTTCTTCTTCCAGTGTGGCCCAGGAAGGCCAAAAGATTAGACACCCCTAGAGTAGACTGAAGAAACTTCATTCACTTTACAAATATTTATTGAGAGTCTACTACGTTGAAAGTATTATGCTAGCTGCAGAGGGAGGATATGTGGTGCTTACTTCAATATTAGGTCATTTTTTAAAATATTTGAATATTAAGAAAGTTGTTAGCCTGGACAATCTAGCAAAACCCCCATGTCTACAAAACATATAAATACTAGCTGAGCATGGTGGTGCAGGACTGTGATTCCAGCGACTCGGGAGGCTGAGGCAGGAGAGTCACATAAGCTCAGGCATGCTGACGCTGCAGTGAGTGGTGATTGTGCCTGCACTCAAGCCTGGGTAACAGAATGAGACCCTGAAAAAAAAAAAAGGAAGGAAGGAAGGAGAAAGAAGGAACGAACGGAAAAGAAAGAAAGTTTTTTTACAATTGTAGGTGTTGACATGTGTGTGGACGCCTAGAGAGATTTCTTTGATGAACTTCCTGCATAGTCAGAGACAGGAATGACGATTTCTAAACTTACAGACGCTCTTACAGACATGGTTTCCCTGATCTCCATAAACTTTAGCTGGCAATTCAGGTGGAAACAGAAATAATATCTACAGTCCTGTTGCTTATAAAGGCAGTATATTAAGAACAGAAGTATTGGAAATTAACATATTTCATGTCAGTTTCATTTTTCATCTAACTCTGTGTCTTCTTCAAGGTAATTGACCTTCCTTATGCCTTAGGCTCTACATATGAGGCTAAATAAGAGTCATTCTCTCACAGTTGTTACAAATATTAAATAAATTAGTGTACAAAAAGCTGTAAGCACAGCAACTGACATGAAAATAAACCAATGATAAATATAGAAAAATAAAATATTTTAGTTGGAAAAACAGACAAGGAAAATTGTTATGTTCTATAATTTAAGCATTTATAGAGTGTAATGCAATAACATCTCATCAAATCTGAATATTGTATATGCTTAAAAGTTTTTAAAATCACTATCAGTAATGGACACTAGTAGTAAGAGGTAAAACAGCCAGTTGTGGTTGCTCATGCCTGTAATCCCAGCACTTTGGAAGGCTGAGGTGGTTTGAGATGGGAAGATCACTTGAACATAGGAGTTTGAGACCAGCCTGAGCAACATAAGGAGACCTCATCTCTATAAAAAATTAAAAATTAGCTGGGCTGGTGGCATGGTGCCTGTGGTCCCAGCTACTCAGGAGGCTGAGATGGGAGGTAGCTTGAGTCCACCCAGGAGGTTAGGGTTAGGGTTAGGGTTATGTGATTGCACCACATCAACTCCAGCCTGGGTGACAGAGCAAGACTCTGTTTCCAAGGTAAAGGCAAAATTCAAGAATAAAGATAACAGTACCTTGCATGTATGTTAAGCAAGCCTATTTTTAACTAACCTAAGTACAGAATACTTAACTATTATTCTCCTATTTCTTTTCTAATTTGGAATTTATCTGTATACAGTAGAGAGTTCTGAGACACACATTAAAGCCCTTAGAAGTTATTAACATTCCAGTACATGCAATGGGTTTCTTTTGTAATAATTCTGCAAGAATTTACCAGTTTCTGTTATAGAATATCTCTGGTCTCTGCCTCTCAGCCTATACTGTAAGTGTCTTACAATAAATTTGAATGCTACTCTTAATTTTGAGCTATTCAAAGGAGAGAACCTATACTAAAAATAGAGAAAGAGAGAAATAAAGGATGAAAAAGAGGGTACACTAATGATAACACTACACATGGTAAAACTGTATTTTAACATGTATTTGGACTTACTCTTTTTAAATTCATGAACATGTTTATCGATAAGTTTTAGGAATATAAGAAAATAATGAATTATTTTTGATATAGGACTGAAAATCTATTGCTACATATTATATAAATGAATGTTTTGAACCTTCTCATAACTGTAAGACCTATTTGAAAATACTAATAACAAAATCTTTCTCCATTAGCTTTCAATTGGAAAGTTTGATCATTTTTAATTGAGGTAACATTAGTTATAATATGCATTGCATTTGAATTGTCCAATAGGTCACTTGAAATAGAACCAATGACAGTTAACAAAAGCTAAATGATTAAATATTTTCTTCATTTTTTATATTGTCAGTTTTTACCCTACTATAGGATTTACAATTTAAAAAAAAACCACAAAAACAAGAAAATTCCTTTCACAAATTCTAAGAGTATAGTATGAAGAGTTTATGTTTCTTGGTTAGGAAATTTTGTAAACTAATATCTGGTATGTAGTTAATCAGTGAAGACAGTGATTCCCTATATTTCAGACCAATTTCTTGATGGTTCTGTTTCTAAACATAGACCCTTTCTAGACACAATTTCTCTTCAGTAAATGAAAGGATTTGCACTCCTTTTTCTATGAGCCTTTTATTTGTAGGGATTATCACAGCATCCACCTCTGCCAATTTTTTTTCTTTTTGAGAAAGGGTCTTGCTCTGTTGCCCAGGCTGGAGTGCAGTGGCACGAACACGGCCCACTGTAGCCTTCAATCTCCTGGTCTCAAGCAATCTTCCTGCCTCAGCCTCCTGAATAGCTGGTACTACATGCACGTGCCACCATGCCCAGGTAATTTTTGAATTTTTTGTAGAGATGGGGTTTTGCCACATTGCCCAGACTGGGCTGGAACTCCTGAACTCAAGTGATTTACGCACCTCGGCCCTGCAAAGTGCTGGAACTACAGGTGTGAGCCCATGCACCTGGACAGATACTGCTCTTTATTCATATAATATGCAAAGAAAATTACCCACCAAAATAAATGTGAATTATGAGGAAAGGAGTTATTTTAAGACATAATTACAAATGGAAAAATATCACTTCCATGTTAAAAGGAAACAATCCAACTGAATGTATGAAAAACATGCCTGTGCCTCTATATTCACATCTCTTTAAATTCATGCAGAATGAAACCATCTGTCTAATGAAAATAAGAATTCATTCACAACAAAACTTAGCATTTCCAATGTGACCATTTTCTGTGATATGTTTTGTTCAAAGATGTATATTTTTTCAAAATTTTTTTTATTTTATGAATAAGGAAGTCAAGATTAACAATATTCCAAGTGTATTATAATAGTTACTGCTCTTAAGCCAAATGATGATGATGGAGTAAAGTATCATTTTGACAATAGTTTAATGTTGTAAATATGACTCTAACTCACTATAAAATACAGGCTTTATTAAATACTCTCTCTTTAGATTTTAAATACTTTGAGGTATATCATTCTCCATATTAACTTTTATGATCTTCCCTAAACCTACTATTGTTAACTATTTGTTGTACTTAATCAAGTAAATATCATATAAAATTAATCTTAAATGGAAGCACAAGCCATGCTTTTAAAAACTTTTCTGTATTATTTGGAAAATGTTACTTTGAGTTTTTCTTATATTAGGGAAAAAGAAATCATGATACGTTATCTAGCTACATTTTAAACTAAAGATGCTTGTCTATCCATTATTATGCATATGTGTCAGAAAGAATTAATATTCAAAATCATTTATTCTCAGTTTCCAAAGATAAGAAATCATTTATTTTTGTTTCCTTCAGAAAAACTTGGATGGTAACTTCCAAAGAGTTTCAAAATATTGACCATTGTTCAATGTCTCATCAATTCAAAAGGTCATAACAAATGAAATAAACCAATCTCTTTCTCTGAAAATGGGTGCCTAACATATAAAGACTGATAGACAATAAATCAATCCTTAAAAAAAATCTGGACTCAGCTATTGTTTATCTCAGAAAGAGACTAAAAATTGTATTTACCTGAGAAAAGAAATGTACAAGTATTGGAGAAATTTTCTGACATTGGTACTTTGTAAATAGTTGTTTTACGTTATTAATAAATCTAGAGTTCTACAATAGAATTTGAACTTTATCCCATGTTATACTTTTTTTTTTTAAAAGTAGCACTTATTGCCAAGACAAAGAACAGAGTAACATTCCACATATTACCAATTTGTCAAGTCTACCAGTATATGGTGTTTTGATGCTTCTCAAAACACAGCCCGATTTTTTGTGTAGTAATAACATTAGTTCGAGAGAATAGCAAATATACATCTTTACAACGAGCTATCATGATTTAACATTCAAAAATGAGAAAAGTCTTATATTTAACCATAACATTTCCATTTTACAACCTTCTTATAACTCTATTTTGAAGAGCTAATTACTTAAGAGATAAAATTCATTCAGTAGACTGTTCAATAGACGTTGACAATCTCATAGTCATTAAAAACATGCAAGAAGATTTTATAATAACAAACACTCAGAGACCACTAAATTGATTTTCTTGAAGTTGAACTGAACTCAAACTTCACTTACAGATGTAAATGTTCCAATATGCACCATAAGACAAAATTACAGAGACAATAATTGCTAGGTGTGATTTAAAATCTAACTTTGCAATTTAATTTTTCCGTATTTGCCATGAGGCATTAAACCCTATGTTTGACTTATGACTGACAGATGAGAACATTGTATGTGTTCAAACACACATATGTGTTTATTTTCTATTAAATAGTTTGATTTTATTTAACTATGTATGAAATCACCTTACCTTTGGTTTTTGATGTTTCTCCTTCTCTGAAACATTGGATGGCTTTCTCTTGAGCATTTTGAATTCTGACTACTCCTAGTGAGTGCACTTTCTGCTGTTACAGAAACAACTGAAAACAGTCAGCAGTGTGCTGTCTAATGCACAGCATCAGATAAGGTTGAGCCCAGGGACCTGCCACTTCCTCCTTCAGTCAGGATATGACTTCAACATTTACATGGGTAATTTTTTTTTCTTACAGTAATTCTTTGGTAACTCTTTATTGTCTTGCTATTTTCTATGAGGTATGTTCCAAATCTCATATTTAGACATGCCTGCAGTTATGAGAGCCATAAGGATTTCAAAACAAAACTCATTTTCTTGGTTTATATAAAAGTAAAAATTTACAATGCATTCCATGGGTAGAAAAAAGAAAAAATCGGAGCCAATAACTGAAATAAAACTTGAGATGTTGGTTTTCTATTATTTAAAAAAAAAAAAAAGAATACTCAAGGTAGTCAATTTTGTATATATTTTTTCTTTTTTTGATACGGAATCTCACTCTGTCACCCAGGCTAGAGTGCAGTGGCATGATCTCGGCTCACTGCAACCTCCACCTCCCGGGTTCAAGCGACTCTCCTGCCTCAGCCTCCCAAGTAGCTGAAATTACAGGTGTGTGCCACCATGCCTGGCTAATTTTTTGTATTTTTAGTAGAGATGGGGTTTCACCATGTTAGCCAAGATGGTCTCGATCTCCTGATCTCGTGATCCGCCCACCTCAGCCTCCCAAAATGCTAGGATTACAGGCATGGTATATTTCTAAATAAACACAGTTAGAAGATAAAATAAATAAACAATGTTAGAAGATAAAATAAGTTAGAACTTAAACAATACTAATCCTACTTAAAGCATGTATGCATATATTTTAAAATATGGATTAGACCCATTCTAAATATAAATGGGAACATGACTAAAAGTAAATGTTTATCATATGTTACTTTTCTAATGTATTAAGATGTTGTAAAGTTCTGGTTAACAAAGAGATCAATTAAACAGAACCCCCAATTAACCATATGTCTTTGTGCTACAAACGATGCCATATACTGATAATTGCTGCCCTGGTGATGAGCCAATGGATCAACGGTTTCTTCAAATAAAACACCCAGAACCTCTATTTAATAGTCCTGGTAGAGCTAATATGACTTATTAAGAGTTTCCCCATGGTTTAAAAATGTTTATGATAATGAAAAAAGCAAAATACCCAGAAGTAAAAGCAAAAAGTTCAAGCTTTATTGTTAAATGGGGATTTACCAAAGGGAGATTTGCAAAATATATGAAACTCTGGTTCCATTTGAGCAACCCAGATTAAGAAAATAAACCTAGATTTCTGTTTATAAATCCTCTGAATTGAAAAGTGTAGTGCCATATTCTTAATCAGCAGCTTTTCCACGTGACAAATCAACTGACTCTATTTCTCAAACTTCCCTCACACTTCTAAGCTCCACCCCAAGGCCCAAATTTTACTAATTCATTTAACAAATGAGATTCAAATTTCACTAATTTATTTAATAAATATTAAATTGATTGTCTATTATGTGCAATTTGACAATATTTCAAACCTCTTGACTAGCTAAAAACAACCTGTTTTTGTTCTATAACAGAATTGAAAGAATATACTTTTCATGATTATGGTTAATATGCCTATTATTTTATTACCAGATAATAAAAGCAGACTTTGATTTTTGAGAATTATTGAGTTAGTGTTTTCAAAATACTGACACAGACAGAGAACACTGGAAAACCTGAGAATGTTGAGGTGGGGTAATTCCCCAGAAATACATCTTTTAGACTTTCAGTTTGGGCTTGGGTTAAGAAAGTTGGCTAGGCAGATCTTTTGCTTCATCTCTTAAGAAATTGAAAGTCATAAAAATACGTTTTTAAGTGAACCATTTGCACCCTCGACACCCTCTTTTCTTCATCTATGAATAAAAATTTAATTATGGAGTTCAATCAGTAATAAAATGGCAATGATAATGCTTGCACTTAGTACATGGTAGAGTTTTGTTGATAGTAAAATGAAATACCAATAAAGGACATACTTATTAGATGATTCATCATTTCAGTAATGTTTTATGTCAAAAAATGTTTGTGAACTCTAAAAAGGCATGAAGTTTCAGTTTGAGGTGGTGCTTGCTATAGGTTACATTTCTCCAATGTTTCTATAATACAGTGCTAAAGAATAGAGAACAGTCACATTTATGAGACCCATATCTGGACTAGATGCAGTTTTTAAAAGCGTTATACTCAAGCAAACAAAAAATATATATCCATTTATGGATCTCTAGGCACTTCACCATCTTTAACATTACAAGAAATGTTTAAAATGTAAACAAAATAAATATTTTCCTTCAAGTACGGGTGGAAAAGGATTTTTCCAATCTTTCTTTCACTCAAGAAAAATGTTTTCTGGGGCTTAAAAGACAGATGTGACATTTGAGGTCCCATTCATTATCTAACTATGTTAAACTTCTTGATCCCCAAAAAGATCAAGTGACAAGGTTACAAATGTTTTTATCAATTATCTACTATTTTATGGTATTTGGAGGACACCGAGATATTTAGTGAGTGACACAGAGTGACCCAGCAAGCTCAAAAGTCACAGATGGACAGAACAAGAATGAAGCAGAGAGTCAGTACAGAGCACACCTCACTACTGACCATGATTAAACCACTAGCAACCCTGTTGCTTAACATGTATTCTGAAATAGGGAAATTGCAAAAGCACAGTCTTGGTGCTTTACAATACCTTAATGGTCTTACATCCCAGACAGAATGGAACTTTGTGTACTATCTCTGTGTCATGAATCATGAGTAAAAATTTTGAAGAAATTGCAGTCAAATGACAAAGATTGAGGTGTATTTTTCGGGAAAGTAAGGTGAGCCATAAAAGGATTGGTTCAGCAATCCAACAAATATTTATTTAGTGTATTGCTAAAACACAAATCATAAAATTCAAAGCATAGATAGAAGGAAATTAGAGATCATGGGACATTCAAAGTGATGTCCTCGATTCTGAGACATTGAGGATCTCCATCTACATCTCTCTGCCTTCTGCCATCAGGTTGAAGAATACAATTAGATAGTAGTTTGGATTAATCCTACTCTACATTTTATTTTAGGACATGTACACTGGTTCAATGGATGAAGGGTTTTAAAATCAAATCTTTTAGAATGAAAGTAGATTCTCTGCATTGCTCTAATAGTTAAAACTTCTCTAACATGAAGAGTTGGTTGGGCACAATCTTATGCATGCCTCTGTGTATTGCTGGGTCAACCATGACCAAGGGATATTTTATTAACTCTAACCAAAAATACTCCTGACTATACCTCAAGTGTTTTGTTACAGGAGGAAAACAGAGAGACCAATTTCAAGAATTTGAAAATAAGCAAAATAAGGTTGTCATCACAGAACCCAACTCTGAAATTAAGATTTAATGTAAGAATAATCATTTTATAGAAAAAAGAACTGTATTCCATTCAAACCTGCAGAATTTACTCATCTATGATTAAGAAAAGGAGTCAATCATAAAAGTAACTTAACCTTGATAATTCCTCTCTTCTTTTTGGCCCCCTCAGAGTAGACTTCTTTCTATAGTACAGGGAAGAGAATTTTATTCAAAGAAGTTGAGTGGGGATATTGTGTTCCTACCTGTTTGGGGTTTCACGGAAGTGGAGATCCTACAATATCAAAAAAAAAAACTCTTTCTTTCTCAGTGTTTCCTGAAATAAGTACACATTGCCATCTGATGACGTTCTCTGCAATTCTGTATTTAATAATTCAGATGTTGGTGCCAAGCTATATAGAGGGGCCTTGGTGTTGTACCCTCCTCTAGTTATCTAGCTTATTCTTACCATAGGTGGATTAAACATCTCAACACCTCCTTGTTTGGATTTGGGAGTTTAAGAGAAATGACGGGATGGATATTCCCCCTGGCCTATGGGAGGAGTTAAGGAAGTGGGGGGACCGTTTCTTCCTTGTGAATCTCCTATATTTCCTAACTCTCTAAAGTCACTTACCCATTCTATGTCTGGAGTTCCTGTTTACTAATTCCTTTCTCTAAGGGACCCAGCCCTACCCAGCTCTTGAAATCCCTTCTAATGTGTTACTAATTGAAAAGCTGTGCAGTGACTTTTCTGCTTCTCCTGGTGACCTGCTCCAGGAAGTGACAAGCTCATGTTTTGGGGAGATTAGGGGAAGATAAAATTCTGATTCTATTAACAGGAAGTGGCAAGAAGATGGGAGCTACTGAGGTTTGCCATTTCCAACAAGACGTGAAATCAAGCATATCTATCACCAGGATTAATTTCTTCTAAAAACGGACCTGAAGTCTACATGATAAATTAATATTCCACCTGTTGACTTCTCCTTATAAGACCCTGCCTGAGTTTCATTGCCTGAGTTCCCATACATTCAACTAACAAGGATGAGGTGATGCCCAAACAACTTCTAAATAATTAGGAAGGTTAGGGAGAATCTAAATTCATTTTACCTCAAATAGAAAAAAGACAGTAACACAGACAAATACTGGAAGGTTCCTTTCAAGTTGCTGAGTTAAAGGAAAAGAGAGCTTAGTGAGCTTTGAGTATCTTAATTCTCCAGACAAGATAATCTATTGCATGGAGATGAACATATCATGCAAATTTTAGCTGGATTTCAGTAAACAAAATATGTGTTTAACTATTTTCCTTTGTTTTTATTTTAAGCTCTATGCATAAATGATGATTTGGCTCCTTGGGTAGATATGTCTATAGGAGACAAAGGCAGCATTCATATGGACATCAAGTACCTGGAATCTGAGATTGCTATTTCTCATTACAAATTTAAATACTGCCAAAGTGGTTAACTAGAATGTATTGACAGAAAAGGATCTACCCTTGATGTGCTCAAAATACTATGTTTCTGAGTGGTTAGAGTTGCTAGTCATACTCTGGATATCTTGGGAAGCCTCTTAGAGAGCCTGGCCTGGCAAAATTACTGCTTATTTTAAATTTCCAAAGAGATAATGTAACACATTATCTTGTTATCTCAGTTATAGAAGAAACAGATCATTGGGATAAATAGAAGGGACCAATGGCCTAAGATGAATGGTGAACCTAAAGAATCATACAGGATAAAACTGCCTTGAAGAGACAAAGAACTTCATAAATTACATCTATGCCTTACAAGATGTTTGAATGTAAGAGAAGACTGGGTACCAAGAATGAGTAGTATCAGTTCAAAGTGACTGGAAAAATTAGGGAGGCTGATAAAGTTTAAGATTCAAAATAAATGCAAATTACTCAGATTACTTCAATAAATTATAAGTATTTCCTTTCTAAGTGGTTTTAAAGTCATATAAGGGCCATATTGTGGTTGGCATAACAAATAATGATAAAATTTAATCCATTTATGATTAAAAGTTGTAATTTTCATGAAGTAATATTATTCTACAAGTTAATAATATTAATAATAATGACTGTCATCTTGAGTGTTTATTACATAACAGAAATTATGCTGTGTGCTTTATAAATATTTTCAATATAATCTTCACAAAAATCTTCATGAGCTGGTACTAATATTATCATTCTCAGCTTCCTGGTGGGGTTTGGTAACGTGTCTAGTTTGCACAGCTAGGAAGTGGTGGAGTCAGGATTCAATCCAAAGCCTCAGCTCATAACCATCACTCTATGTCATAAGTAGGTCTTGGCATACCTAAATACCTGGCATAAAATGGGAATGATTAATTTGACTGTTCGGGTCAGGAATGCTAAGGGCTAGGGGGAGGGTAATGTTGAGTTGCTGGCTTCTGGTTGAAAAGAGAGTTGGTTCAATCATTACATGTGTAAAAAAATTTGAAACCAGTAAATCTGCAGCCAATCCAGAGCTCTTTTCTATAATTAAGATTCAGTATCATGGGGACAAATCTGCATTTCAGGCCCCTCTCCAACCCAAGCTACCTTGTTGAGACACTTATTGGCCCTCAATTCTACCCTTGATAATAATCATTGTCTCTAATTTTATGCTTACAAAAATGGGTGTAGGTAATCAGAGTAGAAGCACAAATGAGACTTATGCACACTTTATGAAATTCCTTTCTATGAAGTTCCTTGGTCTGAATGTTTGTGTGGTCCCAAAATTCATATGTTGGAATTCTCACCCGCAAGGTGGAAGGTAATAGTAGGTAGGGCTTTTGGGAGAATTAGGTCATGGGGACAGAGCCTTTATGGATTGCATTAGTGCCCTTATAAAAGAGGCTAGAGAGACATCCCTTCACTCCCACTTTTCCACCATGTGAAGACATAGCAAGAAGGTGCCATCTATGACCCAGGAAACAGGCCCTCACCAGAAGAGAAATTTGCTGGTGTCTTCATCATGGACTTCCCAGCCTCTAAACTGTGAGAAATGAATTTCTGTTGTTTGGAAGCTACCCCAAGTTTATGGTATTTTATTATAGCAGCCCAAATGGACTAAGTCACCTGTTTTTGATAAGGCATCTGTCCGTAAAGTTACTACCATAAGCACATTCCATTTGCTCGAGTTGGAGGTTTAGCTCTCCAATTTCTATTTCTAAAGAGCGTTTATTATTCCCTCAATCTTTTGCTCTTAATTTTGTGATTTTGCTTGCCTCAATATCAAATCCAAATTGTGATTATCATCTTCACATTTCTACAATATTGTTCTTTTCTATATTTCTAAATGTCATTTAAAGTTTTGCAAATATAAAAATGCTTACACTAAAAAAGTTAGAAAACACAAGCACCCTCTCCCATCCTTCTCTATTCCTAGACTTCCTATTTCAACTCTTTTTCTGATCCTTCCAATATTTAAAAAAAAAATGTTTCTAGTTGGTTAGATTTATTTTTCTAGATAATATATTTTCTTGATTTATGCATTAGGCATTATCTATTTATTCCTTTTTTTATCCTTGAGGATTTTGTACTCTTCTTACTTCCCAACTACCTTATAATTATTTTGTTAAATCATTAGTCACTATTAACATTATCATGGTATAAATAATATTATTCATGGCTGAGTTAAATATTGTTTAATGCTTTATGTTCCTCTTTTGCCCATTTTTGGAATTAATAACTGTCTTTCTTTTTATATGATTGGTTCTCTATATATTGTTAATATTTCACCAATAAATACTCTGACAATTATTTCAAGTGATTTGTTTCAAATATTTAATTTCAAACATCATACTTGTCATTGCAAATGCTCAAACACTTTAGATGTTTTTTCTGTTCTAATGTGTTCTAATGTGGTTTAGTTGTTCTCCGTTGAGGATAGAATGGAATTTCTCCTTAATCACTTCCAATTATCTCTGGTCTAAGTCTCACATCATGTTTCTTTTTGTCTGTTCTCTCATTTGCAGAAACATATCTCCTTAACAGAAAAAGGGCACTTACATCCTTTTAGATCCTTCACATTTGAATGCTATATTGACTTGAAATCGAATTCTAGCCTGGAAATCATTTTTTTCTCAATATTTAGAAGGCTTCTCCAATTGTCTTCTAGCTTTCAGAGTGTTGAGAAGTCTGCAGAAGCCATTGTGATTCCTGTTTTGTTGTGTATGGCCTGTTTTTTCTTTCTTTTTCTCTGCCTCTTTCCTCTGGATTTTCTTCGAATCTTTGGTATATCCTAAAATGTCATATTATGTGTGTTGATATGGGTTATTTAAAAACTTCTCTTTAGGCCTATGTTCCCTTGATAAGTTCTTCATCTCTCTTTGTTCTCTCCATCTGGAAACGGATTAGTCCAATGTTGAACATACTGGATTGATACTCTCATTTTATTATATTGCTCTCTGATTTCATTTATTTGACCTTTTGTTTTCCAGGAAAATTCCGTTACTTTTTCTACTAATTACTATAATAAATACAATAAATATTTTACTTTAGCTAGATTTTTAATTTGCAGAAATGCTTTCTGATTGTTCACTTTTCATAACATTCTGTTCTTAAGTTTTGGAAAGGCAGTGACATGTAATGGTTATGAGGGTGGACTTTAACCACACTGCCTAGGTTCAAATCCTGACTCTGTCATTTACCTGGGTGCCCTTGACAAGTTATTTAGCCTTTCCATAAAGTGCACATGACAGTAATGCTTGAAAGATATTGCTATGAGAATGAAAAGAGACACTATTATGGTGTTGTTGGAAAAGTGCCTGGTACATAATAAACACTAGATAGTAACAAGCAAATACTTGGAATATATTCCATTATCTTTCTGAAGTTATTAATTATCATTTTTACAATTTTCCTTCTATTCCCTTCATTATCTTGTTTTATTCTGACTTCTTCTGTTTGCTTTGATTTCAGTCTTTCATATTTAAGCTGTTGTCATATGTCTGGAGATTGTGCTCTCTGGATACATTACTAAAGATCATGGTATGAAAAAACCCGACTGGAATTTCTATGTAAATGGGTGGGCTTGTCAGGTGATCAACTAGCAGTTAAGTCTTTTGTTTTCTTTTTCTTTTTTTTTTTTTTTTTTGAGACAAAGTCTTCCTCTGCCACCCAGGCTAGAATGCAGTGGCACAATCATGGCTCACTACAGCTTTAAACTCCCAGGCTCAAGCAATCCTCTCACCTCAGTCTCCTAACTAGCTGGGATTACAGACATGCACCATAATGTCTGGTTTATTTTCTATTTCTTGTAGAGATGGGTTCTCACTGTCTTCCCAGGCTGGTCTTGAACTCCTGGACTCAAGAAATTCTCCTGCTTGGCCTCCCAAAGTGCTGGGATTACAAGCATGAATCACCACACCTACCCCAAGGAAACTTTTTCATCAGAAGACCCTCAAATGACAGTTTCTGGAGTTCTTTTCTTTGAGACTATTCAGGTCTGCAGATACTAACCTTTCCATGCCCTGCTGGGCTGTGGAGAAAAGAAAGTAGTTTCCTTGCTGCCTTCAAAGGCTGAGCCTCTCAGGGCCTCTGTGATGCACACTGACTCATTTCATTGCAGCCTCCTTGTCTACAACTTCTGAGATTGCAACGTGCTCCAACTCTCCATTCACCTTTTATTATCCAAAACATTAGTTGACATCCTTTCTATCCTTCTCCCAAATCTCTTTGTCTCTTTAGGTTTGCATCTTCTTGGTAAGTGTATGTAGCTATTTAAACAAAATCTAGTTTTGCCAACTACATTCCTTCACATTTTTATTAACTCCAAGTCTCTTCCTTCACCCTGCCTTTTAAAACATTTGGACATATTTATCTTATTTGCTCAGCTCCTAACTATATGAAACATATAGCAGGTATTGATTCCTGTCAATACCACCCCTACCTTAAAGTTTTCAGATTGGCATAGGGACATGGCAGAATGACACAGTAGGAAGAAAGCAACACACACAGATGAAGCCTTTCCATTGAAGCCCATTCTTACATGTAAGTGATTGTGCTCTCTCCACATTTTCATATTCTTCTCACAAGCACAAAAATACAGTATTCTGTGGAAGAGTTTGCCTTTTCATTCTTTATAAACAGGATAAAACAGTCGAAGCTCAAGTTTTTATTAAAAATCTTCAAAATAACTTTTAAACTTAGAATATTATTCAGTACCACTGAATCGTGCCTCATTTGGCAGAAAGGCAATTCTGTCCATATTACAATACTGACAGAACAAATTGATCTAAATTTTGCACAGAAGTGCTTTGTTATAAATTTTGTTATTAACTTTTATCTGAACATAGTACACCTCGTGTATAATATTAAAATTGCCTGCTTAATTCATACTTTATTCCCCAGAAGCAAAGAGGAAAGTAGATTGTACTGATCAATAGACCATGATTTCCTGTCTCTACCTACTGAAGAAAAATGCAATTAGTAGAATTTCATGGAAGAGATATATATGAGCTTCCTTTCCTCAGAAACGCTATTCTTAAACAGGAAGAACAAGATCATTTCTATTTCCTTTCTATTTTCACTCATCAGAAAAATTTATAGCAGATTCAAGAGTGACCAGATTATTTTTCAGGCCTGATCATTTGAAACTACATCAAAGTTGTAAAGCTATAGGAGAGGGTAAGTGTATTGTCTACTTCTTAAAACAATCAAAAGCCTCATATGATCTTCATGCCATCATCTTTGAGAACAATATAATTATAAGATGAAATACTCCAATTGCATGTCAGTTTAATTACAAATAAATAGAAAATAATTACGGTGGATGTTTTTAATGAAAAAATGTGTATCACAGCTAAATCAAATTTCCTATGTATATTACATAAATCTGCATATATACTTAGGTATATATGTATGTGTATATGCATGCGTGTGTTCATACACATACACATATTAGGCTGTTCCAATTAAATGGAATTCCACCTTTTCTTTTTAACATAAAGGGTAATAAAAGAGCTTCTTAGGAGACTGAGTATATTGTAAATAGATGCACATTGCCTTCTCCCACCCAACACACACAAAGTGAGGTTTATACATGAAGTGCAAAGCCACAGTGAGGCATGCTGCCTCGGAAGCCTACCTGCATTCTAACTGAAAGCATCTGCATGTGTTATTTGTGGGAAGAGGAAACAAAAATCAAGTGATCATTGACAGGATTTTAGAAACATGTTACCTGCAACTCAATTCTATTTTTTCTCAAATAAGAAAACTTTTCCATAACATTTGCAGCCATGTTTATGAGAAATGAAAGAAAGATCTGGTTTTGTCAACTGAATATACAATAAACCGAATATCCAAGTTAACATCTGTGCCCAGCAACACCCTCTCCAACCAAAATAATAATAATAACTGATTAACTACAAACCAATATCTGGTTGGAAAGAAATCAGATTTCTTGTTATGTTTCCAAGAGCATGTAATTCTGACCTCCTGGAGTGGCCCCTGCAAGCAGTGAAACACTCAGACTGTTTTCTGCTGAGCAGGCCTGGCAGAAGGGTCTGCTTTTCCTCGTTCTACCCATCCACGGAGAACCTGTGGTGTGAAGAGAGCATGTGGACTTTGGAGGAGTGATGTAGAGTTGAGTTCAGACAAGCTACATGAACTTGAGCCTGACACCTGTCCTCTCCAAGTCTCAAATTTCCTCATTAATTAAAAGGAGAAAATAACATTTCCTCATGAGATTATTGTTGGGATTAAATTGTGCAAAATGTATAAAATTCCTGACACAGAGAGAGTCTTAACAAATACTAATTTCATCCTCTCTCCTTCAGGGACAAAGGTAGAAAGCCTGAGATTCCTAGGAATTCACGCCCCATACTTCTTCTAGGACGTGGTCATAGTGTGACCCAGGTTCCTGGGAACATGTTCAACCCCTGTTTTCAAAGCCTGTACACACATCATTGCTCTTTTTACCTGGTGTTTTCTTGCTGTCACATGCTCTAATGATATTTGAATATGCTATTTATCCCCAGCTACCAGTTAAGGGAAATTTCTACGGGGAATTCACTTCTGCTTTCACTTAGATTTAGCATTTAGCTGTGGATTTGCAAATGCACTTGACACAAACTCCACACTCTTTTCCATCACCAGGAAGGCTGGAACGTCTCTGGTCTTTGCCTATCTATGCCATTCTCCTCCTTTCTTTCTCTGATCTGGTCACGCTGATCTCTCTGCACTTGGACTACCAGTCAGTTCTTACCTGTCCTGGGATTTTGCTCAAGCTTTTCCATCTGCGGGAAGTGCTTTTCCCTTTACTTTTGACATGGGTGGCTCCTTGTCATCAAAGCCTGCTTTCCTTCAGGCCACCTGTCCGTGGAGGTCCTGTGGTGTGATGAGAGCATGTGGACTTTGGAGGAGTGATGGCATGAGCCTTCATGTCACCTCCACAAAGGGCTTTCTCCAATCAAACACATATAGGTGCTTGATTGTTTTTACTGTTTTGATGATTTGTTGTGTTGTTGGTTTATTTTGGTTACTGGAAGGCAGAAATTAGGCCTATCGCTAGCACTAGCATAGAACCTGGCAGACAGGGGCTCAGGAAATGGTTGTTGAATAAACGAATCGTCTCAACTGTATAGGTGTGCACGTTTTAGGCCACCTCCTTGGATTGACAAGTAACAGGATTAAAATTGCAGAATCCGTACCCCTCAAAACTCAAAAGGATTATGGCAGGTAGAACAAATGTTGAATTAGACAACATGAGAAAAAAATCCAGCAAAAATTTGGAAACACGCATGCTACGAACTATTTAAAAAAAAAACACTTTCAGCTGGGCGCAGTGGCTCACGCCTGTAATCCAATCACTTTGGGAGGCTGAGGCAGGTAGATCCACATGAGCTCAGGAGTTCCAGAGCAGCCTGGGCAACATGGGGAAACACCATCTTTACTAAAAATACAAAAAAATTAGCCGGCCGTGGTGATGCATGCCTGTAGTCCCAGCTACTCGGGAGGCTGAAGCAGGAGAATTGTCTCAACCCAAGAGATGGAGGTTGCAGTGAGCCGACATCTCATCACTGCATGCCAGCCTGGGTGACAGAGTGAGACTCCATCTCAATTAAAACAAAAACAAAAACAACAACAACAACAACAACCAAAACTTTCTCCTGTATGGAGAAATTCATAAGATATGTCAAAATACCTTCCTAATGATGATAATGATCTATTATTGATCTTTATAACATTCTGTCCCATGGCTTCAACATCTTTTAAGATAAATTATTTTATTCTAACAGCTTTCCTGTGAAGTACTTATTCTGATTTTTACGCATATGAAAAACTATTTGAATTTCCTTTTCTACCGACTCAGCTCCTGATTCCAGGACTTCTAATTCTGAACCCACGAGTTTTCCTGCAAAGCATTCATTGAAATGAAATATCTCCTCACCCATTGAAAGAAATTATGTCGGTCCCATCTCCACTAAAATCCTGGCCCTATAATTCTCTGAATATTAGAGCTTGACTTGAATTTGCCAACTCCTGTTTGTGCAGATAGTGTGTTAGAAAAGTAACACTTCTCCTTTGAAAAAGAAAAGAAACTTTCTTTACAAGATAATAAATATATAGGGGAAAAACATGGGCTTTTGTTTTTCTAGTTTATGGTGCAATCAGTATGTCATGTGGTTCATGCAAAGGCAGCTTCTTTATTTCAGACAGCAAAGGTCATCTCTTCTGACAACCAGTAGGTGAGCAGAATCCACTCAGTAGTATCACCTTACCAAGGCAGCAATGGGGAAACTACAGAAGTTTGTTGCTGGTCTTTAAACCAGCACAGCTTTGATCACCACCTTGGAAAACCCTAATAAGCTTAAGAGTCTTTTCTATGACTGACTAATGTCTTGACTAGTGAAGGTCCCTTGGGAGAATCTGTCTCTTTCTGTCTCTCTTCTTTTTCCAGAGAGTGGGGCTCTCTCAGTCACCCAGGCTGGAATTCAATAGCATGATCATGGCTCACTGCAGCATTGAACTCATGGGCTCCAGAGATCCTTCTAGTCCTCCTGTATTGCTAGGACTACAGGTGTTGGCCACCATGCCTGTCTAATTTTTTTTTTTTCTTTTCTGCAGAGACAAGGTTATCCCTATGTTGCCCAGACTGGTCTTGAACTCCGGGCCTCAATTTATCCTCCCATTTCTGCTTCTCAAAGTGCTGGGATTACAGGTGTAAGCCACCAAGCCTGGCCTCAAAATCCCTCTTTTAGGCAGACAGAGATAAGAATGAATGGGATTTGAATTCCCCACAGGCATAATATATTGTTTCTGGGCTCTTCCCAGCATTCTTGTTATGCTGCAAGATTTGGAAGGAGGTGGTCTCATCTTATTTGTTTAACAATTATTTACCAAATATCTATTATGGGCCTGGGACTCTGTCAGGTGTCCAAAGACGGAAAGGTATGAACTGTGCCTTCCAAGACTTTACAGTTCAGTGGGAAGACAGGCAGATCAACAGAGAGTGAGAATCCAATGTAACATGTTCTGTATCAATCTGAGGTGTAATAAGCAGTGAAAGCATAGAGGGTAAATTGTTAATTTGCCTGGAGAAGTTAGGAAATGTTTTACTAAAAAGGTAATTCTTGAGAAAACATTTAGTGAAACAGGAATTTGTCAGGTGGACAAGAAAAATGGGGGGCATATTCTAGCAATGGGCAGAGTATATGATATTAGAGACATGAAATTGTTTGGTACTGAAACCATCTTTGCAAGATTATGGCAGCAAGAAATCTGACATAGCTGACTCCATCTTGCTTCTGACCTCCAAGCTGTCCTTGATCATTCCTGAGTGTAGGCCAAGCTAACTTTAGGAAGAATTTAGTATATAGTTTAATCTTAGAGCAAAGATTAAACTTCAAAACATGTCTCTTTCTTTGTTCAGGTAACATTATGCAGACAGGAGAGCTCTAATATAACATTTTGGACCAAACTGAGAGAGAAGAGGGGTGATCTTTTCTGCATTCTGTTTGTCTGTTTCATAGACAAGAAAACTCTGAGGAAGTTTAGTAATCAACAAGCTTTAGAAATTTTGAAAACTGGAAGAAAGGTATATCTCTCTATTTCCCATCTCTACTTCATGCTCCACATTTTAGTCAGTGCCTTTTATCTAACCACAAATCTAACTGTGTCCCTCTCTTGCTTCACAATGGTTCTTCAGTGGTTCCCCACCCCATGTAAATGTATACATGCTCGCCTTACATTCAGCTCTACGCTATTGAGCATAGTATATTAGTTTTCCAAGGCTGCCATAACGAAGTCATACAAACTGGGTGGCTTATAGCAGCAGATATTATTGTCTCAGTATTGGAGGCTAAAAGTCCAAAACTAAACCGTCTTTGCAAAACTAATGAAAGGCCACATTGTTAGGCTTTTATGAGAGGGTCTTGAACACTGATAAGATAGACACAGTTTCTACCATTCCTTACTGCTCAGGGGTCATGTAGCCAGAGGTTACAATATTTGTGACTTTCCTAATTTCTCCTGTAGATAACATCACTATTGTAGAATCTAAGATTGGTTTTTTGAGGTATCTTTCACGCTGCCCCACCCAGACTCATGACTCAACTGGTCATGTGGCCTCATCCAGAGGCAGACTCAGTGCCCGAGGACCATTTTCAACACCCTGTGATTTCATTCCCCAGCCAATCAGCAGCACCCATTCCCTAACTCCCTGCCCACAAAATTGTCCATAAAAACCACCTCCAAGCCTTTGGGGAGCCTGATTAGAGTGATAACTCTAGTTCTTCTGCATGGGCTGGCCTCAATCAATTAAATTCTTCTCTACTGCAATGCCATAGTTTCAGTGGATTTATGCTGTTTGCGTAGTTGGCAGGAAAACCTGTTGGGCAAATACAATATGGTCTAGAACTGAGGAATAATTCCCTACATCAAATGTGTATGATAAATAAGGAGAAAGACATGGGAGGGAGATGACAGGTGTTAGTTTACAGCCAGATTCTGAAGCATTTGGATGGCATGTGTTATGGGTTGAACTATATGGCCAAAAAAGATATGTTGAATTCCTGACCCCCAGCACCTCAGAATGTGACCCTCTTTGGAAATACGATTGTTGCCAACATAATTAGTTTAGTTAAGATGAGGTCATATGAAGCAGGGTGAACCCTTAATCCAATAAAACCAGTGTCCTTGAAAGAAGAGGGAAACTTGGACACCCACATGCACAAAGGGATGACCATATAAGAACAAACAGGGAGAGACTGGCCATGTGAAGATGGAGGCAGGAAGTGGAATTATGCCACCATGAATCAAGGAATGCCTAATGCCCAGGGCTATCAGAAGCTGGAAGAAACAAGGAAGGAGTCTCTCCTAGAGGCTTTGAAAAGAGCATGGCCCTGCCAATACCTTGATTTTGGACTTTTAGCCTCCAGAACTGAGACAATAATATCTGTGGCTGTAAGCCACCCAGTTTGTATGACTTTGTTATGGCAGCCTTGGAAAACCAATATACTATGCTCAATAGTGTAGAGCTGAATGTAAGGTGAGCATGTATACATTTACATGGGGTGGGGAACAATTGAAGAACCATTGTGAAGCAAGAGAGGGACACAGTTAGATATGTGGTTAGATAAAAGGCACTGGCTGAAATGTGGAGCATGGAGTAGAGATGGGAAATAGAGAGATATACCTTTCTTCCAATTTTCAAAATTTCTAAAGCTTGTTGATCACTAAACTTCCTCGGTGTTTTCCTGTCTATGAAACAGACAAACAGAATGCAGAAAAGATCACCCCTCTTCTCTCTCAGTTTGGTCCAACATGTTATATTAGAGCTCTCCTGTCTGCATAATGTTACCTGAACAAAGAAAGAGACATGCTTTGAAATATAATCCTGCCAGGTCCCCTTATTTAGTGATGGGAATGTCATAGTGAAAAATGATAATACTAATACTATCTATACTATATATATTTATATATATGTATGTATATAATACTATATAATATGGACTCTTAAAATGATTTTGATATTGATATTTTTATGATTAAAAAATTCAGTTGAAAACTCATCACCATGAAATGAATAAAGTAATATTCCAGTATCAAGCAATTTGACTTCCCAGAATTGTTTTTCTTGATCTTTATCCTAATTGGAAAAATGAATTCATATCCATATCTTGAACTATCTACTCCAATGCAAGCAAAAATCCTAAGAAGCATTCTCCAAGTAAGATCAATACTAAGGATACTGTAATACAGCTGTAATTTTCTGTTACGTATATTTCTTCCAATGTAATGAACTGTTATGATAATTGGTAGCTTTAATGAAAGCAAATGACTTCTTTCTAATTTGGGTAGGTTGTATTCCAAGCTCTGATGTTCCTAAGTCTATGTACTCTTTAGCTGTTTCTAGTCTTGGATGGTTTAAATAGTTCTTATTATAAATGCAGAAAAATTGAGTATGTTTTCAGTATTTCCAACAACATAAATGCACATGCACAAACTTTACAAGTCATATATCTTTACTGAAATGACCAGATTCACTAGAGAGCAAGGAGACACTGCTAAAGCATTCTGATTCATATTCTGCAATGTCATCATAACCTCCTGAGACACAACATGTCTTTGCATATATGAGTAAATAATTTAACAACTGTAAGATATGTCCCAAAATATCTTTCATTTCATTTACTGGAATACCATAACTGACACTGATGCCAAAATATTAATTATATGACATAGCCAAAAATGTAAAGTATATGTTTCTAATTGAATTATATTGAAGGAGAAATTTAACATGACTTCACTTTGTTTTGAATGCAAATTACACAATGATATTATTAAATTAAGACTCTGTAAGTATGAAAAACTTTTGTGTACACAATTTAGTATTCAGTTGTCTTTGGTATTTTTATGTAAAATCATAAAATTTATTTGGGAAAGTTAAGGCTCAAAAAAGAGCTGGAGAAGCTCAATTTAAGGGGAAAAAAATAAAGCTGAGAGCAGCACTGGGTCTAGAGCCCAAGTGTCTCTACTTGTGGTACAAATGTAGTGTAGTCTTACCATGTGAGTGAGCTTCTTCCCCAGTAACTAAGCCCTGGGTACAAAAACAACAGTGGTTCCTATACTTCGTGATTCATACAAAGTTATATTTTAGAGAGATTAGTGGCCTTAAACAGAATTTCACAATAGTTTCTTACCCTGCAAATCAAATGTTCTCCATGGAAAGAACAGGTATAAAATACTTGGAAGGAGCTGTGAATGCCCCGTGTCAGCAATTGACATATGTGTCAGCATAAGTAGTGGTAGAATAACCTAAGTAGGAAAAGACTTAACAAGAATATAGGTACAATTAAGAATGGTAGCAAAAGTGAACCAAAAATAGCTTGTATCTGCATGGGGTGGCCAAGTTGGGTATACACACCTACTGGCATTCATTCATTTTGTCATTCCTTTACCCCAACACCATTTTCGAGTTCCTACTATATGTCTAGCATTGGTAAATACATTCGTTTTTTAAAAGTCTGATTTGCTTACACTATCTGGATTTTTAAAATGAGTAATGTCTGGTTCTGAACCCATGCAATTGATTTCAAATCAGATAATCTAAGAGGACCTTAGATGCCTACATACTGACTTGAAGAAGGGTTTTATGGAGACGCCGATGGAGAATATGGATTATATGTTTTAAAGCCACCATTTCCCATACTCTTATACTCAGTCTCATTCATTATTAAAGCCTAGAAGTAGATGAGAAGAAGGGAGATTTCTTGGAAGAGAAAAAATGAGCAAAATGAGCAAACATTTATTGATAATCTGCTATAGATTACTGCATCTCACTAAATCCTCTTAACAACAGTATCAAGTGTTATTGTCTCCTGTGTTGCAAAGAGAAAACTGTGGTACAAAACAGCTAACTCACCTAAAGACAAAAAGCTAACAAGTAGTCAAGAGTTAAACCCAGGCCTGTCTGACACCACTGTACCACACAGCCAAACCTGTCATGCAGAATAAAACTCACAAGATAATTAGTGGAGAAAGATGATAAGCCAAAAGCAACTCCATGCATTTCTTTAGCAGTTGGCTGTACATCTAAAGCTTTATTTTATAGTCAAAGAAGATCGCCTCTTTATCCTATCCCTCCTTCTCTTCCTCTGGTTTCTTTCAATTCATTTTCCACTTTGTAATTCCTTTCCAAGTGCTCACTATGTTGTCACCTTCTCCTAAGACCCAAGGGAGTATTTTTAGGAGCAGTCAGAGGAAGAAACCGAAGGCTGGGGAGGATCACTCCAAATCCACTCAGCAGGAAAAGTTATAGCATGCATAATTTCCAAAACAGGGTTCAGGAATCAAAGGGATGGAGAAGCAACTGAAATTGAGCAGAGGGGCAACAAAAAGGGCACACCAGGGAGCTTGTAAAACCAAGAAGAAAAAAGAACATGTTTTGGGCTGGGAGTGGTGGCTCACACCTGTAATCCCAGCACTTTGGGAGGCTGAGGTGGGTGGATCACTTGAGGTGAGGAGTTCAAGACCAGCCTGGCCAACATGGTGAAACCCCATCTCTACTTAAAAATACAAAAATTAGCCGGGCATGGTGGCATGTACCTGTAATCCCAGCTACTCGGGAGGCTGAGGCAGGAGAATCACTTTAACCTGGGAGGCGGAGGTTGCAGTGAGCTGAGATCACACCACTGAACTCCAGCCTTGGCAAGACTCTATCCAAAAAAAAAAAAAAAAACATGTTTTGGTTTGTATACCTCACAGAAGGCCTCCAAGACGCAGGGAAAATATCTTCAATGACTCATCCTCTATTGATAACACTAGCTTTTACACCAGGAGTCATGCTGAGAAGTTCAGAGACAGTGTTAAACTGCCACAACAAGTCAATGAACTCAACAAAATGCATTGCTTACACATAAATCTACAATTGCCTTGCTGGTTTTGTGATGCAGCTTTCTGAAATATGTATTTGTTTCCTTTTAACATGGGTTCTTGGCCTCCATCTATATACCAAGCAGAGATCTAAGCACCAGCACATAAAATATCTCTTAGCATCCTAACAATAAGTCTGAGAGAAAGCTTTATTTTTCCCACCACACAGAAAGAGACTGTGGATCAGAGAGTAGTGTGACTGCGGATGTCATCGATTCCAAATTTAAACTCAGGATTCCTTCCTTTAAAGTCTAGTGGTCTTTCCGTTATACCATGCTACATAAACTTCTCAACATCACAATGAATAAATACAATGCTAGCCACAATAAAAGTGCAAAAATGCTCTGAACATATGAGGAGTTTAATAAATATTTGGGGATTGGTAGATTTGTATAATTTCAAAAGGCAAACCAACAAACCTTGTCTCCTTGCCAATGGGACGTATGTCTTGACAATGAAAATAACAGGAAGACATAATAATTTATTCACTTCCAATTACCTATCTGCAGATGGACTTGCTAATTGGTTCTGTTTTCGTTATTAGTAAAGACATAATCTTACCTTTTTAACAATTTTCCCAGATACACAAAGGGCAAGCTGCTACTCTCATTGACAACTCATTGGCAGTAACCACATTTAAAGTCAGTTGTGTTTTAGTCAAAGGAGACTTTTCTCCACTTGCATCTGAATTGAAGTAATGCACAACAAATATAGCTATCAAATTTACTAATTGTGTTAAATAAGGATATCCAAGTGTTGCAAGACCATCAGAAAAAGCACACTACAAAAGCTAAGTAGTCAATTTCAAAAAGCCTTTTAACATAAGTATTTCAAAATCATTAATTTTGTTACCATTTAACACCAGTGATTTTCATTTCCCACAATCTATTCTGACATTTAAAGGAAGATTTTTAAAGTATCTCTTGCATCATATAAGACTACCACCATATAATGCCACTTAAAAATTACTGCATTTTACAAAGGTAAAGGCAGGGGGAGGTTGGCCCATAAAAAAATCTAATAAAACCTTCCATATATATATATAAAATTTTTTTTTTGAGACAGGGTCTCACTTTGTCGCCCAGGCTATAGTGCAGTGGTATGATTTTGGCTCACTACAACTTCTGCCTCCCGGGTTCAAGCTATTCTCTTGCCTCAGCCTCTCAAGTAGCTGGGGTTACAGGTGTGCACCAACATGCCTTGCTAATTTTTGTATTTTTAGTACAGATGGGATTTCACCATGTTGGCCAGGCTGGTCTTGAACTCCTGATCTCAAGTGATCTGCCCACCTCGGCCTCCCAAAGTGCTGGGATTACAGGGGTAAGCCACTGCACCTGGCCTTTCTCATATTTCTTTTTGAGCCATGTTAGTGTTATCCAGTACAAAGAAACACACACATGCACACCACCTAGAGACCTATTGTCATGGTTCAAACATCTTAGGATATAGAGATCATGACCAAACAATATTGGAAACTCTTACTAAAGTAAGTAGGCTTTATGATTAGTAAACTGGGCATTTTCTTTGATCCTCTGACAGAGGAGATGACTTTTGCTCCTCAATGATTGGGTTGAATGCTATGCCAGGTGCCTTCGGTCATACAGAGTGGTATTGACAGAGGGTTTCATGGCTCCTAGAACCACAAGAAAGCCATCCACTAAAACATCTGTACCAGGGCGGTGTTGTCAGAAGACAGAAAGGAAAATAACAGTAAAGAACATAAAAGAGTAGCCATAAATAAGAGGAAGTTGCACGAGTAAGTCAGGTGAATGGTTTTTAATCCGGCTTGGACGGCAAGCTTGAAAAAAAAAAAAACACAAAAAATGACCCAGTCCAGAGCATCAGATTTTATTTACATAAATATCAAAAAAAGATTATGTTAAAATGATAAAAATTATTTAATTTAAAACCATTTTGTAAAATCTGGAAAATATATGCTAAGTGAACTTGTGGTTTGTTAATACCCTTTGCTTGGGGATTTTTCTACTCCACAATTTATGAAAAGTCCCAAATATTCTCTAATGGGATTTTTAGCCCAGTCGGTTGGAAAGCACAAAACTACCTCTGGGGATTTATCCACTGCACCCATTAGAGGCTCTGTACACTCTTCCAGCTGATCATAAAGACCTTGAGTACTGAGCATTACCAAGGGACACCCAGTCCATTCCTGGCGTCCTGGTGTCCTTTTTTCTTTTCTGTGTTCTTAGTGTGAGGTCCTAAGGTGATGTGTATGGCAAGAATGGGACTAAGAAGACCTTGACTGAAACCGCAGCTCAGCCCTGAAACTGACTGACCTTGGGCGAGTTCCTCAATCTCGGTGCCCTGTTGCCTCTCATTTGGAAAATTCAATTGCCTACTTTACAGGATTGTTGTACCTTCTGGATTTAATAACTTGTGAAAATAATATACATATGAGAGATTCTCAAAAAGACTTCTTGGATAGGTGAAAATGAAACTGAAAAATCAGAGAATAAAAAATGGTGTTCGTCTATTCAGAAGTTGTTCTAAAACTTTGGTGAGCATAAAATATCACCTAAGCAGCTTTTGAAATGATGTCCATTCTAGAAATTCTGATTGAGTAAGTCTGGATTAAGCAAGCATTACTAATCATGGAACCACACATTGGGAAATACCGCTTTAGAACATAGTATTCTATCAAAATTGTAAAACAAATATTGGTTTTATTTGAAAACATTACATGAAGTGATTCTTTCTTTAATGACATGTCTCTCATTTAAGTGTTCAGGTTTATAAGGCCTCTGATTCTCAATTAGAATGAGTTCCCTATATCCCCCTCATAAATAGAACTATATCAACCTTTCACATCTAAGCAGCACTGAGCTCTAATAAGTGTGCCACTGTATGACAGCCAAGTGTGGAAAGGCGACTGGAAAAACACCACATATTATTTCTTGCCTATTTATTTTAAAACTGAGTAATAAAAGGTGTTCAGCATTTTGCCATATAAGGTACTAAGTTCGGAAATATTTTCACGGGAATCAGGTCTTCCCCCCAGTGATGGCTTAATATAATCCACAAGTACTCTTCATTCCTTCATAAAGTTGATCCATGGATATTTATTCATAGAAGAGGTCTTAGTGGTCATCTAGTACTATCCATTTATTTTACAGCTAAAGAAACCCCAGCTAATGTCAGCTGGCTTGTCCTCCAACCCAGAATCTTCACAAATGAAGAAGTTTCCCTCCCAAGGGAAGCCTAATTAAGAGCCAAGTCTACACTCAGAAAGATTTCTCCACTGAAACTAACTTTGCTATCCAGTGTTAAAAGGGAATCTAGTGTCTTAAATCATAGTATTAGTAGTAATTCCTTCATGTAAATAAATGCACAACATTTGGGTTAACCTCCTTCATAGTATCTTACTGATTGATAATATAAGAAAGCAGGATGACAGATTCATTTCACACAAAAATGCACTCCTTCAAAATAACAAAATTAACCAGAATTCATTTTACTTCAGATCCTGAAAGTCCAGCATTAAAAAACATTAAAAAGGCTAGGCATAGTAGCTTCATGCCTATAATCTCAGCAGTTTGGGAGGCTGGAAAGAGGATCACTTGAATCCAGGAGTTCAAGACCAGCCTAGGCAACATAGCAATACCTCATTTCTATTTAAAAAAAAAAATAAAAATAGCTAGGCGTGTTGTTGCATGCCTATAGTCCTGTCTACTTGGGAGGCTGAGGTGGGAGGATGGCTTGAGCCCAGAAGATAGAGGCTGCAGTGAGCTGTGACCGCACTACTGCAGTGCAGCCTGGGCAACAGAGCAAGACCCTATCTCTAAACAAAAACAAAATGCATTTAAAAGTTACTTCTTCTGAAAAGATAATTCTCTTCCACATTACACAGTAAAATAAATGAATTCATTTTGGCCGACTGCTGTTTTGGGTTATTTCCCCATTTTGCTGTTTTGGGTTATTTCCCCAATTTCCTTAGATGTGTACAAAAAAATTAGTGCTGATGATATTTTTAATCTTAACCCTCATCTGCTTTTTTGATAGATTTTTTTCCCAGATTTTTTCTGTTAACCCAAGCCCACACAGCCAGCAAAACTCCCAAGAACTCTTGCAACCAATTTTTCCTTTTCAATTGTATAAAGCTTTGAAAGTTATTGATTCTGCAAATGTGAAAAATTAACTTATCAAAAAATAGCACACATAAAATGGGAACTGGCCAAAGAAACACAAAGAATATTGTTTTAACTGGAAGTTCTATCATTAACTGCTACAACTACTGTATTCCTGATATGGCTTTTTGCAATATATTTATCACTATATGGGAACGATTTAATCTGCTCCATAGAGAGAGCAGTAGGAGCTCTCAGTGGCCTCAAAATATGATGGTTCTTACCAAAAACAACGAATCTAAATTTCTTGCAGATAGTAGGCCTAACTTTTTTTTTTCTAAAAGGAAATAACTCTCCTCTAAAAGTCAAATTTGTTTTTAAAACTGTGGTGTCTTTAACCACTTTCCCCCCCCCCAGTTTTTCACTTGACACCTTGTCATGAGTTACAGTGGCTTGCATCAATCATTCTGGGTTCACACAGAAAATATTTTGTGGTGGTTGACTATCACATGCGAGAAACTAAGTGCCCTTTGCGGGTGACTGCGCAGGTACCTCTGATTTCTTGCCAAATCATTCAGAATGCCGCAAATCCATTAAATCTCTCCACAGGGAGGAAAAAGTTCCCGCATTCTAGAGAGAGAATTTATGAGTTCATTTCAATCACCACAAATGAAAGCCACCCTTAATATTCATTAGAGATTTTACAGTGGCAATATGCATTATCTATTCATATGCCCCTCTAAAAGGCCAATTTCCCTTGAAACCTTGCATGGCTCCAAGCCACTCTTTGTAGAAACAATGGCCTATGTCCAAGTGGAATCAGGGGAGGCAAATGGATGACATTTCCTTATCCATTGGTAGTAATTCCACTAAGCCACTATGGTGGCTATGAGTTTCTGAGCTTTAAAAATTAAAGGACAGATTTGGAATGTGCAGTCGTGTCATTGTATCACTTCTCTGCTGTCATCTGTGACCATATGTCCTAAATTGAATAGAGCTTTTCGGTTGGCATCACAAGAGATGACTTTTGAAACTGACATTTCTTTCATTTGGAGAAATGTATATGTTGGAGACATAATCCTATGAGCCTGAGAGCTTTTCATTAATCTCTGTCTTTCTACCACCATAGTTCACGCCACCATCATCTTTCATCTATTTTTCCCTTCAAATCTATTTTCTTCACTGTATGTAGAGTGATCTTTCCAAAATATCAACTCAAGCCTCATATCCTCAACAAATCAACAAGAAATATCAAAATAAGCCCTTGGCTTAAAACAGTTCTTGCTTAGCTTCCTCATTGCTTTTAGGGAAGACACAGCAAAACAGCATAACCTGTAAGACCATATGTGGTCTGACTCCTTCCTCAGGCTTACCTTATCCCACATCTCCGTGTTTTCTCTCCCAGCTATTATGAATTCTCATTGTCCTTATTATCAGTTAGTTAACTCTTCTCTTCCATCACATTTGAACTCTATCATCACTACCCATGAAAGCATTTTCTGACTCCTCGCCTATTATTGGCCTTCACAGAACCATGTAACAATCATAGCTCTTATCAAAGCTGGCATTTCATGTTTATTTATGTGATTAAATATATTTTTGTTTCTAATTAGACTATAAGGTTCACAATAATCTGTTTCTACCCAACAGTTTATCCTCCTTAACTGGCATGATGTAAATACTCAAAACAAATTGTTGAGTAAATGAATAAATCAGTTCTTGATTTTAACGTATCTTGTGCCCTGGATAAAAAATCCTTTCTATGAGTGAGACATGGGCTTCCACTGGGGTTGGGCTTGAGGTGAGCTGCAATAAAGCCATATTTCTAATCCAATTATTCATCACTATGGTTGTATTTAATAGCTGGGAACCATGAGATGCATAAAGATCTTACACTGAATATTCATAAGGGTTTTTAGAGTGAATTCAACCACTTGCTTTACAACTTCCCAGGAAGGAGAGGGAACATGAATTTCTTTCCTTCATTTTTCATTCTTTCTGAAAAAGGTGGTTATGACTGAGCGATATATTATGACTTTGAAATAAAATATCATGAAATGCATATGTGATGTGGCTACTATAAAATATATGAGAAGAGTTTTAAAAAGGTAACATCATTTTACATATGCAAGACACTGTCAATACAGTCACAATTCGGGAGGTCAGAAAAGGGCAACGGTGATGCCAGCATGTGCACTCCAGCCTCTTCTTCTTTTTGTCTGTTTTCCCCAGTCTCTCACAGGCATGGGGTCAGTAGAGTACCCCCAAGAAGCTAAAAGTAAACTCTCACCCGTTGCTCACTGTATACATTTCAGTGAGTTAGCTCCAGCTTTCTTAGTTCCAGGGAGATAATTGGGCAAACTATATGAAATAATCTTAAAAACTACTGGAAACCAGTAATGTAAATTCAGTGCAACATTTTCTCGTGTAATACAGAATTGTTGATGGTGACATCCTAATGCAAGAACCTGTCTTTGTCACCATTGTGGCCACACAGCTCAGGGAAATACCTGATATATCATCGACATTATGCTGTTGTTACTGAATGACAAATAATTAGAAACATATAATAATAAATTATAATTAAATGATAAAAATTTCCCTTGAAAATAATAGCTTTTCTTCATTAAGTTCCAATTAGGTGTCAGGTACAGTTAAAGATGTTACATACATTATCTAGTCCAATTCTTACTAGAATTCCACAAAGAAATCTTTGTGTTTTCCATTTGGTAGATAAGAAACTGAAACTCTGAGAAACGAAGTGACTTAACAGTTACACAGACAGTAAATGGTGAGGCCACAGTTGAAGTCCAGGCTTATTTGACTCACGGAGTTTCCACCATATGCTGCTTCTCTTTACTGCCATGGTTATTTATAGATCTACTGCAAAATTTAAAGACAACTTAGTGATGGGAAAAGTCAGGACTAAGAGTTAGGAGGATTATGTTCAGCATCAGCTCTGCCATCATGTGCTGTTTGGGATCTCAGGTAATTCACTTAATCTTCATGCACCTCAATTTCTCTATCTGTAAAATGGCAGTAATGCTTTGCCTAATTCATAGAGCTAGTAGAAGAGCAAATGTGAGAAAAGTTATATTGCACCTTGAAGGCAGGGTCTCTAATTATCAAGCTGTTAAACCCTTACTTTTAATTAGCCCTTTCACATCCAAGGTGTCATTTCATACTGCAAGCTGGGAGCTGATGTCTCCATTTTTATAGATGAGATAAGTAAAGGTAAGTTACTAGCCTAGTCTCAAAAATTACAAAGCCATGATCTTTGCAGAAAAACTTTGGATTATATGTAGATTTCAGCTTAAAATCCTGCTCTGCCACCTGCATAAATCGGTTATCCTCTTTGAGCTTCAGATTTCTACATATAAAATAGAAATAATGATACCATGATACTGTCTTACTGAATCATAACACAATTAAAAGAATACATAAAATTACCTGAAATAAAGTCAAGTGCTAAGTCAATGGTGACCATGATTATCACAATGTGTCTCTGTGCTGAAAACAAGATTTCAAAGGCATGAACCACTCAAGGTGGCACCTAGTGTGTATGTGATGATGGGTGGGAGTCAGGGTGATGGTGGCAAAAGCAGATGTCTCTCTCCAACCAAGCACTCTTTATACCGCACAGACCCTGATCTTCTGCTCCCTTCTACAGTCTTACTTAAACTTCACCCATCCATTTTTTCAAAGCAGACTTTACTCCTCTGAAATAGCATTGAAAAGGATTTTTAAAGTACTTCTTGTTAGAATGGTGAGAGCTCCTGAGAATGAAAATGGAAATTCTTGTTCATGAAGAAGTTTCTGTAGCCCTGAAGTGAATTCATATGCATACTTGCTGGTTCTGACTTACATTGTTTAAGTCATGGCTGATGCATCCAGAGACCATGAGGGAGAGAGAAAGGAGATGGGATAGAGGAAGTATAGTTGTTCAGAAATCAAAACAAAAACAAAAACAAAACCCTAAACCTAAACCAGCTGAGGTAAAGGTAAAAAATGTAGAAATACGGCCAACAGGCATCATCTGAAGAAAATTGCTTTGAAAAATTAGAAAGAAACCTTTATATACAAAACTTTTTCTGCACATATAATTTATCTTCCTCATTGTATCCTTATGACCCAAACTATTGAAGACAGCAAGGATCTTAAAAATCATTGACATTCTCCTCCATTCCAAAGATGAGGAGGTAGAAGCCCATGGAGATTAGGCAATTTGATCCAAAGAGATCCTACTATGACAGAGCTAAGCTCATAGCTGACTCTTCTGGCTTTGAGCAGTATTCCCTTAAGGGTATAACACAGCTTCTAACACACCATGCTACACATGCAAAATATGTCTTTTCTATAGTTTGCTTAGCAGTATTTGAATTATGAACATATTTCTTTGCAATAAAAGAAAATTTGGCAACACTTGGAGCATTTGCCAAGGCTCATTATATGTTCTAATGAGCTCCTTCAAATGTTCTAACATTCAGGCTTCTCTCCTGCCAAAGATTGATGTCCAGCTTTGGTGATTTGCTTCCTTCTGTTGGAGCATGCAAGAGAGGCTCTAAGTAAAAAGGACATTTAGGTCTTTCATGGCTAATAAGCATATTGGGCCCCCACCTCAGATTGTCCATAATTGTCTTCCTCCTTCTATTTGAGAATCCAGTGAAACGTATTCCAACTGTCTTGTGAAAGCCAAAATGTAGTTATACTTGATTATCATGGATCTTATTTCATGATCATAGGAACTAATCTAAATTACAAATGTTTTATGATAACTTTAGGAAGATTTTACTATAAGGAATATCAATTCAACTTTCTCCTTAATATGATGCCTTTGAGTAAACAAGCACAGAGTGAAAACACATGAAGAGAGAAAAGGAGCAAAATCCTTAGGGTAATTCATGAAGAAGAGGGATTCTTGGTTTCCATAACAATTCTATAACTAGATCACAGGACTATTGTTTTCACATATGCATGAAGTTTGTGTAATTGGGAAAAGCCAAACATCAACCCAAATAATTTGACTGGTTTGAATGCTACATTGCTGTGTCTCAAAAGTCTATTTTAATATTACCTCTATTTATCCTGGGTTTCTAGACTAATACTTCACACTTACAGAGAAATTACATTTTCTCATTTTATCTTTATTTTTATTGTAAAATGTTTTATTGGAAAAGACACTTAAACATTTTATGCACATTTATGATTTACTTCATATTCAACCTAAGGAATTTCCATAAACCTGACATCTTCTACTATTATAATATCTCATATTTTATGTGTTTATTCTACAAGCTCTTCTTTATCTAATAAAAAATGTGTTTGCATGTCTGGCGAGACCTTTTTTCAGGCTTATTTTATATACAGGTACTACAAAGTGTTTGCCATATTATTGAATTTTTACACCAAAAATTGCTATTACTTATTCTTCCGTTTTACCGTTTTCTTTTAATAAGATCACGTAAACTCTCTTGTCCACCCCTTCTCCTAACACACATGCATACTTCTAAGCTCTCAAGTTCATAGACTGGATGGCTTAGGAGGCACCTTACGTGACTTTGCTAAATGAGTGAATGAATGGATAAATGAATGAATAAGCCATGCAGAATCTCCTAATTTTCAAATTCTTCTCTTGGGTAAATGCTGATTCTCCTAGCATCAAATATTAAATTGGTCATAATTAAAATTTCATCATGTAAAATTGTCATAATTAATGATTATTTTCTTGCTCACCTTAAGTTTATAAAATTATTTTTAGAATCTTTATTGTCAAGTATATTAATTTTAGCACAGACTGTAGTGAGTATAGATATGTTTTGGCATTTTTGCATCACATTTTCCTATTTATCTTTTCAAAATTCTCAGTCCAGATTACCATTTATGATGCTTTCTTTTCCATAAGTGGTCCAAACACATTTGCTGAAACTTTTTACCTTTCCATCCCACAATAATTCCACTGCAAAAAAGTAAATTTAAAGCTGTTCCAACAACTGATTTTTGACGTTGGAGATGAAACACAAGGATGTTAAATTATGAGGAATTATGCATTGATAGTTCATAGTCTACCTTCTTCCGGGTGAGTGTGTGAGCTTTCTTCTTAGTATGTCTTATTATTTACCAGGTCCAAAAATAATACTACTCACCACAAATGGGAACACAGAGGTTTTTTGGCAGGAGCCTGACATCACTAAAGCACAAAGAAAATGAGAATGGAATCCGTGAATTGTTTTTCCTTTTTCCTAAACCATGTGCCTCCTTACTCACTGTCTTTTTACTGGTCCTCTCTAGCCTTAATTCTTTCTTTGCATATGTCTATTTTTCAAAGTCTACATCATGGATTCTTACTCATTCACCTACACTTTTAAACTTCACTACTGTTTATCAAATAGGTAGAGAAGAAAAGAAAGGCCAAAATGAGGAAATAGTATGAAGATGTGAAGATGGAAAAAAATATCATTGTGCTTGATGAAAGGATGATACTCACTTTGTCTGCAGTAAAGAGTGTGTAAAAAAGACCTGTGTGCATCTGGTTAGAAGGAAGATTAGGTGAATGAGTTTAGATTTGACCCTGTAGGTTGTGGGGGAGGCGTTTAAAGGTTTGTGAGGGGAGCAGGGACATTATTAGATTTGAGCTTCAGGATCATTAATCAGGGTAGCATTTATCAGTTAGAATAGTCAAGAAAATTAATCTGTTAGATTAATCTGATAATGGTGTGTCATGTTGATTGAAGGGGGAAGACCAGGGTCAGAGAGACCGAGGGAGACTGCCAAGGGAGAGAATAGAGAGACAAAATGGAGGACAGGCACAGACAGCTTATCCCGGTTAAGCTGTCTGTCTCCAGTTACCTCGTCTGTCTCCCAGAGACCTCTGGTTTTCTTGAGACATATTAAAACTTTTATACAACTCAACAGTGAAGCTGTGTATCCTAAGAGCACTTTCCCATGCCAATAATTAGCATCCACTGCTGCACGTTTGAACTGAAAGAATTGTAAAACCTTTTGTTACTCTATTTATTGGTGAACATTAGCAGACCACCTGTTCCTCCAACTGAAACAGTTGCGTAAAGAATTTTTCCATCATCCACACGATTTGTCACCATTGTGATGAGTTCATACAAGATTCCAAAAAAAGTCTCATACTTGCCTTAGATACCTTTAAGTACAGCTTTGTTTATGTTCTCACCTTCAGATGCTGTATATCAACTACACTCATTTTTCTTTGATTTTTGTTATATGATTCTGTCTCTCACTATTACAATTTTTCTCACTATACTGTTTGAATTCTTCTGTAAGCAGGTCTCTGTTCTGTTCTTTTGGGTCTTTGACTTTGCCTCTTCCTGAAAGATCTTTTGTTACTGTCACTTTTTAAACATTTTCACACTATATAAAATGGGTTTGAAAATATTTTAGAAATTTGAGAGGAGGAATGGATATTTGCTCCTTGTTTATGTCTAGATTGCATCCGTTTCTTTTTTTTTTTTTTTTTTTTTTTTTGAGACGGAATCTCACTCTGTCTCTCAGGCTGGAGTGCAGTCGTGCAATCTCGGCTCATTGCAACCTCCACCTCCCGGGTTCAAGTGATTCTCCTGCCTCAGCCTCTCGAGTAGCTGGGATTACAGGTGCATGTCACCATGGTGGGCTAATTTATATATATGTGTGTATATATATATATATATATATATATATATATATATATATATATATATTTTTTTTTTAGAAGAGACAGGGTTTTACTGTGTTAGCCAGGATGGTCTCGATCTCCTGACCTCATGATCCGCCTGCCTCAGCCTCCCAAAGTGCTGAGATTACAGGTGTAAGCCACCACACCTGGCCCCATTTCTTAATCTTATAAAAATAATTTGTTTATCCTTATAAATCTGAAAAAGTCTCCCAGATTTTGAAAAATATATGTGTTATTATAAAAACATATGAAAGGAAGACTTTGTCTCCTTCACAGCCCACAAACTCTATCCTTTCTTACCCTCATTCCCTACCAAGCCTATGGCTCATTTTCCTCCTTTTGTTAAGATGTGCCATGCTCTTAGCTTACAGAGCTTCGTAAGTACTCTTCAGTTATTCTTCTTATAAATTGATTTGAAACACTTGGCTTCAAAGATTATTTTTGGTCACCTCGACTATTCCCTTTCTTAAGATGCAGCTGAAATCCCCTCTCAACACCACTCATCTCAGATGTTAGAAAAGATCATCATCCTTGGTTTTTCCTTTCCCATTTCTCTTGTGGAGTATACCCTTTCATAAATCTGATCTTTTACCTTTCTCAATTTATATCAATTCCATAATCACAAATATTTCTTCACTCCCTGATCCCACAGACACTACAAACAACTTAACTTCATGTTAAACATCTCTGTATCTCATTTTCTGTTGACTTCTGTGAAGAGCCCTTGACAAATAATACATTTCCCTGTCTGATTCCGTTTGTTTATAGTATCTCAACGGAATAAAATGTTCCAATCTTACAGACCTCTGGGTGCTTTGATTTTTGCAATAAATATTACTTACTATAGATGAATCCCAACACTATTTCACTAAATTTTTCTAATAGATATTAATAACCTTGCTTAACTACTGGGTGTTTTTGGTATGCAAAGAGTTACTCAGAGGAAAGAGAGTGAGTAGGACTGAAACCACCTTACAGAGTTGGAATTAGTGGGTGAAAGAGGGTAAGGAGTTTACTCAAGCACACTCTGCCGGCAATGTCGGAGCTGCATTAAATCCATCAGCACCCACCTTGAGAGTGGGAGGCTACAGTGGGCTTAGCAGGAAGCATATCTGGGTGAACAAGGACTTCCTCAAAGATGAGTTAATTTCAGGCCACCTAAAAACTCTGATGTAATAATAGAATCAAAGACACCAAGCAGATCACAAGGTCAGGAGTTCAAGACCAGCCTGGCCAACATGGTGAAACCCCATCTCTACTAAAAATACAAAAATAAGCCGGGCATGGTGGCGGGCACCTGTAATCCCAGCTACTAGGGAGGCTGAGGCAGGAGAATCATTTGAACCCAAGAGGCAGAAGTTGCAGTGAGCCAAGATCATGCCATTACACTCCAGCCTGGGCGACAGGGTGAGAATCCATCAAAAAAAAAAAAAAAAAAAAAAAAAGACCCCAAGATTGTACTATTCCTAAAATTTTTGAAGTCAAGGAGAAACTAGTGTCCTTGTAGATTAGATTCATTTCCCATGAAATGTGGGGTTTAGGCCCAGCTCCATCATATCTGCATATCTTGGCACGTATATTTTTAAAAATATAATCACACTCTTACCCTTTTAAATTGCAAAAATGTCGCCTCTGACTACCTGCCATTAATAGTAAGTAACATTCATTACAGAAGCACATCTTTTCAAACCCCAACACTGCCTCCTTTACATTCTATAATATGAAAGTTAAATAACCTAAATAATAACCCTGCAATTACTATTGAAAAAAATACCAGCTATGCTAAAATGAAACTGGATATTTTTCACTTGTTGTTGTTATAGAATATATGTGTAGAATACAAAAATAATAATTTGCACTCATCCAACTTCTTTCACTTTAGTGTCTCAAATCCCGGAGTGTAAGTGGTCTCATTAAGTTTACCAAACCAATTTAACTCTAACATGCTCTTGAACCCTCTCTCCAAGTCCACTGAGGCTTTTCTGTCACGAATGCTGAACAATATCATCTGAAATTCTGAGCATTCTGTAGATATGTTTGACCTTCTGCAGATAAAACTCACTTAATCGTTAAGTTATATATTAAAATAGACAAAACTACCTAAATAAAAAAGAAAAATATGACTGTTGTGTATTTCCCTACACCTACACACATCCACAAACACTCACATGTACAAAATAATTTATCTATAACTGGATTTATTAGAATGAGGAAAGCTTTGGCTATAAGAACAGCTAGAAAAACAAGAAGAAATATGCTTTATCTGGATCTATGGAAACAAAGTCCATTGGTTTCTAACCTCCATTTATTTAGGCAACAAGTGCTACTCAAATATTTATTTATTTATTTCTGTTCTGCACTTCATGTTAGAAAATGCTCACTTTTTTTTTTTTTTTTTTTTTTTGGAGGCAGGGTCTCACTTTGTTTCCCAGGTTGGTCTTGAAATCCTGGGATCAAGTGATCCTCCCACCTTGGCCTCCCAAAGTGCTGGGATTAATGGTGTGAGCCACCACACCTGGCCACTTCTTCAGATATTTATTGAGGACCCATTACATTATAGGAACTATGGAGGATACAAAGATAAGTTATTCATAGGAAGTATACAAATACTGAACTAATTCCAGCACAAGTGGAGTATGGTTAAGTTCCATGAAGATGAGGGCAGTGTAGATATCATTTAGCTCTGTATCTCCAGTGCCTGATATTGTGAATAGCAAATAGTAGGTTGGCAGGATGTGTTTCATGGATATGGAATGAAAGAATAATGCCCTCAAATAATGTAGAAGTTCAAAGGAAGGAGGGACTACTTCTGCCTGGTGTTACTCAGAAAAGCTTTCTAGATGATGAAGTATTTGATCTGAGTCTAAGGGATGATGGGATGGGTTCTAACAGAGAGAATTCACATATCAGGCAGAGGCCATCACACTGTCACAAAGATAGAGGGAAGAAAGTGTGAGACAGCCTTTAGGAATAGCAAATCATTCAGTTTGGCAGTTCGGCATAGGAAATCAATAAGGTGGGGGTAGTGCACAGATAAGACTGAAAAATTAGATTGAGTCCAGACTGATGAAATCCAGAAATGCCAAGTTAGGGAGTCCAGATTTTATTCTTGAAGAAAACTCTGACTATTTGTGTTCAGATGCCTATACAACAGCTTAGCCACTTGCCAAGGAGTCATCAGCCTTGATCCTGCTTCTGAAGATATCAGAGGGAGTCATCAGAAGCACGTCCTAATTATATTACCAGCTACTCTCCAAGAAGCTACTCTAAGAGAAAACCTGCAAAGTGCAGCAGTCCCAGAAAAGAAGATGAAGATTAAAGAAGAAGGAGGATATTTAGAAATGATTAATGTTGGTCAGTTTCATCAGTTCGAAGTCTGTTATCAGATACCTGTTATATTTACTATGGCACTTTGAACACAAGTTACTTTAATTCTAGTCTTTGCAGACTTAATGCACAAATCTTAAAAGGCAAAAAAAGTTCCAAGAGAAAATATGCCTTTTAAGAGACCTCTAAATATGTTATAAAATGTAGCTTCTGTCTAAGAAGAGACTGATTCTTTGAGGAAAATGGTAGAGAGTAGGCTCCCTGGATACACAGAATTGTCCCATTCATTCACTGAAAACACACATGACCAGAGGAGCTGTAGGTAAAGTTATAAAACATGCCTTGAGCAATTTACAAGGAAATTGAAAAAAAAGTACCACTCTTAAGTACTAGAAGATTTATAATATTTGACTTTAGCTTCTTGACTATTTCCATTTTTTAGTTAAGAAAGTTAAGATTAAAAGGTTTAAATAACTTATCCAAGCCCAAAAAAAAAGTAGCACAGCCAGAATCCATCCAAATTTGTTTGACTCCAGAGAGCATACTCTTTCTCACGTATCACATAATAGCCTTAGAGTCTGCCCTCGTATATGGAAAACACTCTAATGTAGTAGCTAAAAGCAGGAGCTCTAGCTAAAAGCAAGACCTAGGTTATAGGTCTTGGCTCTACCTCCTGTTAGCTGTCTGACTTTGCACCTGTTACCAACTTTTTGTGCCTCCATTTTCTCAACTGTAAAATGAGGGGAAATAATATTTCTTTTTTTTTTTTTTTTTTTTTTTTTTTTTTTTGAGGACGAGTCTTGCTCAGTCGCCCAGGCTGGAGGGCAGTGGCGCGATCTCGGCTCACTGCAAGCTCCACCTCCTGGGTTCACGCCATTCTTCCGCCTCAGCCTCCCGAGTAGCTGGAACTACAGGTGCCCGCCACCACGCCCGGCTAATTTTTTTGTATTTTTAGTAGAGACGGGGTTTCACCTTGTTAGCCAGGATGGTCTCGATCTCCTGACCTCATGATCCTCCCGCCTCGGCCTCCCAAAAGTGCTGGGATTACAGGCATGAGCCACCGTGCCTGGCCAAAAATAATATTTCTTAAGGTAATATTTCATAATGTAAGTCCTTACCTTATAGAGTTGATGTGAGATTTAAATGAGATAATACATATAAAATGCTTAGGAAAATGGCAGGCCCAAATAAAATGCTCATTAAAATTAGCTATTATTTTTCAGTGAAATTTCATTATAATTGCAATAATTTAGACAGTTCACTTCACATTTTCTTGATCTCAGTCAACACACGAAGTCTTCCTTCAATCAAAAAGAAATCCCTGGAAAAATTTTATGCAGTCATTAATTTGTACACAAAGGAATATATGAAATGTTAATATGGGTAAAAGTCACAAGAGTTTGGTTGCTTTTTGGAAAGACAACTCTTGCTCTGGTAACTTTTCTGAAACTGATAAATTTCACTGATTAGCACTTTTGCTATCTGTTTCTTTCCCGACAGTACAAAACCCCAGATAAGATGACACATTTCCGTAGTCTGCAAACTTACCCATGAATGTAGGAGATCCATATCTGAGCAGGAAGACTTGAGACGTGTGTGGCGAATACAAGAGGAGCAGTGGTCCCAGGGTCCAACTTGTGCTATTTGGAAATCAAGACATGTCCAGAGAGGGTTTTCAGGAAAAGGCTTCCAGTGATGCCACATGTAAGCTTCACCTTCATACCAAGCTAATTTATCTTCCAAGTTGCAGTTATTTAAAGTGCTGGATCTACCCAGTGATGCAGAAAGAGTATCCAATCTAATCTCCATTTCTTCCTTCCTCCTCGTGCTAACACTATTCACTTTCTTTTCTCGGGACTTGGTTAATTTCAAACAAGAAATCAACGTGTCATCTTCATCTTCTGAATGACAAAGAAATAGGTTAAAAACTATGATTATAATTCTTCACATATAGGAATTATTCTTCCATTTATATAAGAGAAATAAATACACTGCAATGGATAAACCAAGAAGTCATTCAATTTTATAAAATTATTTACAGCAGCATTTATTTAAAAAGCAAGTTATTTTGCTATATAAAATTTTTTGTTTTGTAAAAGTCGCATTTTTCTGACATTTTTGAAACCATAACAATTGATTAAATTCTATCTCACTGGAAAGAATGGAGGCCACATACAAATAATATGCTGAAAGATATTTGAGAAAAAAATACAATTAAAAAACCCACCTCTTATGTTTCTATTCTTAAATATTTTTTTAATTTTTAAGGTCATGTGTATAATAAAGAATTATAAGGAAATAAATAAAATTATTTGCCCTACTTAAAAGAATAAAATCTCAGTGGTTTGGACTGAAATCCTACTGACATTCTGAAATTGTCTATTTTAATATCAATCTACCAAGAGATGTATGGATGCAGTGTGTCTCACAGTGAAATGGTTTTCAAAAAACAAGAACGACAAAAATTTAAAAAAGCCATATCTGTAATACCATAAAGTTCATTTGTGAGATCTATATTTACACAATGTGGCAAAGACTCTGATGAAATTTCTAGTAATGTAGAAAACAGTTACAGAAAATAGAAATATATATCACCCAGAGTCAATTGCTCTATGTCATGGAATCCCTTTAAATCCAAACGTTTAATGGGTATTTTTAAAAGAGTTCGATTACTTAAGGCATGCTATTATAAATAAATAAATGAAAATCAAAGTTGCATGCCATGGACATACCAATTTGTTATGCTTACATCAAAATTCAAATACATTGTTTTCTATGGCCAAGGAATGGCGACAGTGGACACTGCTGAGCTTCCTCCATTGCTCTCTCTCACTGTGTCTCGGAGCCCGGTCTTGAAGGCAAGGAGAAACGGGGCGGTGCATAAATACGGGGTAAAATTCAGGAACAGATGGGGATGTCTGTTTTAAAATAACTTGGCAATAAAAAAAAATCCTCAATGTTTAATGATTATCTTAAGACTTTATCAAAATGGGCTTCATTAACGTATGCTTCCTTAGTTCTCCCTCAAAGGAGTTTTAACAGCTTATTGAGTTCTTACTTACGGAGGTTTATTAATGTCGGTTTCACCTCATCCAGATTCTGCACTCTGGCTTTCTTAGTCCAAACCAGTTTCTGTAGTCGCTTTAATGTCCCCATTGATTCCACAGGGTCACTGCCTGATTTTATGGCCTAGCACAAACACAGCTCAAGGTAAAGACAAATTATTCCTCACAAAAGATTAAATATAAAATATGTTGAGATCATAAATGTGGAAAAATTAATAATGTGACCTTAAAACCTGAAGCCTGAGTCAATTTAAGCACTAACTTGAAAGCACACCATACTTTTTGGGTTCAAAATTATAAAATATGTTACAACTGGCCAGGCATACTAAAGCAGAGTGGTTTTACCATTTTTTTTTTTTACTTCAAAATACAGCAAAATGGATTGAATTCAGAAATATCTATAAATGACTCACTCCTGCCCACTGTGAAACAGCGGAAAAAAACAAGATCTTTGCAGTGTAATATAGATGGAACAAGAGGTTCAAAGTTGCTATTTGCTAGTATTGGAATAGACTGATAGTATACAAAGTCTACCTGCTAATATTAGATAAAGCAGAATTTAAATAGTCTTCATTTTCTTTTTGGAAATTTGTGGACAAACAACATTTGTTTCAAGTATGAAAATTTTTCAAATAACATACTTTTAAAAAAATAGCCTCTTGCTTTCTAGAAGATATGCACTAAGTGAAACAAAAGATAGCCACAGCATACCACATCATGTTTTAGAATATGTGTCACTTGTTTATTATGACAAAATATGGACAAAATATAATTAACATTGCATTAATGACTCTTGTTTTCTTTAAAAGATTCAGGAATGTTTCCCACTAGTTTACTGTTGAATTTGTATTTATACAGCTTTTACTTATTATCTTAAGTATAGTTCCTCTTAAGGATTTCAAAATACTTTGGAAATTAACTCTTTGTGTGCTAAGTTTTATAGGAATTGATAAAAATCATTGTGTTCTGTTGAATTCACTAGATGTGATGTAATACATATAGGAATACTTTTTCATCCAGAAAGTTCTAGACTCAGAAATATTTCTCCACCTGCTTTTGTCTCATTCTTTCCATTGAACAGCTGATAAATAGCATCTACAAAGACACTGCAGTTTTCAAGAGGTGAATATTTGCTTCCTCATTAATGTTTGAATGAGACATATTTATAATAATGCTTTCCAATCCTTTTAAGGAGACTATAAGCCCAAATAAATGTTTGGAAGTAAAGGATATCTGACATGCAACATTTCCAATCTTTATACTCAGCTGTTATCTTTGTTCTTTAAGAATGACTTTGCACAACCAGTATAAACTTGTTGATCTGTCTCTGCAAAATAGCACTTACGTAGGAAATGTGACGTTTTTGTCAGAGGAACCCTACCTTTTTGCATTAAATAAGTGGGAAAATATTGAAATCATTTTAATCTTTCAGAAAGGACTGTGATGAGATATGCTTAGAAGCACAAAATCTTCCCTCTCTTTCCAAAGGCCATGCTCTGCTCAACACAATTTCTATTGCTGTTTATTTTTTTGTATTATTTCTCAGTGTTTCTTTTAGTGCTTTCTGAGTTACTTGATTTTATAGACCCTTTACAACTCAGGAAAGGCCATTTTCTACTCTTTAGACCCTTTCAGAAATAATAAGATGACATTGCACAACCATTTTTTCTTTGTTGTGCTTCTATTCTTATGGCAACTTCTTGTTACAGCCAAAGCTTAATTGCTCCACTGAAACACTGGCAACAAAAATCGTCTTCTCTTCTCCCTTTGTGAAAAAGGCTTTCACTTAATGTGGAGAAAGGTATTATATACCAGGGAAATGGAACTTTGTATAAATGATTTTCCCCCAAGAGGAACTAAAGCATTTGGAAGGTATCTGAATTCAGGTAAGTAAGATCTCATGTCCTAGAGGTTTTAAAACAAACTGACCTTTCATTATTTTGTTCACATTCTATTGTAGCCTTTTTAAAGCATGATATTGTTAATTTTTGTATCTTTATTCACTTTGAGTTACTGGACATCAGTCTACTGCATTTTATTTATTTTTAAAAATCCTATGTGCCTAGGATTGTACATGGCTTAATAAATATGTACTGAATGTAAATACAATCCTAATTTTATACATGTTTTATATACAAAATGGAGTATCCATAGTACATGTTTGATACTAGACTCATTACTTTCTAGTAGCAAATTATTTCTGGACAACCTCCTCTTGTTAATAGGTACTATATATCCAAGGGATGAAATTTAGAGTTAATATTATTATAAAAGGTATAGAATCATTACAACTATGTATTAAAAAGAAAATGTATTCAGATTAAAAATACAGCCAGGTGCAGCAGCTCATGCCTGTAATCCCAGCACTTTGGGAGGCTGAGGTGGGCGGATCATGAGGTCAGGAGATGGAGACCATCCTGGCCAACATGGTGAAACCCTGTTTCTACTAAAAATACAAAAATCAGCTGGGTGTGGTGGCATGCACCTGTGATCCCAGCTACTTGGGAGGCTGAGGCAGGAGAATTGCTTGAACCCGGGAGGCAGAGATTGCAGTGAGCCGAGATCGCACCACTGAACTCCAGCCTGGGTGACAGAACGAGACTCCATCTCAAAAAAAAAAAAAAAAGAAAAAGAAAAAAAAAGAAAAATCCTCAAATATTTTTCAAATAATAACCCTATTTATCTCAATTCTCTTATCCATTACCTACATATTTGTACTGAATGTGATTGATTAAGTTTTATAGTAACATACCTTTTAAATTTTAAATGTGTTCTAAGAAGATTAACCCATAAATTAAACCTAGCATTCAACAAATCAATAAACTTTTATTTGAGCACCTAGTAAATGCCAAGCACTATCTCACATTCTGGGGATATGGCATAGAGGAAGTAATATGAGATCACAGTTTTTATCAAGTCTAATTCTAGAGGGAGGTGACAGGCGATAAACATATAAACAAGTATATAAACATAAGAATGTGACATAAGAAATGCTGTATTAATAATTAACAGGGTGATTAGTGAGGATGCAAAAAGAGGGTTTATTAATATACTGATCAGGAGGAGCTTCACTGAAGATACTAAAGCTGAGGCCTGAATGATGAGAAGGAACCAGATATGTGAAGATTTAGAGAGGGTTTAGAATTCAGCAGATGGTCAGAAAGAATATTTCACCTGAGACTTGCATTGGAGAAAAAGTCAGCCAGGCAAGTAGCAGAGAGAAGAGAAGTCTTGGAACACAATACAGTTTGCAAAGGTTCTAAAGCTGGAATTTCTGGAAGAATGCTTAGTATGTGCCCATGAAGGGAAAGAAAGGAAGAGTACCAAGAGATGAGCCCAGAGAATAACAGAGATCCTTCCAGGAAGCTTCTGTAGAGCAGGTTGAAGAATATGGAATATCTAATCAGAGGGTGATACAACTTGGTTTACAGTTTTGTTCTTCTCTCTCTACTGAATTTTGATTTTCCATTTCAATGGACTCTTCCCAATAGCATTCAAATGTGCTTCATGTTATTCATCTTTACTTCACCATCTTTTATTTACCACTTTTTCTATTCTTCTTTGATCCTAGGCATTTGTATCAAAAATGTGAACTATGTATGCTTCCTTTAATTCTATTAACTTCTCATCCTTTTAATCTATCTCATCTATCAGCTTTCATCTCTACCATTCCCTTTTAATTGTCATTTTGATCTAATGAGCCATTCTTAAACTCCTTTACTATTTGATATTCAGCAATGTTGACCACAGTGACCTTCTGGAAACACTCTCTTTTCTTGGCTTCTGTGACACCATGTTCCTCTGATTTTCCTTTTGCCTTTTTTGGCCCTTCCCTCTATAACTCCTATATGCTGACACCTTCCTTTTCTTGAAATTAAATTTTGAAATTACTTAAGGATTAACCCTGGCCTTTTATCTGATATCACCACCATTCTCTTCTCATGTGCATGCATGCACACATACCACTTTTAATATCACTTATATGCTAATGACTCCCAATTTATTTCTTTCCCCAGGCCTCTCTGCAGAGCTTCAGACTCACATATCCAACTATGTATTTAAAACAATTTTTTTGTTGTTTTATCCATCACCTTATTTATTTATTTATTTATTTTTTAAATTTTTTTTATTACACTTTAAGTTTTAGGGTACATGTGCACATTGTGCAGGTTAGTTACATATGTATACATGTGCCATGCTGGTGCGCTGCATTAGGTATATCTCCCAATGCTATCCCTCCCCCCTCCCCCCACCCCGCAACAGTCCCCAGAGTGTGATATTCCCCTTCCTGTGTCCATGTGATCTCATTGTTCAATTCCCACCTATGAGTGAGAATATGCGGTGTTTGGTTTTTTGTTCTTGCGATAGTTTACTGAGAATGATGATTTCCAATTTCATCCATGTCCCTACAAAGGACATGAACTCATCATTTTTTATGGCTGCATAGTATTCCATGGTGTATATGTGCCATATTTTCTTAATCCAGTCTATCATTGTTGGACATTTGGGTTGGTTCCAAGTCTTTGCTATTGTGAATAATGCCGCAATAAACATACGTGTGCATGTGTCTTTATAGCAGCATGATTTATAGTCCTTTGGGTATATACCCAGTAATGGGATGGCTGGGTCAAATGGTATTTCTAGTTCTAGATCCCTGAGGAATCGGCACACTGACTTCCACAATGGTTGAACTAGTTTACAGTCCCACCAACAGTGTAAAAGTGTTCCTATTTCTCCACATCCTCTCCAGCACCTGTTGTTTCCTGACTTTTTAATGATCGCCATTCTAACTGGTGTGAGATGGTATCTCATTGTGGTTTTGATTTGCATTTCTCTGATGGCCAGTGATGATGAGCATTTTTTCATGTGTTTTTTGGCTGCATAAATGTCTTCTTTTGAGAAGTATCTGTTCATGTCCTTTGCCCACTAAGCACAGTCAGAACTGACCTCTAGAACTATGCTCCAAATATGATGCTCATCCCATCTTCTTCAACTCAGTGAAGGCCATCTTCATCCACCCAAGTGCACATTCCATAACTAAGAGTTTCATCTATTCTATCTTCAAAATGTATCTTGAATGTCCATAACTAAGAGTTTCGTCTATTCTATCTCCAAAATGTATCTTGAATGTTTCTTTTTCTCCATCTCTATTGTTACCAATCTAGTTTAATTTTCTTTCATTGAAACTACTGTCAAGTCTCTAATTGGTTTTCTTTTCACTTTTGTCTTTGTAATTTAGAGTCTTCTTTGAAAGATATAAATTTCCATCAAAATGGTAATTATATGTTAATGTAAATGTAATTTTTCATATGTATATATTTAACATGTATATACTATGTATTTCATATATTTGTGTCTATAAACAGAAATATCTTTTAGTTCATTTTGCTCACTCTTCCTTAAGTAATACAAAAATTTTGTTAGAAGTGCTTGGTTAAATATATCTCATTTTCAGACACTTTGCTTGAATATTAATATTAGAGAATACTTTTTAGAAGATAGCATCAATGAATTATTGAACTGGATTAGTCCTACGATCATATTTTATGAGCTAGGATGGAAATTATTAGACATCTAGTCTACCAGGCTATATAAAAAATGAGAAAACTCAGAGAAGTTAAGTGGCTTACTCAAGGAAAGATAATTTATTAATAATAGAGTTGGGATGGAAATCAAGTATTCTGACTTTTAATCCAATGTTCTTTCTTACAAGATCTTTAAATGCCAGCATAATTACTAGTTATCTAGTATTGACAGCCAAATTAAGACCAACCAAATTCAGGGAATTTATTTGGAGGTTAAATATGGCTTTCCAAAACAGAGGATAAGTATCAGGTACTTTCAGATTTATAGGCCTATCCTCTTAAATATACATAATTAAGAAGGAAATATATAAATATATGTGTGTGTACGTATGTATATACCTACATATATTTGCTGGAAAGGCATTTAAAGCTTTTAAATCTCTCTTGATTTTATCACTTCCTTTTAAAGAAGGAAAATTTAGGCTTATGGAGACTAACAAAATCCAGATTGCGTTATCTGTCTGAATTATGTTCTCTTTACTCCACTAATGAAAAGATAGCTGAATAACACGTCAGACTTGAATGAAGTAAAAAACAAAACAAAACAAAGCAGAAAACCCTTTGTTTTTGCTCTTCTTCTTAATTTCTGATTTGGAAAAATTTTCCTCTCTAGTGTCATATTTAACAAATATTCAAATAACAAATCCTAATAACCTGATGTCTATCTCACATAATTTCTTCAACAGGAGAAATGGAGTTTTTCAAAAATTAATATTTTGGTTTATTTTTAAAGAAAACTGTAATGGAAACCGAAACTTCAAGTAGTTTCATATGTATCACATTGACAGTTTTCTCTAAGTTTTCCGGTCTTATGACTCGTTGTTTCATTATTAAAACTGTGCCAGTGTATGCATAGGGCTTAGAAATTTTTTAATGCTCCCATGTATTAAGTGAAAAACCAGAATGTAAATTTGTATAAAAAGTACAAACACCATTATATGTGGCCTTTTTCTATCTTTATATATTCTACTCTTCTTAGTTTTCTACAGTGAAGATGTGTTAGTTTTGTAATTAGCATAATTGGGAGAATTTTTTTTTCTTTTAAGACACAGGGTCTTGGTCTTGCTCTGTCCACCAAGCTGGAGGCTGGCGTGCATTTGCATGATAAGAACTTACTGTAGCTTTGAACTCCTGAGCTCAGGAGGTCCTCCCATCTTAGCCTCCCAAAGCCCTGGGACTACAGGCACGCACCATCATGCCCGGTAATTTATTTTATTTTATTTTTTGTAGAGATGAAGTCTCACTATGTTGCCCAGGCTTGTCTTGAACTCCTGGCTTTAACCAATCCTCCTGCTTCAGCCTCCCAAAGTGCTGGAATTACAGGCGTGAGCCATCACATGTGGGAAGAAATTCTATAAACAACTACAAAATGTATTTAGAAGGCAGATTTCAATAATCCAATCTATCCTTGCTAAGGACAGAAGTATTCAATTTTTTCTACTGGTAATTTGTTCTTAGCCACTTGAATGGGAAGGTGCTTAGAGACAGGAAGAAGAGAGCTACTTTCATGGTAAAACAAAATAAAGAAGAGGTTTTAAATGTTGAATTATTAAACCCCTAAATCTATATCTTCATTTCCTCCTATATAAAAGTGACTAGTCTCTATTCATGACCTAAAACATATTCTAAAAAGATAATTTTTAAGGTCACAATGATCAATAAACATTTAGAAACTCAATGGACAGTAATAAAACCAATGGGATTATGAACTAGAATTGATCAATGCAAACACATGAAAACAAATACATTTCACTTCAGAGGTTTATTTTATTGCTTTCTTGGAAATACAATTAATTAAAAAGACAATTTAAGATAATTTATGCAAATGAAATATTGATTGAAGAAATAATTACAGTTGGTGGGAAAATTGCCATGTTGACATTAGATATTCGTATATCATTATAATTTTAAAAATTATTATTTTTCAGTGATAGAAACTGAACTTAAACTAAGATTGGAAAAACACAATAAAGCTAGGCAAAATTTTAAGTCATCAAATAAATGAGTAATTGAATGAATTAGTTAATAAAATCAAATATATTCTCCTGGAAGGCTTATAAGACATTTATTTATTCATTTATCAGATGAGGACCTAATTTATTACTGAGGACCTAATCTACGGGAGGTGCAAAGAAGAATGAAATATTGTGTCTGCCTGTGATGCACATTGCTTAATATGAATACTAAGAAAAATAGTCATCTGTTTCTGTTCCTGTCCCCCTCACTGCAAGGTGATTTCTTTGGGGTTCTAGTACTGTTTTACACATATCACTTCCTAGAGTCAGTATGGTCAATAAATACATTCAATCTCAACAGCAGGCCAAAAATACATCTGGAGGAAAAAGTAGATGTGTCATATGAGAACTACAAATAAAATTCAATGATTATTCACAGGAGAAAGATTGCATAAGGTGAGAGTAGGGAGAAGAAATGTGCTTGGCTAGAGGATTAGCAGGTATTTAAGAAGCTAAGCAGTATAATTTAGGTTATCTAACAAAGCCATTTATGTAATAGTCTTATTCCACTGTAAAAACACTAAAACCCTTTCAAGTCCTAACATGATATTCTAGCTCCTCCTTCCTCTCAAGCAGATTTTGATGTGCATAATTCTGGTTTTGGAATAACATGCCCTCTGAGAACACAGTAAAAAAAGAAAGGAGTCTTTCAGAAGCCACACAGGCCCAATTTTCCATAGTATAATGAAGTCGCAATGTCACTGCCATTTCTCCACTTCTGCAGGGGAAGCCAAGACTGCTTTTTGCTCACTGACCTATAGCTTTGGGTCAGTCTTTGAATGTGGACACACTGCCAAGCTAGCTGGGAGTTGCCAGGATTACACAAACCAGCATTGCAAATGGGGGTTGTGTTGATTTAAGAGAAAAGGCCACAGAAGCCACATCTTTCTTACTTCCTGCGTAATATCCTCTGCTCTGAAATTTTGAAGAAGTTTCTAGAACTACTCATAAGAACATTTCTGTTTCTGGGTACACCTCCTAGCTGACCAAAAATTATGAACAATAGGAAATTTAAGAGCCAGTATGCAAATTAATTAATTTTTATTAAGTATCTATTGGATTCTTAGCAAGAAGAGGAGCTATGAATGGAAAATTACACAGTAAAAAAACATTTTTATCTAATATTTATTTCATATACACAAGAAATGTTAAGAAAACCTAGAGTAAGAACCTGCCCTTGTGTGCCGACTAATGATTGTTCTGCTTTGAAAATCTGCTTTGTGACTGGCCATGTGAACTTGAGTGAGCCACTTCTCCTCTCTGCACTTCAGCCCTTCATCTTTAAATTGAAGGATTGGATCACAGGAATTCATTGTTCCTCAAATATCCTTGGGGACATTTGACTACATAAGTATCTTCTTTTGTTACTTTACATAAATTCTTGAGCCTTAGAAAAATATCAAGGAAAAAGTGAGAATGACCTACTGTTAATCACAGATTATCAGAGTCTAAAGAAATATTCTCTACTCCAACATTTTACTTCAAAAATGTGGAAACGGAAATGCAGAAATACGAATTAAGTGGCCTAAGAGCACAGTCCGTGGTAGAGCCAAGTCCTGCAATCTAGTTCTCTTGCTTCTGTTTCTAATTAAGGAATTTCATAATCCTCCCAAATGTATAGCTTTATTTTCATCTGAAAGTCCTGTTAGTATTTACTGAGGTTCATTTGTTTGTTTCCCACAGCTTTTTGATATTTAACTAGTCATTAAAAACTCAGATAGCATGAGAAATAGCAAGGGCAGATCTCAATAATTTTCTTTTAGGGAACAGAAGTAATATTTAAATCATAACTTTCCATCACCTCTTCCTCCTACCTAGCACAACTTAGACATCTCTTAGACAAAAAAATACATATAGTTGAAAAGAAAACTATTATAAAAACTTAGATGTTAATAACATGTTAATAATATTGGGGAAGAGAGAGCTATAAATAAAGATATCAAAACTTTTGTATTCATACCTACATAAAGAAACATGATTTACTAAGAGTAGTTATTTCTCACAAAATTACAGTTACATTTTGGGAAGCAATGGTCAAATAAGTTGCAAACATTAGCTTGTAGTGTTCTGAAGCCATCTAGAACAAGAACTACAAATAGGACTTATAGTTGTTTCATATCAATAATGCTATAATACTTGTTGATGTATGTGAATATCCTGGAAATTTGCCTGACCTTCTAAAACATGTCCTTTCCATGAACTTCTGTTTAGCAATATCTCAACAAGGAAAGGAAGGCAGTTGATGTGATTTTAATATCATAAGGGAGAGCTGGCACACAGAGATACTTTTTAAAAAATGGTTTTACTATATTTCATTCTATGGACTATAATCCAATTAATTACTTGATTTCCTTTTATGGCATACTCATGCTGTTTCCAAGTTCTCTTTTTTAGCAATGCTATAATGATGTACACTTCTCCCAGAAACATGGGATAACACCTATTTCCCCCAAAATCAGACGACATGCTTTTTAACATTATAAATTTTTTCCTATCTCAGGAAAAATTGCTAAATTTTAGGGAAAATTTTTTATATAACAACCTTTCCTTCTTTGAAGGAAATGCTTTATGTTCCTTTTAGTTCAGAAAACCACTCAGTAAGGACAAGCCTCTATTTATGTTCTTTAGAAACACTTCCATGTGGCAGCTGAAAACAGAAGTAATAAAGAACTATAGAAAACAGTGCTTGTGGCATTAAAATGAGTGGAAAAGAGATGGGAAATCCACTTAAATAGTTACATCTGGGAAGAAATGTCTCACCAGTTCATCAACAGTGGTCTCAACATGTCTTTGATAGTGAAATGGACTCCAACATTCAGAGGTCACCTTAGAAATTAGAAAAGGAAATAGAGACAACTAATGTTAACATTCTTTAAAAAACAAAACAAAAAAACTCCACAAAGCTACCAAACTAATTGGGAAAGGATTCGCTGTCTTAATTAGAAATAATTATCTTGTTATCAAAGTACACTGATTAATGTTTCATCAGTGACTTCATCTGCATATATACACATATATAGACAAATATGGAATATGTGTATGTATACATAGTATATACACATTATATATCCATATATGTGTGTGTGATATGTGTATGTGTCTATGTGTATTAGATTCACTCCTCAGCCCTCACATAGAGCAATTCCAATCCATGATCTCACATTTAGAAGGGTTGGTGGAAAGGGGGGATCCCGAATGTTTTATGAAGCAGCCCACTCTAATCCCTTAGTGCTCTACATTATTAGGTACACAATGGACATCCATTTTAGATACTCTAATTGAGTTTAAACTCAAGCCAAATACACATTTGGATTAATATCTCAAGTCATAGTGTGGGATGTCTTTTATTACATTTGGTACCTGTCAGTGTAACCTTCTAACTGTCAGCTTCTACTCCTTTTGAAAACTTTATGTACCTGATATCAAACAATTTCTACCTAGGGCACTTCAGGACTGCAGCAAAGGGCATTTGATGGAGTCTATAACAGGTAATAAAATGGTGCTGTGGTCTGAATATTTGTGTTGCCCCCAAATTAATATGTTGGAATGTAATACACAATATGATAGTGTATTAGTCCATTTTCACATTGCTGTGAAGAAATACCTAAGACTGGGTAATTTACAAAGAAAAGAAGTGCAATTTGCACACAGTTCTACAGGCTGTACAAGAAACATAGTGGCTTCTGCTGTAGGGGAGGCCTCAGGAAGCCTCCAGTCATGGTGGAAGGCAAAGGGGGAGCAGGTTTTCTTACATTTCAGGAGCAAGAGCAAAAGAATGAAGGCGGAGGGGCTACACACTTGTAAACAACCAGATCTCATGAGAACTCACTTACTGTCATGAGAACAGCTCCAATGGGTTAATGCTAAACCATTCATGAGAAATCCAATCCCATGATCTAATCACCTCCTACCAGGCCCCACCTACAACACCAGGAACCACAGTTCAACAGGAGATTTGGGCAGGAACACTTACACAAATTATATCAGATTGTATTAAGAGGTGGGGCTTTTGCGGAAGTAACTAAGTCATGAGGGCCCTCATGAATGGAATTAGAGCCCTTATAAAAGTGGTTGAGGGGAGCTGCCTTGCTCCCTTTTTGAAGCAGACACTGAATCTGCTGGTGCCTTGTCTTGGACTTCTCAGCCTCTAGAGCTGTGGGAAATATGTTTCTGTTTTTACAAATTACCCAGCCTAAGGTACTTTGCTATAGCTGCCTGAAAGAACTAAGACAAAGGTGATTTCAAATTTTATTCTGAGGAGAGTCTGCAATGAGATTAAGAGGAATTTAGAGACAGGGAAATATGAATATTCATTAAACATCTTGAGGGAGTATGCTCCTTTATTTAAATATTTATGACAATCGCAAGAAGTTTTATTGTCACTATTTTACACATAAGGAAATTGAAGCACAGAGAGTTTAAGCAACAAGTTTAAAGTCCAGTGTTTTTACTCATATAAATGTAAGGCAAGTTTGGTTTCCATAAAGTCTAAACCCCAGCAGAATTCTGGAGTTCTAGCACACAAAATATAGCCAAAGAGCAAGAGGTTTGAAGCAGAAAACTGACAAAGTAGCTGAAGTGACTGCAACAAGTACTAAGTGGTTGGATTTTATTTTTGACACAGTATATAAGAGTGCATTTACTAGCCATTTTCTGGGCTGCGAAATTCCTTTTTAAAAATGCATGAGAATGATGCTAAGGAATACCAAATAAGTCCTCTCAATCTTTTAGGGAAATCAAAAAGTAAAACACCCATACATTTATGGAGTTCATTCATAAAAATTATTTGTTAGAATCAAGTATTTCCTCTTTTTTAAATAAAAGCTAAATGTAGAGTTGCTTAAACTCTCTTCTTTAAACGTGAAAGTACACATCATTAATGCAGTATAACTTCGGATAAGGAAATGAGAGAATCCAATATGATCTTAATTTTATTTCACCGGAAACAAGAGATTTGCATTCCATTTTAATAACCTGTTTCTTTAATACCAACAAAAGCCACTCTTGAAAGTCTTCTACTATTAAAGAGGAGATTAGATTTTTTTTCAAGATAACGAAATATAGCCCTATATTCTTTCTACCTGCAAAATAAGTTATAATCCTGCTCTTTGGAAGTAGAAAACTTCTCTGTCTATAACCTCAAAATACTATTAGGTAGTTCTAGTGGTTTTAAAATACACTCACAAATTCTTTTACACTGAAGAGGTCTTCAGAAGGTGGAACCTAAGACTGCCCCTCACCCTTAGTGTGAGCTGGATTTAGTGAGTTGCTTCTAACAAATAGAATAAAATGGAAGTGATGATGTTTAACTTCTGAAATTAGATCTTAAAAGGAATTGTGGCCTCTTCTTGTTCTGTGTCTTAGATACTCACTCTGGGGAAACCAGATGACATTCTGCGAAGACACTCAGCCTCATGGATAGACCAAAGTGGCAAGGGACCTATCCCTGCAGTCAATTCCCATAAAAAAACTGAGGTCACCTACCTATAGCCATGAGAGGGAGTTAGAAACAAACCTTTCAGCCCCAGTCAAGCCTTCAGATAACACCTTGAGCGACACTAACCACCTGAGATTATAACCACATGAGAGACTCTAAGCTAGAAATGCCCAGCTATACCACTCCCCAACTCCTGACCCACAGGGACTGTGAAATAATTTTTTTTGTTTGTTTTAAGCCCCTAAATTTTAAAGTAATTTGTTATGCGTCAATAGATTTGTAATACAATAGTTAAAAGTCATATAATGGATAAGAAAGTACTTGAAATAAGAAACATTGATCAATACACAATATCATTATTTTGTCATAATATAATCATGTCATACATAAAGACTATCATTTGGTTGACACTGTCATTTTGGACTCTTTTTGTTTGTTTGTTTTCCCCCTTTTAGATTGTTCACACTTTTGTTTAGAACTCCCTCAAATCTGTCTGATAAAACCTAGTGAAAGACCTGTCTCTCCTGCTTGTTAATATATCACAGCATAACCTTAAATTATTTCTCCAGTGACCCAGCGTTGTGACCTCAGTTAAGCTCATGAAAAATTGGTCCCATTTTGTCCATTCTACACGCATCTCCCAAAAATTGTGTGCTATGTTGGATACAGTTTTAATTCTGTACATAGCCAATGGGATGTGTATGGCCAATATTTTATTTGTTAGTAATCCAATTTTCATCTTAAGGACTAAATGACTAACTCTAAATGCTGGTTACACTACATGAGAACTGAAGGAGGCTAGTTTAGTTTGTGCAATAAGAGGTGAGTCTAGACACTGTTTAACTGTGGACACAGTTTTGTCTGATTGCTTACATAGAGCAGAGTTTAGCATTAGCAAAAGTGATTGTTTTAAAAATAAGGTATCAGAAATGTATTCGGCTTTGAGGAAGAGAATAACCAACAGTGGTGGCTTAAACAAGTATGGGGCTTATGTTTCTGTAAAATAGAAGTGCAGACATAGGGTTTCCAACCCGGGTGCCGCTTCTCAAGGATGTCCTCAGTGAATCAGGCTCTATGCATGTGCCTGTTCCACCATCCTTCATGTGTGCCTTTGCCTCACGGCTGGAAGACAGCTGCTGACTTACCAGGTATTACATCCAGCTCCAGGCAGGAAAGAGAGCAAAAAACAAAGCTTTATCCTCATGAGACTCTGCCTTATTTTTTTTATTTTCCAGAAAAGAAAGTCCTCCTCTGGAATTTCTGACTATATTTCATTGGCCACAACTGGATTCCATGGCCACCCCTAACTACTGGGGAGGCTGAGAATTCAAATGCTGAAAATTGCAATCTCCATAGTGAAAGACACGAAGAAAGAAATTGATTGAAATGGGTTAATTAATTCAATTAGCAACACTTTTTCTCAGCAAAGGAGCTGAGAAAGAAAATGTTTTGGTTCAGTCCTGGGTAGGGGTGCTTGACAGTGCTTAATATCACCAGCACTGAAGGTAATAAATATTATCTCTCTTTTCTATCATGAATATGAATGATACTCTGAAGGCTGAATGCAACCTCAGAATTTAAGTGAGAAATGAGGCATGCAACACTTTTGAAAATATATTAGCCCAAAGTCTGTATTACTGCATATTTTATTCCCCTTTTAATATGCTACAAAAGGTTTGAGCCATCAGCTGAATGCTGCCAGAGAAGAACAAACAAGAACAAGAATGCAAAAATAAATGCTGGGAGTCAAGTTTTCCCAAGATGTTCTTTATAGTTGGTGTATGATCACATTTCTAAGCAGACTGCTTTGCTTCAAGCTCTACCCATCAGCACTTCTTCCACAAGCCTGGTTCTCCAGGAAGTTTATCCCGGGCTAACTATGCAGAAATATACGTGGGGCAAAGTGGGTACTGGAGAAAGCATTCCATGAACTCCTTCTTTTGCCCTGCTACCTGATTCTGTGTAACTTCTTCCATGCCTGAGATCTTCTCTTCCATTTTGAGAACATGAAGGAAACATGTTTGCTTAAGTACGTTCTGGTTGGGAATTAAATATTTAATTCTGATCATTTTTAGTGTCTGAAATATATTTCGTAAGCATGGTCATATGATAATTATAACTATAAAATGTTTTACATTCTACAAACTTTATCCCATGTTACTAATATTCAGGAAATGATCATAGGAAAATATTTGCACTAGGATACTATTCATTATTTTAACTCTTTCTATTTATACATAGTTTTAAGAAATTCTACAATGAATTTATATCATCTTCATAATAGGGAACAAAAATAAACTTCACTTTTTCCATGAGGCTGTTGTCTTCCAAGACCATACCTAAGCCAAGTTTGGGTTTATAAAGTCAAAATCATGAGATATCCCATCTGTGAACAAATACTCATGGCTATAATTTGGACGTTTGTTGTTTCCAAACTTCATGTTGAAATTTGACCCTCAATATTGGATGTGGGGTGATATGGTTTCATTGTGTCCTCACAAAAAATCTCATCTTGAATTGTAATCCCCATAATTCCCACGTGTCAAGGGCGGGATCAGATGGAGGTAACTGGATCATGGAGGCAGTTTCCCCCATGCTGCTGTCATAATAATGAGTGACTCTCATGAGATCTGATGGTTTTATAAGCATCTGGCATTGCCCTTGCTTGCACTCACTTCATCCTGCCACCCTGTGAAGAAGGTGCCTGCTTCTCCTTAGCCTTCTGCCATGGTTGTAAGTTTCCTGAGGCCTCCCCAGCAAGGCAAAACTGTGAGTCAATTAAACCTCTTTCCTTTATAAATTACTTAGCCTCGGGTATTTCTTCATAACATTGTGAGAGAGGACTAATACATGGGGCCTAATGGCAGGTGTTTGGGTTATGGGGCTGAATCCTTCTACAATAGGTTAATGTTCTCCCTCAGTGGTGAGTTCTCACTCTATTAGTTCCTGCGAGAGCCAGTTGTTTCAAAGAGCTAGGGGTGCACCTCTCCCTGCCTTGCTTCCTCTTTTGCCTTGGAATCTCTGGGTCCCCTTCACCTTCAGCCATGAGTGGAAGCAGCCTGAGACCTTCACCAAATGCAGATGCCCAATCTTGAACTTTCCAGCCATCATAATTGTGACCCAAATAAACCTTTTTCTTTATAAACTACCCGGTCTCAAGTATTTCTTTATTTTGTTTTTATTATTGTTTCTTTATTTTGTGTTGTATTATTGCAACACAAAATGGACTAAGACACTCACCAACTCTCTTGAATTCAAGAGTTTCATGGTTTGTGTACTGAATATTGTCACATAAAAATACCACTTCCTAGGCTCCAGTCATGACGATCCAGGTGAACAGGAGTATGGCACCAAAGTCTGCCTTTTTAAGTAATACTCCAGTTGAGGCTGATACAGACAGTTCTCAGATACACTTGGAAAAACACTTATCTGATAGTCATTTGTTCACTGATGGAAGGCCAAGTTTCATGCCATAGTCCACTCTTATGCACACTGACAAGCCACTTTGCTACTCACACCAGCTTCTCCATTTGACAGTGGCTGCCTCTCTTCCCCATCTTTCAACAGATAGTTTGCATCTCCTTCTCCTCAGTCACAAGGAGTTAATAAATTAATATTTTGCATAACACTCTTTGTTAAACTATTCTGTCATATAGATAAGTGTTTCTTAGTTAAATTCAATTGAATGTCTACTGTGAATAAAATTTAGATAAGACCAGTGCCTACTCCCAAACGACGATTTTTAGATTAGATGGCTCCTGCTTGTCTGTCACTAGGTATGAATTCCTTCGATCTTTAGTGATACACTACATGTCACAGTTGAATGGTTACCATTTGGAAGCACCATTTCTTGCCCAATTTTAACCTTCAGAAGCATTGTTGTTAGGGTAAAGATTTATCTTTAACCATTTTATTCAAAGAACTTTCTATGTTACTTTCTTCTTTCCACGAAACGGGTCTATTTTTCTACGAAAAACCTACAGAAGGATTTCCTCTTGGCAGAAGGCATGTCTAGTGAGCTATTCCAGTAAACCAGCTGTTATTTTTCTCCTGGCCAGCAGACAATGCTTCACTTAGATATTATATCTGAGGTCTCATCTGAATTTAGGAAAATGAGACTGCTTGTTTCAGAGATAATCTTCCAGCTGTGCTTGTGCAAGTCTTATTAAGCCCTTGAAAGAGTAAGAGGAGAAGGAGGGTGAGGGAGAAGAGGAAGAAAAGAGGAGGAGCAATGACAACAAATGAATTTTTGAAAGTATGTCTTAACTACCAGACATAGAACTATAGTGTTTTAATGACAGGTCTCACTGAATCCCATGAAAGTACTGAGATATTTTTTATAGATGTATTTTACAGATGATAAAAACAGAGGCAGAGAGAGTCTAAGTAAATTGCACAATGCCACATAGCTACTAACAGTCAAAGCAAGATTCAAACTGAGCTCTGTCTGATATCAGAGCTCTCATCCATGCACTGTGGGAGAACCCACTGGGAGATACTACAAGGGCAATGTGTTATCACATCTTGTAGCATAGGCCTATCACTCTGGTAGCATCAGAGCAGTCAGCAGAAACTCTAGTGGATCAAAATCATGATCTACCATCTAATTTATTGGAGGGCCTCCAATAGCCTCAGGAATCAGGCTGGATTTAGGAATGTGAGCCCCCCCTTCCTCACCAAATCAGCACTTTATAATTCATATGCTATGTACCTTCTATCCACTGCACCGAAGAAGTTCAGTTCTAAATTTTCTAATGAAACTATCAGAATGATTAAAGAGAACCTCATGGCTGTCAGAGAAAATATCAAAAGTCAGTCTGATGCCTGAATTGGCCTTGTTGACTCATATATCCTCTCTTGTTACAGGGTGAATAGCAAGTATTTGGCCATTGATTAATGTTACATTACTATTATTAGTGAGGCCAAACATTCAGACTTTTTTAATTATCCAAACTCCTGGGCTAATTAATGCAGTTTTGAAAGGGATTGGTCAGGACTCACAGTTTATGTTTTTATATAAGTGTTTAGCATAGGTCTTGACAGGAACATCCCAGTATATTAATTTAATATTCCCAGAGTTACTTATCAAAAGGCTGTACAACATGATGTTTTGCAAAATCAAAATAGTTTATTATCTTATCATCATTGAATTTTTTTCATTTATATTTCAATTCACAGGGACATAAGCATATCAATTATAAAGCAACCTATAATAACTAAATAGAAACTAGCTAAAAGGCTGTGTAAGTATTGTACACTATGCCTAATATATTACAGAGCTGAGTAACAAGACGATTTTCACAAAACACGCAAATGCTGATTATTCACATTACCTGATAGGAAGTTCCTTGTAGAGTTTTTCCTTGATAGGTATGTATGTTGTTACTTAGAAAATCATCTTCATTTAGATCTAAGAAAAGAGATAACTGTTACATACAGAATATCAGACATTACAGGATTTAGGAAGTTTCGGTGCAATTTAACACTCATGTTTTTATTTAGTCTGTAAGACATTACATTGGCTACGTCAAAAATATTTTTTTTTGTTAAATATATGCTATTTTTCTTTTTTTTTAACAAGAAACAGATCAAAATAAAATAGAAATTTAACAAAATAGGGATGCCGCTGACCATCTGTGTCCCTGAGGAAGTGATGGAAATTCACTGTGACTCCCTTTCTTGGTAATAATAGGATTGTGGACTAGCTACAAAAGCCACTTCTAACTTCAACATGCTATGACTCCATGCAGTTATCACCTCACCTGTTTCTATTAAACTAAGCTTTCCACCCCTGGCATTTTGAGCTTCATTAGCTTAGGTCTTCTCAACATGAATTATTTATGTTGAAATTGTTCTATGCATGCTTTAGTGAAAGCTTTGCAATGTAGCATCCATTTGCTTGCAGCTAAATGAAACCTTTTCAAATGCAGCAGCACTTCCCTTTTAGCTCCTGCAAATGGGAGCTTCATTTATTTAAGTCTGAAATATATGGTATGTTAAAAGAGGACAAGACTTTATGGGTCACTTAATCCAAGCCTCTTATTTTACAGATAAGGAGAGTGCAACCCAACATCACCTGGTCAGCAGACCAGGGCCGTTTCCTTTCACTTTCACTCCTATTTACTTGCAACCATTGCTTCAGTTTTCTACTATTCCTCATTCTCATATTCTGCAGTGGAAGCAGGGACAGGCAAGTCCTATCCTCCATGCACAGTGATAAATAGGTGCAGATTTTTCTCCAGATCTCCATCATAGCTATAGTTAAAAGATATGTTAAATTCACAGCTCAGTCTCAAAGTTATTTGCACCAATAACTTAATATTTAAAATGAGAGTAACCATACAACAGAATTCCAGAAAGTACCTAAATTTTAAACTGAGCTGATTTTTTGATCTGGTTCTTTGAATCAAGAATTTATGTCACAGGGTCAGGCTGCTAGAAGCTGAGCTTTTGCAGCTTGGTTTTTAGTTTCTGAACTGGGAAAAAAAAATATTGCCTCCCCTCTTATTCCTTTCCATCTTGTCTCTTTTAGTCACCTTTTTACAGGAATTTTGAATGACTCCTTCTATAAGCATTCTTCTAGGTGTAGAAAAAGAACAGTAAAGTGGCCTCCTGTGTTCTAGAATCTGGAATCAAGCTGAGAAAATAAGATACGAATATGTGCAATGCACTTTCATAACAACACAAGGCAGAAAAATGAGTGATTCACACACAATACTATGGAGAGAGACCACTATGACTCAGAGAACTTGTGGAAGAGACAAGGCCAGAATGGAAGCTTGAAGAATGGATACAGTTTGAAAAAGTGGAAGGAAAGGAAAAGGTGTAAATATAGCAGTGATTCCATGAACCCTGGCCTATTATGCAGCATAAACGGAACATGTTTAATTAAGTGTAGAGATTGAGGCTGGTTAGGCCAGAGGGCAATTCTGGATATAGAGTAAGAGGAGGTAGGGCTGGATAGGTGACTGAGGCCAAATTGTAATGGGCCCTGAGTACCAGATGGAAGAATTTGGGCATAAACCATTAGACCAATGTTGTAAATATAAATATCTACAGGAATCAAATATATAACTAAATGAAGTTAATTAGATCAAGAAGGCAATGGGAATTCTACAGTGAGCTTAAAATCCAGCTCCACAGCTAAAGAGTAGCCATGGCTCTGAGCTCTCTCAGTTGAAGTCACCTGAGACTTTGGGTCCTGGATTGGAAATTTCCCTCATGTTTTTCAAGGATATACAAATATACGGATTTTAATGTAAAATTTCCTGATTTTTAAAACGCCATATGGCCCCAAACAAGCTTTTCTTCTGAATAAATTCAGCTATAGAGGTACCATTTTACAGCCCCTGCTGTAAAAAATGGGGGACCTTTAAGGGCTGGGACTAAATTAGGCACACTTAAACCTTTGGTGTCTGGTCTTACACGTTTTTGTTTATTTATGATTCCCAAATATTACTCTCCAAAAATGTTTTATAAAGACAGAATCTATTTGGTCCTAAGTAGCAGCAAAGGCAGGAGTTGAATTAGACAATATGCAGGCTATATTTTCCAAAGTTGGCCACAACCATGCCTCCCATTCCGTGTGTTTTTTTGCAAAGTGACTTTCCCATTCCATCAAGAAATGGAGTCTAATTCTTCTCCTGTTGACTCTGGGGTGATCTTAGTGACTCACTTGTCACAGTAGAGTGCAGTGGAAGTAATATTTTGTGACTTCCAAGGTTAGGTTAAAGAAGCCTTGTATAAGCCGGGGGCAGTGGAGGACCTATATCCCAGCTGCTTGGGACGCTGAGGCAGAGGAATGCTTGAGGCCAGGAGTTTCAGATCAGCTTGGGCAACAGAGTGAGGCCTTGTCTCAAAAAGCAAAAAAACAAAAAAACAATTACAAAACAAGAAACCTTGCAGCTTCTACCTTGGGTTCTTGGGATGTTCATTCCTTGATGCTTCTTCCTGTGATGTGTGAAGCTCCCTTGAATGTTGCACACACTTGAAACCCAACCCTGAGGCTGGGAGAAGATGGAGTGACATGAAAAGGCCACATACATGTTCTGTAGTTGGCTGCCCGGCTGAGCCGGGCCTAACCTAGACTAGTTGTCAGACATGTAAGTGAAGGAGCCTCTGTATGACTCCAGCTACCAGATGTCGAAGTCCTCCCCAGTCATTCAAGTCTTCCCAAATGAAGCCTCAGACATCACATTGTGAACCAGTTCCCCAAATGAATTACTGATCTGCAAGTGTGTGAGCCTAATAAGATGTTCTTTTATACTACTAACTATTGGAATGGTTTGTTTGCCACAATAGATTATCAGAACATGCATGAACTACATGGTAGATTACCAACATCAATGTGCATAAAAATATGCCATCCAGCATAAAAATTGAGATTACAAGTGCCCTTCAAATACAGAGGCAGCAAGGGATGATGTAAAAAAGTTTTTATTTCTAATCAGCTTTTAGGTTATTCTAGCATAGATACTTCTGACCATATTAATTTTCAAATAGGCAACCATAATCTCAGGAAGAACTCCTCTGAAGAACTGAAGGATCCTAAGATTCATTTGTATAAAACACTAGAAGTCTAAGTGGTCTCATCGTTGAATTCAGAAAGCCTTCCTCGGCTATATGAGGCATCACACCATGCAGTGGGTACCCTTTCCTCAGGGAGTTTATTCCCATCTTGTAAGCAAGCATTTAGAGGTATGAAGTAGGACTTCCCTCTGGTATTCCTCATGTAGTCTAGTTTGGCCAGAGTTAAATTACCTGCTCTTAGGAAACAAGTTTTTCTAAAATTAAATGTGTGTTTCCTGAAAATTAACCAGAATGGTGAATATATTTGTGAATTTATACCATCTTTTGCCATCTTAAAATTAAGCTACTTGGCATCAGACCAACAAAGAAAAATAATTAATAAGATCTTGAAAAATTAAGCCAAAATATTTATATGCTTACATTGAAGAGGCTGGCCAAATGATATTGACTAGAATTCAGGAGAGAAATTAGGTTTCAAACCAATGGTAATTCAAATGGTGGACTAGAGTAGAAGGCCTTAAGAACACCTCTTCTTTCCCACTGGGTTCCTCCTTTTATAATTAATCTCATTAAGCCATATGTAAAGAAGATTTATTTATTTATTTATTTATTTATTTATTTATTTATTTATTTATTTTTTTGAGATGGAGTCTCACTCTGTCGCCCAGGCTGGAGTGCAGTGGCGCGATCTGGGTTCACTGCAAGCTCCGCCTCCCAGGTTCACGCCATTCTCCTTCCTCAGCCTCCCTAGTAGCTGGGACTACAGGCGCCCGCCACCACGCCCGGCTAATTTTTTGTATTTTTGTAGAGACGGGGTTTCACTGTGTTAGCCAGGATGGTCTTGATCTCCTGACCTCATGATCCGCCCGCCTCGGCTGCCCAAAGTGCTGGGATTACAGGCGTGAACCACTGCGCCCGGTCAAGAAGATTTATTTTTAAAGTAAGTTTGCAGCAGTATAGATGAAGTTAATGTTTCTCTTATTACTAACATTGTTTTCTGACTTTGTCTGGTCCCTCACTTCCCTTACTAACATATGCCATTTTTCCCCAGCTTTTTCTTGTGGAATAGTCTGTCACAGTTACACTGATTGATTGAAAAATTTCTGAATCTCCAAATATGTTTTGTTTCCTTTTTATTATTTTTTAAATGTTGATTTATTTTTATTCTTTGTACTTTCTGGTATAAAATATGAAAACTCTGTTCTTGAAATTATCTTTAATTAAATCATAACTTAATCTTAGGTAAACTCCAATTCACAGATTCAAAAGTTTGTTCTTCTCAATTCTTTTTTATAAACTCAAGTCAAAATAAATTTAAATATTTTAAAATGGACTTTAACTTACTAAAATAAATATTATAAATATTCTTCCTATCTATGATGCTGAAAATTTAACAATTAACCTGAATTATAGATTAATTTCTCCTCACACCTAAGCTATGCCAATTTTTTAGTTGTAAAGTCCTAAGCATTCAATTTATTCTACATTATTTTACAGATGTAGTCTCTTTTAATAGAACAGATGTAGGCTTAGATAAAAATCTCCTTAGAAGAAGGAAATGGACTAGATAAACTAAAAATATTTTGCATCTGGAACTCAGCTTATTCTGATAAATTTGGTCTTAACCTATATAGTACAGTCATGTTGTTGAGCTATGGATTAATACATCAGACAGAAATCTTAGCTAAATATAGCCTATGGAATTTTTTCATCAGGTCCCAATACTCTTTAGGGCTGAAATGCTATTAATATAATGTGTTAATGTAGAAATATCATTTTGAAATTGAAATTGAGGAAAATTACTTTTTTTGGCCTTGAATTTTATAAGATTGCTTAGGAGTTAATGTCACTCCTACAGTTTATTTCCCTATATATTTTCTTCTATTTTATTGAAGCCATCTTTACAATTTCATTAGTATCTAATAAAATCATGTGGGTTGTGGATGACAGCAATGATGTACTTTCCTATCTTTATCTCACTGAACTCCACAGACTGCCTATCCTCAGGCACAGGAAACTACTCTTAAGTAGTTATGCAATTAACAGCTAAAAAGGAGTGTTTAAAATGAGAAAGAAATATTTTAGGTTGATACATAGGTCACTAATTACTTAGAAATACTCTGAGCCTTCCAAATGAAACCACTATACCCATAAAATTTGAGCCTACAACTTGTGGTCTTGAATTTCTCCCTTCAATTTATAATGTTACAGACAGCCTTGGTCTCTGGCCATCAACTCTTCCTAGCATGGCATTAATTTCTAGGAAATGTCCAGTGACTCAACTGCTACTACTGAAATGTCTGCTGAGGTTCTTGGACACACACATGCACACGCACTCGCTGAACATGCATGGTCACTCAAGACCCTGAGAAATATCAAAGCTGGGAAAAATTCTGTAAAGCCTTTCTTTCTTCCTTCTCTGACAAAGCAACCAGAAGTAACTCATCTAAGGTCAGGATTCTTTGCTGCTTTTTCAGTGTAGCTATAATAGAATTCCGTGCCTATTATTCCCAAATTAACAAAACAAAACAAAAACATACATAAGAGAAAGGTAGTTTTAGGAAATAGAATGCTTGAAGAAATTTATGGAAAAATTTACATCTAAAATAATCTGTAACACCATTATACCTTCTTTATCCATAGATCAACATACAATAATCTAAAATACAACATGTGCTTATAGAAGGATTAATAGATAAATGGAATGGCGGATGAATAGAGAAACTGATAGACAAATGTTTGATTAACTGACTGAAGGTGTGGATGCATATAGCTGGCATCCATGTGGTAAAGACAGAGTCCAATCCAAACATGATAGAGAGGGAAGTGGAGCAAAGTGGCTGAATAGAACCCTCAGTAATCATCCCTCTCACAGGAATACCAACTTGAATGGCTATTCACACAAGAGAGCACCTCCATAAGTAACTAAAAATGAGGTGAGTGATCACAATACCTGGTTCTAACATCATATCCTTGAAAGAGCCACTAAAAAAAGTAGGAAAGGTGGTTTTGGATTGCTGACTCCACCCTCCTCCTCTATCTCCTGGTAGCATCCTCATGGTGCTGAGAGAGAATATTTGTGCTTGGGGAAGGGAGAGCAAAGTTATTGTGGGACTTTGCATTGACCTCAGTGCTGTTTCTCACAGTGGAAAGCAACACAGGGCAAAATTCAGCTGTCCACTACAGGGGGAGCATATAGACTTGCCCCCACATTCTGACTAGCCCCTCCACAGTGGGCTGAAGCACTTTGGGGTCCTAAGTAAACTTGAAAGGCAGTCCAGACAACAGGGCCTGAAATTCCTGGGCAATTCCTGGTGCTGTGCTGGGCTCAAAGCCAGTGGAACTGAGGTGCACATGATCTAGTAAGATATCAGCAGGAGTGGCCAAAGGGATGCTTTCATCACCCCTTTCCCAATCCCAGGCAGCACAGCTTGCAGCCTCGGGAGAGACTCCTTCCTTCTGCATAAGGAGAGGACACAGGAGAGTGAAAGGACTTTGTCTTGCAGCCACAGTAGAATAGGGCACTAGGCAAACTCCTAAGGTTCCCAATCCATTCTTCACTCCCAGGTGAAATTTCTAGACTCTTGAATCATCAATAGCTAAAATAATCAATTTTTTTCTCATTCCAATAACACTTGGGGGTGAATACCAAGCAGATCAACTTTTGATACGGTTTTTCATCTTTGTAAACTCTTAAGACTTTCTGTTTTATTACTTGCCTTCCCAAAGTTAAGTACTTTTAATTATGAAATTACATACTATTAATATGTTATTCTATACCTGACTCCTAATTTGCTCTCCTGGAAATTTTTACATTATAAAATGACTCCATTTTATATTCATAATCAAGGTTATTTCTCTTAAATTTTTTAAGAAGACTTAAACATAACTATTAACATATCAATGTTATCTTTAGAGAGTTTTCTCGTGCTCTAATTTTTAATATATTTTCAAATTTTTTGTACATTAAAACTTTCAGTTTTCTTTTCAATTGCTTATTTGCTTCAGCAGGCAACTTAACCAGATTCCACTTCCTTTCTGTACATGTGTCTATGTGATATATATACACATATATATATGTATACATGTATATATTAATAGTTTATAATAATGCATATTCTATTCTATCTTATTTGGTTTTCCTTTTTAAGTAGACCATAATGGTCTGCTTATTTTCATGGTGGAAGATGTGAATTTTTCTTACCTGCCCTTTAAACTACTTTGGGAAAATGCAAAGTCAGCTGAACTAAATTTAGCAATTACCTTTTAGCTGACAGGGCCTTCTGATGTGGGAATCATTCTTATGCTTGCTGTGTTCCTGCCAGATTTTGTCATTCACAGTTTTTCCTTCTAAAGTGAAGCAGATAATTGGTTAGCAGAATTCATAGTAACATTTGTCCAGTAAGTATAAGACATTTGAAATCAAAACAAGTTCAGCACAGGATTTGCAACTTGGTAAGTGGTATCTTAAGAGAGCTCTAGTTCTAGGTGATGCAGGAAGTCAGGGACCCCGAACGGAGGGACCGGCTGAAGCCATGGCAGAAGAACATAAATTGTGAAGATTTCATGGACATTTATTAGTTCCCCAAATTAATACTTTTATAATTTCTTACACCTGGCCTGTCTTTACTGCAATCTCTGAACATAAATTGTGAAGATTTCATAGACACTTATCACTTCCCCAATCAATATTCTTGTGATTTCCTATGCCTGTCTTTACTTTAATCTCTTAATCCTGTCATCTTCATAAGGTGAGGATGTATGTCGCCTCAGAACCCTGTGATGATTGTGTTAACTGCACAAATTGTTTGTAGAGCATGTGTGTTTGAACAATATCAAATCTGGGCACCTTAAGAACAGGATAACAGCAATTTTCTGGGAACAAGGGAGATAACCTTAAAGTCTGGCTGCCTGTGGGCCGGGCATGATGGAGCCATATTTCTCTTATTACCAAAAATGGATAAGAGAAATATCGCTGAATTCTTTCCCCAGTAAGGAATATTAATAATTAACAGCCCTGGGAAAAGAACGCATTCCCAGGGCGGGGCCTCTAAAATGGCCACCCTAGGAGTGTCTGCCTTATGTAGCTATGGATAGGGATGAAACATGCCCTAGTCTCCTGCAGTGCCCCCAGGCTTGCTAGGATTAGGAAATTCCAGCCTGGTGAATTCTAGTCAGACTGGTTCTCTGCTCTTGAACCGTGACAATGCATGCACATCAGGACATGGAAGTTCATTAGTGATTCTAGTTTCACCCTTAACTTCTGCCTTGTGATCTTTTGTCGCCCTTGAAGCATGTGATCTCTGTGACCCACACCCTATTCGTGCACTCCCTCCTCTTTGAAAATTGCTAATAAAAACCTGCTGGGTTTGTGGCTCGGGGGCATCACAAAACCTGCTGACGTGTGATGTCTCCCACAGATACCCAGCTTTAAAATTTCTCTCTTGTGTACTCTTTCCCTTTATTTGTCAGACTGGCTGACACTTAGACAAATAGAAAATAACACACGTTGAATTATCGGTGGCGGGTTCCCCCATATCAGGGAGTTCTAGTCCTTCATGGACAACAACAGGTATCCTGTGGGCTACCCACTTATTCCCATGAACTACATAGGCACTTCACCATATATGATAGAATGCTGTTACTTTAACGTCTCTTGATAGCTTATGATTGCATTATTCTTTGTAGTTTTCTTGAATTCATAACCAATTATTATTACTTTTCTGAGACAGCGTCTTACTCTGTTGCCCAGGTTGGAGTACAGTGGTGTGATCATAGCTCATTGTGGCCTCAAATTCCTGGGCCATAGCTATCCTCCTGCCTCAATTTCCCAAGTAGCTGAAACTACAGTCATGTGCCACCAGGATAGGCACATTTTTTTTTTTTTGTAGAGACAGGGTCATAGTCAATTGTTTTTATGCATCCTGAAAAGGTTAAACTATCCTTACCCTCTAGATTCTCCATCATTTCTAACAAACTAATTGTGTAGAAAGAACATTGGGCTGTGATAGTTTCAAGAAACTCTAAGATCCTTGAATGGAATATAAATGATTTGCTCAGCTTTGTCCTCCCAACATCTAAAGCAGGGCCTGGACATGTGAAGAAATGAATTGCACCAAATGGAAAATTGGAGTCCCTTCTAAATTACTTACTACAGATAAATCATTCTACATGTTGTATCATGCATTGATAACACAAATGTTGAATAATGCAACCTATGCATAGCATGAAGACAAACTCAGCATGCTGTGTTGTTTCTAAAGTCACTATTTGCTCATATGTTTTGATTATAGAAAAGGCAGTTGATCATCAAGAACTGTGTTAGGATAGAAATATTGGTTGTACTGTATGTGCATGCAGAATAGACTGAGAATGGATCTAGATGAAAAATAAAATGTTGCCTTGCTTCCTTTTATTTAAGACTGTGCACTATTCAAATTAGGGCTGATATTCAAAATATTTAACAACGAGTGACTGCAGGACCCTGATAGGATCCAGCGCCTATAGATGCTACTGCTGGGAGAATTGAAACCTGATTAAAACGCAGATATCCTTCAAAGTTGTACCCATTGTGGGGTATCACTTTAGTCAGAATGAGCTTTTCAGATCTTACCAGGAAATTGGTTTTTAAAAAAGAATGAAATGAGTATGAGCACCTGACTCCTCTGCTGGGGAGAAGGAAAGGGAAAAGGGTACCCATAAGTTTGGCACACTACATTAAAAAAAATTATTGAGGCCAGGCATGGTGGCTCACACCTGTAATCCCAGCACTTTGAGAGGTCGAGGCAGGCGGATCACGAGGTCAAGAGATCGAGACCATCCTGGCCAACACAGTGAAACCTGTCTCTACTAAAAATACAAAAAATTAGCTGGGTGTGATGGCACGCGCCTGTAGTCCCAGCTACTCTGGGGGCTGAGGCAGGGGAATTGCTTGAACCCGGGAGGCAGAGGTGGCAGTGAGCCAAGATTGCACCATTGCATTTCCAGCCCGGCAACAGAGTGAGACTCCGTCTTAAAAATAACTAAATAAATAAAATTATTGACTGGATGATCCAGATGTTTCACATTGTGAATGTTTTATAATTACTGACTCCCTATTTGCTGTAAAGTAAAAAGAGAGATAATCTATTAATTTTCTAAAAATAATGAATAGAAATCGATTTTTACTTTAGAATTAAGGTACAAACCAAACTGATTGCATGTATTATTACTATGAATGCTATCACAGAAACTAAAGAGAAGATTTGGTGTGTGAAATGTTGTAGAAGAGACTTTTATAATGAAACCACTTTCTGCTAATTTTTTATTGTCTCCTAGATTCACAGATCTAAAATGATCTCTAACAAGTCACCTTGACCACGGAGCAGCCAAGCTACACATGGAGAGCTGGAAGATGAGCAGCCAATGAACTACCAAAGAGGATTATTCTGTTTAAATATAAACGGAAAATATTGCAAATAAATCAATGATTTCTTTGTCATAGCCATTTAAAGTTAGAATGAAGCCACTTTTAAAAAATGTTCTTCTATATAATTCAAAGACAACTCAATTTGACTTTCATTAATCAGTTTTGTTGCTTTGTGGCAGGAGCAGGAGAAAAGAACTTGTGGGGAGACAGAATACATCGTTTACACTTGTAACCTTAGGAATCACTAACCAAATATTTTATTTTCAGACATAAATCTCCGGAATAACCTGGAAGAATAAAAGAAAAAGATATTTAAGTCTAGATTTAATAAATAACATTTTAATCAAACAGAAATTAGAATATGTGCAACACTTTGGGAACAGAAATAAATTCTACCTCTAACCGAGGTCTACCTATGGTCTTGAATTTTCCTAACCCTAGGTGGCAAATTACAGTAAATACAAGTACAATTTGGGTCTGTAAATTTCTATGCAATATGGAGAAACTGATATTCATAAGACCTGAAAAAAATAGTAAGTCTTTTTACGTGAAGGTATCTCAGGATAACCAAATAGTTACTAGGGGGGAAGTGCTTTTGCAAATAAATATGTCAATAAATACAGAAAGAATGATGTAAATTGTATATAACCATTATGCAATCTCTAATAAAATAAAAGATCTGGAAAATAATCATCAATTATTGATAAAGCCTAATTGAAAGGCTGATGGGCAACTTTATGCCAGTGGATCCATGTGATACCATCTGAGCCCACTGAGCAATATCACTGTCAAAAAAATATGATCATGCTAATCAATTCATGTGTGTGGGTGAACACACACATATCTCATAACTAACATTGTTATAGCTTAAGTGTTTTCTACTATTGATATTCTTTATTGTCATTAAATTAAAACTGAGTTTACCATTTTTTCAAACTCAAAATTGTGAGCAAAAACATGCATAGATAAGGTTTCCTTTTTGTTAATTTTTTGTTTCCTTTTCATTTTTTAATGCAAAATGGTTAGGACATCTCTTGGCACATAGCAAGCATTCCAAACAAATAAAGCTATTTATAATATTGTAAAGTGAGGTAAGTGAATAACAATGAGAGTAGACGTAAAGCTTACAATACAACAAAACAGAAAGTATGCAGTCACTGAAGACCAACTTTTAAATATATATATAAATATACATATTTGAACCTTTTCATACTTTATATATATTTGAATCTTATCACACTTTGAGATTTAACTAAAAGTTTACAGGAAACATACAGTAGAGAAAAACATGCTTAAAAAAACACAAGGATTCAATCAGCAAAATTCAAAAATCTGGGAAATTCTTCAGGACACAGACTCCAGTTTCTTCAACAAATAAATGAAAAGACATAAATTAAGAGACCTGAACTGAATCCAGCTGAGCTTTTTGGATCCTGATTTAAATAAACCAACTCTGAAAAAGCATTTGAGTCTGTCAGAAATATTGTAATAGTGACTGTATATTTGGCAATTTAATGTCATTTGTCTTGTTTTGTTCTAGTGCAGTAATGGTATTGTGATTATGCTTTTTAAAAAATAATTCTTATTTTTTAATAACATACACTGAAGCATGAAATTATGTGTCTGGCATCTGCTTTATTAATACAAAAACAGTGGGGATGCAGTTGAGGTAGTAGAATGGGTAGAAATAAAATTGACTATAGGTTGATCCTTGTTTAAGTTTGGTGATATGAGTTTATCATTAACTCTTCCCCTATGTATGATTGAAAATTTCCATAACAAAATGTTTTGAAACAGAAGCAGAGGATAGGACTATGCTGACTTGACTGCTAATCAATTCATGTGTGTGGGTAAACACACATATCTCATCACTAACTGTTACAGCTTAAGTGTTTCCCACATTCATATTCTTGATAGTCATGTGCTCGCTTCGGCAGCACAGATACATATTCTTGATAGTAATTAAATTAAAACGAAGGTGACCCTTTTTAAGCTCAAAATTGTAAGCAAAAACATGCATATATAAGGTTTCCTTTTTCTTAATCTTTTGTTTTTAATTTTTAATGCAAAATGCTTAGGACATCTCTTGGCATATAGCAAGAATTCCAAACAAATAAAGCTGTTTATAATACTGTAAAGTGATGTAGGTGTATAATAACATGAGACATCATTTCCATCAGGAGAGTGGTAGGCCAAAAAAAAGAAATTAAGGAACTCAAAGGAGTCTTCAATTTTATTTTAATTGCTTGAAATCTGAGGCCCACCTTAACTGATCTGGTTTATGTTTGAAAAATTGTAAATTGGTCATCATCAGACACTTTCCCTTTAATTCAATCCTCCTTCTGTCATCTATGTTTTGGTAGCCTATATTCTGCGGAAGCATCAATCATAAGCAAACGGCTACTATTTTGTTTAAGTACGTTCCTTGGAATTAGTGAATTTCTTATTCATGGTCAGAAAAACAGCCTCACATACATGGCGATAAGGCTGAGAAAGGCCCAGCCAAAGCCCCTTCTTTACTCCACCTCGTGCTTCAAATGCCAGTGTTGTAGTTTAAATAGTTAATTGTAACTAAAATACAACTACACCAGCCTGACAGGTCCCTAAGCTGTTAATCACCCAATTACCTACTTACTATGGATGTGTTTTATATTTTTAACTGGGAGAAAGCTTTAAGCAGGGGGAATAAAAAAGAAAAAAAAAGGAAAGAATATGAAAAAGCACAAGAGCTTTTGAGAAAGAGGACACCCAGAGAGAACATCACATAATTTACAATTGGCCTCAGACCAATCCAGGGTGCAAGGAAGCCATTCTTCTGTATCCTCGGCAACCAATCTGAAAATTTCCCCATAAACCGGCTTCCTGCCCATGTGTAATTCGTGCTTATCAATTAAAATCCCATTACCTTATGCAACATGTGTATGTCATGTCCTCTGGCAGCTGGATGTGCTGAATGTAAAGCCAGGCCTGACCTAAATAACCTGAAACTCTTTGCAAACACATTTTTATGTGGATTAGAAAAATACTTCAGAAGATTTATAGGTCACTGATAGAAATATGTTTTTATGGAGGCTCCCACTTTAATCTAGGCCTGGTTTAGACACATGTTTCTTCTGAAAAATTTAATTTGCACATCCCTGTCTACTGGAATGTCACAACACAGCTTTCCCATGCATCAGCATAAACAGAGAAATGATAGCAAAGCAATCCACATCTAGATTTGTACATGACAGCTGCAAAAAAAAAAAAAAAAAAAAAAAAAGTACTTTGGCACGAAGTCCACTAAAAATTCACATTCAACATTACAGAACTAAGGGAACATGAAGTTTACCAAGTAAATTTGACTTACTTTCTCTTTTTTGGTTTTGCATTCTCTAAATTAGAAACTCCCTGTAAAATAAAATAAAATGAATAAAATAAAATAAATAACATAAAATAAGACAAAACTATATCAAGAGATCTGAAAGAGAATTCATTCATTTTCTAGTATAATCCAAACGTAGTTCCTTTTGTCTTTTCCCTAGTGAAAAAGACTGATATGTCCCCTGTTGTATTTTAGTAATGTGTCACAGAAGTTTGGCTCACATTTTAACTTTTTTTTCCCTTTTGTCTTTGTAACTTTGAGAAAGGTAGGATATTTCCTTTATTAACGAGGGCTTATATCTTATTTTAAGCCCTTGCCAGTTTAAAAAAAAACAACAGGTCTTTTAAATTAAAACATCCAATTAAATCCTCATTATCTAAACCTCTGTCCCTCCATCAATCCACCAAAACCAAGGAGAGAGACACATACCTGGGTGTGTTAGTTGTATCATAGAGTGCCTTCATTTGAGAAAAATGGAAAGTAGCCTATCACAATACCCTCAGGGTGTTGAAATACATCTGTGATTCATCTGACATTTTTCTTCAGATCAAGTGACCATTGTGTAAAATCCCTTACACTTTTGGGGAAAGAATTTGTCACATTTTTCACCATCCTTGAAACAGCTTAAACTGCCCTAGACACCTTTAAAAGCTCTTCAGATTCTGTCTTTATTATTCACCTACTCCTCCATTTAAAAAACATTTACTGAATATCTACATGAAAGGCAACCGATTGTGTTCTGGAGAGGTTCATTTGTTTGGCATGGTAGGAATTTACATACTAAAGAAAATTGCAACGAATATTCCACTTTTGAGGGGGAAAAACACAAATGCTAAGGCTAAAAGGAAAGGTGAATGGAAACCAGAAAAAGGAAGTTTGATTCTATTATTCAGGTCGTTAATAGTAACAGCCTGGGCACAGTGAAATCCAGGATAACCTTTCCCCAAGATAGTGATCGAAGGGGCCATTTATCTAATCTTTATTTTGTTTGTATCAAGATTTTTAACTGCAGAGGACAATTTGAATTTTTTATTTTCCTAGTGGTTGAGCAGAACGTTGCTAAAACCCCACACACTGAAACAGTCAGTCCCTGAACTCGAGGAGCACATATTACCAAGTTTGAAATACTTGTGCATGACCCATAGGACATTGCTTGTAGGGAAGAGGTGGTGGATGGGGGTTGTAAGTAAGGATGTGGGAAGCATGAATTAAGCCCTAATGTGAGTGAGGATATCAGCAGGCCTTTGAGGAGTTAGTGGTCAGATGGACCACTCCTTCCATTCTCTATGCTTTGTCATCCTGTGCCCTAAAAGTATGCAATCTCTATTCAAGGTCTTTTTCTGAAATTGTTTAGGTCTTGGGCCAGATCTTTCCAAACCTCAGATTAGAAGCTAATTGTGTTCCTTGCCCCACAATCAGTAGCCACTCACATTTAACAAGCTTTGTGACAATCATGAGGAAAGAGGATGGCCATCCATCTTTATAGTAGTGTTTTTCTGTTATGTGTATTTGGAACTCACTAGGAAAGAACAAGCAAGCTCCATGTTCCACAGTCTATGCAATCGGGACCAAATATGTCTCAATAGTCAAAATCCATCATCCTGAGTCTCATTAGTTTGTCGTATGGGTTTAGGTAAATCTCTTGGGATTATGAATGTTGCCGTCTTCAAAATAGTCTACCTTTTGTGAAAATAGACAAGATTTGCAATAAGGAATATGGGAAACATTCGATACCTTTTAATTTTTAATTATTCAAGTCACAGTATTTTGGAACCAACTTCTTATATCAGGATTCCTCTGCCTTTGCTATCAAAGAGATTAATTCCAGATGGCTCACAAAATTTATATGCAATCGAGCAAGAGAGTTTGAATTTGGAAAGAAGATGTATTACGCAAACATAGTCTCCTGTATCACCTGGGTGAAGCTTTTGTTAATACAATTAGGTATGGGACCCACACAAAGCTTAAACACTTGTAACAGCTGATTGTGGTGAAAGGAACATAATTAGCTTCCGGTTTGAAGTTTGGAGACATCTGGACTGAGATTAAAGTAATTTCCTAAGACCACAAATAGAGATTGGTTACTTTTACTATGTATGTTGTCACAATATTCTCTAGGGACTATCCACTTTGTTCTGGTTTTACTGGAATTGGGGTCATCCAATTTTTCCTCATGATGAATCAGTTTAGGTTTGGGAAATTTTGTTAAAAGACTTTCTTGTAATGAATATTTTGGGCAAAAAATTGAGCTGAAACTTCTTTTTAATCTCTATTAAGATGAAAGAGTTAATGTATTTCTCCTTAGGCAACCTGCTTCCTACAAGGGTAGGGAGAGTCAGGCACATTAAATGTGGGTCTGGAGTGTGATTATATGAGGAAGAGGGATTACTTAAACAGGCCAACATCTACTTAATTAGAATAATAGGTCTATTCCCTCGGTGTTGCCTAGTTGTAGATTACTACTGAACTGGTTAAGCAATTTTTAGTACTGCTTATACCAGACTCAAAGCAGCTGTGGAAAATGTAAATGACTTTCAATTCTGACTGCTGCTTACATAAGCAGACTGTCACGTATATTGGAGTTCACACCCTGGGTACTTTATTCCTAGAGGGGCAAGTCAAAGAAAGACTACATACACTTTTATTTTTAGAACCACAGCTGTGTATGTGTGTGTGTGTGTGTGTGTGTGTGTGTGTGTGTGCGCGCGCGCGCACGCGCGTGTGTGTGTGTGTGTGTTCTACTCTGAATTCCAAAAGAAAGATACCACTTTGGAGAGTTATTTCAGTGAAAAAATGTCTAGTCCTTTAATTTGACATTTGCCATGAATGCTGGGTAAAACTTACTCCTGTTAGCCTTCACTTCAGTATCCCCTAAGTTAGGCAGTAATAATTCTTCTTACCTTTCATTCACTAGGGAATGTGTGGCTTAATTTTATTTTTCTCCCTAGCAATTGTTAGAAAATAAAAAATGAAATGTAGAAAAATTATTACAAATGAACCAACAGAAACTAAGAAACATTTCCAAGCTATGTTATTTTTAAGGTAAATGAGGGTAGACTCTAACAGCAAAGCACTTCCGTATATAAAATTAGGTCAAAGTTTTAAAAAATAGAAAGAGAAGATGTACCTTAAAAGAACAGATAAATTGTAGATATCAAATATATTTCTATTCTCATGCAGAGGTTACAGATGACTATCCTTTGGGATTCAGACTAATATGTGCCTGTTTCTTGCTTTATTGCTTTGTAAACCTCACTTTCAAATTACAAAGTCAAAAGGAAAAATGTAAATATGTCAGGAGTTGTTGTTGCCTAGCTAATGGAAATGGGAAAGATGATTCTGTACCAGAGAAAACTGATTGGCAGCAATTGATGATGTAAATCCCATGGTGAATTTTTAGGACTGTAGAGCTGATGCAAACTTTGACTTGAAAATGAAAAAATTGAGGCTCAAAATGATAAATGGACTCATTTACGATCAAGCATATAGTGCTTTACCTTAACTAAATACTGGTGGATTTAAAACATTTCTAATGTATTTTTTTTGGAATTGCACAAGTCATTCATTTCTACATTCACATTTTATTCAACAAACACTTATTGAACATCTACTATGTACCAGACACTGTTGTAGGGGAGAAAAGATTTATTTCCTCACCTATCACAAAGTTCATGGCTGATATTCCTATAACAAAAGAGAGATTAGCAAGATAAAATAATACACACTTATTTATTAAAAGTTTTATGTGGCATAAACCTTCAGAAATGAAGTCCCTAAAACTCAGAGAAAAGTGTATTTTTTTTAATTGCCGTGTAGAAATATGATTGGAAGACAAAAGGTATGATCTGATGGTAATAAACTGGAGGGAATTTAGAAAGGCCTGTTTGTTCAGCTTCCTCTTGGCGTCTCTGTGTGACATCCCTTTTCTCTGAGTATAGAGCAGAATACCTGTCATTTGAGAGCCTTCAGAGGAGGAGAAGGGGAGAGTAATTCAGAGAGTGATCTTCTTAGATTTTATGGCCTGCTTCAGGGTAGAAGGAGAGAGGGGGAATTATAATTCTATGGCCTGTTTCAGGGGAGAAAGGGGCAATGGAAATTTCGGTTTCTATGGTCCACTTTAGGAGAGAAGGGGCAAGAGAAAGTCAGAGATATCTTCCTGCTTCTGCTGTTTTCTTAATTTCCTTCACTTCAAGATAGTCAATGATATGGTTAGGCTTTGTGTCCCCACCCAAATCTCATCTTGAATTGTAATCCCTAGGTGTTGAGGGAGGAACTTGGAGGGAATTGGGTCATGGGGGTGGTTTTCCCTATGCTGTTCTCGTGATACTGAGTGAGTTCTTACGAGATGTGATGGTTTCATAAGTGGTTAACAGTTCCTCCTACTCTCTCCTGCCACCATGTGAAGAAGGTACATTCTGCCTACTTCCCCTTCTGTCATGACTGTAAGTTTCCTGAGGCCTCCCTCACAGTGGTTTGACTATGAGTCCATTAAACCTCTTTCCTTTATAGATTGCCCAGTTCTGGATATTTCTTTATAGCAGTGTGAACATGATCTAATACATTCAGTATGCCAATGTGTGATATTTTAAGGTAGCATTTCATGTACCCCTCATTGTTTTAGATGCAAAAAAGAATTGCAAGTAGTCTTTCTTTCAATTATCTATCACCAGTGACTGTTGATCTCAGAATCCTATTGAATTCCATTTTTTTAGCTTTAAAGATTAAATGAGTTAACCTATATAAAATCCTTACATGATGTCAAACACACTGGAGATACATATAGATGACATTTCTTATTAGATACATTGTTTATTAATAGTTAGATAGAATTCTGATTTTGAAGTGAATTGAACATGGGTACAAACACATATGTAAATATGTATAACACACATATAAATTCCTATTAAAATAAGCTAATTCAATTTCTATTTTGTTTAATTCATTCTCTTGCAAAAATGAAGATTGTTCACTTGCATAACTAAAATGGTTATATTAATATTAAAATACAGTGATTCCAAAAATGCCACACGCAAACTGAATAAGTATGTTTCTGGATATTTCTTGGCTTCCTATGTTTCAACAAATTTCCTACAGATTTTCAAAGAAGACATGACAGTTTATTTTTAAAATTCCAGTAGACATGTAGCAAAGAGGATGATTATGAAACTTCAAAGGTAATAGACAGGGTGGTTCCAAGATGGCCGAATAGGAACAGCTCCAGTCTACAGCTCCCAGCATGAGTGACACAGAAGACGGGTGATTTCTGCATTTCCATCTGAGGTACTGGGTTCATCTCACAGGGGCTTGTCAGACAGTGGGTGCAGCCCACTGAGTGTGAGCCGAAGCAGGACAAGGCATCGCCTCACCTGGGAAGCACAAGGGACCAGGGAATCCTCTTTCCTAGCCAAGGGAAGCTGCGACAGATGGCACCTGGAAAATCGGGTCACTCCCACCCTAATACTGCACTTTTCCAACAGTCTTAGCAAACGGCACTCCAGGAGATTATATCCCACACCTGGCTCAGAGGATCCCATGCCCATGGAGCCTCACTCATTGCTAGCACAGCAGTCTGAGATCGAACTGCAAGGTCACAGAGAGGCTGGGGGAGGCTTGAGTAGATAAACAAAGTGGCTGGGAAGCTCCAACTGGGTGGAGCCCACCGCAGCTCAAGGAGGCCTGCCTGCCTCTGTAGACTCCACCTCTGGCAGCAGGGCATAGCCAAACAAAAGGCAGCAGAAACCTCTGCAGACTTAAATGTCCCTGTCTGACAGCTTTGAAGAGAGTAGTGGTTCTCTCAGCATGGAGTTAGAGATCTGAGAATGGACAGACTGCCCCCTCAAGGGGGTCCCTGACCCTCGAGTAGCCTAACTAGGAGGCACACCCCAGTACGGGCAGACTGACACCCCACATGGCTGGGTACCCCTCTGAGATGAAGCTTCCAGAGGAAAGATCAGGCAGCAACATTTGCTGTTCAGCAATGTTCTCTGTTCTGCAGCCTCTGCTGCTAATACCCAGGCAAACAGGGTCTGGAGTGGACCTCCAGCAAACACCAACATACCTGCAGCTGAGGGTCCTGACTGCTAGAAGGAAAACTAACAAACAGAAAGGACATCCACACCAAAACCCCATCTGTACATCACCATCATCAAAGACCAAAGGTAGATAAAACCACAAAGATGGGGTAAAAACAGCAGAAAAGCTGAAAATTCTAAAAACCAGAGTGCCTCTCCTCCTCCAAAGGAATGCAGCTCCTCGCCAGCAATGGAACAAAGCTGGATGGACAATGACTTTGACAAGTTGAGAGAAGAAGGCTTCAGATGATCAAACTTCTCCGAGCTAAAGGAAGAAGTTTGAACCCACCGCAAAGAAGCTAAAAAGCTTGGGAAAAGATTAGACGAATGGCTAACTAGAATAACCAGTGTAGAGAAGTCCTTAAATGACCTGATGGAGCTGAAAACCATGGTACAAGAACTACGTGACGAATCCACAAGTTTCAGTAGCCAATTCAATCAACAGGAAGAAAGGATATCAGTGATTGAAGATCAAATGAATGAAATGAAATGAGAAGAGAAGTTTAGACAAAAAAGAGTAAAAAGAAATGAACAGCCTCTAAGAATTATGGGACTATGTGAAAAGACCAAATCTACATCTGATTGGTGTACCTGAAAGTGACGGGGAGAATGGAACCAAGTTGGAAAACACTCTGCAGGATATTATCAAGGAGAACTTCCCCAACCTAGCAAGGCAGGCCAACATTCAAATTCAGGAAATACAGAGAATGCCACAAAGATACTCCTTGAGAAGAGCAACTCCAAGACACATAATTGTCAGATTCACCAAAGTTGAAATGAAGGAAAAAATGTTAAGGGCAGCCAGAGAGAAAAGTCAGGTTACCCACAAAGGGAAGCCCATCTGACTAACAGCGGACCTCTCAGCAGAAACTCCACAAGCCAGAAGAGAGTGGGGGCCAATATTCAACATTCTTAAAGAAAAGAATTTTCAACCCAGAATTTCATATCCAGTCAAACCAAGCTTTATAAGTGAAGGAGAAATAAAATCCTTTACAGACAAGCAAATGCTGAGAGAATTTGTCACCACCAGGCCTGCCCTACAAGAGCTCCTAAGGAAGCACTAAACATGGAAAGGAACAACCAGTACCAGCCACTGCAAAAACATGACAAATTGTAAAGACCATCAATGCTAGGAAGAAACTGCATCAACTAACGAGAAAAATAAACAGCTAACATCATAATGGCAGGATCAAATTCACACATAACAATATTAACCTTAAATGTAAATGGGTTAAATGCTCCAATTAAAAGACACAGACTGGCAAATTGGATAAAGAGTCAAGACCCATCAGCGTCAGTGTGCTGTATTCAGGAGACCCATCTCACGTGCAGAGACACACATAGGCTCAAAATAAAGGGATGGAAGAAGATCTACCAAGAAAATGGAAAACAAAAAAAGGCAGGGGTTGCAATCCTAGTCTCTGATAAAACAGACTTTAAGCCAACAAAGATCGAAAGAGACAAAGAAGACCATTACATAATAGTAAAGGGATCAATTCAACAAGAAGAACTAACTATCCTAAATATATATGGACCCAAAACAGAAGCACCCAGATTCATAAAGCAAGTCCTTAGAGACCTACAAGGAGACTTAGACTCCCACACAATAATAATGGGAGACTTTAACACCTCACTGTCAACATTAGACAGATCAACAAGATGGAAAGTTCACAAGGATATCCAGGAATTGAACTCAGCTCTGCACCAAGCGGGCCTAATAGACATCTACAGAACTCTCCACCCCAATTCAACAGAATATACATTCTTTTCAGCACCACACCACACCTATTCCAAAACTGACCACATAGTTAGAAGTAAAGCACTCCTCAGCAAATGTAAAAGAAAAGAAATTATAACAAACTGTCTCTCAGACCACAGAGCAATCAAACTAGAACTCAGGATTAAGAAACTCACTCAAAACTGCTCAACTACATGGAAACTGAACAACCTGCTCTTGAATGACTACTGGGTACACAACGAAATGAAGGCAAAAAGAAAGATGTTCTTTGAAACCAATGAGAACAAAGACACAACATACCAGAATCTCTGGGACACATTTAAAGAAATGTATAGAGGGAAATTTATAGCACTAAATGCCCACAAGAGAAAGCAGGGAAGATCTAAAATCAACACCCTAACACCACAATTAAAAGAACTAGAGAATCAAGAGCAAACACATTCAAAAGCTAGCAGAAGGCAAGAAATAACTAAGATCAGAGCAGAACTGAAGGAGATAGAGACACAAAAAACCCTTCAAAAAATCAATGAATGCAGGAGCTGTTTTTTTGAAAAGATCAACAAAATTGATAGACTGGTAGCAAGACTAATAAAGAAGAAAAGAGAGAAGAATAAAATAGACACAATAAGAAATGATAAAGGGGATATCATCACCAATCCCACAGTAATACAAACTACCATCAGAGAATACTATAAACACCTCTACGCAAATAAACTACAAAATCTAGAAGAAATGGATAAATTCCTGGACACATACACCCTCCCAAGACTAAACCAGGAAGAATGTGAATCCCTGAATAGACCAATCACAGGCTCTGAAATTGAGGCCATAATTAATAGCCTACCAACCAAAAAAAGTCCAGGACCAGATGGATTCACAGCCAAATACTAACAGAGGTAAAAGGAGGAGCTGGTACCATTCCTTCTGAAACTATTCCAATCAACAGAAAAAGAGGGAATCCTCCCTAACTCATTTTATGAGGCCAGCATCATCCTGATACCAAAGCCGGGAAGAGACACAACCAAAAAAGAGAATTTTAGACCAATATCCTTGATGAACATCGATGTAAAAATCCTCAATAAAATAGTGGCAAACCGAATCCAGTAGCCCATCAAAAAGCTTATCCACCATGATCAAGTGGGCTTTGTCCCTGGGATGCAAGGCTGGTTCAACATACATGAGTCAATAAACATAATCCAGCATATAAACAGAACCAACGACAAAAACCACATGATTACCTCAATAGATGCAGAAAAGGCCTTTGACAAGATTCAACTGCCCTTCATGCTAAAAACTCTCAATAAATTAGGTATTGATGGGATGTATCTCAAAATAATAAGAGCTATCTATGACAAACCCACAGCCAATATCATACTGAATGGGCAAAAACTGGACGCATTCCCTTTGAAAACTGGCACAAGACAGGGATGCCCTCTTTCACCACTCCTATTCAACATAGCGTTGGAAGTTCTGGCCAGGGCAATCAAGCAGGAGAAAGAAATACAGGGTATTCAATTAGGAAAAGAGGAAGTCAAATTGTCCCTGTTTGCAGATGACATGATTGTATATTTAGAAAGCCCCATAGTCTCAGCCCTAAATCTCCTTAAGCTGATAAGCAACTTCAGCCAAGTCTCAGGATACAAAATCAATGTACAAAAATCACAAGCATTCTTATACACTAATAACAGACAAACAGAGAGCCAAATCATGAGTGAACTCCCATTCACAATTGCTTCAAAGAGAACAAAATACCTAGGAATCCAACTTACCAGGGATGTGAAAGACCTCTTCAAGGAGAACTGCAAACCACTGCTCAATGAGATAAAAGAGGACATAAACAAGTGGAAGATAATTCCATGCTCATGGATAGGAAGAATCAGTATTGTGAAAATGGCCACACTGCCCAAAGTAATTTACAGATTCAATGCCATCCCCATCAAGCTACCAATGACTTTCTTCACAGAATTGGAAAAAACTACTTTAAAGTTCATATGGAACCAAACAAGAGCCTGCATTGCCAGGACAATCCTAAGCCAAAAGAACAAAGCTGGAGGCATCACGCTACCTGACTTCAAACTATACTACAAGGCTACAGTAACCAAAACAGCATGGTACTGGTACTAAAACAGAGATATAGACCAATGGAACAGAACTGAGACCTCTGAAATAATAACACACATCTACAATCAACTGATCTTTGACAAACCTGACAAAAACAAGCAATGGGGAGAGGATTCCCTATTTAATAAATGGTGCTGGGAATACTGGCTAGTCATATGTAGAAAGTTGAAACTGGATCCCTTCTTTACACCTTATACAAAAATTACTTCAAGATGGATTAAAGACTTACATGTCAGACCTAAAACCATAAAAACCCTAGAAGAAAACCTAGGCATTACCATTCAGGACATAGGCATGGGCAAGGACTTCATGTCTAAAATACCAAAAGCAATGGCAACAAAAGCCAAAATTGACAACTGGGATCTAATTAAACTAAAGAGCTTTTGCACAGCAAAAGAAACTACCATCAGAGTGAACAGGCAACCTATAGAGTGGGAGAAAATTTTTGCAATCTACTCATCTGACAAAGGGCTAATATCCAGAATCTACAAAGAACTCAAACAAACTTACAAGAAAGAAACAAACAACCCCATCAAAAAGTGAACAAAGGATATGAACAGACACTTCTCAAAAGAAGACATTTATGCAGCCAAAAGACACATGAAAAAATGCTCATCACTGGCCATCAGAGAAATGCAAATCAAAACCACAATGAGATACCATCTCACACCAGTTAGAATGGTGATCATTAAAAAGTCAGGAAACAACAGGGGCTGTAGAGGATGTGGAGAAATAGGAACACTTTTACACTGTTGGTGGGACTGTAAACTAGTTCAACCATTGTGGAAGACAGTGTGGCGATTCCTCAGGGATCTAGAACTAGAAATTCCATTTGAGCCAGCCATCCCATTACTGGGTATATACCCAAAGGATTATAAATCATGCTGCTATAAAGACACATGCACACGTATGTTTATTGTGGCACTATTCACAATAGCAAAGACTTGGAACCAACCCAAATGTCCATCAATGATAGACTGGATTAAGAAAATATGGCACATATACACCATGGAATACTATGCAGCCATAAAAAATGATGAGTTCATGTCCTTTGTAGGGACATGAATGAAGCTGGAAACCATCATTCTCAGCTAACTATCACAAAGAGAAAAAACCAAACACTGCATGTTCTCACTCATAGGTGGGAATTGAACAATGAGAACACATGGACACAGGGTGAGGAACATCACACACTGGGGCCTGTCATGGGGTGGGGGTAGGGGGAAGGGATAGCATTAGGAGATATACCTAATGTAAATGATGAGTTAATGGGTGCAGCACACCAATATGGCACATGTATACATATGTAACAAACCTGCACGTTGTGCACATGTACCCTAGAACTTAAAGTATAATGAAAAAAAAAGCAATATAAACACCAGGAGAGCTTGATAAGACTTGGAGCTAATGTTAGGTGCATAAATGCATATACCCCAATAAAAGTCATATAAACATTTAGTCTTCCAAAATTTTTCACCAAATTTTACTTCCTCATAGACTCCTGGAAAACAAAAGGACTCTCTTGTTCTCTGAATACTCTCCATCCTTGCCTCAATTTAGATATGCTCAAGATGGAAGCACTCAGAGTGTGACTTGATCTGACTCCAAACTGATCTAGAATTGAAGGCTGTTAGGAAGACTATTCTCACACATACTTGTACTTTGAAAGGTGGTTCTACAAATTGTCTGGAGGCCCATGGCCAATATCAACAGGGTTTTGTGAGGAAAGAGATCCCCCTAGTAGCAGTGAGCATTGTCATGCACAGCATGAATGCTCAATAAATGTACTAAATTGAACTAAAATTTTTAACAAATATGAGGATACACTAACATCAAATCAAAAACAAAAAAAAGTAAAATGATGCTGCGAGCTTCTCAGGGCATAATTAATAGAAAGCTATTTCATATTATCTTCTTAAGGCTAAAGGAAGCATTTTGGGAGTTAACTACGAGGATAAGTGATTCTAGGAAATGTGATACAGAAAAGGGGTTTGTGTTCCTGAGACTTCTCCCTTGTCTGGGGAGCACCATTTCTCCTTCCATGTTGAATATCCTCACCCAAAAAGTGAGACAAAGTTTGCTCTAGTCCAGCAATAGACAGGATGGTACCAGGAGCTGAAATTATTTTTATAGTAATAGAAAGAAATTTCTGCAATAAGACTTAAAAATATCAATTAAAACAAAGACAAATATACACGATGAAACACAACAGCATCCAATCAATGGGATAGGAGATTAAAATCATTTCATTAAAGGTTACAAATTATGCTGGATAGAAAGAATAACTTCTAGTGTTCCATAGAACTATAGGATGATTAACAATAATATATTATAGTTTCAAATAGCTAAAATAAGGATGTTGAGTGTTACCAACCCAAAGAAATGATATTTGAGATGATGGACGTGCTACTTACTCTGATCTGATCACTATACATGATATATATTGAAATACCACTGTATACTCCCCAAATATGTACAATTATTGTGTCAACTAAAATATGAAATAATAAAATAAAACAATTTTAAAATTAAAAAAAGAAAAAGTTCATAGACTAATTTTTCAGTGTATCTAAGGCAATCAGAGAGATGAAAAAATATATATTGAGCTACCAACTGTATTTTCAAAACGAGAAGATTTATGTGACTGGTAACAAGTCATCACAAATGTGAAAAAGTCCTACTGCCTTCCTCCATACCTGATTGCAAATGAATGGAAAAATTCCAGTGACAGAAAAGTCTCCCAAGTTATGAATGAGATCACTTTGGCAAAGGGGAATGTTGGTAAATGTCAGAGCCCAGTCAGTTAAAAAGCAAGTTACTAAGAATGACAAGGATAAAATCCTATCCTTTTTGTGATTTCTTGATTTTACACATTTGCAGAATAATAACGGTGGAATACATACAGTATCAAGCATAGTTCTAAATGCTTTTTGTGTAGTAATTAATTTAATCCTCACAACAATCTGTAGGGTTGATACTATTACAATTAACCTCAATTTATAGGTAAATTTATAGATGGGTAAACAGAGGCACAGAGCAGTCAACATTCTTGCCTAAGCTCACACAACTAGTAAGTGATAAAACTAGGGTTTTGTGCGTGGTGTCTTCACTACTACCTGATACTACTTCTATGCTTGACGGCATAGATCCAAAATCTACTGATCATCTAGGTCAGAAATTTCACAAAGAAGCACTATTAGCCAGAAGGGAGATTAGCTACAAAAATGCAGAGAAATGTAATACCACATGTCACTACTAAATAACTCAGAAAGAACACCCTTCTTCAAGCCCTAATACTAATAATTTAGTACTATTTGAAGACAAGTGTGTAAACAGCACACTGATGTGTTTTAAAGGTATTAATTATTTTGTAGCTGCCATCATCATCATCAAAGAATGCCCAGCAATTTATGACAGCACAGTTAATTAAAAGCGGACACTTCAGGAACCAATGAATTTAGATGACAGTCTGTGCATTAGAGAGCCCCCTCAGCATATTACTGTAATAATGTTATGGTTCTCAGGGAAAACAGATTTTATCCTCCTGTGAGAATAAAATGAAGAAGGAAAAGCTACAATCAGCTCTTTCTGATGGGAAAAGTAAGGCTTGCTTGCCAGCCTGTCCAGCTCCTGTCTTCAAGAAACAACCCCATACAGCTAGTGAATTCTGCTTTCTCTAAGAGGGTGGTGTACAGCATCCACACACAGCCTCTCATCGCAGGGCAGGTCCTGTAGCTTATAGCGCCTGGAGAATGCACGGGGCCATAATCCATCAGGAAGAGGGCTGGTAAATTGCACGAACTTTGCCATTTGTCTACTAGTGTGCGAAGAGAGCTTTATATCAATCCTAAAGCAACAAACTCTTCTCAGAGCACTATAAATATCCAGGATGGCAAAACAGGTTACCTAGGGGATGGTTATTTGCATTATAAAAGATTCCTCCTTTGCAAAAAGATTCCCTTCCAGATGTCTTAAAACAGAGGTCTCTTAAGTGTCCTTAAATGTGATTTATAAAATTATATTTACACAAGGTTTTAGAAAGGGAAAGAACAACTAATGTTTATTAAGTGCCATGTTTCCTGCCACTTATTATCTTCTTTAATCTTCATAGCCACAAATGAAACAAGAGCAAGCCAAGCAAACTTGCAAAAAAATGTGATAGGAAATCCGATGGGTAAAAATGTCAAATTCCATCTTTGCAATGGAAAAGCACTGAACTGGTACCCCAGAACCTGGCTTGCTCTCCCAGGGCTGCTACTAAACTGGACAAGACCCAGGAACCCACCCACAGCTCAATCAGGTGTCCATGTATAAAACGAAGGCTGATGAACAGGAACTTTAAAATCCCTTTCTGTAGAAACAATCCATGCTTCCTGATCTATAGTAGTTCGGTCCAATGTCAGTAGTGATGACAAATGCTTTTAAGAGAAAATTAAAGTAGGAATGGGCTTTTTTGCTTTACAGCTTTTTTTTTTTTTAGAGATGATTAAAGAGATAACCATGGCTTTCATCAGATTCAATTAGTAGTTCTCCTGTAAGCCTAGGAAATAAAAAAAAGAACAGAGCACAATTAACCTTCATCTATTGATTTCATTTTATTTTAACATAAGTCTCTATTTACGGGACGAAACCAATTAAAACTACCAAAAGGTGTTCATATGTGAATTGGTGGCAGAAGAACAGCTGTATGTAATCATAGATATAACAGGAAACAATAAAAATGAAAGAAAAGTGCAGTCTTTTTAGTCAACGTAATCTGTGTTTTACATATTGGCTTGTTATGAGTCATTACACAATCTCAAAGTCAAGGAAAAGATTACGTGCACTGTTTTGACATTGACTCCTCTTGTCCATAGTTTGATGAAGACCTAGCTGATGGATGCCATTGTTAATCTCATTTTCTTCCTTTAGTGTCTATGTTATTAATAGCTATGTCAATGTTGATGATAATATAAGACAGAACAAAAAACTCTCAATTTTAATAGTTTAAGCCAAGTAAGAAATGCAGTTAAGTGGTTAGAATACCAACTTGGGAGTCACCTACTTTGACTTCTCCATTACTCACCTATTCTAAGATGACATGTCACCTTTCAATGTGTCCATTTACCCATTTATAAGACACTAGACTCTAAGTGGTTTTTTAAGACCTTTTGTGAAAGGTTCTGGGACACTGTGCAGTGACAACATCTTAAACACCTCTCTTTCATCATTTTTAACTCTATTTCTTCCTTTTTAAGCTAAGCTTAAATCTCATGTTCTCCATGGGACTTGTACCATTAAACTACGAACCACAGTTATGTACTTAGAGTTAACACCTGCTATTGATCATTTACCTTGTCCCAGACTTCCTGCTAATAGTATAAAATACATTGTCACTTTTTATTCTCACCTGATAATTAAGAGGTAACAAATAGTTTTCTCATTTTATAGGAGAAGAAACAAGGGCTTAAAGAGTTTAAAGAACTTGTCCAAGGTGGGATTTGTTTGTTTGTTTGTTTTTTTCTTTGAAACAGAGTCTTGCTCCATCACCCAGGCTTTCTGGGTTCAAGCGATTCTCCTGCCTCAGCCTTCCGAGTAGCTGGGATTACAGGTGCCCACCACCACACCCGGCAATTTTTTGTATTTTTAATAGAGACAGGGTTCACCATATTGGCCAGACTGGTCTCAAACTCCTGACTTCGTGATCTGCCCACCTCCACCTCCCAAAGTGCTGGGATTACAGGCGTAAGCCACCATGCCCCACCCAAGATGGGATTTTTATAATGTTTGTTTGACTTCCTCCCCCCAATTTTGTGCTTCTAATTACTGTATTGCATTATTTTTAGGAATTCCTCCTGGGGATTCTTACAGATGTTAGGCTTGATACTTATAAATCAGAATTTAATCACCATTACTTATGTTACTCTCTAGATATTTTGAATATATATTTTCTTGCTGAAGTGGACATCTGTCTTTCATTGATCTGAAAATCAATGTGTAGAAGAAGGAATAAGAAGAGGAAGAGAAGAAAAAAGAGAAGTAGGAAGAAGGAAGGAAGGAAGGAAGGAAGGGAAGGAAAAAAACTCATCTAACTTCTCTTGCTACTAGAATAAGATATGCTGTTTAGGTCACATCTATCACAGATGCTAACTTAAGACACTGATACAAAACCTGACTAACACAGGGAAACAGCAAGGTGTGTGCATCTATTTTTAATGTCACAAACTTCAGTGGAGAGAGTGGTTCTGGATCCAGCCATTGTGGTAGTAGCTGCTTGATTTGGCCACTTCCTAACTGTGATAGAAGCAGCAGCAATCTTTGGTGGCTGGTTTATACTGTGCCTTCTCGGTGTAATCCCTGCAAACTTAGAGTATGTGTTTTGAGTTCCCAATAATTCTGGGCTCTCTATAACCTGTAGTATATTCCTTTCTGCTTAAATTGACTAGCATTCATTTGTATATCTGCAAATAACCCTGATCAGTATCTTGTCACATTAATTTTAGTTCCCGTATTAGTTATGTATTGTGCAACAATAAATTGTGCACAAATTTATACAAATAATTGTGTATTATTTGTATAATTGTAATACAAATAATTGCATTTGCATAATTGTATTTGTATAATTATTTGTATAATTGTAATACAAATAATATTGTAATACAAATAATTGTGTATTATTTATTGTGCAACAGTAAATTGTGCAACAAATTACTCCCAAATTTAATGGCTTAAAAAATACATGTTTATTATCTCAGAGTTTCTGTGGGTTAAGAATATGGGCCTGACTTAGATGGGTTCTCTGTTCCATGGTCACTCACAGGATTGTAATCAACTGTGGGCCCAAAGGTTTAAGGTTTCATCTGAAGGTTCAGCTAGGGAAAGGATTCTCCTTTAATTTTACTCAGTGATTGTTGGCAGCATTCAATTTCCTGAAGGCTGTTGGGCTGGAGGCCTTACTTTATTGTTGGCTATAGACTGAATGCCTTTCCTAGTTCCTTATCATGCAGGTCTCTTCCACATGGAATCTGGCTTCATTATAGTGTGCAAAACAAGAAGGCAACAGAGGCAGTCTGCTAGCCCGTCTTTTGTACCCTAATCACAAAAGTGACTTCCTGTCACCTTTGCCCTACTCTATTGGAATCAAGTAACATGCAAGGATGAAGATTACACAAGGACATAAATACCAAAAGTCAGATGTTATGGTTAATTTATTTTATGTGTCAACATGGCTAGGCCACAGTACCCAGATATTTAGTGAAACACCAGTCTAGATGTTGCTCTCTCTCTCTCTCTCTCTACACACACACACATACACACACACAGACACCATGCACACCCTATTACTTCTGTTTCTCTAGAGAACCCTGATTAATACAGTGGTGTTCACTGAGGTCCTTTTAAAATTTTGCCTTCTGCACTACCAAAAGGAAAGTAATAGAGTTTAATGTTGGACAACGCTCCACTCCAGAAAAATCTTAAATGTATTTATGGAGCCATTTTAGTGCAGCATGGGGCCTTAAAAAACATCTGGTCTAACTCTGTTAGTTTATAGAGGTAAAAACTGGGTTCTGGATTGGGTAATGACTTAATCAAGTTCTATTTAGGAACCAAGCCAGAAGGAGAACTCAGTTTTCCATTTTAATGCTCTTACTATTGTCTGATAAGTTATCCCAAGTTGAAAGTGGAGAATTATGCCTGGTGGCCTAATATGATTATAGTAGAGGAAAATCTTCATGGACAAATGGAGCAGGGTAGTTCTACCCTTCAGTTGTTCTTCCCATAATGGGCAATGGTTTTGTGCTGGTGCCCTCTATCCTTCAGCCGAGACTCCCTAATGGTCAATAGCGTGCATATCCAAGTCAGCTATCTGAGGTCATGGATGCTGCCTTTGGCTATGAAATAGAACAAAACTAACTAGCCATGAGGGGATTAACTCCTGACCTTGGCCTCATTAGTGCTGAGCTCTAACCAACTGTTGGACACATATCATATTGTTTGTCTTTAAAACTATGCTTGAATCTGCTATATTACTTTCTCATTAATATCTAGTAGCTGGGAATAATTTAATGGATTTTTCCAGTGCTTTTTATCAGTACAAAATGCTGATGAGTAAGTGTATAAAAAATTAAACTTGATTTTTAAAATATTTAATTTTATTATTATCATTATCCCTATTTTACAAACGGTGCTGGGAAAACTGGCTAGCCATATGCAGAAAACTGAAACTGGACCCCTTCCTTATACCTTATACAAAAATTAACTCAAGATGGATTAAAGACTTAAATTTAAAACCCAAAACTATAAAAAAAACCCTAGAAGAAAACGTAGGCAATACCATTCAGGACGTAGGTACAGGAAAAGATTTTACGATGAAATCACCAAAAGCAATTGCAACAAAAGCTAAAATTGACAAATGGGATCTAATTAAACTAAAGAGCTTCTGCACAGAAAAAGAAACTATCATCAGAATGAACAGGCAATCTACAGAATGGGAGAAAATTTTTGCAATCTACCATGTGACAAAGGTCTAGTATCCAGAATTTACAAGGAACTTAAACAAATTTCCAAGAAAAAAAAATAAACAGCCCCATCAAAAAGTAGGCAAAGGAGATGAACAGATACTTCTCAAAAGAAGACATTTATGCAGCCAACAAACATGAAGAAAGGCTCAACATCACTGATCATTAGAGAAATGCAAATCAAAACCACAATGAGATACCATCTCACACCAGTCAGATGGTGATTATTAAAAAGTCAAGAAAAAACAGATGCTGGCGAGGATGTGGAGAAATAGAAAGGTTTTTACACTGTTAGTGGGAATGTGAATCAGTTCATCCACTGTGGAAGACAGTGTGGTGATACCTCAAGGATCTGGAACCAGAAATACCATTTGACCCGGAAATACAATTTGACCCATATATCCCGTTACTGGGTATATACCCAAAGGAATATAAATCATTCTGTTATAAAGATACATGGACACTTACGTTTATTACAGCACTATTCACAATAGCAAAGACATGGAACCAACCTAAATGTCCATCAATGATAGACTGGAAAAGAAAATGTGGTACATATACACCATGAAATACTATGTGGCCATAAAGAGGAATGAGATCATGTCCTTTGCAGGGACATGGGTGAAGCTGGAAGCCATTATCCTCAGCAAACTAACACAGGAACAGAAGACCAAACATCACATGTTCTCACTCATAAGTGGGAGTTGAACAATGAGAACACATGGACACAGGGAGGGGAACAACACACACCAGGGACTGTTAGGGGGCAATGACGAGGGGAGGGATAGCATTAGGACAAACACCTAATGTATGCGGGGCTTAAAACTTAGATGATGGGTTGATAGGTGCTGCAAAACACCATGACACGCATATACCTATGTAACAACCCTGCATGTCCTGCACATGTATCCCAGAACTTAAAGTGAAAAAAATTTAAAAGGAAAAGAAAACCCTGAAATATGAATTAGTAGGTGAAAAAATACCACTATAATAGATGTTCTTGTTTACAGCTGTCTACATTTGGTGGGAAATCTAAGGCTGAGTTGTCAAACACTCCACTATACCTAGGTGTCTGAGGCAATTTGTGGAGATTAAAATCTTGGGTTTTCTAATGCGCATCAACAGTAAATCCTGTTGCTTCTTCTTGTCCAGTAAAAATCAATACTTTTAGATAAGAAGCATTGATTGCAAATTATTTTAAGCAGTTATTTTAAAATAACATCCAAGATTAAGTGAGAGTTTGACTTAAAGTCATTTAATCAAGGATACTAAATTAAAAGATTACTCTGCCCGGGTGTGGTGGTTTGCAGAAGGAAAGGCAATGATCATTAACATGCACCATGCCAGGTGCTTAAAGAGGGTTACAACAACATTTGATGCTCGCTGCAAACCAAGAGACAGAATTTATTATTATTATTATTATTATACTTCAAGTTCTAGGGTACATGTGCACAACGTTGTATACATGTGCCATGTTGGTTTGCTGCACCCATCAGCTCATCATTTACATTTGGTATTTCTCCTAATGCTATCCCTCCCCCAGTCCCCCACCCCACAACAGGCCCTGGTGTGTGATGTTCCCTGCCCTGTGTCCAAGTGTTCTCATTGTTTAATTCCCACCTATGAGTGAGAACATGCAGTGTTTTGGATTTCTGCAAGAGACATAAATTTTTATTCATATTCTATTGCTCAGAAAACTTAGGGTCAGAGAAATTCAATCACATTCCCAAAGACACCGTTCCCAGTCTGAGAGCAGAAATAAAATGTAAGTCTATTCACCCATCTCAAGTTCTTTTCACTGTGTTCTCTAGATATCAGAACATATTTAGCACATGTATTATAAGGTTGGGTTATTTTTCCTACCATCGTTCCCTCTTCCTCACTTCTCATCTCCCAAAAAGACACTCTTCTAATCAACCCCTCTTAATCTCTCTCACTCTTGTGTACACGTGCATGCACATAACTCCTCACCCCACTGCCACCGCACACACTTGTGGCAGAGAGACCAAAAAACAGGACTACTACTTGGGATCCAGAACTCCAGCCTAGACTCCATCTGTCACTGCAGTCAAGTCACTAATCTCATCTTCCTCATTGGTAAATGGATGTGTTTCCTATAATTTTATCTCTAAGGATATAACTGGCCAGGCATGGTGGCTCAAGCTTGTAATACCAGCACTTTAGGAGGTCGAGGCAGGCGGATCACGAGGTAACAAGATCAGGAGATTGAGACCATCCTGGCCAACATGGTGAAACCCTGTCTCTATTAAAATACAAAAAATTAGCTGGGCATGGTGGCACGCACCTGTAGTCCCAGCTACTCGGGAGGCTGAGGCGGTGGCGGGGTTGGGGGTGGAATTGCTTGAACCCTGGGGGTGGAGCTTGCAGTGAGCCAAGATCCTGCCACTGCACTCCAGCCTGGGCGACAGAGCGAGATTCCGTCTCAAAAAAACAAACAAAAAAAAGTGTATAACTGTTTATTATCAAGTATTGTTATACTTTAACATCTGTGCTCTTTCAAAAAGTTTATAACTAATTGCCTATCATCAAACATTTTTATACTTTAACATCTATACTTCCCTAAGTGAAGAGGAGAATTGATATTATCTGGTTACTTTTATGCCTCTGCGCCATCAGCAATTTCAAGCCTTCAATCCTACCTTGTCCAATATGGCAGCCATCCATAGTCTCAAGTGGCTATTGAGTGCTTAATATGTGGCTGATACAACTTAGGAAGTGAATTTTAATTTAATTTAATTTTAATTTTAATTTAAAACCAAAGGTGAGATTTTTTTCGCTGGGACTGATTGCACTTAAACCATTGAAGTTTCAGCATCGAACTGAAATGTGCTCTTAACTATAAAATACACATCAGATTTCAAAGTGTTAGTTTAGAAACAAGCATACAAAAATCTCATTAATTTTATACTGATTACATGTTGAAATGATAATACTTTAGCTATATTGGCTTAATTCAATATGTTATTAAAATTAATTTAACCTGTCTCTCTTTTTAAAACAGTTTATTTTGACAACTAGAATAACTAAAATGTGTGAGTCACGTTATATTTCTAATGGACAGGACTGCTGTAATTGTCTTTTAGCAATGTAATAGGTCCAAGATGGGGTTTGGGTATCTGTTTGTCTTCAGGTAATCCTTCAATTCAGCTGCTATTGAGAATGACTGCCAGAAGTTGCAGCAAAGATTTTGTGTATCAACTCCCTTGTGATTTATTCTCTAAAATAATGTGATTGAATAATCTTGCTTGTTTTGGTCATCAGTCTGTATCTTAACTGAAAAAAAAAAGGTCTTAATCTATTAACAGTTTACAGGACCCAAGTATTGCAGAGGGGTTGTTATATCCAACTCATTTTAAATGTTACCATAAAGCTGTGCCTGGGGCCGGCTTAACACAAATTATATTCTCTAGAGACAAAAGATAGCCACCTTCTGAAAGCCAGCCATCCTTCACGTACACTGCAAAGGAGTTCCAGTGGTGAGATGGCACTGTTTGTGTGTGTGTGTGTTTTGGTTTGAGTGTAGTGACACCAATTATGATAAGGATTAAAGATCCTGGGAGGGGAGAGTGGTGGACATAGTAGACTTCCCCTTAACATTCCCCCACCTACCTTCTGGTGTGTCTTTCTCTTTGCAAAAACCAGAAGACTAAAAACCACATTATATACATTCCCGCAAAGCTTGGATAGCAGATATGATTTAGACTTGGCAGATTATACGAATCCTTGTGAAATTTGGAAAGTGGGATGTGAAAGTGGAGGCCACATCCGGTAGCCATGTTAAAGGAAATGAGCAAAATTTCCTTTTTACCTAAAATATATCAAATATTATCACTTCATCAAATCATCATTACAAAATTATTAATAACCTATGTTTTACTCATTTTTTATATGAAGTCTGTAAAACATATTATATATTTTACACTTATTGTCCATCTGCATTTGGACTAGTCACTTTTCAAGTACTCAATTGCCACCTGTGGTTGTACAGTGTAGCTCTAGGGCAGGGGTTAGCAAACTTTTTCTGTGAAAATCAGATAGAAATATTTTAGGTTTGTGAGACACAGTTTCTATTGCATTCTACTGTCTCCTTTATTTTTGTTTCTGTTTTTAAATATACTTTTAAAAATATAAAAGCTATTTTTAGCTCGTGCATGATACAATTACGGGCTGCCTAAGGCTATGATTTTCAGTCCCTACTGTAGAGTGAAAATCAGCCCTTCTGAGCGTTCTCTAACTTCTATGCTAAATCCTGCCTGCTTCTAGTAGCAAGAGTAGATTCTGTTTTCCACAGTTGAATTTGGCAAATTTATACGGAACATTATTCACCTTGTTCTACAGTGTAAGGAAATAGAGACTGCAAGACTTGAAGCAACTTTCCAAGGTCATATAGCTTCTAAGTGACAGAGCTAGAAAGAGAATCCACAACTGCTCAAATCCAAAGCTGACAATTTTATCCGCTGCATCATTGGCTCTCCATTATTATTAAGACTTTCTTTAGCTTGAGTAATGAACCTTCACTGATCCATTTATTTAGCTGACAAATATTTATTGAATGACCACTATGCAGAAGATATGAATAATAGGAACAATGCCTTTGACCCACATTTAAGCACATTTTTTAAAAGGCTCAAGTTTTCTATTAATTTATGAGATACAAAATGAAGTGGAAAATTGACAATTATTTGCTTACTTCAGTCAATATAGACAGCAAGTCAGATAATTCAGGCTTGATCCAGTTAGCCCCAAATTGGCAGAGATACAAACATTTTATGTTCTCTGTCTTAATCTGTTTTGTGTTGCTGTAACAGAATACCTGAGACTGGGTAATTTATAGCAAACAGGAATTTACTGGCTCACAGTTCTGGAAGCTGAGAAGTCCAAGACAGAGGGGCCACATCTCGTGAGGACCTTCTTCCTGTGTCACTCCATGGCAGAAAGCAAAAGGGCAAAAGAGGGCAAAACAAAGAAAACAAGAGAGGGCCAAACTTGGCTTTTATAACAAACCCACTCTTGATTACAAACTCACTCTCATGATAACGACATTAATCCATTTGTAAGATTAGAGCTTTCATGATCTATTAATCTCTTCTTAAAAGTCCCACCTGTCAATATGATTGCACTGGGGATTAAATTTCCAACACATGAACTTTAGGAGAGACATCCAAACCATAGCATTCTCACTCTTTTTCTAATTCAAATACTTTGTGAGCTTCAGACATAAGGAGATACTAAAATAGATACAGAATCAAGCAGTTACAGGCTACATTTAAAATAACATTATGGAGTGATCAGTCCTTAGGCTAATATGTTAGTTTTTTTTTCAGCGCATTTACTTAGCCGCATGCTTGTTCACTCCCGCTAGTTTTTGGCCGTTGTCCTCCAATACTTTATGCCTTTCCTAATATACTGCAAGTGGATCACCTATTATTTCTCTTTTAAACATTTAATAATGTCCTATATCTTAAATTGGTTTCTCTTTGGACGAGCTATCCATTATCAACCTTCCTGAAAGTGCAATTAAAATACAAACTAGGCATTTACGATGATGTATGATATTCTTCATTTAAAACCCCCAAATAAACCTCTTTCTGTTCAATGCCTCTACCCCATAATTATACATATGAACTACACTGGATCATCTCCTTTGAGAATATTGATGATCTTATGTTCATCTATGGAACTCCCACTATGTTCAAAGCAGTGATATCCAAAGGGTGAAATTCCTAGTAAGTATGAATAAATAATATATTTCATAAGGGAAGCCAAAAGCCAAGGATTCTTCTCTCATTTTGATTTTCCTTTTTCAATTCATGTGGCAACTGACATTATTTTTATTATGGGCTATAGTTTCCTCCGTAACAAATAGTTGTATTGTCAGTTTGGTTCTAGAGATTTTGGGAGTAACTCTCTTCTCTGGAAAGGTTACAAATACCCGGATTGAGGACTGGAAGCTTGAGCCATAACTCCATTAGCTTTCAGAGTATTTCAGGGTGATTTCAGAGTATTTCTGAGGAACCAGTCCAAATGGAATAATATTTTTTTCTGGTACTGTTAAGTCTGGTCCGAAACTTTTTTTCCTTACATCAAGATGGGGGAAGGAAGTGCCAATACCAGGAGAAAAAGAAAAAAATCTATTCTTCAAAAGCTGAGAAAGAAATATAGGAAAGCTCCAAACCATTAACTGGGGATACTAAGAAAGCAGGTACTTAAAATACCTTGATTTAATTATTTAAAAAATTAACTTTATTCATCTAAGCTGTGAAATAATTTTCATTCGGAATATAATAAGTATTAATAATACTTTGATGGGAATGACATAATTCAACAACTAAAAAGTGAAATTGAGGGTTGAACTGACTTTTCAGTATGCCTGTATACATACATACATGTTTGTATGTATACATATATTTTTAATTAAATGCTGAGAAATTACAGAGAAAGACAGAGCTATAGCAATTTAAATCATGTTTTTATCATTCTCGTCTTCTTTTGCAATATAAATGAAGTTTGAAAAAATTTTAGTCGACTAGTTGGCCATGAAATGGTTTGGTTTTTATGCATATTTACTTAAATGTGTGAGACATTTAAAAAAATATCTTCAGGCTCTTCAGCCTATTCAATTTTTCTTTTTAATTGTGGGGTGAAAATGCTTATGAACAATTTGCATTGTCAATTGACAGCCTCCATGTGAATGGTTTATATCTCTCACACTAATATGTGCAAAATATTATTGCCCCCTCTTATGCATATCTAGCAACACCAACATCTTAGAGACATTAAAAAAGGTGTAAAGGTAAGGGAAGAGTTTCCACTGCATTGAAAAATATTTTTGTATTATTTTTATGTTACTGAGACTTATTATTAAACTTGCTTTCTAACATTGCTTTCTAATTGCTCCAAGCTTTCAAAAAACCAAAACTTTGAAAGCTATGATAATAAGCCATTTTTAATGCACCCAAAGAACAAAATAGGTATATGTGAAGGTAAGCGCAAAACTTAAAAGTAATTTGTTGTTACCCTTTCTCTAAAGCACAAAAGATCTGAGTTTGTATCCTGGTGCATCCTCTCTTTGAGTGGGCAAGTTATTTAACCTTTTCAACATTTCTAAATCTCTCTAAAATTGTTGTGAGAATAAACATAAATAATTTCATGTATACATCTATTACCTTACAAAAATAAGGCACTGAATAAATGATCATTATTATTTTTTGTGTTATCAGGAAAAGTGTGATTTTAAGAACAGGAAGTGGCATCTAAATCTGTAAGTATATGGAAGTTCTTTATCTGTAGTAGACATAGGCTGGTTTATATTGTCCTAAGCCACAACAAAAGTAAAAGAAGTTTATATGTATTAAATTATAGTTGACCCTTTAACAACATGGAGGTTAGGGTTGCTGACACCCCATGTAGTCCAAAATTTTCATATAACTTTTGACTCCCTAAAAACTTTACTAATAGTCTACTATTGACTGGAAGACTTACTGATAACATAAATAGTCAATCGATACACATGTTGTATGTTATATGTATTATATACTGTGTTCTTACAAGTAAGTAAGCTAGAGAAAAGAAAATGTTAATAAGAACATGAGCAAGAGAAAATACATTTATTATTCAGTAAGTGGAAGTGGATCATCATAAAGGTCTTTATTCCTGTCATCTTCACATTGAGTAGGCTGAGGAGGACGAGGAATAGGAGCAGTTGTGGCGAAAGAAAATCTGTGTATAAGTGGACCTGCACAGCTTGAACCCATGTTGTTCAAGGGTTGACTGTATTTTAAAGACAGATCAATTGCACAAGAGTTAGAATAGCCAGCACTGTTAAACAGGGACAGGTACAATTTTGTATAATGCAGAGAACTCTATCTCTAGTAATTTTAAAGATAATTCACAGAACAATTTGCATTTGCCAGTTTGTAACACTTACCTTTTACAAATGATGGTGTGTATCCATAAATTCAGGAAACAGTTTATTACAGTGGTTAGAGCATAAACTTTGAAAGCAGCCAGTGATGTGTCAGAATCAGCACTTGAGATAATTATTAACTAAATATTCAGATACTGCAAACCTGTAGTTAAACTATGGGTAGCTTGAAATTGGCCATGGTGGAGCATTTACACTGTGGAAATTGACAAACGCATAAATCTAGGTCTCCCTCACAACCACCACCTGATTTGCCAGAAACTACTGATTCAGATATGTATCTGTTTAAATGCCAACTTTAACACTTAATAGTTTATAGCCTTTAGTATCTTATCTTGCCTTTCTTTCTCGCAACTTCCAAATCTAGAAAATGATATAATTATTTATAGTCATAAGGTTGCTTTGAGGATTGTGTTAACTTATATAATCATCTAGTGCACATTCAATAAATGGTGGTTCATATTAATAAGCCAAAATCATAAAAAAGACAACAAGAAAGAGAAAAGCAGAAACTAAAGGAAAAGGAATAACTTTCTGAGAACAGTGAATTTTTGCTGTATTAATAAGTATCATTAGGCAAGAGATTCTAGAACTATAATAGAGAAAAAAAAATCCACTCCAGTCAATGCTTCACTCACCACGAAGAGATTGTTTGGTGTTTGTTCACTCTCTCCAAAGGGTGGGATAGGAGAATCAGTTCTACTAGACATGTTTTCTTGGTTAGCTTGTTGCTCTGGGATTGGCTCATATAAGCTATCCATAGAGCCCTCCTGCAATACAGAGATTTATGAGTCAAGGAATAACAGAATAATAATTTTCCTTTAAAAGGTACCTAATTTATACACCCACCTTTATATAGTACTTTATTTAAATTATCCTGGGCATAGGGATTAAGAGTTTACAGTATGCTAACTTTCAACAGTGAACAATACAGTAAAGCCAGGAATTATTACACAGCCAGGAATTACTATTACCACCATTATTACAGAGCCAAGAATTTAAACAAGAGTTTAAGTGTTGCAGAGGCAGGCACACAATGAGGGAATTCCTCAAGAGGTATGTTGAAGACATTAAGCTCAAAAAACTAAATAAATGCCTTTTGAGACACCAATAAACTGTGTTGGTTACAGATTTGAGTTACATGTATGTCTCTAATTGGTACCACCTCCCTTTATAAGAAATACAGTCTGCTCTACTTAGCTTTCTCAACTGTAAAGTAGCAGTTTCAATGGCAGAGGAGGCGAAGTAAGATGGCAGAATAGAAAGCTCCACTGATCGTTTCTCCACAATAAGGACACCAAGTTAACAACTATCTACACAGAAAAACAACACCCTCATAAGAATCAAAATTCAGGTGAGCACTCATAGTACCTGGTTTTAACATCAAATCACTAAAAGAGGCACTGAAGAGATAGAAAAAACAGTCCCGAATCTCCGACGCCACTCCTCCCCTACCGTGGCACCTGCGGCCTGGTGTGGAGAGCATCTCTGGGATCTGGGGAAGGGAGAACACAGCCATCGTGCGGCATTGAACTTAGTGCTGTCCTGTTAGAGAAGAAAGAAAACCCAGACCAAACTCAGCTGATGCCCAGCCATAGAGGGAGCATTTAAACGAGCCCTGGCCAGAAGGGAATCTCTGATCCCAATGGTCCAAGGTTGAGTGCCTGCAAACCTTGCCGCCCAGGGCTGCAGCACTCTGTGTCTCCAGTAAACTTGAAAGGCAGTCTAGAACACAAGGACTGCAACTCCTATGTGTGTCTCAGTGTGAACTAAGCCCAGAGACAGTAGACTGAGGGGGCATGTAACACACTGAGACACCGGTTGGGGCAGCCAAGGGAGTGCAGGCATCACCCTGCCCCTAACCCTAGGCTGCATATCTTGAGGCTCCAAAAGAGACCCCTTCCTTCTGCTTGAGGAGAGACGGAAGTGTAGGGAGGCCTTTGTCTTGCATCGAGGGTACCAGCTCAGCCATAGCATAATAGGGCACTGATAAGAGTCATGAGGTACCCCCCTTCCGGGCCCTAGCTCCCAGATGACATTTCTAGGCAACCTTGGGCCAGAAGGAAACCGCTGCCCTGAAGGAAAGGGTTCAGTCCTGGCAGTATTCATTACCTGCTAACCGAAGAGCCCTTGGGCCCTGAATAGCCAGCAGTGATACCCAGGTACTACATCAAGGGCCTTGGGAAAGCCTCTGAGACTTAGTGGCTTTAGATGAGACTCAGCACATTACTAGCTGTGGTGGCTACAGAGGAAAACTTCTGTTTGAGAAAAGCAGAGGGAAATGCAAAGGGGACTTTATCTTGCACTTTAGGTACCAGCACAGCCACATGGGGGTAGAGCACTGACTGGGCTCTTGTAATCTCTTATTCCAGGACTGTATGCTTGGATGGCATTTCTGGACATGCCCTGGGCCAGAGGGGAGTCCAGTGCCCTGCAGGGTAAATCCCAGGCCAGGTAGCATTCACAAAAAGCTGACTTAAGAGACCTTGGGCCTTAAGAGAGCATCTGTGGTAGTCTAGCAGTACTCCTTGTACCTAGGGTGGTATGGCTACAGAGTGAGGCTCCTCTGTCTTTAAAAACTGGAGAGAAGAGTGGGAAGGCTGGTGTGGTTTGAGTGCCAGCTCAGCTGTAATACAATAACACCAGGTAGACTTCTAATGTTTTAGACTCTAATCCCTGACTCCTGGACTGCACTTCTGGACTCACCCAGGGCCTGGGGGCCTTCAGTGCCCTGAAGGGAAGCACAGAGGCATGACAGGATTTGCCACCTGCTGACTGTAGAGCCTGAGCGCTTTGAGTGAACACAGGCAGTAGCCAGGGAGTGGTTACAGCAGGCCTTGGGCAAGACCCAGTGTTGTGCTGGCTTCAGGTCTGACCCAGCACAGTCACAGCAGTGGTAGCCACAGGGGTGCCAGTGTCATTCCACTTCCAGCTTTCAGTAACTCATAACACAGAGAGAGACTCTGTATGTTTGGGAGAAAGTAATAAAAGAGAACAAGAGTCTCTGACTGGTCATCCAGGGAGTTCTCCCATATCTGGTCGAAAACCATCAATGAGGTACTTTGAGTCTGCAAGAACCACAGTGCTACTGGGCTTGGGATATCCCCTAAAGCAGATACAGCTTAGATTACAAAACACAAGTCCTTTCAAATATCTGGAAAGCCTCCTCAAGAGGGACAGCTACAAATAATCCAAGACAGTGAAGACTAGAATAAATACTTAACTCCTTAATGCCCACACACCGAAGAACATCTACTAGCATCAACACCATCCAGAAAAACAGGACCTCACCAACTAAACTAAATAAGGCACCAGGGACCAATCCTGGAGAAAGAGATATGTGACCTTTCAGATAATTTGAAATAGATGTGTTGAGGAAACTCAAAAGAAATTCAAAATAACACGGATAAGGAATTCAGAATTCTATCCAATAAATTAACAAATAAACTGAAATGATTAAAAAGAATCAAGCAGAAATCCTGGAACTGAAAAATGCAATTGGCACACTGAAGAATGCATCAGAGTCCTTTAATAGCAGAATGTATAAGCAGAAGAAAGAATTAGTGAGCCTAAAGACAGCTATTTTAAAATACACAGTCAGAGGAGACAAAAGAAAAAAGAACAAAAAACAACGTAGCGCAACTACAGGATCTAGAAAATTGCCTCAAAAGGGCAAATCTAAGAGTTATTGGCCTTAAAGAGGACGTAGATAAAGAGATAGGGATAGAAAGTTTATTCAAAAGGATAATAACAGAGAACTTCCCAAACCTAGAGAAAGATATCAGTAGCCAAGTACAAGAAGGTTATAGAACACCAAGCAGATTTAACCCTAGGAAGACTACCTCAAGGTATTTAATAATCAAATCCCAACTATCAAGGATAAAGAAAGAATTCTAAAAGCCACAAGAGAAAAGAAACAAATAACATACAATTGAGCGCCTATATGTCCGGCAACAGACTTTTCAGTGGAAACCTTACAGGCCAGGAGAGAGTAGCATGACATATTTAAAGTGCTTAAGGAAAATAATTTTTACCCCAGAATAATGTATCTGGTGAAAATATCTTTCAAACATAAAGAAATAAAGACTTTCCCAGGCATACAAAAGCTGAGGGATTTCAAGAACGCCAGGTCAGTCCTATAAGAAATGCTAAAGGGAGTACTTCAATCAGAAAGAAAAGGACAGTAATGAGCAATAAATAATCACCTGAAGGTACAAAACTCACTGGTAATAGTAAGTACACAGACATATACAGAATATTATAACACTGTAACTGTGGTGTGTAAAATAATCTTAAGTAGGAAGATTAAAGAATGAACCAATGAAAGATAATAACTACAACAGCTTTTCAAGACACTGTCAGTACAATAAGACATAAATAGAAGCAATGAAAAGTTAAAAAGCAGGGAGACAAAGTTAATGTATAGAGTTTTAATTAGTTTTCTTTTTGCTTGTTTGTTTGTGCAAATAGTGTTAAGTTGTCAGCAGGTTAAAATAATGAGTCATAATATTTGCAAACCTCATGGTAAACTCAAACCAAAAAACATACAATGAATATACAAGAATTAAAAAGCAAGAAACTAAACCATGTCTCCAGACAAAGTCACCTTCACTAGACAAAGACAGGAAGGAGAGAAAGAAGGAAGATAAGACCATAAAACAACCCGAAAACAAGTAATAAATGGCAAGAGTAAGTCCTTAATTATCAATAATAACATTGAATGTAAATGAACTAAAATCTCCAATCAAAAGACATAGACTGGCTGCATGAATGAAAAAACATAACCCATCAATCTGTTGCCTGCAAGAAACACACTTCAACTATAAAAGCACATATATATGGCTAGCCAGTTTTCCCAGCACCATTTATTAAATAGGGAATCCTTTCCCCATTGCTTGTTTTTCTCAGGTTTGTCAAAGATCAGATAGTTGTAGATATGCGACATTATTTCTGAGGGCTCTGTTCTGTTCCATTGATCTATATCTCTGTTTTGGTACCAGTACCATGCTGTTTTGGTTACTGCAGCCTTGTAGTATAGTTTGAAGTCAGGTAGTGTGATGCCTCCAGCTTTGTTCTTTTGGCTTAGGATTGACTTGGCAATGTGGGCTCTTTTTTGGTTCCCTATGAACTTTAAAGTAGTTTTTTCCAATTCTGTGAAGAAAGGCATTGGTAGCTTGATGGGGATGGCATTAAATCTGTAAATTACCTTGGGCAGTATGGCCATTTTCACGATATTGATTCTTCCTAACCATGAGCATGGAATGTTCTTCCATTTGTTTGTGTCCTCTTTTATTTCCTTGAGCATTGGTTTGTAGTTCTCCTTGAAGAGGTCCTTCACATCCCTTGTAAGTTGGATTCCTAGGTATTTTATTCTCTTTGAAGCAATTGTGAATGGGAGTTCACTCATGATTTGGCTCTCTGTTTGTCTGTTGTTGGTGTATAAGAATGCTTGTGATTTTTGTACATTGATTTTGTATCCTGAGACTTTGCTGAAGTTGCTTATCAGCTTAAGGAGATTTTGGGCTGAGACAATGGAGTTTTCTAGATATACAATCATGTCGTCTGCGAACAGGGACAATTTGACTTCCTCTTTTCCTAATTGAATACCCTTTATTTCCTTCTCCTGCCTAATTGCCCTGGCCAGAACTTCCAACACTATGTTGAATAGGAGTGGTGAGAGAGGGCATCCCTGTCTTGTGCCAGTTTTCAAAGGGAATGCTTCCAGTTTTTGCCCATTCAGTATGATATTGGCTGTGGGTTTGTCATAGATAGCTCTTATTATTTTGAAATACATCCCATCAATACCTAATTTATTGAGAGTTTTTAGCATGAAGGGAAAACTGGCTAGCCATATGTAGAAAGCTGAAACTGGATCCCTTCCTTACACCTTATCCAAAAATCAATTCAAGATGGATTAAAGACTTAAACGTTAGACCTAAAACCATAAAAACCCTAGAAGAAAACCTAGGCATTACCATTCAGAACATAGGCATGGGCAAGGACTTCATGTCTAAAACACCAAAAGCAATGGCAACAAAAGCCAAAATTGACAAATGGGATCTAATTAAACTAAAGAGCTTCTGCACAGCAAAAGAAACTACCATCAGAGTAAACAGGCAACCTAAAAAATGGGAGAAAATTTTCACAACCTACTCATCTGACAAAGGGCTAATATCCAGAATCTACAATGAACTCAAACAAATTTACAAGAATAAAACAAACAACCCCATCAAAAAGTGGGCAAAGGATATGAACAGACACTTCTCAAAAGAAGACATTTATGCAGCCAAAAAACACATGAAAAAATGCTCATCATCACTGGCCATCAGAGAAATGCAAATCAAAACCACAATGAGATACCATCTCACACCAGTTAGAATGGCGATCATTAAAAAGTCAGGAAACAACAGGTGCTGGAGAGGATGTGGAGAAATAGGAACACTTTTACACTGTGGGTGGGACTGTAAACTAGTTCAACCATTGTGGAAGTCAGTGTGGTGATTCCTCAGGGATCTAGAACTAGAAATACCATTTGACCCAGCCATCCCATTACTGGGTATATACCCAAAGGACTATAAATCATGCTGCTATAAAGACACATGCACACGTATGTTTATTGCGGCATTATTCACAATAGCAAAGACTTGGAACCAACCCAAATGCCCAACAATGATGGACTGGATTAAGAAAATGTGGCACATATACACCATGGAATACTATGCAGCCATAAAAAAGGATGAGTTCATGTCCTTTGTAGGGACATGGATGAAATTGGAAATCATCATTGTCAGTAAAAACTATCACAAGAACAAAAAACCCAACACAGCATATTCTCACTCATAGGTGGGAATTGCACAATGAGATCACATGGACACAGGAAGGGGAACATCATACTCTGGGGACTGTTGTGGGGTGGGGGGAGGGGGGGAGGGATAGCATTGGGAGATATACCTAATGCTAGATGACGAGTTAGTGGGTGCAGCGCACCAGCATGGCACATGTATACATATGTAACTAACCTGCACATTGTGCACATGTACCCTAAAACTTAAAGTATAACAATAAAAGAAAAAATTTTAAAAAAAGTTATGAAAAAAATAAATTAATTAAAGCACATACAGACTGGCTGGGTGCAGTGGGTCACATCTGTGATCCCAGCACTTTGAAAGGCCAAGGTGGATGGATCACCTGAGGTCACGAGTTTCAGACCAGTCTGAAAAACCTGGTTAAACCCCATGTCTACTAAAAATACAAAAATTAGCCAGGTGTGATGGCACACACCTGTAATCCCAGCTACTCAGGAGGCTGAGGTAGGAGAATCTCTTGAACCCAGGAGGCGGACATTGCAGTGAGCCAAGATCATACCACTGCACTCCAGGCTGGGTGACGGAGTGAGACACTGTCTCAAAACACACACACACACACACACACACACACACACACACACACACACAGAAAGAGAGAAAATGAAGGGATGGAAAAAGATATTCTATGCCAATGAAAACCAAAAAAGAACAGAAGTCACTAAACTTATATCAGATAAAATAGATTTCAACACAAAATCTATAAGAAGAGACAAAGAAGGTCACTATTTAATGATAAAGGGATCAATTCAGCAAGATGATATAAACATTTTGAATATATATATGCACCCAACACTGGAGTACTCAGGCATATAAAGGAAACATTTTTAGAGATAAAGAGGGATAGGACCAAATACAATAATAGCTAGAGACTTTAACATCCCATTTTCAGCTTAGAAAAGATCTTCCAGACAGAAAATCAACAAAGAAACATCAGACTGAATCTTCACTATAGAGTAAATTGATCTAATAGATATTTACAGAACATTTCAGCCAAAAGCTGCAGAATACTCATTCTTTTCCCTAGAAAGTGGATCATTCTCAAGAATACAACATATGTAAAACAAAAAAGTCTTAAAACATTAAATAAGTTGAAATAATATCAAGCATCTTCTCTTACCACAATGGAATAAAACCAGAAACTAATAAGAATAGGAATTTTGGAAACTATACAACATGGAAATTAAACAATATGCTCCTGAGTGACCAGTGGTCAATGAAGAGATTAAGAAGGAAATTGGAAAATTTCTTGAAAGAAATGATAACAGAAACACAACATACCAAAACCTATGGGATACACCAAAGGCAGTACTAAGAGGGAAGTTTATAGCAATAAATGACTACATCAAAAAAGATGAATAACTGCAAATGAACAACCCAACAATGCATCCTAAGGAACTAGAAAAGTAAGAGCAAACCAAACCCCAAATTAGTAGAAGAAACAAAATAATAAAGGTCAGAGCCAAAATTAATGAAATTGAAGTTTAAAAAAATACAAAAGATTAATGACAAAAAAGGTTGTTTTTTGAAAAGTTAAACAAAGTTAACAAACTTTTAGACAGACTGAAAAAAAGAGATAAAGCCCAAATAAATAAAATCAGAAAAGAAAAAGTAGACACTACAACTGATAATGCAGAAACTCAAAGCATCATTAGTGGCTACTATGAGCAACTATATACCAATATATTTAAAAAATCTAGAAGAAATGGATGAATTCCTAGATGCATACAACCTACCAAGATTGAACCAAGAGGAAATCCAAAACCTGAAAAGACCAATAACAAGTTACAAGATCAAAGCCATGAAAAAAGAAATCTCCCACTAAAGAAAAGCCCAGAACCTGACAGCTTCACTTCTGAATTCTACCAAACCTTTAAAGAAGAATTAATACCAATCTTACTCAAACTATTCCAAAAAGTGGAGGAGAGGGGAATGCTTCCAAACTCATTCTATGAGGCCAATATTACTGTGATACCAAAACCAGACAAAGACACATCAAAAAAAAAAGAAGACTACAGGCCAATATTTCTGATGAATATTAATGCAAAACTCCTCAACAAAATACTACCAAACTAAATTCAACAACAATATATTAGAAAGATCATTCATCGTCCAAGTGAGATTTATCCCAGGGATGCAAAGATAGTTCAACATATTCAAATCAATCAGTATGATACATCATATCCACAGAATGAAGTTTAAAAACAATATTATTATATCAATTTATACTAAAAAATCATTTTAAAAAATTTGACATTCCTTCATGATAAAAAAATACCTAAAAAAACTGAGTCTAGAAGGAACATACCTCAACATAATAAAAGCCTTATACAATAGACCCACAGCTAGTATCATACTGACTGGGGAAAAGATGAAAGCCTTTCCTCTAAGATCTGGAATATAACCTGGCTCACCAGTGTTATTCCACATAGTACTGGAAGTCCTAGCTAGAGAAATTAGACAAGGAAAGATATACATGGCATCCAAATTAGAAATGAAGAAGTCAAATTATACCTGTTTGCAGATGATATGATATGATTTGGAAAACCCTAAAAATTCCTCAGGAAAACTGTTAGAACTAATAAACAAATTTAGCAACGTTGCAGGATACAATTTCAACATAAAATACCAGTAGCATTTCTATGAGAACAGGCAACAATATAAAAAAGAAATTAAAAAGTAATCCTATTTACACTAGCCACACATAAAATTAAATCCCAAAGTGAAAGATCTCTATAATAAAAGCTATAAGATATTGCTGAAATCAATTGAGGAGGACATAAAAAATTTGAAAATATTTAATGAAAAATAGTTTATGTTCACAGATTTATTGAAAAATAATATAGGTTCATGGATTGAAAGACAATTTTGTTAAAATGTCCATTCTACTCAAAGCAAACTACAGATTCAATGCAACCTCAGTAAAAATACCAGTGACATTCTTCACAGAAATGGAAAAAAAATCCTAAAATTTATATGGGACCACAAAAGACACAGAATAGCCAAAGCTATCCTAAGCAAAAAGAACAAAACTGGAGAAATCACATTACCTGACTTCAAATTAGACTACAGAGCTATAGTAACCTAAACAGAATGGTGCTGGCATAAATACAGACACACAGACCAATGTAAAAAATAGAGAACTCAGTAACAAATCAGCACACTTACAGTGAACTCATTTTTGACAAAGATGTCAAGAACACACACTGGGGAAAAGACAGTCTCTTCAATAAATAGTGCTGGAAAAACTAAATATTCAAATGCAGAAGAATGAAATTAGGCCCCCATCTATCACCATATATGTAAATAAAATCAAAATGGATTCAAGACTTAAATCTAAGACTTCAAACTATGAAACTAGAAGAAAACATTAGGGAAAATCTTCAAGACATTGGTCTGGGAAAGGATTTCTTGAGCAATTCCCCACAACTATAGGCAACCAAAGCAAAACTGAACAAATCGTCTCGTATGTTGAAAAGCTTCCGCACAGAAAAAGATATAATCAACAAAGTGAAGAAACAACCCACAGAATGGGAGAAAACATTTGCACAATATCCATCTGACGTGGGATTAATAACCAGAACACACATGGAACTCAAACAACTCTATAGGAAAAAGTCTAATAATCTGATCAAAAAATGGGCAAAAGAATTTGAATAGACATTTCCAAAAGAGGACATACAAATGGCAAACAGGCATGTGAAAAAGTGCTCAACGTCATTTATCATCAGAGAAATGCAAATCAAAACTACAATGAGATGTTATCTCACCATAGTTAAAAATGCCTTATATCCAAAACACAGGCACTAGTAAATGCTGGTGAAGATGTGGAGAAAAAGGAACCCTATTTCACTGTTGGCGGGAATATAAATTAGTACAACCACTATGGAGAACAGTTTGGAGGTTCCCCAAAAACAAAAAATTGAGCTAACATATGCTCCAGCAATCTCACTGCTGGGTATATACTTCCCAATTTGTTGCAGTACTGTTACAATAGCTAAGATTTGGACACAACCTAAGTGTCTATCAACAGATGAATGGATAAAGAAAATATGGTACATATACACAATGGAGTATGGTTCAATCATCAAAAAAGAATGAAATCCAGTCATTTGCAACAACATAATTAGAACTGGAGATGATTATGGTAAGTGAAATAATTCAGTCACTGAAAGACAAACATCGCATGTTCTCACTTATCTGTGGAATCTAAAAATCAAAACAATTGAACTTGTGTACATTGAGATTAGAAGGATGGTTACCAGAGGCTAGGAAGAGTAATGGCATTCTGGGAGGAAGCTGGGGATGGTTAATGGGTACAAAGCAATAGAAAGAATGAATATGAGCTACTATTTGATAGCACAATAGGGTGACTATTGTCAATAATAACTTAATCGTACATTTTAAAATAATTTAAAGGGTGTAAGTGGAATGTTTTTAACTCAAAGGATAAATGCTTGCGGGAATGGATACCCCATTCTCCATGATGTGCTTATTTCACATTGCATGTCTGTATCAAATCATCTCATGTACTCCATAAATATATATACCTACTATGTACCTACAAAAATTTTAAAAATTTGAAAGAATGAAAAAGCATCAAGGGCAAATGATACACATTGCAACACACACACACACACACAGCAGGAAGCTATGAGGATAAAATAAATTCAAGGCATGCTTTGAAATAGCAAAAATATTTTACAAGTACAGTCAAGAAATTAATATTAATGTTTAGAACATTAATAATAAAAATATTATTTATTCATTTTTATCCTTGTATGAAAAAATGAATTTAAAATGCATGAGTTTGGATTTAAAATCATTGTGTAATGTATTATAACTTCTTTGTATTTGGGAAGCAAATTTATTAATCAAATTGACTTTTTTAAAAAGATATAATTAGTCTAGTTATGACATCATCTAGAAGCAGTCTTAAAAGAGAGAGGTAGACAGTATACACTTAGCATATTGAAAAGTTCTAGGTATATTAACATATAAGTAAAGTGAAGATTGGATGCCTTGTCTACCTTTAGAACATTTGGCCAATATGATTTGCTGTTTCCGCTTTTAAGTAACCCCTGTTCCAAACACATTACAAACTACTGGGAAAATTATTAAGAACTAAGTAAGTCATGAGTGCTCTAAAATACGTAAACATGTAGGGAAACCTAACAGAAATACAAAGTAGTGAGTGAAACTAAAGTTTTAGACATATTAAGCTCCCATCCCAAAACAGACAGCATTGGACAGATCTTAAACCCTGAGGGGTAGCATGCAATCGATGTCCTCTACATGAGGCAAACTCCATGATGGAAATACAGGGCCTATGGTAGCAACCACTGCTATAAAAGAGGGCTGAAAAAAGCTTCTGCCAACAGCTGCTAGGGCTCTTGCTTACAAGAAGATATGGGCCAGAGAAGCAAAATTTAACAACACGGCCAGCAAAACAGAATATGAAACAAGCTACCAATAGTTCAGTGTCTAGATTAGTAATAGTTCATATATCTGCTTGGAATAAGATCTCTGGACCACCAATGTAAGCCCTGGTTTTTAATTGGGGCATCAGGAAGACATGAGATTTTTTGCCTCACTAGTAGATAAAGCAAGGCGAAGAAGCCAGGAAAGAAAGAAAGAAAGAGAGAAAGAGAGAGAGAAGAAGAAAAAGAGTTGTCATTCTAAATTAGCCAAAGCACATGAAGAGATCAAATGCTGAGGAAGAGAGCCAACTGAATTGACAATCAGAAAATTAAACCATTTAATTCCAGATGAAATTAAAATCATAAAACAGATGGAGAGATAATTTAAGAAAGAATATATATAATCTCCAAAGAGCTAAATAAAAATGTAATATTAAAGAAATAATTTATGATGAAACCAAAACAGAAATGAAACAAAAATCATTAAATAGGAACAAAGAACAATTACAAAGTCTTGAAAATGAATAATCACAGAAATTTATATTAAATAATCAAAAATTAAACTCTAGACCTTTCATAAGAGAGAATTAGAAAATGCTGAGTTCACTTAGGGTGCAGCATAGAAGGATAAATAGAAAACATGATACACACAGGTAAAAGGTTAGAAGATATATTAAAAGATGACAAAATACTACTAATAGAAACTCTAGAAAAAGAAAATGATGGAATATTCCTATTAATGCAAGAAAACAACAGATCAATTTTAGGTATTAACATAGTTTTTAAAATCCTAAATAAAATATCAACAAAATCAAATAGTACCTATAAAACTACATTAAGACCAATTAGTGTTTAATATAGAAATGTAAGAATGCTTCAATATTTTGATACAGATTAAAATATTTAAAAGGAAGTTAATCTCAATAAATATTTAAGGCATTTGAAAAATTTTAAAGTTTACCCACGTCAAAATCTTAGCAAATTGGGAAAAGGCAGGACTTCCTTAACCTGAGTAGAGTTATTTAAAAAAAATTTCCTCATGAAGACTGAATTATAAATAATTATATGAGCATTAGAAATAAGAGTAGGATGGCTGATATCATAGCATTCCTACTTGTCAATATTATGGAAGCTAAAGAAGTTGAGAATAACATAAATGCTAAGGAAAGGAATACTTTATAGATTATTTGTACAGAAAATCTGAGAAAACCACAGAGTATCTCTCAGAATTCTTCAAGATCAGCAAAATTATTTATTTGGATATCAATATACTAATAATGTGTCTCTAAATCAGCATCAACAAACTTGGAGAAAAATTCACAATGGCATCCAAAATTCTTGGATGCCTAACAATAAAATTATCAAAAGGTAAGCAAGATATCATAGAGAAAATTACAAAATATTATTGAAGGCTATGAAAGAATTGAATAAAGAGTTATCTATGTTTGTGGATGAAAAGACCTAGCACCATAATGAAGTCAATTTCCCCTAAAAATGGTGTAAAATTCAAGTTCATTTCAGTCAAAATCCCATCAAAGGTATTCATATAATTTGACAATATGAACCTAAGTTTATATAGAAAAAAGACGAAGTCCAAACTTTCAAGAAGGACAAATGGGGAGCAGGGTATTCTTCTGAATAAGACTCACTTGGCAGCAGAATTATTAATATTTTAATAAGTGCTTAAAAGAACAAGTAAAATGAAAGGGATAGAAATGAACCAATGGGAAAGAATAAAGAATCCAAATAAAGACAGAGGCAGCATTTCAAATTATTGAAGAAATTGTGCAGGAGTAATTGATTTGTAACCTCATGGGTTACAAAGACATGTTAAATGCAATAACTATATGATGAGCTCAACAAGAAAAATCACTGTGCCTCAAATGAGCAAGTTTTCTAAAAGCCTCATCATGACGTAAAACTCTAAGAAAAATTGTGGAGTCAGAGTGGCATGTATAAAAGGATATTTCTGCCTCCCTTATGAAAGATAGACCCCATTTCAAGTTTATAGATCCAAAATAATAGCAATCACCTTTAATGGATTATTTATAGTATCCTTGGTTCAGAATGGGTAGTTCATTAAGTTTCTGCCTTTATGTTTCTCTTAAAAACCCCATTTACTAAAAGATTTACAATTTTCCCCTACACTTAAATAAAAGATGTTTAACTCTTTCATTCTTTCTTTAGCAGTGATCTTTATGTGACACATAATATTTAAAATCACCTGCTTCCCAGAGATTTAAAGGTCAGTGTTTTTACATATACCTTCATTTTTTTTAATTCAAGAATCTTTCCATTAAACCAGTGGTTTTTATTCTCTTTTCTTAAATGCAGTGTCCCATATGTTCACATTCCTACAGCCATGGATAAAACATGTTTTGGATTTTGCATAAGTTCCTGGCAAAAGCTGTACCCCCACCCCTTTTTCAAAGGTTATAACAGCACAGTAGGGTGTCACAACACTGTGGTTGAGAACCTACACTAAATTATGTTATGTATTTATTCCACAAGAAGGAATAAAAAACACCTAAGATAATGTTTATTTTTTAAGTACCTCATACACATTTTCTTATTAAAGCAACTGAATTTGATAACATAAACTTTGCAATGATTCAACAAAAGACTAGGGTTCTTGATGGTTCCGTCTAATGAAATATGTTTCTGAACAAGTAACTTCTTAAGGACAACTTTAACAGACAGAAAAGAGTTACAGTCATATTGAGTCCATGAGTCAGGACTTCGAGGCAATCCTTTTTAAGTAAGTGCTCCCTTCCCTATATCACAGAGGAAGACAATCAAGCTCATTATATGGTTATATGTCTTCAGCAGCAGCATTACAAACGTATGTCACGCCACGCTGAACCATGCTATGTTATAGAAACATTAGCATACTGATTATATTACCATTCAAAATGATTTCAGAAAGCAATCGTCTTTGGTGCCACACTGCCTATTTCCATGGGAAGTATATTCATATAAACCACATATAGCTCTTTTAGATCAACTAGAAAAGTATGCACAATACCACTTAAATCACCTGAAATGGGATTTCTGCCATCAGATTTATACGGCACAAAGCAAAGTTGAGAGCTGGCAGTTATTTTGTAAATTGGACTATATGGGCAACAAGAACTCGATGATTCAGCCTCCCACAACTCATAATTGCATTTTATTTTTCAAGATGCTCTAAGATTAAACCCCTTATCTTGGCTTAAAATGCCTCCTGTTTAGGTATTACAACGTATGTCAGCACCATCTCTACTGCTTATGTTAATCTTATGTGCAATTAGGAAAGAAAACAAACATCAGAACTAGGCCATCTTACTTTCCCAAATGAGAGGGATCTCCCATCGACATCTTGAAAAACCAATGAATAGACATAATGCCCTGCTGTAAACACAGAAATGAATAAAATTATTTTTGAAATCCATTTTTAAGCATTGGCAGATGGTCACAATTGCAGGTTAGAGTTATAAAGTATTTTCAGATCCATGACTACCTGATAACTTTCACTGATCCACTTCAGGCTAAGGAAAAAAAAGTAATAATGTGAAAACGAATTTGAGAGGTGCTTATACCCTTGAGTAAGCACATCTCCAGGACTGGATTAATCTATTGTACCTTGCATTTACAGTGTGGTGCAACTCAGAAAACTACCTCCATGGAAGTTTAACCAAGCCAGCATTGAAAGGAATTCATTACTCAAGGAACAAAGAAGAAATTTTGATTCCTGGGATGTCTCAAAGCAAAGCAAGCAACACAAAGCCTGCATATTTTGCAAAATTTTGTCTCATAACAAATAGAAGAAAATTATTTCTCAAAAATACTGTTCCCAGAACATTATACTTAAAAATTCAACATCAAAATGATAAATAATAGTAATTGTTGCAGAACTCTTTTTAATACTTGTCTTTGAGTAGAGTTGGCTTAAGTGCTTTAATGAAAGCATCCTTTCTCACTGTTCTTTGTGATGTGAACTTTCTGAGATGCTAAGTGTATGAATATCATCACATAAGAAGTTTAGAATATATCCTAATTTCATTCCTTTTGACACAGTAAAATTAAAATGAGAACATAAATGCTGCAAATAAAGGAACTTACCAGCGAAATGCAGAAAAGATTCATTTTGACCAGCTTCACTCTCTTGTTGCCCTGCTTTGAAAAATATGATTGCCTCTTGTAGCTCTCTCTTGCCTTCACAGCTGTTTGGCCAGTTCTCATGGGAGATTATTACAAAGTAAAATCCCTGCCATAATCCAGGGGATTCAGAGACCATTATCAAATAATATAGGCTTTTGTTGAACAAACAATTTCCTAAATTAATGAAGAACGCTGATGCATAACATGAGAGAATGAGACTTACCACGATCTGTGTAAACAGATTTCAAAGGTGGCAATGATAGTCCTAAAACCTGCAGTGAAAATGCATTGGAAACAACTACAGGCAAACCTGGAGAAAATATTATTCTTCAGGTTAAAAGTAACATCTTCCTCTTAAAAGTGGTAGGTCAAGGGTCCATCTCATATTTCTTCCCATCTCCCATTCCTATTTTCTCTTTCAACAATTAACAAAACGTTTGATTCGCTACATGACAAGATATAGAGATAAACACATTTTTAAATGGCAAGATATGCAAAGTGCATAAATCTAAAATGTACCACTTTAACCATTTTTAAGTAAACAGTTCAGTAACATTAAGTACCTCTACATTGTTGGGCAACTGTCACCACCATGAATCTCCAGAACCATTTCATCTTTCCTAACTCAAACCCCATACCCATTAAACACTAACTCCCCATTTCCCCTGCCCCTCAGCCCCTGGAAACAGCCTTTCTACTTTCTGTCTCTCTAAATTTGACTACTCTACATGCTTTCTGTAAGTGGAATCAATATTTGCCATCTGGTGGCTGACTTACCTCACTTAGCATAATCTCTTCAAGGTGCATCCATGCAATAGCATGTGCCACAGTTTCCTTCATTTTTAAGACTAAATAATATTCCTTTTTGTGTATATATCACATTTTGCTTATCCACTTGTTTGTTGATAAACACTTGGATTAGTTCTACCTTTTGACTATTGTGAATAAGACTGCTATGAACATAGATGTACATATATCTGTTTGAGTCCCTGCTTTCAATTCTTTTGGGTATATATCCAGAAGGGGATTGTTTGATTTTTTGTTAATTCCATGTTAAAGAGGAAACACCATATTGTTTTTCTCACTGACTGCGTCATTTACATTCTCACCTACAGTACACAAAGGTTCCAATTTCTTTGCACCCTTGCTGGCCCTTGTTATTTTCTGTTTTTTGTTTGTTCATGTTTTTTTTTTTAATAGTGGCTACCCTGAATGTGAAATGGTATCTCATGGTTTTGATTTGCATTTGCCTAGTGATTAGTGATGATGGGCATCTTTTTATTTGTTTATTAGCCATTTGTGTACTTTCTTCGGATTAATGTTTATACCAGCCCTTTGCTCATTTTTAAAATTTGGTTCCAGCCTGGGTGCCAGAACGAGACTCCATCTCAAAAAAAAAAAAATTTGTTTCCTTTAGTTTTTGGTTTTGTTATTGTTGAATTGTAGGTGTTCCTTACATATTCTGGATATCTCTTCTCAGATATGTGATTTGCAAATAATTTCTCCCATTCAATGAGCTACTTTTTTACTCTGCTAATAGTGTCCTTTGATGCACAGAAGTATTTTTTTCTTTTTAATTTGATAAACTCTAAATTATCTACTTTTGTTTTTGTTACCTGTGCTTTTGGTGTCAAATAAATCATTGCCAAATCCAATGTCAGGATGATTTTTCCCAATGTTTTCTTCTAATAACTTATACTTTTATCTCTTTGGGACTTTGTCAATTTTGAATTACTTTTTGTATATGCTGTAATGTAAGGGTCCAACTTTATTGTTTTGCATGTGTATATTCCATTTGTCCAACACCATTTGTTGAAAGGCTGTACTTTCCCCATTGAATGGTCTTGACAGATTTGCTGACATTTGACCACATAAATGAAGGTTTATTTCTGGGCTCTCCATTCTATTGCATTGGTCTACATGTCTGTTTCTATGCCAGTATCACACTGTTTTAATTACTGTGCGCTTCGAACTAAGTTTTGAAATTAATGACTTTTGCATATTGTCTCACTCCAAAAAAAAAAACAACCTTAAAAATGTTCTTTTTTTTGTTTTGTTTTGTTTTTTGATAAGAAAATTGAGGCTCAGAAGAATAAGTAACTTGCCAAGGTCAAAACTAGAAAATGGTAAATTCTGGAATCTAGTCCAGGGATATCTAGTTCCAAATTTTATGCTTTTTATATTAACTATATCATCTTGTGTAAACTTGAGGATGATACTTAGCTTCTGCGTCTTCAGTAAACTCATCTGTACAATGGCCTGTTAAACCTAGCTATTTGAAAACATCAGCTAAAACTAAGTGATTTTTTTGGTATTCATTTAGGTCTTTTATTTCTTGATATGCTTGAAATCTAATTGTCTTTTAAATGCACTAATAGTTCTGAAAGTTAAATTTATTTTTAAATTTTTTATTATTTTTCATTTTTTAATTAACAAATGAAAATTGTATATATTTATGAAATACAACATGATGTTTTGAAATATGTATGTGAAATGGTTAAATTAAACTAATATATGCATCACCTTACATATTTATTTGTGGTAAGAACACTTAAAATCTACTCTCTTAGCAGTTTTCACATGTACAATATATTGTAATTAACTAACAGCGCCATGTTGTACAATAGACCTCCTGAACTTATTCTTCCTAACTAAAATTGTGTATCTTTTGACCATCGTCTCCTCCAATTACTCCTCGAATCCCCCAGAGCCTTGTAATCATCATTCTGCTCTTTGCGTCTATGAATTCGACTTTTTTAGATTCCGCATTAGTGGGAACATGCAGTGTTTATCTCTCTGTTTCTCGCTTATTTCACTTAACGTAATATCCTCCAAACTCATCGATGTTGTCACAAATAACAGGATTTCCTTCATTTTAAAAACAATAGTATTTCACTGTGTATAATACCACATTTTCCAGCAATCCCACTACTGGCTATATATCTAAAGGAAATGAAGTCTGTATGTTAGAGAGATATTTGTACCTCCATGTTCATTGCAGCATTATTCCCAGTTGCCAAGATATGGAATCAACTTAAGTGCCCATCAACAGATGAATAAATAAAGTTAAATTTAGATCTTGCAAATAAATTTCTTCATCACCTGGTCCTGGACTTAATTTTGTTAAGTAACATTTATTTCCAATAACCTTATTAGAAATAAGATATTCTAAAGGAAGGTATCTATAGCCCCTTGATCTTAATTAGCAACACCTGGAGATTTACATTGGTACCTTCTGCTTTAAAGTGTTATCAGTTAAGAATGCTTTCAGTTGCAGGTAATAGACTACATGACTGAGAGTGTTTAATCAAGAAGGATTATTGTTCACGTATAAGAACAGGTCTATGGATTGACAATTGTCACTGAAGGAGAGGGTCAGCAAGATCAGTCATGAGTACTGTCTATAGTTCCCTTGCCCTTCCTTTCATGATTTGAAGATGGCTGCAGAAGTTCATAGCGTTAAATCCTCACACAGTTGCTTTCGAACACTGGAAACAGACATCACATGCACCAATGTCAAGCAGCCCTTCCTGTTTGGCATCCTTTCCATCAGGCCTCCCAAGAGCCTCAGTACCCCTATAGGTTTCACTATTTCTGCATACTTTTCCAAGTTAGTACTTTTGAAGTGTATTATTTAAGAAATATTTTGAGATACAATATTAAAATTTAATCAAAAGCAAAACTAAATGAAACTAGGACTTTGAGTTTCTTCTTTATAATCTTTTATTTTAGGAGCTATAATATTATTTCAAATTATGATTAAAAAAAGATGAAAAAATTTTCACATATACTCAAAAGTAGACTATAATAATTCCTTTATATGCCCCTCACATATATTCAACAATTATCAAGATATTGCAAAAGTTACTTCATATGTCCTGTTTTATCCCCTTTTTCTTTCCAGCTAAAGTATTTTAAAGCAAGTCTCAGCATCATGTTATTTCACTCCTACACATTTCATTCATCTCTAAACATTTTTCACTTTTTTTAGGCAATCAGAATGCCATTCATAAATCTAAAAATAGTTTCCTGATTACTTCAAATACCTTCCTTTGTCATTCCCCTCACAGAAAGGTATGGTCTGTTTCTCCAATCTCTTGAATGTCGGCTGAGACTATGACTAACTGAAACTTGGACTATGGCAGAAATATCACTGCGCTAGTTGTAAATCTACCTTTTTCCTTTTACACATTTATTTGAATTGAAAAATAAAAATTGTATGCATTTATGGTGTCCAGTGTGATGATTTGACATACGTATACATTGTGAAATAAATAAATCAAACTAGTAACATATCCATCACCTCGAATACTTATCAATTTTTTATGGTGAAAACATTTACAATCTAATCCCTTAGCAATTTTTAAATATACAAAACTATTATTATTAACTATAATCATCATGCTGTACAATAGGTCTCCAGAACTTATTACAAAGTTTCAGTTAAGCCTAGCTTTTAAGAAAGCTTCTGGCTTCTATTTTCTCCTCTTTGGAACCCAGCTGTCTTATTGTGAGGAGCCCAAGCAGCATGTAAAGAGACCCACATGAAGGAGAATCGAGAGCTCCGGTGTCTGTCCCATCTCGTCTGCATGATGACATGGGCACCAGTGTGCTCACCCTGGGAATGAGGTCATCTTGAAAGTAAGCCCCAGATGAGCCACCTTAGCTGATAGCAGAGGAACCCCATCCCCAACCCCTGAGAGCCCTGACCAAATTGAAAAATTGTGAGAAAATAAATGATTGTTATTTTAAGCCACTAAGTACTGGGATGGTTTGTTATGTGATAAAATAAAAAAAAGCACTGTCTGTAATTAAAATTTTCAATGACCTTAAAGAAAGCAAGAAGGACCAGAAGGAGGAGGAAGGGGAAGAAGAAAAGGAAGAAAAATCTTCTCATTTGCTCCATGTGAATCAAAATCCAAACAATGACCACATTTGACACTTGGTTGTCATGCCTCTCAAGTCTCTGTAATTCAGAACTCTCACTCTCTCTTCTTTCTCATTAATTTTTTGCAAAGGATAGGTCTTGTGAAATGTACATCCTGAATTTTTTTCTGGTTTCCTTCTTTGTGTATCACTTAACTTCTTCTTCTATCTCTGGGATACACTATAAATGGAAATTAACTCTTTCCTAAATGGAAGTTGATTCGATTCTGAGTCAACCTTAAAAAGTGCAAAAACTTTTGATAAGTATTGGGTACTGTACTTGACATCGTATCAGGAAGCACTCAATATTTCCCATATTTATTAATACTAAGATAATTTCAACTATTAATTACCTTAACTTAAATTGCCTAATTAGGAGCTACAATATGATGGTTTTTGTTTTGTTTTGTTTTTTGAGACAGAGTCTTGATCTGTCACCCAGGCTGAAGTGCAATGGCTCGATCTCGGCTTACTGCAACCTCAGCCTCCCAGGTTCAAGCAATTCTCCTGCCTCAGCCTCCTGAGTATTTGGGATGGGGTTACAGGCTCGTGCCACTACGCCCAGCTAATTTTTGTATTTTTAGTAGAGACGGGGTTTCATCATGTTGGCCAGGCTGGTCTCGAACTCCTGACCTCATGATCCTCCCCCCTCGGCCTCCCAAAATGCTGGGATTACAGGCGTGAGCCACTGCACCTGGCCCAGAATGTTTTCTTTTAGTTATGGAAGTGACTGCACATCAATTACCTGGAAAATTTGGTAAAGTAGAAATTTTTCTAATCAACTAGTGCTGTGGTTAACCTAAAATACAGTTTATAGAGGAACAATTATAACGTGAAAATTTTCAAAAAGTTTGTGCCTGTGTAAGTCCATTTTCACACTGCTATAAAGAATACCTGAGACTGGGTAATTATTGAAGAAAAAAGGAGGCTTAATTGACTCACAGTTTCACATGGCTGGAGAGGCCTCAGGGAACCGACAGTCATGGTGGAAGGCTAAGGAGAAGCAAGCACCTTCTTCACAAGGCAGCAGGAGAGAGCAAGAACAAAGGGAGAAGTGCCACTTTTAAACCATCAGATCTCGTGAGAACTCACTCACTATCAAAAGAACACCATAGGGGAAACTGCCCCCATGATACAATCACCTCCCAGAAGGTCCCTCCCTGGACATGTGAGGATTACAATTTGAGGTGAGATTTGGGTGGGGACAGAGAGCCGAATCATATCAGTGCTCTCTGGTCATTTTTTCAGTGGTGTCCAATAAATTGCTTTTTCTCCTCATCCTCCTCTTCCTCTTCCCTCTTCTTTCTCTCCCTCTCTCTGTCTGCATGTCATGACAATATGAACTTATAGACTTTTATATGTACAATGTGCTTCAATTGATACACCCATATTTTTCATGATGCTCAATTTTGTCTTTTATTTGGCCATTGACTTTCAGTGAGTGTGTTACTATGCCCCTTTGAACCAACTTATTGTTCTTTGAGTTTCTTGAATTCTAGCACAACAGGATGTCTCAGCCTCATTTTGTAAGTTTTCTTCTTCAGATCTAGAGTCAGCAATCCAATCAAAAAAATCAAAAATATTTTAATAGTTTCTGAAAGGCCACATCTATGTGCCATTTTATTTTGCTGTTCTTTGTTTGCTCTGATTCTTGCTTCAGTGTCTTAAGAATACCACTTTTTTCTCACATATACAGCCTCATGTATGTTTTAAAGAGCTTATTTAATTAAACTATCTATTGGTGGAAAATGAATATGTAAGAATAGAGAATAAGACAAGACCTTTGGTTAATATTGAATAAGCAATAACTTATAATCCTTTCTTAATGTGCACTACTGTCATTTGGGAGGTGGTAGATATTGGTAGAGATAATACTGCAGTAGACAACTTTAAAAATCTTTGTAAACATTTATTTCCCTGTAGTTATTTTTCAACTTGAAATTTTCCTTACTTCTGTGCCTGGTAGAGGCTATACAAACAATAAAATATCTAAACATTATTTTTGCAAAATGCTCTGACTTGTTTAAAATTACTCCCGGATACCCATTCCTCAAAAGCCATTGCTTATTCAAAGAGGAGAAGAGTTCTGGTAGCTACAACAAATGCCCCATTGCATTTCCTAACAATCTTCTCTTCTCATACACTGAAAATCAACTATTTTGTATCTATTTCCATTACCTCGTAAGAATTCCTATACCTTGGAAGATGACAATTACTTTTCATATTAACACGCAGTTGTCACGACATTGTGCAAGGCCACAAGCTTTGGAGCCAGGCAGACCTGTGTGTGAATTCAACAACTTACTATGAAGTCTTTGACAAGTCACTTAACTTCTCTAAATGTAAATTTCCACTTTTATTAAAAAAAAAGATAAATCCATTTTGAAGCCTTTTATGAAAATTGACATCAACGTAAGCAAAGCAAAATTCAGGAAAAATTTAACAAACTGTTATTATACATTAGTGTGGTTATAACTTTCAATTAAACTAAGATACTAAGAGCAGACATTAAATTTCACCGTCTGATTGAAAGAGAAGGAAAGAAGTGTGTCACAGCCAAAGTGCAGCAGAGCAAAAGCCACAAAAATCTGGATTCTATACCTAGCACTACATCAAAGGAATTCTGTAGCAAAGCCTTCCAAACTCAAATGGTTTCTTCTTCTTCATCTACAAAACAAAACAGATATAACTAGTTTTTCTCAACATTTGTCATATAACAGCACAGAAAAACAAATGGAAGGTGGCTAAAGGACCCACTAGTAATCCCCAAGTTCCCAACAGTTGACAATATGTCAACTGTTTAACATAAAACATCCACAGCCATTCATGGAATATCTGTATGTAACCACATACAAGATGTGAAGCTCTGGTCTGGAAGACATCTGAAGTCCCTCTATCTCAATGATATTTGTGATGGAAATGTAAGAGCAGGGAATGGCAACATTAGAATAGGAAACAGGGAACACGTTTCAAGCTAGATAGAGGTCAATGTAATCTTTATATTCAAATCTTATAGATTGCTGCATAAAATTATAGCATAGACCTCAGACCTCACCATATCCCCAGATAGCACTTCCTAAAGTTAGATTGAAAAAAGATAAATCATATAGTCCTTTTTATTGCAAAAGAATGAGTCTTAGCTTAATAAGTAATCATTTATTGTCCCAAGTCTATTGCCAAAATTTCCTGAAAGATAGATGTAAAGTTATGAATTTCATAGAAGCATAATTAACACAATTAGAAGCATAATTAGCTAAACACAAAAATACTTATTTTGGAAATAATTCATAGAAAGGATTAACATCTTATCTATTATTTGGTAGGTCTAGGTAACATTTTATCCCCATTTTTAAACATCCACTACCAAAGGAAGAGAGAGACAGAGTGAGAGAAAGGGAGAGAGAGAAACTCTAACAAGATGCACATTTTTGTGACAAACAATAAGTATCTTACCTTTTCAGAGACTGATTTTGAATGATAGTTAGGGAGAAACGTATTTGTTACGTAAAGACTTACAGAAATATGTTGCTTTTGAAATACTGAAATTTCAAGCTTTATCTGGTGATAGCTTTTACTGTTTCTTGCAACCAAAGTAGAATTTGACAAGGGATATATATATATATATATATATATATATATATATATATATATATATATATCCCTTGTCAAAGATGATAGCTTCTTTTGTTTTATGGAAGCTCTTTAGTTTAATTAGATCCCATTTGTCAATTTTGCTTTTCGTTGAAATTGCTTTTGGTGTTTTAGTCATGAAGCCTTTGCCCATGCCTATGTCCTAAATGGTATGGCCTAGGTTTTCTTCTAGAGTTTTTATGGATTTAGGTGTTATGTTTAAATCTTTAATCACTCGAGTTAATTTTCATATAAGGTGTAAGGAAGGGGTACAGTTTCAGTTTTCTGCATATGGCTAGCCAGTTTTCCCAACACCATTTATTAAATAGGGAATCCTTTCCCCATTGCTTGTTTTTGTCAGGTTTGTCAAAGATCAGATGGCTGTAGATGCGTGGTTTTATTTTTGAGGCCTCTGTTCAGTTCTGTTGGTCTATATATCTGTTTTGGTACCAGTACCATGCTGTTTTGGTTACTGTAGCCTTGTAGTATAGTTTGAAGTCAGGTTGCGTGATGCCTCCAGCTTTGTTCTTTTTGCTTAGGATTGTCTTGGCTATATAAGCTCTAAAAAAAGAGTAAATTTCATATGGTTCCATATGAAATTTAAAGTAGTTTTTCTAATTCTGTGAAGAAAGTCAATGTTAGCTTGATGGAAATAGCATTGAATCTATAAATTACTTTGGGTAGTGTGGCCATTTTCACGATATTAATTCTTCCTATCCATGAGCATGGAATGTTTTCCCATTTGTTTGTGTCCTCTCTCATTTCCTTGAGCAGTGGTTTGTAGTTCTCCTTGAAAATATTCTTCACATCCCTTGTAAGTTGTATTCATAGGTGTTTTATTCTAACCCATTTTATGAGTCCAGAATCATCTGGATACCAAAACCTGGCAGAGACACAACAACAAGAAGAAAATTTCAGGCCAATATCCCTGATTGACATTGATGTGAAAATCCTCAATAAAATACTGGCAAGTCGAATCCAGCAGCACATTAAAAAGCTTATCAGCCACAATCAAGTTGGCTTCATCACTGGGATGCAAGGCTGGTTCAACATACACAAATCAATAAGTGTAATCCATCATGTAAACAGAACCAATGACAAAAACCTCCTGATTATCTCAATAGATGTAGAAAAGGCCTTTGATAAAATTCAACACCCCTTCATGCTAAAAACATTCAATAAACTAGGTATTGATGCAACATGTCTCAAAATAATAAGGGCTATTTATGACAAGCCCACAGCCAATATCATGCTGAATGGGCAAAAGCTTTAAGCATTGAAATCCGGAACAAGACAAGGACGTTCTCTCTCACCACTCCTATTCAATTTAGTATCAGAAGTTCTGGCCAGGGCAATCAGGCAAGAGAAAGAAATAAAGGTATTCACATAGGAAGATAGAAATCCAAATTATCTCTCTTTGCAGATGATATGATTGTATATTTAGAAAATCCCATCATCTCAGTCCAAAAACTCCTTAAGCTGATAAGCAACTTCAGCATTCTCCGGATATAAAATCAATGTGCAAAAATCACAAGCATACCTATACACCAATAATAGACAAACAGAGAGCCAAATCATGAGCAAACTCCCATTCACAAATGCTACAAAGGGTTTTTTTTTCTTTTTTTTAAAATTATACTTTAAGTTCTGGGTTACATGTGCAGAACACATAGTTTTGTTACATAGGTATAAACACATGCCATGGTGGTTTGCTGCACCCATCAACCCGTCACCTACATTAGGTATTTCTCCTGATGTTATCCCTCCACTACCCCCGCCAACCCAAACAGGCCCTGGTGTGTGATGTTCCTTTCCCTGTGTCCACATGTTCTCTTTGTTCAACTCCCACTTGTGAGTGAGAAAATGTGGTGTTTGGTTTTCTGATCTCGTGATAGTTTGCTGAGAATGATGGTTTCCGGCTTCATCCATGTCCCTGCAAAGGACATGAACTCTTCCTTTTTATGGCTGCATAGTATTCCATGCTGTATTTGTGCCACATTTTCTTAATCCAGTCTATCATTGATGGACATTTGGTTTGGTTCCAAGTCTTTGTTATTGTGAATAGTGCTGCAAAAAACATACATGTGCATGTGTCTTTATAGCAGAATAATTTATAATCCTTTGGGTATATGCCCAGTAATGGGATTGCTGGGTCAGATGGTATTTCTAGTTCTAGATCCTTGAGGAATCACCAAGTTTTTAAGAAGTTTAAGAAATGTGTTTTAGAAATTAGTAATTTGCAGATACAATAGAGAAGAAAAATGTTTGCTAGTAGGGAAAGGGTCTATCATTTCCCTATAATGCTAGTAGGGAAAGGGTCTCTGCACCTCAACTTCATCTGTAAAAGTGTGTGGCATAGGACTGGTTAATCTCAAGGTTTTTACCTCTTTTTCCAAATTCCTGTAGAAAACTACAGTGAATAAAAGATGGCTTTAAACTTTGTAAGCAAACTAGAATAAATTACATGTTTAAGCTGTCTGATGAAATGAAACTAAATGAAAAAAGGTATTTAATTTAAAAGAATATTTTATGAGTACAAATAAAATTGTCATTTTTTTAAAATTAGTAGCCCTTTAAGGTTTGAATTTAATAGATATAAGTCTGTATCAAAAGATATAACTGGCGTCTTCTACAAAACAAATTTCAGGAGAAGGCCTGATCACCAGCCCCAGAGAGCACTCCACATTAGCTCCATCATGCTGATGACTCCAGAATAGTGCATTTTTTTCCACCTAAAATGAAATTATTTCCCTGATAAGACTTTGATATGGTTTTGCTCTGTATCCCCACCCAACTCTCCTCTTGTAGCTCCCATAATTCCCACGTGTTGTGGGAGGGACCTGGTGGGAACTGATTGAATCATGGGGGCAGGTCTTTCCTGTGCTGTTCTCGTGATAGTGAATGGGTATCATGAGATCTGATGGTTTTAAAAACAGGAATTTCTCTGCACAAGCTCTCTCTTTGCCTGCTGCCATCCACATAAGATGTGACTTGCTCCTCCTTGCCTTCCTCCATGATTGTTAGGCCTCCCCAGCCATGTGGAACTGTAAGTCCAGTAAACCTCTTTATTTTGTAAATCGCCCAGTCTCAAGTATGTCCTTATCAGCAGCATGAAAACAGACTAATACAGACTTCATGACACTAGGAAGGGCACATGGCTCTAATGTCTCTTTGCATTCGGTACAGTACAAATTTGGTATAAAAAAAGACATGCCATGAGAGAACCAACAATGTCAGCTCTCCAAATTTCTCTTTTTGTTGATGCAGCATTTATATACCAAGTTATCCAGAATGGCCTGAGGCTGTATCAGTCTTTAGCCTGATGTTTTGTGTGATAAAACTAAAATAGTCTATATTTTTATGCAATTGGCCAAACCAAAATACTCACACACTGATATATTGATTCTTCCAGGCCACCAGGCACAGCCTGGAAGGGCTAGAGATCTTAGCTCTCTCTCCTCCAGCTGTGTAATATGTCAATGTGTCATAAAAATATCAGATTATCTATGTACTATGATGAGATAAAGATTGGGAGCCATGGTGCTGGGATGACAACCTCTGAAGAGCAAATGTTTGAAGCAGTTTTTAGAATAAAAAAAATAAGAGACAATTTTCTTCTCAATTTCTTAATGGTAATTGTTTCTTTTCAGGGAATAACATCACTGTCATTTTTTTAAAAATTGAGACAAAACTTACATATAGTAAATGTACAATATAGCTCAATAACTTTTTACATATAGACACATCTATAGAACCACCATCCAAATGAAGATACAAATTTCTAGTGCTTCAGAAGACCACGTTGTGTCCCTCTCAGCCAGTACCATCTCCACCTCCAACCCAAGGTAATCACTATTCTATCATCATGTATTGTTTTGCCTGTTTTATTTTAATGTAAATTATATCATGCAGCATATACTTTAAAAATCTGACTTCTTTTATTCAACATTATGTCTGAGATTCATTCATGGTCTAGTATATTCTTCTTCATATGATGTGGCATCCTGTTATGTAACTATTCCATAATTTATTTACCCTTGCTACTATTGATTGAGAATGGTTATTTTCCCCTATTTCAGTCCTCATGAATGAAGCTCCTCTGAGCATTCCTATATACCTTTTGATGGAAATATGCACTAATTTCTCTTTGGTTTTATACAAACATATATATACATATGTATATATGTATATATACACACGTATGTATATATGTATATATGTATATATACATACATATGTATATATGTATATATGTATATATACATACATATGTATATATGTATATATATACACACATATATATACACACACATATATATATAACTAAGATAAGAACATGTCTATCTATCTACCTCTCTATATAAGAATAGAAAATTGGGTAATGGGTTAGGTGTATGCCTAGCTTTTGTAGATATTGGCATATCATTTTCTAAAGTGATTGCATCCCATCAACAATGAAGGAGAATTCTAGCTGTTTCATATCACCATCAAATCTTGGTATTGTTCATCTTTAATGTTTTGTTCTGATGTGTGTCTTAACTGGGGCTTTACCAATATTGAGGCCCTTTTCATATGATTCTTAGCCATTTTGACACTATGAAATGTGTGTTAAAATTGATCACACATCTCTAATTAAGTTATCTGCTTTTTTTTTTTGTATGAGTTCCTTATTCTGTTGATAAGTAATTTGACAAATAAATACATGTTACAAAAATCTTTTCCCAGCCTGTGGCTAACTTCTCATCCTCTTAATTTTATCACTTTATAAACAGAAGTTCTCAACTTCAATGTAATCCAATTTGTTAATCTTTTTTTTTTTTTTTTGCATTTTTTGTGTCTTATTAAGAAATCTTTACTCATTTCGAAGTCGTGAAGATATTCTCCATGCTTTATTCTAGAAGTTTTATTGATTTAGCTTTTACACTTTAGGTCTGTGATCCATCTCAAATTCAGTTCTGTGTTTGATGTGAGGTAGGAGTTGAGGTTCTTTTTTGTTTTTCATTGATATATCCAATTAACCCAGCACAATTTTTTAAGAAGACCACTGATTCCTATAGAAATTCATGACACACTTATCATATCAAGGCACTATTTTAGCGTGGATATATTTTTGGAATAGCCATAATTCCACTTGTCTTTGTGCAAATATTATACTTTCTTAATTACTACAGCTTTAGAGTAAGTCCTCCTATCTGGTACAGCTCTGCTGTTTTTCCTTAATAATATCTTGGCTATCTTAGGTTCTTAAGTATATATTTTTAAAGCATTAGATTAAAAATCTAAAGAAAAGTTTGAGTTTCATTTAGCCACTGACTACACATTACCTCATGAAAGAATTTAACTTCCCTTTCTGTTTCCTCACTTGTAAAATGTGCAGTGCTTGAATTAGACAATCCCAAAGACTTTTGCATTTGTGATTTTCTGGCCCAATTCACACAGAAAGGGACAGCAACTAATATTCATAAATAAACCACAGGAAACCTCCATTGAACGGATGATGGCCTAAATGCAGTCAATTTTTTTCTTCACAAATGTTATTTCACATTTAAAATAATGCATTTTGAAACTGGGGTTAGAGACTACTTGTTTAATATAATATCAACAGATTTACAAATTCATTGTATTTCTAATTGCCTCTTTAAAATGTGACAAAACACATTGCTTTTATTGTAAAATTTTGATAATATTCAAAACATTGGCTCACATATATTTCTCTATTCCTAGGACAAAAATGAAAGTCTGCAATAATCAGCACCACTCTACCTCTCCAAATAGGATCTTTAACCCAAACCCATCCTCTTCATTTTACCAGACTTATACCACAATGCCATAATTTGTTTTGCTCTCAAAATTTTCCTAATTCCTCATGCCTAAAATATTCTCCTGCTTTATTTTCACCAATTCACACCTAATAGTTTCTTTACAAATCATATCTGCCTGTCTTTCTTGAGTCACTTTTTTCTACTCACTTTTGTACTTTGTACTCATCCACCTGCACTGCATTACATAGTCTATCTCTATACACAAATTTATTAAACATTTTATTCTCATCTCCCTACTTAGATTCTAAGCTTCTATTTTGAATGGTCAGATGTGGAGTACTGAGTTTAGTATTATGCAACTATAGCTAGATCTTTGGGAAGAACACTTAGGTTGTGAGTACCTCCTCTGTGCCAGTCATGTGTTCTCTCATTTCACGATAGCCCTGTGAGGTATATCCGTCTCATTTTTAAAATGAGAAAATGATATTTATTAAAATTAGGTAACATCCTCAGTGTCACTTGTAGCATCTGAGCCTTTCCTGCCATCATGGAAATGGGGATGCTAACAAATTGGCTCAGAAGGCCCAGCTGACCATTGGGATGGGGAGGAGGGGGTCCTACAGGGCACAGACTAGGAACAAAGGAGCGCTTCTTATCAGAGACAAGAGGCACTGGGGCCAGAAAAGCAGACTAAGCAAGAAGTGATACAATCAGGTCAACGTCTGGGCTGAGAGATATAAGATAGATGCCAAAGCCAGAGGAGCAGAGTGTGAAACAGGGAGATAAAATGGAGCAGAGCCTGCTTTGAAATGCAGAGATGCGATTGAAAGAGGGAGGATGTACAGCAACAGAAAAGGCAGCAGGTGATTAATAGGCATTTTCTGGATGCAAAAATTAATAAATAAAAGAATAACTTATAAGGGATAAATGAGAGAGTGGCAACAAAACCATATTTAAACATTTGCAACCTGGGTAACTGGCAAATTATTAGTATGATTTAATAGAATTAGAGAATTCGGAAGAAAATGAAAGCTTGAGTAGTGCACATCGAAATGCATTTTGGATGGGACATTTAGCCATCAATGTTTAACAGGCAATTGAAAATGTATGGAGCTCAGAAGAAAAGTAGATACTGGAGTCTGCAGCTTACAAAATGCTTTACAATATTTTACCTTATTCTCTAAAATAACTAATAAAAAAACTGGGGTTGAGAAAAGTTGAGTAACCCCCACAAAGTGGCACAGTTAATGGGTGGATAACCTAGAATTTGAATTCAGGCTTCTTACCATAAAGTTGAGTGACTTCCCCAAAGTGGCACAGTTAATGGGTGGATAATCTGGAATTTGAATTCAGGCTTCTTATCATAAAGTTCAGTGGTGGATAATCTAGAATTCGAATTCAGGCTCTTACCATAAAGTTCAGTGCTCATTTTATTACATTTTACTGCCTTTCATATAAGAACGAGCAAATCATCTAAAGAAAAAGAGGGTGTCAGATACAGGATTCTATTTGGGCTGCAAATATGATAATGCCTTATGCTAACGTGCATAGCTTCGGGTGACAACAAACTGAAATTTATCAAAAACAGGTTGACCTCCCCCTTGTGAAGGATTTTTTTTATTCATTCCAAGAGTTGCTTGCTTATTGCAATTTTGCCTGCTGGTGTGGACATAGCTGAGAGCATCACCTGCCTGCCAAAAAAAGTAAATATGCTGGAAGCTGTTAAGTGGATTAAAACTTGGTACCACAAAGTAGTGCCCAATAACATAGTCAGAAATTCCACCTCAGCCAAAGATGTTCCTAAAAACTCAAAAACAAAAAGGAGAGGAAAGAACATTTTAGGAGGATTTATGAGGTAGAAGATACGAAGAAATTATACAATATACAAGCAAAGAAAACAAATTTTTGAAAATTTGCCAGATAGCTGGAAGCCAAAATTGTGAAAAGAAAAATCCCTATGAGAACTGCTAGTTTTATAAAATATTCTGGGAATTTAAGAAAAGGTAAATTAAATAAATTATGCATTAGTTATATTATAATTATGCTGCTGAGCTGGCATCCTTATTTTCTCCAAATTCTATCAATCAGTCAAAGAAAGTCACAGTGCATGGTCAGATTCAAAGTCACATTGCAATGGATGTAAACACAGACACCAAGAACAATTGCAGTCATTTTGTTGTCAGCCTGCAACTACCAGTAACCAGTGGTTTGATTTCAGGCAGTTCATTTCTCTTGGCCTCAGTTTCTTTATCTCCAAGATATGACTTAGGACTTTCTCTGTAGGATTCCTTACACTCCTCTGTTCCTAAAGCAACAACTTTCAAAACTGCCTTACAGGCAAATTAGAGGACTTTTCTGTATCTCAAAAAATACATATATATATAAACAAAGTGACATGTAGTTGCTTCAGTACGTGTAAAGTTACTTATTAAAAAGCAAAAATGCCATATAGAACATAAAAAGTGAAATAGGAAGATGAAATAAAATCAAACAACATTAAGTTACTATTGCAAGTCGCAAATGATTGAAGATGGCTTGTTTAGCTGTTTGCCAACACTAAACCAAATTGTCCACTTCATGTCCTAAATGGCCCAGCTTGGCACTGGATCATAACCCATATTCCACTTTATAGATTTTTCTTCATCAGTAATTCAGGGTGTGAAAGTGATCGATATTAGAATTACTCAGACTGTTAATATCGTTTAAATTAAATGGTTAATTGCTTCATTTTCTATTTTACTTGGACCATGAAGATTGAACCAATTTTATGAAGCCCAAACTTTAGACAAGCAGGTAGTAAGTGAAGGAAGTCAGTCACCAGCCAACAGCACTTCCTGTTTTCATATGCGGATAAGCAGACTCTCGTTAGAAACCCCAACTGCCAGAGAAGACAAAATGCTTTACTTCTCTCAGACTGACGAGGAAACAGTGGCTAACATAGAAATTGTTATTGTCCAGAAATAAAAACAAGCTTTCTTTAAATGCTAAGGAAAAAAATAAAGATTTAGTATTTTCCTCTGGTTTCATTTGCAAACATCTGTATGCACTGTTTTTCTTCAGGATACACAGTTGAAATGTCATATTACTGGAATCTGGAGATCACTTTGATTAAATTTTGCCTTGCATAAAGCAGGCTAAAAGAAGTTAACCCTAACTGCCTCCACCAATAAGAAAGAATGTATCTGAATTCAGCACAAATGGAAACTTGTAATGTTCTACAGTCAGGTGAGAATGAGGAAATGCTCAGATCTAAAAGGAGCTGTTGCTGTAAGGAAACCATTTCCTTGATATCTGCATGTTCATCATCTTAAGTCTCAGGCCCCCAGACAGCTGTCTCTTCAACTTCAGGAAATTAGACGCCAAAAAGAAGACCTGAAAAACTGAAACATGCTAAGCCTGTACGTTGCACAGGGGCCAGGCAAAACTATATTTAGGATTAATTTTGAGAGCTCTGGGTGGTTTTTGTTTTCTGTGTTGTGTTGTTGTTTTTAATTTGCAGGGAAGCCTGGATGTTAGAGTGATTCGTGTACACATCTTAGGTAGAGAAGCTAATAAGTAGATGTAAAGAAGTAAAACCGAATTCATTAAAACCTAGAGCATTCATTGACTTGTTTATTGCTGAGTGCTGAGTAGCAATCCACACACGGTGCAGTATTTATTTTTTTCAAAACAGAAACCCCCATAACCTATATGATGTTAACAAAGGGAAATTGCAAAACAATAACAAAAAAAGCATTTTGGAAAATAAACTCATTTTCTTCGCATTCTTCTTTCCATTGCTTCTGAAAATGTTTGAAAATCAGTAGCATTATAAACTTTACAGTCTCATTTCCCAAATTGGCTTTCTTCTTTTTCTCCTCCCAATCCTTGGTTATATTTGTCACCTTCTGTTTCTATAGCACATGGCTGAAGACCTAGCATTGCATCTGCAACAAGTACTCTGACTTTCTTCATGAATATAAGTTTACAGGAATGCCTGTATAAAAAAAAAAACCCATAGTAAGAGATTACAAATATCACATCCCTCTTAAATCAGCTTCCTGACTTCCTTTATCCCTTCATGGGTCTGGTATGTCAGCAACACTTGACAATGTGAGGTTAAACTACTTGCTCTGCTTATGATCTCATTCCCTCCTGCTATCTCTTTCAGAACAAAGACCTTATACTATCAGTTGATGAATTTTCAGCCTCTTTGCCTCTACCTGTTATATCACTGCCATCTACACATCAGCTCAAGCCATTCCTGTCTTTAAAAAACACCATCTCTGACCTTAAACCTTCCTCCATTAACCATCATTCTCTTTTTCCTTCCCCTGAAAGCCATGTTCTTGCAAAGACTAATTTATAATCACTTGGTCACTGCATTTATTGTTCAGTCTACCATAATTAGAATTATGTCCCATCATTCTATGGAACGTGATTTGCTGAAGGTTATTAATGATTCAAATTTTTCCAATCTAATACACTCATTGCGGACATCATCTATCTGGAGCTGGTAGCACAGTTGAGAGAGAGCTTCTTTACTCCTAGAGCTGGCTCCTCCCTTGAATGGATAAACCATTCTCCTGGTCTTGTGCTATCTCTTGGACCGTTCGCTCTCAGTCTTCCCTACGGCCTCAATTCAGCTGACTCTGTCTACTGCTTAACATCCCACAGCCACCACTGCTGTCTAGCTCCACTCCTCGATCCCCAGTCCTGGAAACCAGTCTTTGAAATCTTCCCTTTACTCTGGCAATTTTCTCTTCACTCGTCTTGCTGCCTCTATTCTCTTTCACATCCACTTTATCTATCCCCTCACTGTCAGCGTGATCTCTCAAAATATGATGAAACTACTTTTATCTAAAACCTTTAAACTCCTTCCTGGAACTCCTTATCATGTTCCCTTAGCACAAATTTCCCCAGTAGCAACCCTGAATAAGGGTTTACACGCTGATAGTTTATTTGGGAGCACAACGAACACCAACAAGGGAATGGGGAACTGATACACAGACAGGAAGGCAGGGAAGACTAGAGCTTAATCCTGCTACAATATCCTGGGGAATTGCTACAAAACTCATGTCTCCGAGTTATCCTAATGAAGGGAGAAGGTTGTGGGATACATATACAACAAATCTAGTCAGTCTGCTTCTGGGTATGGGGGGACTCACTTCCGCAGCACTTTTGGGAATGGGACGGGGGGACTCACTTCCTTCAGCACTTCTGGCCTACCAAGAATGGCCAGAGAACCTTCTAGAGATCCAACAAAGCCCCAAGGCACAGCTTGAAGTTGGCCCTGGAGCACAGTGAACTGGGCAAGGTACAAAGATATGGTGAGACTCTGACAGAATCTCCAACACGTGGCTTACAAATTTTATTTATGTCACATTATCTTACCCTATCTCTTGTGGCACCCTGACTCGCCTTCTTGCACACACCGTAGGGAAAACCTTGGATCTTGCATGATGTATTGCTCTGCTCTAGTCTGTGCATCTCTAGAATGCCCTTCTCCTCCTTGCTCACTGGTCAACACCTGATAATTCAACAGCCATCTCAATTGTTACCTCTGTCACAATCCCTGTCCTGAAATTCCGGTGGGTACTAACCAATGCTTCCCTTGAATTCCCACGTGCTATGCTCATGATTTGATTCCCTCCTGCTGTATAAATATCGATACTACAGCCTTGAACACTTCCCTGCAAGTTATGTTGCTGTATGCTGCTAAATAAGCCTTTGGTGCTAAAGCAGTGAATTTAGGTCACAGAAGCTCCAAATATAAAAATAAGATGCTGTATTTCAGGTGAGCAATTACTCCCATAACTATTTGTAGTGAAGTTGCCTACTATACTGATTTACCTTGTTGAGCAAAGTAAACCCCTGAACATATGACTAAAATTCAAAGGTATAAAAGTCAAACAATAGAGTTGGACCTTATAAGAAGAGTTTCATCCCAAGAGTTAAAACATTTTATAGAATTTTCAATTATACTTTGCCCTTTGGAAACACCCACTTTTATGACATAATAAAAAAATGCAACAATAAAAAATGTTGACATAATTGGCCAATCCCCACCCCTACCCACACACCCACACTACATACAAGACAATGATGGTGTAGCCCGAAAGAATCTCATGACTGTGGGACAGCCCTACTTCACAAGGGCTGGTGATATTCCTTAGTTAGAGGATGACATGCATTCTGCATTTGACATATGCAAGATGGATCAGGGATATTTCAGTAAAATGTATGAAAAAGCAGGTTGTGTGAAAATTGAATGTTGCTATAGCAAACAGCACTTGGATTATATTAAGGAGGAGTCTCTGGAGGTTAGAAGCTTGTCAAATTATTACTGTCAGAACAAAGAGATCAGCATGGCCTCTTGAAGCCAAAGTCAAAAACATCAATTTGAGAAAAACTGGATAACAAGAGGGGTAAACACATTTTTTTTTATTGAATTACCTCGTTTGCATGTCGGGAGGGCATATTTTGAACTAATTTTATGGATTCTCAGGCCCTTCAAGGTACAATGGAAAGAACGTTAAACTTGCAGTAAAGGATTGTATTAGTCCCTTCTTGTGCTGCTATAAGAAATACCTGAGACTGGGTAATTTATAAAGGAAAGAGGTTTAATGGACTCACAGTTCCACATAGCGGGGGAGGCCTCACAATCATGGTAGAAGAGGAAGGAAAAACAAAGGGGCATCTTACATGGCAGCAGGCAAGAGACAGTGTGCAGGGGAATTCCCCCTTAGAAAACTATCAGATCTTGTGAGATGTATTCACTTTCATGAGGACGGCATGGAAAGACCCACCCCCCCATGATTCAATTACCTCCCACTGGGTCTCTCCATGACACGTGGGGATTATTAAAATTCAAGGTGAGGTTTAGGTGGGGACACAGAGTCAAACCATATCAATGACCGTGGCACCTACTTGCCTGCCAACTCCTTTCAATCAATAGCATAATCCCTTCCTTTTAGGAACTGGTCAAGGATCTAATTTTAAGTTGTCTTTTTTTCAATGCCCTGTCTCAAGCCCAACCAAAGCAAGTGATATTAAATAGGGAAAGTGTAAAACAATGGTATGCAACCTCACTGCACATTAGAATCACCTGGGGAACTCATAAAACCTATGGATGCCTGGACCCATCCAAGATTAATTAAAAGAGATAAAGCCCAGGAATTTTAAAATTCCCTCCAGGTGATTCCAATGTGACTTCAAGTTTATGAACCACTGACCCAGCGGCATAGGCATCGCCTGACAACTTGTTAGAAATGCAAATTCTTGGGCAAAAATGCAAATTTTTGTTTCAGACTCACTGAAACAAAAATCCTGTGGGTGATGTCCAGAAAGCTGTGTTTTAACGACTCTCCAGGTAATACTAATACTAAAATTTGAGGACCCATGTCCACCTATTTTCACTGATGCTTTATCTGCGTGTTTTTAATCTATATTCTAGCTCCCCAGAGAAATAGCTAACAACCTCACATAGATATTATGCCTAACCTTACACTTTTACTAAAGTTCACTACAGAAACCCAATGAAAAGAGTGGGCTATATGTGATTTAGAATTCAAAAGCCATAGATTCCAAAGCAGTTTGCCCATTTGCTAGAGAGGTTACGTTCAGCAAGTTCTTAAAAGTCTCCAAGTGTCAGTTTTCTCAGCTTTCAATGAGAGTAATAGTAGTACTTATAGCAATGAGCTGTTGGGAGGAAAAAATCAGAATACCGACGTAAAGCTCTAGTATAACGTCTCATATATAATAGCACTCAGGAAAGGCTGGCTCTATAAAGAAACTTTCTGAAAATTTGAAAATATATAAATAAATAGAGAAAAACCTGGAAAAGATTGTATCAATTAAAACAAATCATTCTCAGGATTTAAGACTAGAAAATATCCTGACCATATTAACTCCTATTAGTCTATGAAAGATGTACGATAGCTCATTGTTTCTTTCCCATCAGAGGTGGTTAACATGAAGGTCAGAACTGGGCACCAAGCTATAAATTGGTAGTAACTTTACTGAACTTAGTTATTATTTTTTCATATTACATGCACTCATTTATAATATAATTTAGCTCCTTATCTGTAATGTTTGTTTCAAAACAAATCTGTGTATTATTTTAAGAAACCACAAATCCTTTTGAAACAAAGGCAAAATGTGAAGAAATGATTAATCGTGTTGCCTTAGAAAAATCAAGAACCATGGAATACTGTGCAGCCATAAAATGAATGAGTTCATGTCTTTTGCAGGGACATGGATGAAATAGAAACCATCATCCTCAGCAAACAAACACAGGAACAGAAAACCAAACACTGCATGTTCTCACTTATAAGTGGGAGCTGAACAATGAGAACACATGGACACAGGGAGGGGAACATTGCACACCAGGGCCTGTTGTGGGGGAGGAGAGCAAGGGAAGGGATAGCATTAGGACAAATACCTAATGCATGTGGGGCTTGAAACGATGACAGGTTAATGGGTGCAGCAAACCCCCATGGCACATGTATACCTATGTAACAAACCTGCACATTCAGCGCATGTATCCCAGAACTTAATAAAATAAAATAAGAAAATCAAGAACCACTATGTCCGTATCTCATAAAAATCTTTGAGTCTGTTTCATAATATTCCTTCTTGGGGTAAATTTTGTTGCTAGAAAATTTACTTTCAATGGTCCCTCTTTAACAAAAAACAGTAATGCTCACTCTTTTAAAAAAATAAAGTAAAAAAAAAATTATTTCTGCCAACCCACCAGATTTCACAATGGTAATGTGGGCCAACCACAAATCAGTTATTGTGTGCTCCTTCAATGTTCCCCTCTGTGTATATTTGAACTGAGATTACTAAAATAGATAAATGTGCATTTTTTATTTTATAAATAGTTTGTACAGCTCTGTATATAGTATTCTTTGTCTATATGTGTGTTTGTATTTAAGGATATGTTTATGTTTTTCTCTCTCTAAATGATAGAATTGTGGATTTAATTTTCTACTTTCTAATTGCTGTATTTTCAATTGTTTTCTGAAACAGTATATGTTGCTTTTTAAATCAAGGGAAAATACAGATAATTTAATGCTTTTTAGAATTTCCCATTAAAATAATTTCCATTCAGGAACAAACTAGAGAACAGTCTGAGAATGTGTGATGGTTGTTGTCATCCCAGTACTCCTATTCAGATGACAGGCCTGATTCATTCTCCTGCAAAGAACTTCTGTGTATCATTGTCTGGCATGCGCTTAAGGAGTCGTGATTCTCTGCCCATGTTTTCACAAAAGTAATTCTCCACTCATACTTTCTGAAAACTCTCTACCTTACTATATGCAAGTTGGGTGGATATTGTGTGGCACATGGAAAACTCTATTGTTTTGCAAAGAATATGGGAGAAGATCATTTAGGAACAAAAATGCTATTAATTATTCTGTCAGATATACAGGTGAGATTTATGTGAGTTTAATGTTGTCTTTTTCTCAGCTGTGCTATCCCTGACCTAGAATTCTAGAAATAATAGATTGCTAGATAAAAGGCTGATCATGCATCTCCACATCTACTTTTTGCCAAGCCTTTAAAACTAGGCCAAATATCTTACTCTTTCAAAAAGTTGTCACATTATAAGTGAAAGCTCTAAAGAAAGGCTTTTGTTTTACAGCCTAGATGACTGAGTGTATCTAACATGTCTGTACATAAACGTAGTTGTATGGGTACCATTGAACCAATGTTCAAATTAGATAGACACTTCAAAGACATTAATATGTTATTGTAACCTAGAATTAAGAAAGGAAGTTCAGACTAAAAGTTTATACAGAAATATTCAGTAGAAAACTGAAAACATTTTTAGTTATTTAAATTTGCCTTAAAAATAAACCTACAAAATGTGGATCAAGTAGGGGGATAAATATATGACAAGAATAATATATTACATATGTCATACTTTAGTGTCTCTGAATATTTAGAATTAATAATTGTGGCTATAAAATGGTTATAAAAACTGTTTTAGCTAATTAAATTTATAATTTTAGACAATAGTAGGGTTACATTTTTAGCTTAACTAATCTGTAGATTCCTCTTCCTGTTAACAAAAGCAAAAGAAAGAAAGGAAATGAGGAAGAAAGGAGGGAACAGGGAGAGAGGAAGGAAAGGAAGGAAGTGCTGTGGTCTGAATGGTAGTGTTCCCCCAGAATGTGTGTTAGGACCTAATACCCAATGTGATAGTATTAAGAAATGCAGCCTTTAGGAGGTGATTAGGTCACCTCTTAAATTAGGTTAGTGCTTATAAAATGAGGCCTGAGGGACCCTGTTTGGCTGTTTTACCAAGTTAGGACACAGAGAAGGTGCCATCTATGAGAAACAGGCCCACATCAGACACCAACTCTGCTGGCACCTTGATCTTGGACCTCCCAGTCTCCAGAACCATGAGCAATAATTTCTGTTGTTTATAAATTACCCAGTCTAAGGCGTTTTGTTATAGTAGCCTGAATGGAGAAAGCAAAAGAGGAAAGGAGAGAGAGACAGAGAGAGAAAGAGAGGAGAGAAGAAGGAAGGAAGGAAAGAAGAAAGGAAGAAAGGAAGGTAGGAAGGAGGGAAGGAAGGAAGGCAGGGAGGGAGGGAGGGAAGGGAAGGGGAAAAAAACAAACAAGCGAGAGGGAGGGAGGCAGGGAGGAAGAAAGGAAGGAGAGAAGGAAGGAGGGTAGGGGAGAGGAATCTATTTCTTTTCTTTGTTTTTTGAGACAGAGTCTCAGTCACTCTGTCACCCAGGCTGGAGTGCAGTGACATGATCTCCACTCACTGCAAACTCTGCCTCCTGGGTTCAAGCAATTCTTATGCCTCAGCCTCCCGAGTAGCTAGGATTATAGCTGCATGTCACCACACCCAGCTAATTTTTGTATTTTTAGTAGAGACGAGGTTTTACCATGTTAGCCAGGCTCGTCTTGAATTCCTGACCACAGGTGATCTGCCCTCCTAGGCCTCCCAAAGTGCTGAGATTCCAGGCATGAGCCACCGTGCCCGGCTGGGAGGAATCAATCTCTTAAATGTAGCAAGGGCCTTTTGAAATCTAAATAAAACACAAAAGGGCAAAACATTGACTAGCCGAACACTGGTCTTCTGACCCATCTGGGGTCTCAGCCTGGGCTACACTGAGCTACTTCTTGTGGTGCCTTGAAGTCAGTTAATTTCACTTCCTGTTTTCTGGGCCACTTCACCTCTCCACTATATCCAATTAATCAATACTTTCTAGTAATACCACATCGAATAATAAAACTCACATCAGAAGCCACCATCACTCCCACCTCATTTTTAATGGCCCATGCCTTATTGACCAGCTCTGTAATTACTTACCAGGCTCACTGCATGCCATTTACTTTAGCACCAACAAACTCATTCCCTTGCTGACCGGTGTGGATATGCCACTCCCCTACCTAAGTCAGTGCTTTTTCTTCATCTAAAGTACCATATGTTAATCTGGAGTTTGAGTCTTGAAATACCTTCTAAAATCTATATACATTTGGGTTTTTCTGCATCAGTGCTTATTTTTCTTGGTTGACAATGCACTGCGTCCTTCATATTCTAAAACAGGCCTGGAATTCATTCAAGATGAATATCTTCAGAACAAAGCCAAAGACTTTAGCATAGACTGCAAGAATTATTTTTGAGATAAAGTTTCAATCTTGTTGCCCAGGCTGGAGTGCAGTGGCACGATCTCGGGCTGCCCGGGTTCAAGCAATTCTCCTACCTCAGCCCCCAGAGTAGCTGGGACTGCAGGTGTGCGCCACCACGCCCGGCTAATTTTTGTATTTTTAGTAGAGACGGGGTTTCACCATGTTGGCCAGAATGGTCTCAAACTCCTGACCTTGTGATCTGCCCACCTTGGCCTCCAAACGTGCTGGGATTACAGGCATGAGCCACTGCGTACAGTCAACTGCAAGACTTTCTATGATCTAACCCCAAAAGACCTCTGCCATTCCAGGGTCACCATCTGCCCCAAACACTTAATGCCCAGCCATATCATACTCCTTTTAAGGTCCTCTAACTGCACCAACTTTCTAACTTTTCCATGTTTTTGCACATGTTGCTTCTCCTTGTATTTTGGACTCTTCACCATCATTTATTGTCCAACTTCAACTCCCTTTTCAAAATCAAATTAGAAGTCACTTTTTCTGTGAAAGTTTCTCAGCCTCCACTATGCTAATATGCAGTTGATAGCTTTATCTTAGTTTGCTGTGGTACCTGGGCATATCTCTATCATGACAATTTTCAAATAATATTGTAGGTGTGTATGCAGCTGGCCCACTTTGAAGAGTGGGCTACCAGAAAAAAGAAGTTGTATTTTATTCTTGTTGGTAATCTCAGAGTCCAGCAGTATCTAACACTTAGTAAGTGCTCAGTCAAACTTTGATGAGGCAAAGAGCATAAAGTCAGCTGAGCAAGAAGACAGAGACTTTTGATGGAAACAGAAAACTTCAGGGCCATATTTCACTCATGAAAACCATCCCCAGGGCAATAACTAATTAATAGCAGGCATTTGGTAGAGGCGTGTTGCTGAGAGTGAACCCCTTTAAAAATCGAAATGATAGAAAGTTTTTAGTTACATTATGCACTGACAAATTACTTGAGCAAAAGCTGAGAACTAACTGTCTGCTTATAGCAAAAGGAACTTGAAATAAGGAAGTGACATCCCAGGGTGCAATCACATGTTACTTAAGAAATTCAGCAGAATTTTAGCAGTAGAAAAATTTAGCAATTGAAACCAACCCTGAATAGAATTCTTTTCTTAGTTCCAATTGGCTATGTATAACCATTTACTCACAAGGCAAAATTGGAAATTAATATTAGAAATACCTATCATTCCATTTATAGTAAATAATTATGCTGGATTTTACTATATATTGAGTTGCAGATACAGTTGTTCCCAATCCATAATTATGCTTCGTTTTTTTGTTTTTTGAGACGGGGTCTCGCTCTGTCACCATGCTGAGAGTGCAGTGGTGTGATCTCGGCTCACTGCAACCTCCGCCTCCTGGGTTCAAGCGATTCTTGTGCCTCAGCCTCCTGAGTAGCTGGGATTACAGGCATGCACCACCACACTCAGCTAATTTTTGTATTTTTAGTAGAGATAGGGTTTCACCATGTTGGCCAGGATGGTCTCGATTTCCTGACCTTGTGATCTGCCCACCTCAGCCTCCCAATGTGCTGAGATTACAGGTGTGACATAATTATTCTTAATTAACCATTTTGTTGTTTGTGGTCTTATAAAATCTTTAGTTAAAAGAAAACCTGACTGTCACAATCAAGGTTCCAGGCCCCGGAATGAGGGACGCCAGATGAGAAACGAGACTTAGTGATGATTTCTATAACAACATTTATCCCAACCACACATTACATTTGTAATCTCTTAGACCTTGTAAAGGGGATTTTATTAAAACTACAAAAAGTAAACGTATATGGATCTAAATAATTAAGACAGAGAAGATAAAGTTAGCATCTGAGGCTGCAGGTAGGATGGATTTCAGCTGAGCTGGAACTAGAGCAGAAGCAACCTGTGAGAAGGGTTATAGACAGACGTGCGAAAGAAGGTGTTTAAGAAGTGTTGCAACTTTCATTTTCACATTCTCAATGTTCTCACTCTGGTTTTTGTGTGACCCCAGACTGATATGTCTTCCAAAGCAGTACCCAATGGCTGGAATTCGTGTACATTATCATTTATTATTTTAAATGTTTTCAGAGTTATTGTGATCTCTTCTGCCACACCAAATTTATGCAGAGTCCTTGGCAAAGAATGTAGTGGACTTGCCCACATTCCACTCCATTCCCTGTCCTCTGACCTTCAGCACAGACCACAGAACAATGGTTGAGAACGCAGACTATGGGAGCCAGACTGTCTGGTTTCCGGTGTCCGTGACCATGAGCAGACTGTGTGCTTTGCATTCTTCCATCTGTCTAATGGGGACAATAATAGTTCCTCCCAGGCTTGTTATAAAAATGAATAGTTACTGTCAACTCTAAGCAAAGCTCTTAGATCAGTTCCTGGAGCATCACAAGGCCCTGTATGTGCTTGCAAAATAAATAAATAGCTCCACTTTGGGCAGGTAAAGTGAAGTGTTGAGTAAATTGTTTCTTCATAGTGAATAAAGAAACGGTTATGGAATGCCCAGCATAAGCCTTAAACACATCCACTCTTCCCCCTGGGTGAAGCCAACAATGATACTAGGGGGATAGTTATCATTCCTGCCTGCAACCCAGAACTGAGGAAAGAGGACCAGGAAGAATATCAGGGCTCCTATAACCTTACCCTTTATTTTTGCAAATAAAGGAACTGAAAGAGTTTAAAGAATTTGCTGAAAGCCACACCACATATTTAGTGTGAGTCACAAACCCATTTCTTGTGACTATCAGCTTAGCTCTCTCCATTATACTCATGTCATTAGAGTGGTTATGACAGGAAAGCAGAAGAAAGGCCAGGAGTCCAGGGGTTCCTTGATGAAACACCATGGAGATGTAACAGGCAAAGAAAGAAGATGGGGCCCCAAAATATAACTTTCTCTACCAGTTCTGCCAGAACTTCTCAGACTGGCTTAAGCAAATAACTTTGCACAATTTTTTCATCAGCTAAGAGAACAGTTTATGAATGCCTTAAATAAATTTGACTATTTTTTAGCTTAATTGATAAGAAAATGCATTTCCATTTACAGAAACTAAAAGTAACCTACTTGAAAACTCAGTCCTCAAGCTTTAGAGTTTGCGTGCACTCTGTAGGAATGCATAACTGTAGGAATGGGGTTATGATTTGCCTTTGGGAATTCTTGAAGTGAGTCTGTTTACTCTTGTATTTCAGCACCTAGCCCAGTGCACAGCATTCAGTGAATATTTCTGATTTCCTATTTTAGTGTATATCAGCGGCCCTCAAACTTTACTGAACATGAGAATCACTTGGCAGAGCTTGTTAAAAAAAGGTGGATTCCCTCAATACAACCCCTAGAGGAGAATGGCCCAGCAGGCCTGTGGGGCATTTTTAACAAGGTGCTCTTGATTCTGAGGGAGGCAGTCTTACATAATGCTCAAATTGGAAATATAAATAATAAGCTCATATCAATTTGTCACCTTTAGAATTTGAACCAAAATTTCCCCCACCTACACATGCCTCACAAAGCTATGTTATAGGTGCTCTCTAACTCACACGCCTCAGGGATCCCATCAGCACCATGTTTTTTTCTAGCCAGAATTCTAATGAAATGTAAGAGTAGTATTCTCCTCATGCAAAACTTAATTCTGTCAACTCTTTCTCAATATTTGGTTATTTTTGTTAGTGAGGCTTAATTGCAGAGAGCTGTTTAGAGAAATGTTGAAGGGCTAAATTTGACATTTTCAGCACAATGGAAGATTTTTGACCTCCTGGACTAGAGACTTAGTCAATATATCTTCAAGTCTATCCTTTTGCTTGTTTTCAAATACTATAAATTAGGACAATGATCTCAGAGTAGGGCTCACATCATGAGAGGCAAGGTGACTGCGGAGCAATTATATGACTGATACTAGCCTTTGAGGACAGGTTTCCACCAGAAGGTTGTCTGGAGTCAGTATGAGACATTCTGAAAACAAGTGATGTTTCACATGCCCACAGATACACATTTAGGCCCGAATTCTCCATATTCAAAGGTCTACGGGGTTCCAGTGCTCACCTCTGGGGGCTTTTTTGTTAGTAGATTTGGCTCTCATAACAAGTGACAAGATTATGGCTGACACTCAAGTCTCTGGCTTATGTGGAAAATGTCATTATTTACAATTTTCCTCCTTTGGAAATATTAAAGAAAATACGTTTGGTGGTTTAATTATCATCAAAAAGTAATTGAGGGAGACTGGGTACATAGAACTATAGTAGGAGTTAGAAAGTGTAAATTAATCTATAGAAAAGTGATAGCTCTAGAAGGCTATGCTATAAACAAAGTAACAGACACACTGGCCACTGACAAGTTAAATAAGAAAGAACCTAACATGAATGTAAGTACAGAGTCAAGTATCTGTTGAGTGGATGGACGCAAAGGAATTTGTGGATTTACTACTTTCCTTACACCCTCTACACTTTCCAAAGCGTGACCTGGCACACTTGAATAGATTCACTGTGTGCTGAAAGAGACCACTCTTATTGCTATTTCAAGGGAAATATTTTAAGACTTGAGATATTATAGAAACCTGAACAAATAGAAAATGGAAAAAAATAATCGGAGAACAAAGTAATACAGTCTGCCCAGGCTTGAGTGAAAATCAAAGTAGCATGGTGTATTAGTCCGTTCTCATGTTGCTAGTAAAGTCATACCTGAGACTGGGTAATTTATAAATGAAAGGGGTTTAATGGACTCACAGTTCCACATGGCTGGGGAGGCCTCACAATTATGGCAGAAGGCGAAGGAAGAACAAAGGCTTATCTGACATGGCAGCAGGCAAGAGAGGGTGTGCAGGGGAACTGCCCTTTATAAATTTGATCTCCTGAGACTTATTCACTACCACAAGAGCAGCATGAGAAAAACCCACCCCATGATTCAATTACCTCCCACCAGGTCCCTCCCACAACACATGGGGATTATGGGAGCTACAATCCAAGATGAGATTTGGGTGGGGACACAGCCAAGCCATATCGCATGGTATTCATTGATATGTAAATGGAACCAATAATCAACTAACAATGATAAGCCTTGTACTGAGAAAATGACAAAGAAGAAGTATATAGGGCCCCTGTTTTTAAGAAACTTACAAACGATTGGTAGTGAAGACAACATAAATGCATATAGATTACAAAAGTGTCAGAAACAGGTATGTGCACATAACATAGGACAGTGGCAATAAAGTTCTAAAAATTAAACAAAGTTTGGACAGAGATAAACGGCCTGGTTTCATGGAAAGGGGTGTGGGCGATGTTTTAAGTGAGGGCAGTGGCAAATCTTAAAGTAGGAAAATAATAAGGCAAGCAGGATGGCATAGTTTATGCCTGGCTGCAGACGGGAGGTGAGAGTGATGTGCAACACAAAATAAGAACAGCAAGGTACGGGATGAACAAAGAAAGAGAGTCAGAACATTTTATTTTGATGCAAATTAAAACTAAGAATTCTTTTCAAGTTATTTAAAGACAGTGACATAATCAAAAGGATGATTGCAGAGGATCATTCCTTCTACTTATAATTGGAGGAGGAGAAGGAAAAAAAAGAGTTGAGTTCTGCTGACGTTTTTAATCCATTAATTTTAAGGCATCCACAAAGGACAAAGTTAGATCAAAAACGTGAAAGAAGTTCACAACATTTCATCAGATGCCCAGGAGGTCTTGGCAGTAAAAATGAGGACACCTCTGCACCAGACCATGTCGCCTGATTGAAAAAACAAACAAACAAACAAAAAAAACCTCCAAAAAAACTCTTCTTCCATGGAAACAAATAATGTGTTCCACTTCTGCCAAGGTCATTCTGCATATACAGATGGCTTAGGTGGCTCAGTGTAGTTAACTCCTCTCCTTTGGCAGGGGAACAGAGATTTCCATCATATCCTTCTCTGCTCACTGATATCTGGCCCCCAGCCTTGCTTGATCTTGATACTTTGGAAAAACTGTGTTGTCTGTTGTGGTGGTTATTTTGGTTTCTCTAATCTTAATGTCTTCTATAACAATTATTAGTGGCAACATATAGATGAAGCCAATTCAACATTACCTCGAAGAGACGAAATGCTTCATCTTTGCCAAAGATCTCAATTGCCAAAGTTAGGTGGCTGGGAGAAGTCTGTTAACACAGCTCCCCTTGGCTGGGATTCACTCCAGTGTTTGTAATTTCTCTGAAGACCCATTGAGCAACCTGGCCTGAGTTTGAATTTGTGCAAAAAAGCCTCTAACCAGGTGAGTTGCACATTGTTTCCAGCTCATTAGAGATGTTTTGGACAACTTTTCTAATGAGGTTTGACATTTGACTACCATGGCATATGTGTCTTTCTCCACCATGTCACCCTCCCCCTACTCTGTGCTTCCTTTGCTCTTGCTCAATTTTGTGAGTGAATCATCTGATCTGTGCCTTATATGACCATGCTCTAGTTTGATTAATCTCTCTCATCAACGCTCCTTCCTGAATCCTCTGATTAAATCTGGTCTTCTCTCTCCCCACTCCATAATACATGGGACCTTTTAGCAGCTATTAATTATTTAAAAGAACGTTACTTTCTATCATGCTCAAGTTGGTTGCTGCAGTTTTCTGTCCACCACGAGGCTTCTGTTAAAAATTATTGAACCCAATTAAGAAAGACTTTCAAACACCAAGTTCTAAAAATCTATAGAAGATATTCTTTTCCTGTTACATCGACAAACTTGATAGGTTGGGGGAGGAAATAGATACAATATGTCTCACCAAAATATACCTCTTTATTTTATCCTAAATGGCATATGGTACTCACCAACAGATTGAGAAAGTGTTATTTACATCAAATTATCAGCAGGTGACTGTAAAACTTCTAGGGGTCATTCCCAAGGAGGATTTACTAATGGGTATTTCTGATCCAAGCAGTCAAAATTCTGGCAAAATTCTACATATGTAAGTCCTTTATATAATGTTATTTTTTAATTAGCCCAGTTCATGAATTACTGAAAAGTGACACAATAAATTAACTAGTTGTTTGGCTCAAAACACACACACACACACACACAAAACAAAATGGCTGGACTGATTTTTCACCAATTTGACTGAATTAACTGAAAGTTTGGTCGTGGTATAGAGTCTTTAGTAAATCTGCTCACTAATTAATTTTCTGATGGTGATGAATTAGCTGATAACAGCTAAAATAAGACATGACCTTTATAAGCTGAAATCGCCTGTGGGTCTAAAGAGGATGAAGTAATAATATAGTGCCAGGTGCAGCTCGCATCAATTAGGTAGAAAAAAATAAACGATCCAGAGAGAGTTAGACTGACTTGTCTAAGCCAGGTAGGCTTCTGAAGTCAGAGCTGACCCCACTTCAAACGTGGCATAATAATATGGCAGTGTAACTAAGAGAAGCACGGTGCTTAGCTGTATTAATAGAAAAACAGCATGTCAGGAAATGATGAAATTCTCATTAACAGTTTCCAAGCAGGGCTGATATTCAGCTAGTAAGTACCAGGGTGGCATTCAGGTAAGAGTGTTTATGCTGATCGGTCAATGTCCATCAGTGTTAAATATTTAAGATTCTGTGTATGTGAGGAAAGTTAGTGTTATAGGATATATTTTGATACCAATTAAAGGGAAAGTATGATCACTGTAAAATTTACTGAAGATATGGACTCTACTCTTGCCTTTTCCCTTAATAAGAGCCCAATGCAAGTTATCTCTGTAACCCTTTGTTTCAGTACAGAAAGTTGGACGAAATAATATTGATTACCACTTCTAGCTCTAAAATTATGACTCAAGGAAACCTTGTCTCTGAATTTTTCAAACTGAATAGTTTCATATTTAATTTAAAATACAAAATAAGGTCTACGCCATTTATACAAGAATTGTGTCTTTAAAAAACCCCGAATCTTAGACATTTAGTAATATTTAAAATTTTGCATTACTGCTATGTGAATGTGAATTGTATGCCTCTCCATAATAGTAAAAATATAAATGAATAACATAAAAATAAAACTTTATCATCACTCAAAAAACCAAGACATCGGTTGGGGACACTAATGTGAATGTGTAATTTTACTTTTCTTCCTTCTCTTTTTATTTTTTTAATTTTTAAAATTTATTTTATTTTAATTTTTTCAGACAAGGTCTCACTCTGTCACCCAAGCTGGGGTGCAGTGGCACAATCACAGCTCAATGCATCCTTGACCTCCCAGGCTCAAGTGATCCTCCCACATCAGCCTCCCAAGTAGCTGGGATTACAGGCATGCACCACCACGTCTGGCTAATTTTTTGTGGGTTTTTTTGTAGAGTTTTGCCACGTTGACCAGGCAGGTCTCAAACTCCTGGGCTTGAGTGATCTGCCCACCTCAGCCTCAAAGTACTGGCATTTCAAGTGTGAGCTGTGGCACCCAGCATCTTTTTTTTTTTTTGAGATGGAGTCTTGCTCTGTCGCCCAGGCTAGAGTGCAGTGGCACCATCTCGGCTCACTGCAAGCTCCACCTCCCGGGTTCACGCCATTCTCCTGCCTCAGCCTCCCAAGTAGCTGGGACTACAGGTGCCCGCCACCACGCCCTGTTAATTTTTTTGTATTTTTAGTAGAGACGGGGTTTCACCGTGTTAGCCAGGACCAGCATCTTTTTAAAAAAATCCATACTTATTTTTGATCCATTCAAGAGGTTGTATATTTGGCAGGGGGTGAGGAGAAGTGACTACATTAGTTTGAATGAAGAGAGAAAGAGAAGCCACCCAAAGTCAAATTCACAGAAAAAAAATTTTTATTTGCTTTTGATTGTTCAAATGATCATTCTATATAATTCATTAACCACATCTCATGCCATTAGAAAGGAGAACATGCAGTATTGATGCCAAATTAGAACAGACATGGCCCATGATTTTCCTGAAAACACCAAGGTACACATTATTATTAGTGTGGATCTCACTGAATGTACGTAGAGCTGAAATTTTTATTAGAAAAAAAAGGAAAGTCTCCACACACTGCTCCTCTCTGGTGCAGCTCATCTGCAAAGCAGAAGCGAAAAGTCTCCTGAGCCTTTCATAATCCCAGCTAAATGCTTTCTCAGGCATTTTCCACATATTGCTCAGAGGTGTGTTGATTAAACTAGGCTTATTAGACTAATTGCTTTGTTTATAAGCACATGTGTTAGTACACGAAATGGAGAGTGAAGTCAATATGAAGAAAAATACTTTATATAGTAAACATTTGGCCAGCAAACTGATTCTCCTGACTTTCTTCATCCATTATATAACACACACACACACACACACACACACACACACACAGGCAATGTGATGAAGAATACCAAATAGAAAGAAACAAAATCAATTCTGGTAAGTAAAAGTGCACATTTCTTTTGAGATTCTTTTCTTTTTGAGATTAGAAGAGGTGAATGCGGGGAGGGATAAGACATTTTCTACTTAAGAACGAAGAAGTACTAAACATGGGGGATTTATTTAACAAGAAAAGTCACATGATTGAGATTAGACATCTCTTTCTCAAGGTGCTCCTGGGAGATAATGGCTCTCATACCTATCATTCAGTGAAGGCATTGGTTTTGTCTGGTAACATAAAAATGAATCTGAGGACAGACGTTAACTCCTTCATCTCTATCTAGCCATGATGATTTTAAGAATAACTCTAGAATATATTTGTTCTTTTACATTATTGTCATTTCTAAATTTTTTAAGTAGTAGAGTCTGTACGAGTCAATTTTCTTTAAAACATGGTAAACTTAAGACAGTTAAAAAATAGAAACTATCAAATATATTCTGTATTCTGTAAATAAATAATTTAAAGTACCATTATCTCATGCCTGTAATCCCAGCACTTTGGCAGACTGAGGTGGGTGGATCACTTGAGGTCAGGAGTTCAAGATCAGCCTGGCCAACATGGTGAAACCCTGTCTCTACTAAAAAAAAAAAATTAGTCAGGCGTGGTGGAGGGTGCCTGTAATCCCAGCTACTTGGGAGGCTGAGGTTGGAGAATTGCTTGAACCCCGAAGGCAGAGGTTGCCGTGAGCTGAGATTGCGCCACTGTATAATCAAGGCAGGAAAAAAAAAGTTTAGCATAAAACAGGCAGAAGAGTTAGAAAATGATTCTTCATTTGTAAAATAGGTATATCTACATTGTTTTAAAATAAACTTTAAAAAAAGCAATGTTTAATATTCATTTTCACTGTCTATATTTGCTTATCTCAGAAAAAATGAATAGAAATAGATAAATGTTGATTTTTAATAAATAGATATTGAGCATACTCTCAGCAGCATCTTTGAATAAACCATGACCTCATCAGCAGCATCTTTGAATAAACCATGACCTCATCAGCAAACATTCCCAGCCTCGGCCCCTATCCTGCCTTTTCCTTTCAACATTTGGCCCACTACCATCTGTTTTTCACCTTCATTATATGATGATTATAACCAAATTTTAACCTGCTTAATCTGATCTGTTTATGGGCAGGGAGTGAAGTTGTAAGCCCTTCTTGTCCTTGACCCCACTCCTTGAGCCTGAGCTTCATACAGTATGGCACCTGTTCCAAGTGCTGTAGCACACTTTACACTGTCTCATCTTGAGGCATTGAGCATGTTTGTTCAAAGTCTACCTCTTCTTCAGTGCTTCATTCTAATTCCACTTACTCCAAAAAGCTTTCCCAGATTTCTCCAGCTCAGAATAGCTGCCTCTCTAGCTCAGAATGGCTGCTTCCCCAGGACTGTAAGTCCTTTGCATGTAATAATTTTACCTGGCCTTTTGATATCTATCAGGTGGTATTATATACTATTACAGGTGTCTTGCATCTCAACTTTGCAATTAGACTGAAAGTTTTCACAGATACCATTTCTGAACGCCTATTTATATGCTAAGGGATATTTTAAATTTTTACATGAAATTGGCACAGTTGTTATTATCCTCATTCTACAAATGAGTAAATGAGGCACAAAGGTTAAGTTACTTGCCTAGGACTATATAAATACTGTGTACTAGACCTGAATTGGAATTGTATATATTTAGAAAGCAGGGATCGTTGTTGGAATTTGTGCCTATCCCCTTGGCCATTTTAATAGTGCTTTATGTACATTAGATACTGAAATACTATTTTCTGATTGATTGGTTTTAAGCACTGACTTAAAACTGTCCAGGTTATTATAAGTAATGTTCTATGGTATCAACCAAAACTAATATTTAGTGCTGTCTAACTGGGCATGCAGTAGATTGGCACTAGGCCAATGCAATCAGTGATGGTAAGAAATATAATTCCTGAGGAGGAAAACAAATGCTTACATGGATGGCTGATCAGGTACATATGCTTCAGAAATAAACAACGTTTTTGACCAAGACTGTCTCTCCTTGAAATGCTACAAAACTGATGAGAAGAGACATTAAGATTAAGGATCATCCGAGAGGATGATAGCATTCTCTTCAGATTTCAAGACCAAGGTTCAAGCACCCCTGGAAAAAAAAATAGTTAATTAAAATGGCTGTGAATGGAGGTAATAATGAAAATAAGTAACAACTAGAAAAGGATGAGCATGCACCAACTGGGACAGACAAAACAAGCATTCAGAACTGACACCAACAATGAAGAACTAATCCAGCTGTCACAGTGTATGTTAGCTGGGCATCAGTTCTGGTTATAAAGTATGGGTTGGCTGAAATACTTATTGAACAAATGCTTCTTTAATCCCTCCACATGGATCAACTCTAGTCTGTTGTGACTGTCCTATCCCTGGAATTATCAGACCTTGCAACCATGTTATTTAGACCATCCTGATCTGTTCAGCTGTATTGATTACCTACTCTGAGATAGGCACTGTACTACTAACTCCATAGACAAGACAAATTAAACACCAGTCTTGGTATATATGTACAATTTTGCAGACTCTTCACCAAAACTTATACTTGGTGCAATTCTAGGAGCGGTTTTACCACTAAAGGATGAAAACACACGCTTTCCTAACAAGTCTATATTTTAGTTGGCTTCTCTCCAGTTGCAGACACTGAGGCAAGGATTATATGCACGCTTAGCTGTGCTTAATCAGTAGGTGTTATGGACTGAATGTTTGTGTGCCCCCTAAATTTCTATATTGAAATCTAATCCTGAATGTGATGAAATTTGGAGGTACAGCCTTTGGGAGGTGTATCATTCAGGGTTCTCTAGAGGGACAGAACTAATGGAATATATATAAATATATACTTATATATTTATATAGTTTATATATTTATATATAAAATATATAAACTTTTATATATATTATATATTATATATAATGCATATAATATACATTATCTATAAAATTATATATAATATATAATATATATAAAAGTTTATATGTAAAGTATATAATATATAAATACTTTATATAATATATAAATGTAATATATATACTTTACATATATAAAGTATATAATATATAAAGGAGTTTATATATTATATACATATAAACTCTTTTTCATATATATATATATATATATATATATATATATATATAAAGGGGTGTTTGTTAAGTATTAACTCACACGATCACAAGGTCACACAATAGGCCATTTGCAGGCTAAGGAGCAAGGAGTGCCAGTCCGAGTTCCAAAACTGAAGAAGTTGGAGTCCGGTGTTTGAAGACAAGAAGCATCCAGCACAGGAGAAAGATGTAGGCTGGGAGGCTAGGCCAGTTTCTCTTTTCACATTTTTCTGCCTACTTATGTTGTAGCCCCTCTGGAGGCTCATTAGATTGTGCCCACCCAGATTAAGGGTGGGTCGGCCTTTCCAAGCCCATTGACTCAAATGTTAATCTCCTTTGGCAACACCCTCACAGACACATCCAGGACCAATATTTTGTATCCTTCAATCCAAGCAAGTTGACACTCAGTATTAACCATCACAGGAGGTAATTAGGTCATGAGGATGGAGCCCCCATGATGGGATTAGTGCTCTTATTAAAAAGAGGCTGAGAACTCTTTGACCCTATTTCCTCCATGTCAGGATGCAAAGAAAAGACAATCATCTGCGACAAGGAAGAAGATCCTTAGGAAAACTCAACGAGGCGGCATCCTGATCTCAGACTTCCAGCCTCCAGAACTGTGAGAAATGCCTGTTTAAGCCATCTCATCTACGATAATTTGTTATAATTGCCTGAACTGACTATACATTGTACTAGTAACTTGATAGATAAAAAAAAAATTAGACAAGTCTTTGGCAACCAGCCTGGAAGTCAACACCAGTAACCTACCAATATTACCAATAAATTCCTCTTTTTTTATGCTTTAGGCCTCTACTTCAAATCCCCAAGGGTAGCTGTGTAACAAAAATGCTAGTGGTGTTATTTCTACTGAAATAAAAAGAGGATCCAAGAGGAAGGGTGACATTCTGATGATGTCTACTGCAGTCTTTTATCTTTATGAAAATTAAGAACTATAAGTAATTAGCACAATAAATGTAGCTATTGTCAAACAACAAAGATTAATATGCTAGTAACCGAAAGAGAAGGGATAACTCAAAGTAAAAAGCTTCTTTATTTCTACATTATTTAACATTAGCCCCAATATGACAAATTTTCTGCCTTTCAAAAATGTATAGGCTAATTTTATGGGACAAGTTACACACAAAATGAGCTTCCATAAGCACGCATGATAATTCATGATATAATTAGCAATTTTTACTTGCAGGCTACAGAATTTAATTTCATCTAATTTATCCAGAAAATTAAAAAGGGTTTATTGGTTGTTTACTTGTGCTGACTTTTGGATCCCCAAAAGACCACCAGAAAAACCCATAGATCAAGCAAATCTTAGTTTACCATATCTCCTGTACTAAATAAAGTCAACAACTTGACAGCATATTAGTATTATCACTGAAGGGCTATCTTCAAGGGAGGATAAATATGAGATTTTAGGCCCTGGATATAGTCATTTTAAAGGAAGTCATCAAGGCAGGGAATTATTTGATTAGAATTTATAATAGATTGGTGGGGACAGTGAGGCAAGGGCCTTAAAATGAGCTTTGATAAGCAAGCTGCTAGTCTTGGTTTTAATTGTCTCACGATCTTATTTTCTGGAGACAAATATACTGGAGCAAGCAGCTAAGCAATATTTGTTCCACATCAGTACTGCCTAATGCAGGCACAGGGAATTATGTTGGCTTTAGTTCTCAATAAATAGCCTATAGACTCAAAGGAAGAAAGAAACAACTGATTTCCAGAAGGTTAGGAACTGGGGTATCTTAAGGAACAAAATGGCATTGATCCCCCAAAAATCTCTAGGGCTCCGCGATCTGGAGCCTTGATTCTTATCACATTTCATCCCTGAGTATCTTAGTTTAAGGATCAAATTCTCAGGAGGATGCCAGGCTATGTGGCCTGCTCTGTGGTCAAGAGGGACAGGGTCTCAAGTTTTATTCTCCAAAAAAGTCACATGGAGAGGTAATTTCCCAAAAGAAGAGAAATTAAGAAGACAGTAATAAAAGCTATCCCTTATAATGGTCAAATCCCTCTCAAACATCTCTCTCCTCATAGGTGTTGAATTTTGGCTGAAATTGTTTCTTTTAGTTGTTGCTGAACAATTTAAATGTATTTTTTAAGTCATTTCTTCTTTCCTCTCCTCTGATTGCTTCCCTACAACTAACTCCCGGGGTCAAAACTTGTCAATTGTACATGTGTAATGAGTTTCTCTCACCCACCCTCTTCCTTTCTAGTCTATCGATATGTGCCCTAATCTGTTCCTACAGGATATTTTTTTCTAAATTCCTGCAATGGCCTCCTACATGTTCTCTACATTTATCGAATCTCTTATGTACTTCAAATTATTAATGTTCTTGAAGCACAGTTGCAATTCTTTTATTCTCAGTTTTTCATGAGTCAGTCATTCCCCATTCCCTATCACATAAGTGTCACATGCTTTGGTCTCACATCAAAGGCCAGTTACAACTGCCAGCAGCTCTCTATCTGGACTTACTTTCAGCTACTCACATTCATGTTAGCTTTGTTCTAATTAAACACATGGCAATGTTGCCAGGGTACTCCCTTTGATTTCTTAACTCCAAACTCTTTAAGAACAAAATGTGGGCCTGATTCACCTTTACAGTCCCCACTTCCTTCTATGGCCATTTGAGTAACTACTCTCATCCACTGAAACTGTTGCCTTCAATGCTACTGATCTGAAAAAGATCATGAGGCCAAGTTAGGGTCCAGTGGGCAGGAATGTTGTGATTGATTATTAATGTCTGTCATGGGCAGTGGGTAGAGGACAGTAGCAGTATCTGTGCCTGGAATTTTCCATCTTTCATTGTATATTTAACAAATATTTGTTGAGTGAAATTCAACAAGAATTTAGAATAAAGAGATCCTAGGAAAAGGCTCTTTGAGTCTCCTTTGGTTTGAGAAATGACACCACCTTTGTCCACAGAGCCCAGCAATTGTCAGTAAGAACTGAAGCCACCTGCATTAACATGACAAATATTTGTTCCTGGAAATTCTTGCTCAAGAATATAAGGTTATAAATCAATAAATAACTTCACTATTTGCTTTAGGAAAATTCCTGCAAACCAACTTGTCTGGGCAAATATTTGGTCTCCTATCAGGACAGTAGATTGCTCACCTGGGCAAACAAATCACTTATCCAACTTCAGTTTACTTATCAGGATTCACGTTAAGACTCTCCCGTCTTGAGTCCACCAACATGAAAATATTATGACACAAATATTTCCTAGGCATAATCAGTTCTCCATCTTAAACCACACACCCTAAGACCCACTTAAGCCCAGATTCTATCCAAACTCTATATAAATATCCTCTCCTGACATTTGCCTTCTTGAAGCATACTAAGCCTCAATAAAGTAATGTTCTCTGTTACTCTAGTAAGTAAATCAACTTAGTTTTGTTTGCCAACATATTTTGTGGGGTTTTTTTTGATATTTTACACTTGGTAGATTTAAGGAATGCCACAATGTGATCAAATTCATGAAACTGAGAAGCCTTCTGCAAACACTAAGTTGTGCCTTCCTAGCTCTTGAACAGTTTCAGTGACATTTTGAGAAAAGGTGAACTGTTGTCTGGTGCTTTGCAAAGCAACATGACATCTTTACACTTCTACAATGCAAGGAAAAGAAGATTAATTAGCCCTAGTTACTGTCTAGAGGTCAAACACACAAGACCCGTTGGTTCTAGAGTAGGAGCATGTAGAGGTTTCCAAACAATGATGTATATTAGAATTTCCAGGGGACTTGTTTAAAATGAGGATAAAGTCCCATCTTCCAGAGACTCTGATTCAGAAGTCTATGGCAGGGCTCAGGCATCTGCATACCACATAATGTTGCAAGGGGATCATGGCCCACACTCTTTGAATCTACACTGTATCTAAAGTCCAGTCACTTAAGACCATTTCTACTACTGGTCAGTTCCCTTAATGGCCATTTTATCTAATATTCAACTTGCTTTTGACTAGTTTTATGTTTATTTGACTGTCTTCTTTTTCATCTTGTCCTTTTTTCAACTTTAAGAATTTCAAAAAGAATGGAGGAAGATGGGAAGAGAGAGAGAGAAAGAGAGTTTCATCTTGCCTAATTTTATTCATCTGATATGTTTTCTGTATTTTATGAATAATGATAATATATTTCTAATTTTTACATTATTTTTTGTGTTTGCATTGAAAACTAGTTTTAACTAGGCTTTTGGGAGACACTTCCTTAAAAATAATATTTCCAGCAATATTAATTTATTGATAATACATAAAACATAAATTATAATCATTATGCAATGAGCATAATGATCCCTAAAGAAAATGTAGTCAATTTGTCAAATATTAATTTGGTTTAGGAGATGCTTTCTGTTAATGAGCTTATTATATGGATGATGTCAAAAATAGCTTCTTCTTTCCTGTAAAAAACCTTTGGATTTTCATAGTAAATGAAGACATACAGATCCCCCCACACATCTTCCTGACAAGATTTACACTGAGGGCTAGAAAGAGAGCACAAAGAGAGGATATGGTGAGAAGGAATTGTAGGTTATTGGAGAGCAAATTTTCCTTCTTGACAGCTTGCCTAGGACTTGCACTGTGACCCTGTTTGTACTAAGCTCTTAAGCAGTTCTTCTGAACAATTGATAATGAAGGGTGAAATAACTCCAGGAATATTGCAAGTAATGTCTTTTATACATACGTATACATATATATGTGTGTGTGTGTGTGTGTGTGTGTGTCTAAAGTAACTGTTAACAACTTTTTTCTAGCAAAAGCCAATGCCTTATGTTGTTCATCTTGACAAATTCAAAAAAAAGACAATATTTACATATCAAAGATAGTACCTTACTTGCAAAGAGGCCTGTTTCTCCAGATACCTTTTTTAACCCCTTTGGATGAGATTTTTATTGTCAAGTTTATTGGACACCAGCTTTTCTACAAGCACGTTGTATTTTATTCATTCAGCAGGAATTGTACCAATTAAACTTGCCTTACAACTTTTTGCATTATGGTTGGACTTGGTGATTGGCATTAAAAATATATACTTCACAGCTTTTATTATACATAAGCTAGATAAATTGTTAATGCTTTAGAACTCTCTAGGCAATATGAATGATGGAGATTTCTGTGCTATCCTTGATAAAGTTGAGGATACAGAAAGCAGTTTTAATCCTCTTTTTATACTCTGCCTGTCTGCCTGTGGAACAAGTTCAGGGAGCTGCTGTTTAGCAGGAACGGAGCCACAGACTTAATTTTCAAAGCCAGATAAAAGTACATGGTCATATATTCTAAATCTACTTAAAATATAAAATAACTAAATAAACTGACCTAACTAAAGTAATTGTTGTCCTTAAACAATGAATAAGAGTTTTTTTGTTTTTTGTTTTTTTTTGTATTTTTTTTTAAGGCTGAATTCAGGCCAGGTAAAATTTCCATTTGTTTGCATTGTTGTTGTCCAAAGTGCCAATGTTTTGTAAAATTTTAGTCTTTCATTAAAAATAAACCACTATTTTTTATGCAAGAAGGGACAATGATAAATATAGCCAGAGGCAATCTTTTAATTGTACCTTAAGTGTTCTGTCACCTATCCCTAATGTCTTCACTTCAGCTTTACACCTTGGATTCTATTCAACCAGATGCATTTTTTCTTCTAATTATAATCAAGATGTGTCTACATGAAGTGGAAAATGTGAACAATTATTTAGATTGTTCAAAAAAAAAATAAAAGCACATTTCAACTGAAAACATGCCAGTAATTGGAGTAGAATGAAGTATTTTTGAGATGAGAATTCTTTGAATCTTACATTTGTAAATAGTTTCTCTTCATTTTAAATTTCTTATAGTTTGTGGCTTTGTGGATCTGGCTACAGACCTTTTTAAAGTCATCGGGAGGGCATTTTTGCTTACAAACATAGCAAGTTATCTATGCCTTTAAACCTCTACTCTCAGAAAAGAGAAGGTTTCTGAGAATGCATGGCAAGTATGCTTTACATACCTTGTTGGCAATGTTCACAGAAATAAAGCTTTGGTCAAAGGAACCAGTTTCTCTTTGGCATACAGATGAATGACATTCAGAGGCATCCTTTACATAAGAAGACATAAAATTTTCTGTACCTGACAATCCCCCAAATTACCGCCCTTGTGTCTCATTCCTTCAGAACCCTGTGGGGGTGATCCATTTCTTAACTTCTGGTCCTCTTATTCCACACTTCCTGGTGTTCTGTTTTAGACCAGTGTTTGCAGTGTAATATCCACCTAGTACTTGTTAGAAATATGGAGTGTTGGGTCCCATCTCAAACCTACCAAATCAAAACCTGTATTTTAATAAGATCATCAGATATTTGTGAGGACATTAGCATTTGAGAATCTTGGGATTAGATCTCAGTAAGCCATAATGTGACCGACTGTCTGCTAATTAAACCACACTCATACTGGATATTCAGCAAAGGGCCTCCTCATACTCATGTAGGTTTCTGTATTCTCGATGAGACTTGACCTCATCTTTCCCAACTCTTCATTTTCACTAAAGAGCCCAGCAATATCTTCAGTGTCTTCTCCCGACACAGGCAACTTCTTACCACAAATGCAAGGTTCTACTACAATGGTGAGAATTTTTAGACACCAGAAAGAACAGGGGCAGGAAAGGGTTTTTTGTTTGTTTGTCTGTTTGCTTTTGAGATGGAGTCTCTCTCTGTCGCCCAGGCTGGAGTGCAGTGATGCGATCTCTGCTCACTGCAACCTCCGTCTCCCAGGTTCACGCCATTCTCCTGCCTCAGCCTCCCGAGTAGCTGGGACTACAGGCGTCCACCACCATGCCCGGCTAATTTTTTGTATTTTTAGTACAGACTTGGGCTTTCACTGTGTTAGCCAGAATGGTCTCGATCTCCTGACCTCGTGATCCACCTGCCTCGACCTCCCAATGTGCTGGGATTGCAGGTGTGAGCCACCGCGCCCAGCCAGGAAAGGGTTTTTAATTTGCTCTCTAAACCATGTGATGTAGGCAGCAATTCACCCTATCCACATGTGAGGAATGTGTTGTTTATATCCACTTTCCTTATAGAGGAAATAAATTGGTCATAACTCATGGGCAATTCTCTTATATTGTAGACCAGTCTTAACAGTACTTTTCAGAATCATTTCTCTGCACAGACTTTAATGAAGACTAGCCTGCGTTTCTCCATGTTGATTCTGAAATGCTCAATAGAATTCTTCTCTAGGTTCTTAGCCCAAACATACTTTTGATGTACAGAAGACTACTAACTATTTCTACTTTATGAACATGACAAGTAATTATTTATTAAAGTAGTGAAAATAATTCTGTCAAGAACAATTCATTCTCACTTTGCCCAAGCTGAATGAATATAGATAAGTCTATGGCGGTCCCCTGCATCCTTACACCTGAATACTTCCTGAAAATATTTTCTCTCTTCTTCGTTAGGGAAAAAAATATTCAATGGACACTTTTTAAAAATGGTAAAGCCGATTTTATTCAGAGGGAGACTGTTTTGATAGGTGTAGGGCTCATTGGAATGGGCCTTTGCAATGGGGGGAGAGATTTGGCTCAACTCTAAATATAACAAGAAAAAGTGGGAATTTATAGCCAAAGATTAAGATGGAGGCCAGTACATAGAAAATTACTGAAAGAAAACATAAGGGTAAAGAGGAAGTTCTGGCTAAACCAACCACACAGGATCCTTCCTGAAGACAGGCTAGGATGTTCAGACACCACCTTGGGGAGGGTGAAGGATAAAGAATTTGATCAGAAATCAAGGGTGGTGAGATACATGTTAAGGATGAATAAACTGGCCTTTTAGGATTCTTGCTAAAGTTAGACAATGCAGAGGCAACCACAGAGTCCAAGAGTTAAGGCCTAGTTGAAAAAGAGTTGAGAGAAGCTTGAGTAATGTTTGAACGAGGAGATAATCTCTGTTATTTCTCCCTCTCCATTGTCATAGTCTGAGTTGTAATATAGACTATTACAATAGTCTCCTCATTGGTCACTCAGACTCTGGTTATAGTCTTTCTTCACTCATCACACTGTCGAAAATATACATCTAACTATGTCATACTCTATTCAGAATTATTCAATGTCTCTCACATTGTCCCCACAATGATACACAGGCTCCTCCTTAGGAAGCCATGCAAGGGTTTGCTTGGTGAGGTCATTGCCTTCTTGCTCAGTCTCATAGTCCCTTCCTAGTCTTTCTCCAGAAATAAGTTACTTTATAAGCTCTACTATGCCTTGATTCTTTTGTCTAGGATATTCTCAAACTTTCCTGCCTTTAAATACTACTCATTCATTAAGTTTCAATTCAAACATTGCTTCTGTGAAGTTATTCTTAGTGTACTCCAGAAAAGTTAAATTATCTTCCTACATTTCTGTTGGACTTTACATATCCCTTTACTATAGCATATATTTTTGTAACTGTCAATGAACTAGACTTTCAATATTCTGAGGGCAACAAAAAATGTTTTCCCCTTAATTCCAATTTTCTGGCAAAAGGGAGAATATAAAAGTTCAATAAATATTACAGATTGACTGAATAAAATGCATTTAGGTAATAATTCATTTGGATGAAGATAATAGATTCTTAGAGATTGGGAAATGGGAATTGAAATACCAAATTTCTATCTACAAATATGTATTCAACAAGTATATACAGTGGCACATAGAGAACTCTACACTTGATGCTGGATAGGACATATAAATTCATTCAACACGTACTTATTTAGCGTTTACTTCACATCAGCACTATTCTGGGTATTTCAGAAACATTGCTGAAAGATATAATTTCTATCCTAAATGACTGCATGGAATTGAACTCAAGACTTCGTTTGTCATAATCTGGCCAACTCTCTCTTAATTCAAATTATCTGAATTCAAATTAAGAATATAAGAGAGGACTCTTTCAATTCATTTACCTTTTAGCAGCATAGTATAATGCTTCTCAAACTTCAGTGTGCATATGGATGCAGATTCTGATTTAGAGGCCCTCAAGTGATGCCCATGCTACTGGTCTATAAGCCACAATTTTATTACCAAGGGTTTAAGGTTCAATAACAAAGCCGACCCTTCCTAGGAATGAACCTCCCTTACATTACCAAAGCTCCAGAGTGTACTTATTAAGTCCCTCTGATCCATGGGTCAGGGTGGGGTAAACATGGAGTAAAGCTAAATATGTGGGGTGCTATGCCAGGAAAATCTAGAGACAATACTTTCTAAGAAATTTGTGTGGTTTATCTGCCTCTAAATGGAGGCAAGGAAATAAAGAAGAAGAGGTCCTTGGATGATATTGGAAGTTGTTTCAAAAAGTTGCAGTAGCAACTCTCAGGAAGTAAAAGCTGGCCACAACCTGGCCTAAGTGATGGAGAAACGAGGATCTCTAGTGAAAAACTTACTTTGAATAGATATATCCTTGCCCAGCTTCTGTAGGACAAAGCTGTATGTAGATTCCTTTGCATTTTTCACAATACTTAGGATAGTGTTCCACATAGAGGCTACATATATGTGGAATTAATGAATGAATGAATTGTCTTTATTTTACAAGATAATTGGAAGCTTTCAGGATATAAGTGAATTGTCTGACCTATTAATTATGGAAGAATGTTTACACTTTTGTTGAAATGCTATTGTTAAGCATTGAGTTACACCGGCTTGTGTAGTATAAAAAGATTTAAGAAAAGTACACATCAAATAAGCTGCCTTTTCACTGCCTGGGAAAGCTGTCATATAAGCATTGTGGTTTTCATGTTCTGTGGTGGTTGTCTGCCACAGTCCAGCAGAAGTTTAACAGTAAATAATGTTAAGCATGTGAACTGGTCGGGGGGGTGGCATTTGCATTTATATCTCATATGGTTTGTTGCCCAAGCAGAATTGAGTGGCTACATTTTTCTATTTTTTGATGTCTTATTTTGTTAATCATTCCAAACACATTTGTTCCGTTCCATAAAAATGAGCAGCTTACCTTCTACCTTTGTGAAATTACTGTTAATCATTCTCTAATGTCTGCATTATCCCATTTAAACCGTTCCCCTGTGGTTTTACAATTCCTTCTGCTCACTAATCCAACAGGAGGAATGATGTGCAAACAAGCAAATATAGAGAAACAAATAGGTTTTCTTGTGAATCGTCCTTATAAGCCTCATCAGCGACATTAGAGTTTCTCAAAATGTTATTTAAGAATCAAATAAATCTATAGATAAAGCATTCAAGCCAGTGGGCTTGAAATTAATCCAGGTGATGATATAAGCTCAATATAAAATAGAGGATGCTTTTATATCCATGAATCATCCCCGCTTCCTGCACCTAGCCTTAATCTTGACTGATAGAACCACATTCTTAAAACTTGACTATAGTGAAATAATAGTCAGCAACATGTGAGGCATATAATGGAAAGGGAAAATGCATATAATTTCCTAAGACTTACATCCCCATTGCTAGCCAAACTTACATCAAATGATAAAGGCCTGGGTATCTCCATGTGTATTAGTCTGTTCACTGCTAATAAAGACATACCCAAGACTGGGTAAGTTATAAAGGAAAGGGCTTTCCTCCACATGGCTGAGGAGGCCTCACAGTCATGTCAGAAATCAGAGGAAAAGCAAGACACATCATACATGGCAGCAGGCAAGAGAGAGCTTGTTCAGGGGAACTCCCATTTATAAACCATCAGATCTCATGAGACTTATTCACTACCATGAGAATGGTATGGGGTAATCCGGTAATCCACCCCTATGATTCAATTGTCTCTACCTGGCCCCATCCTTGACACGTGGGGATTATTAAAATTCAAGGTGAGATTTGGGTGGGGACAGAGCCAAACCATATCACTATGTAATTGTTACATGAGCAAGCCCATCAATAAATATTGGCACATATCTGCATTGAAGATAAAAACATCCAATCAGCTGGCTATTTCTGAATATTTGATGTTACACAAGTAAAATATTCAGATATTCAACTGCAGTTTATCATTCTCATGTATGTTCCATACTTTGTATATAGCACTTGGATATGCATTTTGGACCAATATTTTATTTGGCTTTCTGGAATTATATAACTGTAATGTTGTATATCCATGGTCATGTCACATTAATTTTTATGAGTAAATACTACAATTTATCTGATTGGTAAATTAGAGATAAGCATGATCAGGGTTATATTGGCCCCATTTAGATGCTAAACCAGTATTATCTGATAACAATTCACTGAACCAGTATTATTTGATAACAATACAAGCCAATACTATCTGATAACAATTCTGCTTCCTTTGCCAGCTTCTAAGATCTGGGGCTGGTGAAGGAAGCAGAATGGGAACACTGAGTGTACATCTCATTTGATACATTTCTTTCTATCCATCCTAAGGATATCAAGCACAATAAAAAAGAATGCAAAGATAATGAAACAAGAAGCTGACTAGCTGCCCAAAGTAACAATATCAAGTTCTGAAATAAAACCTTTCTCTGCTCCATCAGTTAGGATAGAAGCAACTTTCCCTCTTCAATTATGCCACAATCCTAATTTCTCAATTTTGGTTCTACTTGTCTAGGGTCCTTGCAATGATGTCACTCTATCATTAAGTTCAATTGTGACTGAGTGGGAAGGGAGAATATTTCCCAGTCACCTTCTCCTTGCCTTGTGGGAAGTCACAGAAGGATGTCAAATATTATCACATGGATTATGTCATGCTTCTGTCAGTTAGGCAGCCCACTTGACTACCATCATAGGAAAAGTTGATCGAAATATACATTAAACCATGGTTAATTTTTGCCTTCACTGTATATGCAATACCGATACAAAATACACATGTAGGCTGAAGACTCCTTCATCTTCAATGGTGTCCTTAATTGTGATGTTCTTTTTTTAACCTACAGCACCATTGATACAAACCCTTATACTCCTGCTCTTATTTCTACTGAAATATTTTATAGACAACCCTTTTCTATGATTTATACCTCATTATAAAATCAAATTTCTAGGCTGTCAGAAAGAAATTGAGTGCAGCAAAGTAGGAACTAGTTCTGTGACATACTGAGATGGCATATCAGCTTGGAGGCATAAGTCCCAAAGCAGAAAGTGGGAATTATAGATACCACCTACATTCATTCATAAATAGGAGAAGAAATAATGATGGTACAGAACAGTGATTTTCAAGTCATAATGCAAGAGATTCTTAATAGTATTTTAAATTTTAAAAAATGGATTTATGATTGAAGCTATCAAAATTTACCAGAGCTCATTTCCCTCTTGCACTATAAATTATTATAACATTTATCTTATTGAAAAACACAGATATTAATTAGTTATAAAATGAAATCCAGTGACTCAACTCTCTTCAGAAGGAGGGTCTACCAGTGTCCTTAAAGCTCTACTACTAATCATGATAACACTAGTTATTTTTGCTGTTTGAACTTTGACCTGTTCTTTTGACCAGTTCAAGGAGATATGTGAGCACAGCATGTAACACTGATTTGTACCTAATTATAAATCAAAGTTTCTTAAATCATTTACATAAATTTGTATAATGTGGAAAGAACTAAAAGTTAGACTTATGAGCTTCGCAAATCATTTCTTCTACCTTAACTCTTTATTAATGTGTCTCTTTTTTAAAAAAGAATCAACGGATTCTTCTTTGACTCAACACTCTCCACTTCTCACACTCTAACCCTCAGCGTCTAACAAACTGCTTTCAAGTGTTCAGGAAATGTATGTAATGAGTGTATGTGTGAGTGCATTGGTGTATATGCGTGTTTCCTTCTCATTGATGAGAAAGGGTATAGAATGCTCATCACTAGAGAGCTTCATGAAGCGAATAAAACCCCTGTTTCCTATGATGTTATTATTCCCCTCAGGAGCTTAGGCCAGATGATCTCTTAGAGTCGTTTTTTGATCTATAACTCAGTGATCAGTGAGCCAGCTTTAGGTCATCCTGTACTCTTTAGTACACAACACTATTGCTCAAGAGTACTATATGGTGCCCCTGGGCCCTGAAAAACTTAATGTACAACTCTAAGAGTCTAAATTACTGCCAGGGAGTGATGTAGGTAGTGAAAATAAATTCCATTAATATCTTGCTAAGTGGTTAATCAGCAAGTCAAATAATAATAATAAAGTGTTAGATCTGTTTTCTCATTCTGTCCTTTATGGACAGAAAGAATACCTGTTAGGTGTGTTCCTCTTAAACAGCCTTTAATAAATTTTAAAGTAGTGATCAAGACTTCCCTTGGGTTTCTTATCTCTAAACTAAATAAACCCTATTCCTTTCATCTTTACAAGTAAGATCCGTTTTCATCCCTTTAATCATTTTCATTGTTCTCGCCAATGTTCTCTTCAATTTATTCACATCTTTATAAATGTGATGAACAATAATATTTATCTGAAGAAGTACTAGAATATAATTTGGATGTTCCTTCTTGACTATTTTTTGTTTGTTTGTTTTTGCTTTTTTTTTTTTTTTTTTGAAACGGAGTCTCTCTCTGTCACCCAGGCTGATCTGGTCTCACTGCAAGCTCCGCCTCCCAGGTTCACGCCATTCTACTGCCTCAGCCTCCCGAGTAGCTGGGACTACAGGTGCCCACCACCACGCCTGGCTAATTTTTTGTATTTTTTAGTAGAGACGGGGTTTCACCGTGTTAGCCAGGATAGTCTTGATCTCCTGACCTCGTGATCCTCCTGCCTCTGCCTCCCAAAGTGCTGGGATTACAGGCGTGAGCCACTTTGCCTGGCCCTTGACTGTATTTTTAAATGACACCTTAATCTTAATAAAGAGATTAATGCCAAAATCATAAATGGAAAATCTAGAGATTTTATAATGACTGATTGCAATTATGGGCAACCATTCTAGCCAGTTAAGAGAGTATTCGAACACTCTCTGGTTTGCACATCAAGTTTACAAACCAAGGTCTGTTTAAAGATAACAGTTTTGGTAACAGAGTATTTTGCTAACTACAGGAAGGTAGGGAAGTTCAAGCAGCAATATTAGATAATCTACTAGAATAAAGGATTATAAAAACATACATACAAGTTTTCCAATTCAGAGATCAACTATTTGTGCTTAACCATTCTAGGCTTCTCCCTTAGTAATTGGATCTCTCTCTGAAAGAATCCTGAATCTAACAAAAATGCACAAAATCTAATGTATTCTTCTCTGTTAATATGGTACCACAGCTTGGTACTTCTTACTTTCATAGTTTTATTAAGTTTATCAATAATGTGGCCAATTGGAAATGACCACTAATGCAGTTAAAATAAGACAAAACAAATACAAGAGTCAAATGGAGGAGAGTCCCATGACTCACATTCTCATTCAGTTGCCGGTTGTTTTTTGTTCTCTCTTGTACTAGTATTCCCTGAAAGGCAGGAAATACTAGTCCTCTGAACATATCCAGCCTCCCTAAGGAAAGTGACAAAAGACCACTACAGAACTATGTGCTCTATAAACCAATGCCTAGGATCAGAATGTCAGAACAAATTCATCCAAACTTGTTTATCTTTTCATTTGTGAGACTCAGGTATACTCAAAGTTCCACACCACTTATTACAATCCCTCTTCTTCCGAAGGGTAGAGTTAATTTTAAAGTTGGATGCATCATTTAGCACTGTTATTTCCAAAGACAGTTTACCAGAATATGGCCACACTGAAGTCTGCTGTTGGCAAGAAGAGAGGAAAGGAAAGCCAGTCAATAAAGACCAAAAACAGTTGTTCCCATCCTTCTACCCAGTTCATGTCTCTTTACTACTGTGATACATTCTAATCTCTTTGGCAACATAATTATGTTGTATTAATGCATAGTAATCTCAATCACTTCAAAAAGTTCTCTAGCTCTTGAACTTATCACCTTCATTATCAATGCAAGAAAGAACTTGAGGCAAAAGCAGTCAACGAGAGAAAGAAAGTCACTGGCTTACTTCCATAATGCTGAGCATGATGCCATAAGTTTTATTTGCATAAGGACATTTGATTCTTCTTAGAAGAATGGCAAAGAAAACTTTGCAGGACAAATCATTGAATCTCCACCAAGAGGAGAGATTAGAAACAGTCTGAATACTATGAGGAAAATAACCCAGATGGTAGGTAAAAATCAAAGGAACTGACATATATCCTGGGGCAACAGCTGTGGTCAGATCAGACAGATACTATTTATATGTCACTGAGGAAAGACACAGACATATTTATGTACTTAAGCCCAAAGGAATGTAAAGCTACCCTTGACCTTAATGAAAAGAGCTGTAATTCTTTTGGTGTTCCATAGTAAAATTAGTGGTCAACACAAGTTTTGTTGGCAATGTTACATAACCACACTTATGTAGATCATAATAACTGTTGAAAGATGAGCATTCAGAAATAACTTATTATGTACAAGAGATATGCATTAAGATTAACAGCTAAATTATTCAGAAACCATGGAGGCCGGAAGGCACTGGGATGACATATTCAAACTTCTGAAAGTAAAAGAGTGTCAGTCAAGAAGTCTGTATCCAGCAAACCTACTTTTCAAATATAAGTAAGAAATTAAGACTATCCCAGATAAACAAAACCTGAGATAATTTATTACTATTCCACAAGAAATACTAAAGAGAGTCCCTCAGGCTGAAATAAAAGGACACTAGATAGTAATGTGAATTCACATGAAGCAATAAAAAGCCCTGGTTAAGGTAACTATATAGGTAAATATCAAAGAGAGTATGTATTTGGTATGTTTAAATTTTTTCTTCTCCTATTTAATTTAAAAGATAACTATGCAAAGCAATAATTATAAAACTCAGTTGATGGGTTTATAATGTATAAAGATATAACTTCATGATAATCCCAGAAAGGAAAGTGAGGGAACAGAGCCAAATAAGAGCAGTTTTTTATACTATTGAAATTAAAAAGACACTAATCTTTTTCACTTCCCCTCAAGATGACACTATTCTTAACTAGATTATTGTAAATTAAGTGTTCTTTGTAATCTTCAGGAAATCACTAAGAAAGTGAATCAAAAAAATAATGAAATAAATGACAGGAGAATTAAAATGGTACACTAGAAAATATCTACTTAACACAAAAGAATGCAGTAATATAGGCATAAAGGAGCAAGAAGACATAGAAAACCACTACCAAAACATCAGACATAAATCCTACCATATTAGTAATTACATTAAAGGTAAATGGAATAAATAGTGCAATAAAAAGTTAGAGATTGGGAGATGGACCAAAAAAAGAGATCCACCTATCTGCTGTCTACAAAGACACTCTTTAGATTCAAAGACACAAATAGGTTGAAAATAAAAGGGCATACCATGTAAACAGTAACTAGAAGAAAGCTGGAGTGGCTATACTAATATCAGACAAAGCAGATTTTATTTGAAGCCATTCAAGGTAAAGAAGAAGCATGAAATATAATTCCTAAGCTATTGATCACTTCATTCTACAGTAGTGGTTTAGAGACCAAGGAGCATCTGCCACCAATTCCTATCTCTTGATTATTGTCCCTTCTTTTGCTGTCACCTTGGAAACAGAGACTTCATAAACAGGTAAAATTGATTATACATTCTGTCTAAAATGTACTTGTGTTTATTTTATCTTTAAATAAAATTTGATTATAGTTTAGAATATAATGATCTTACTAAACAATCACTTATGTACACAAAATAATACAAAACAAATGTAAGCTCAATTAAGTGTGACACACTCATGTAACCAACACTCAGATTAAGAAATGGAACATTATCAGCATTCCAGGACCTACACTGTTATCCTCTCTTTCAGTCATTTTTTCCCTCAAAGGATAACCACTACCCAGACTTCTAATGCAATTGGTAACTTTTGTCTGTTTCTAGATATTACATAATGTAATTGTATAGTACGTGCTTCTTTGTGTCTGGCTTCTTTCATTTGATTCCATTTTTATACAGTACAACCATATTGAGACTGTAGTTCTAGTTTGCTCATCCTTTTTGCTGTATACAATTCCATTATGTGATTATACCATAATGTATTTATTAGTTCTACAATGGAGAGACATTTGGTGGTTTCCAGATTGAGGCTATTATTAGTAATCCTGCTATGAATATTTTTGTAGATATCTTTTGGTGGATATATGCACACATTTTTCTTGAATATCTGACTAGGATTAAAACTGTCAGGTCATACGATATACAAATGTTCGGCTTTAATTACTACTGTCAAATATTCCCCAACATAGTTGCACTGATAGACACCCCACTAGCAATATATGACAGTTAGTTGCTCTATTTGCTCACTGATATTTCATTGTCTGTTTATCATTTTAGCCATTCTTATGGGCATGTAGTAGTATCAAATTATGATTTTTCGTTTGCATTTCTCTAATGACTGACAAAGTTGGACACTGTATCATATGTTTACTAATCATTTCGAGATCTTCTTTTCTGGATGCTCATTTTTACATTTGGATTTTCTGCCTTTTACTTATTGATTTGCAAATATTTTTCCCAGTCTGTAGGTTGACTTTTGTTTTCCAAATGGTCTTCTTCGGTGAACAGATATTATTAAAATGGTAACAGTTATCATTATTTTTCTTTTGTAGTTATTGATTCTGGTCTTTCTTTAAGAAATATTTGCTTAATCAAGGATCTTTAATATATTCTTCTATACTTCTTCTAAAAGACTTATTGTTTTGCCTTTTACACAAGTCAGCATTTCATCTAGAATTTTTTTATGTGTAATGAGTGACATGTGTAGAGACCTATATTTAGATAAATATCCAATTGACTAAGCACCAGTTATAAAATGGTCATCTTTTCCCCCTTGACTTCTAGTAACACTTTTGTTGTTTAATTTCTTTCTCCTCTTTTATTTGGCCAACTCTAGTTCTAGAGATGTTATCTTGTAAGCATGGATGCACAGAAAGCCAGGAGTCTAGCGCAAGAAAAAAAAATCATGTAATTATTTCTACTGTTTCTCAGCGCTTTATAGTCTAGCCATGCTTAATAAATGTTTTTCTTTTATCATGTTTCCTCTTTTACCTTTGCCAAATAACATGTTACTGGTGGAATAAGTAATATTGTTCATAGAATTTTTAAAAATTGTAGCATACAGAAAGTAAGAATAACCCACAATTTCACCACCCAAATGAAAACTACTAAAAAGTTTTCATGAGATTTCTTCTCAGTCCTTTTCCTAATAAGCCTATTCTTAATTCAAAATCTCTAAGTACCTAAAAGCAGAGGGTTTGTAAGGACAACCTAAAAGATGACTTCTGGCTTATCAAAATATGTGTTCAAGGACATTTAAAAATGCAGAAGAAAAACATCTGATATGAACGAGATGGTGCAGATTCTTCTTTCTCTGTTTCTCCCCAACTAAGTACAATTACAAACCCTGACAATTACATACAGCAACCATAGAATGACACAGAAGAATGATAAAAGAAAGGTGAACTGGCTAGAGGCCCCAGGAATGAAGGAAAAACACAACAGCCGGGATCTTCTGAACACCACATCCTTCATTCCACTTGCAGAAGGAGAACCCAGGCCCGACATCTTCTGACCTAAACCTGTGGCGGAATGTTGCCCAAGCAAGTAGATTCCTTCCCCCATTCCCTGCAGATTAAATAAGAGTCTCCAACAATAAGCAGCCTTGGAAATTGTTCTCTGCTTCCAAGATCAAGACTCTCCTTCTTCCCTCTCCCTGACCCCCTATTAGAGACACTGGGCGATCATGTCAGGCAGAAATTAAATGGGTACCCTACCAACAACAGAAATCCTATGAAACTGTATCAAACCCATGACCGGGGGTCTCCCTCTCCTTGCTTAAAGACTCTAGGTGGCCTAACCTGGTGGCCAGCACAAAGAGAATTTCAGGAGGCCCACTAGCACCAAGTAAACCAAAGAGACCAAAATTGACTATTAAGGCTCAGAAAGCTAAGTTGGGAGAGTAACTGTAGCCCACAAAATATAGGCTAGGGCCTATCACTTATAGAGGATGACTGCTTAATATAGCATAAAACTTAAATAGGATCCAGAGTATTCTAACATAACCACAAAAATACGCAGGATATAATTTAAAATCACCTGCAATACTAAGCAATAGCAACAGGAAAATCATGACTTGAATGAGAAATGACAGCAGTTGACAACATTGAGAAAAGTAGGATATTGGAATTAACTAACAATAATTTTCTCATAGTCATCATAAAGGTTATTCAGCAAACAATTATGAATACCCTTGAAGCAAATGAAAAAAACAGAATATCTAACTAAAAATCAAAAGACTAGAAGGAAATTATAGAACTAAAACTACAATAACTGAAATAGAAATTTCACTGGCAGTGCTCAGTAGCAGAATAAGCATGACAGAGGAAAGAATAAGTAAATTTGAAGATAGAACAACAAATTACTCAATCTGAACAACAGAGAGAAAACTAACATATACACACTTATGTATACACAAGGCTTCAGACATCTATGGGACAATAATAAAAGATCCAGGATTCATGTCATCAGCACCTCATAAGAGGAGAAGAAAGGGAGTGGAATGAAAAAAATATGTTAATAAATAATAGCTAAAAATTTTTAAAATTTTGTGTAAAAATCTATCTACAGTTTCAAGAAGCTAAGAAAACCTCAAGTAGAATAAACTCAAAGCACTCCACATAAGACACATATAATTGAAGTTCTGAAAACTACAAACAAAGAAAAAATCTTGAAAGCAGCTAGAGAGAAACAGCACATTACCTATAGTGGAACAACAATTAGAATGACAGCTTTCTTATCTGAAACCATGGAGACCAGGGAGAAGTCTGATATTTTTGAAGTGCCTAAAGGAAAGAACTGTCAACCCCAAATATATCCTTCAAGAATGAATGGGGAAATACATACATTCTCAGAAAAAGGCAATCTAAGAAAAGTTATCATCAACAGACTTATCCTTAAAGAATGGCTAAAGGAAGTTCTCCAAACAGAAGGGAAATGATAACAAAGTAAGATTTGGAACTCCAGAAAGGAAGGACAAAAGAATGCAATGGGTAAAAATAAGAGTAAGTAGACCAGCCTCCTCATGAGTTTTAAAAATCATATTTGATGATTGAAGCAAAAATTCAATTAATAAAGAGAAAATATTCAAGTTAGTTGTATTTCCAGCGTGGGAGGCTAAAGAGACCTAAGTGGAAATAAGGTTTCTACACTTCGCTGGAAGTAGTAACATGTCAATACCAGTGGACTGGGTTAAGTTTTATACGCAGATTATAATATTTAGAGCAACCACTAAGAAAACTATACATTGGCTGAATGCAGTGGCTCACACCTGTAATCCCAGCACTTTGGGAGGCCAAGGTGGGAGGACTGCTTGAGCTCAAAAGTTCGTGACAAGCCTCAGCAACATGGTGATACCCCATCTCTCCAAAAAATACAAAAATTAGATGGGAGAGGTGGTGTGCACCTTTAGTCCCAGCTACTCAGGAAGCTGAGGTGGGAGGATGGCTTGAGCCTGGGAGGCAGAGGTTTCAGTGAGTTGTGATCATGCCACTGCACTCTAGCCTGGGCAATAGAGCCAGACTATGAGAAACTTTAAGGAAAAACAAAAAAGAAGAAAGAAAGAAAGAAAAACTATACAAAGAAATATTGTATTAGTCAGCTGAGGATGCCATAACAAAATATCATAGACTAGGTGGCTTAAATAACATGAATTTATTTCTTACAGTTCTGGAAACTGGGAAGTCCAAGATCAAGGTGCCAGCAAGGTAGATTCCATTCTGAGCTTTCACTCTTCTCTTGGTTTGTAGGCAGTGATTGTCTTGCTGTGTATTAATGTGACCTCTTATTTGTTCAAGAGCTGAGAGGCAGACAGCTTTCTCTCTTCCCCTTGTATAAGGGCACTAATCCCATCATGAGCTTATTGTCACCTTTATGACCTTCTCTAAATCTAATAACTTCCCCAAAGTCCCATCTCCAAATACCATCACATTGCAGGCCAGAGCTTCAATATATAAATTGGAGAGGACTCAATTCAATCCATAGCAAATCTACTCAAAAACTTAGATATTACAAATTGAAATCCTCCCAAAATGGCAAACTCACTCACAGGAAGGCAAGAAAAGGGAGACACAGGGATGAGAAACAGATGGACTAGAAAACAAACAAACAAACAAACAAACAGTATGGCAGACTTAAGCCCTATCATATTACCTATAATGTAAATAATTTAAATATACAATATAGTAACAGAGGTTGGCAGAATGAATAAAATATATGATTCAACTAGATGCTATCTACAAGAAACTCAGTTCAAAAACAACATATGTAGGTTGAAAGTAAAAGAATAGAAAGAGATGCACCATGCAGGTGTAAATTTTCAAGAGCTCAGAAGGAACTCTTTGATCCCTTACACACTCATGATGCTCAGATACTTTAATACACAGTGAGTCTCAGTCTTCGTGAAATTGATAATTACTGTTTGTCAGACTTTCTTAGCTCTTCCTGAACCAGATTACTCAAATATTAATGGAAGATCTTTACAATATATTTTTTAAAGAGTAATAGCTAGACAATCATCTAGATAAGCACACTGAGAGAGGGAGATTGCCGATTGGAAGAGCAGCCAAAGCTAAAGAAAACATGTAGGCAAGATCAGTTATTTGAATGAGGGCCCTGCTTCGTATTTTGCATTTAGAAGAAAAAAAATCATACATTACAAAAATAGCAATGGAGAAAGGATAAATGGAAAGATAATTTTTTATCTTCAGTTCTGTGGTGTGGCTTGTGGTTCTGCTCTTTTTAACATCTGTCAGCCTCCATCAATATATGCCTGCATAAGAATTCAGGCAATTATCATTTGAAAGGTTGCAAAATTGTCCACACAGTGAAATTCACCTTCCGAGTTGTAGTTTGACAGCTACGTTGATAAGCTAAATCCAAATAAAATTAGCCTTCAGTTAGATGCTCTCACGTTACTGTAATAAACTTCCTGGGACATACAGTGTCCTTTGGAGGACCAGGAGCCTCGCCCAAACAGACTTGAACAACTGTTGACCAGACTTGACAGCATGCAGTCCACAGAAGTGCCTGAAGCCCCGGGGGTAGGGTGGTGGGAACAAAAAACAAAACCGTTTTTATCTTTTGCACTCTCCCTTTCTCCTCTAGGCCATTGTTGAAAAGGGTAGCTTTTCTTTTTTTTTAACATAAAAAGAAATATACTATACTTTCCATATTTTGGGCAATTTTAGGATGTTTTGTGGAATCTAGAATCAACCAGATTTACCCTGAATGTACTGGAAAATCTTTTGATTGCTCCCAACTTACTTGTAAACCTCTATGTAAAAGTGCCATAAATACAAACCTACAGATGGTCCTGAACTAGACCCTCTATAATATGATAACAGGAGCCACAAGAGAGCTCAGTGTGACGTAGTGTGGAAATAAGATATGGCCCTCCCTCATATATCCCTTCCACGATCTTGCATGATCCATCATCATTATCATGAGAAATACTAATTTAGATGTTTAATCTGACTGCATCCTTTTTTCTCTTAGCCACATTCTCTCCGTAGCCAGATGCAGTAAAAGGACATTCACTATGAACAGAGTGATAAGTAAATTGACTTCATATTTCTAACACTAGATTATACAATGACCTTGCAGTGGTTTGGGGTGGGGGTAGCAAAGGATGGGCTTGGATAATCTTTCTCAGCATTATTAATACTCTTCTTTTAATTCAGTTCAATTCTATTCAATTCAACAAATATTTATTAGACACTTGGCATAACAGGCATTCCACAATGCCGATAAACCAGGGGAAGACTATAAGTAGCTGTCAATCTTATAAAGGAATATATTAAATGCAATAATGACAATATCACAAGATAAATCCCATTCTCCTCCCTTCTTTCCTTCTTTTCTCTTCCTTTCCTACTTTCTTTCTTATTTTTGTTCTTTTCTTTTGTTCCTGAGGGATCATATTCTTCAAAGTGACATTAACAAATTCAAACCAAGGTTGACTTCAACCTGTCATTTCTATAGCACATTTCATTTACCAATCTAAGACATCAACACCCTCTTACAGTAGATACTATAAACGCAGTCACTTCCTTTGCAGAGACCTAGAGAGCCAAGAGGACTTTCTCAAGGTCACCCTTCACTTTTCTGATGCACACGAAACAAGCACTAGCACCTTTGCTCTTTGGTTAAAAGCATCTCTCATACTGCAGTTTTCTGTCGCCAACTATAATGCACTACTGGTGATTTTCATCTACCTCTATATGAACACAAGACAGAGTGCGCCTCTTCCCTGGGTTATTTCCATAGCTACTGTATTTATTATATTAATGTTTATCACTTGGATGTCATTTAATGAATGTCGGCAGGGGGGAGGGAGAAGATAGAATGTTCAGGGAAAGAAGCTGTGCTATTAATTCAAATGGATAGTCAAGACAAGCATGTACATTCACATTGCCATATGGGGGCTGTTTTAGGGCACTGAAGCAGTTAATTTTGTTTTAAAGACACAAGCTTAGATAAAATAGATCTTTTTGACTTGGTTGAGAATTGAAATTATAAAGCATGCAAGGCTTCAGATTAAAATGCTATATTATTCTCTCCTCCCCACCTTATCTGAGGAGTGTAATGCCCTTACAATAGCCCACTTCTTGAACTCTTTCCAATTTCAGATATTTCCTATCTCTTTTAATACCTCATTGCTTTTGCATCAATTACGGCCTGACCTAAAGCTGCACTGGAAGTGGAAGTGATATATAGTGGAATCCATTGAAATGAATTTCTGATGAAAGAATAAAACTGTTAAAAGAATACATTTACTGCACACAAATTTATGCAAATCCCATATATGCTGTGAAATCCCCTGAAATGAAAAACTGATGAAAGATTAAAATGTTAAATGAATTAAAATCCACCATCCCAGTGAAATATAATGATGATTTGACCTACTAAATGAATGGCCTAAATGAAGATATAAATTTGAAGTGCTCCAACGTATGTCAATTTTAAATGTGCAGTAAGCCAGCATAACACAAAAATATGGCTCTCACTATTAAAGGAACACATTTTTTCTGGAACCAGCCATTATTTAGAAACATCTGTGTTGGTGCTTTACATGATGAGAAAGGCAAAATATTCTGTTGCTCATACAAGGTAACATCATGTATTAACCTTTCCCTCTTTCCTAATCCTTTATCTCTTGATCTCTTCAGATTATATTTGTATATACTGCCTTAGGGATGGGTAAGAATTGGGATACTCCTATGGCAATTTCTACCTTTCAGCAGGGGTCCTTCCTAAACTCAGTTTATATCATGCCTGAAGAATATAGAAAAATAATATTAGGATATACACTTTTAGTGAAACATAGGAAGTTAGCCAAGCAATTTTTATTAACAATTACTACCCTGCACATCTAATTCCCAATTTAACGTTAAAAAATAAAAACTATGTTGAAAAGCTCCTAGCAGTTAAAATAAGTTTGCAAACTAGTTTATTGCCCAGGTGAATTGTACGTTCTAACTCAGTTTAGGGCACAGGTAATGTGTGTTTTGTTGATAATAAATTTAAGTTTCAGTCACTGAAAAATCATATTCTCTAATTAGGCACAACTAGAAGCCTTTCATCATTGGCAGGAAAAATAAAAATGCAATTGCACTATGGAAAACTGCGCCCAGTGATTCTCTGACCTCTAGTCAGATTATGGTATTATAGTCATTTGCAACTGGAAGCTATGGCCAGGATAGAGGTCATTATCCTTATTGGCACCTCTGGCAGTGTCCAAATTTTAGAGCATATGGCCAAATGCACATGGTCATTAATTCGCATGGATCCACTGACCAACATGAAATGATATATAACTTGCCTTCATGGACCAAAGCAGGAGGAGCTTCTATGCTAATGAAGTCTGGCCAATCCTGAACCTATTTCTCTCTCTCTCTCTTTTTTTTTTAATATATATTATTTTATTTTACTTTAAGTTCTGGGATGGATGTGCAGAACGTGCAGGTTTGTTACATAGGTACACATGTGCCATGGTGGTTTGCTGCACCTATCAACCCGTCATCTAGGTTTTAAGCCCTGCATGCATTAGGTATTTGTCCAAATACTATCCCTCCCCTTGCCTCCTACCCCTCAACAGGCCCTAGTGTGTGATGTTTCCCTCTCTGTGTCCACATGTTCTCATTGTACAACTCCCACTTATGAGTGAGAACATGTGGTGTTTGGTTTTCGGTTCTTGTGATAGTTTGCTGAGAATGACGGTTTCCAGCTTCATCCGTGTCCATGCAAAGGACATGAACTCATTCTTTTTTTATGGCTGCATAGTATTCCACGGTGTATATGTGCCACATTTTCTTTATCCAGTCTATCATTGATGGGCATTTGGGTTGGTTCCAAGTCTTTGCTATTGTAAATAGTGCTGCAATAAAAATATGTGTGCATGTGTCTTTATAGTAGAATGATTTATAATCCTTTGGGCATATACCCAGTAATGGGATTGCTGGGTCAAATGGTATTTCTGTCCTAAACCGATTTCTAAGGAGAAATAAAGTTGCTCCTAAACTTCAGCTTCTTAAATTTTTATCAACTCTAGATATATTTTGGTAGAAAACTGCCCAAGCTTTACCGGAATTCCTAAAGAGGAAGGATTCCTAGGGTACAGCTATAAGTGGCCCAGGATAGTCTGCAATAATAATTGGCATAGCATTGAAATAAATATCTTGGGTGCTGCAACACCCTTTAAACTACACTCGTCTAAAAGGCCACGTGTTTTGCCTTTAGGGGATAACTTTGTTGTGTTGATCACCTGCAGGAGTTTCCATACCAGTGTCTAAATGCTTCAAGAGGAAGCACTTAGTCTTAGGTATCTTTGCAATTCTAAAGAAACCCACAGCACTCATTAAGTGTTTGATGAATTAAACTGAAACAGTAGAGAGCAATTTTACTCCGGCTAAAGTTACATGTAAACAAGACTTGAGGTTTTAGCACCCCATGGGGATGCCATAGTTGGCTCCCCTTACATTTCTTTATGTATTCCAGAATACTTTTGGAGTGCCTCTTCTGAAGTGTTAGGTACTAGGAATGGGTTTCCTGTCCTTAGGAGGCTTACTATCTGTCAGAGATGCTCAGGTGCCTTGGCTAATTGTTATCTGGTTATTATCTATCAAGGAACAATTACTACCAAGGCCTGTAGGAGGCATAGATTTACGTAGAAAACAAGGTGTAGTTTCAGTGTGAGGTAGAACTGATGGGTAAAGAAGCAGTTAAAATTGAATACGAGGAGTTACCTAAAGGGGTAAGCAGGGAATGGGAAGGAAGAAGTTATATCTAAACTGGAACCTGAGGCCAGGTGCGGTGGCTCATGCCTGTAATCTCAGCACTTTGGGAGGCTGAGGCAGGCAGGTCACTTGAAATCAGGAGTTTCAGACCAGCCTGGTCAACCCCGTCTCTACTAAAAATACAAAAATTAGCTGGGCATGGTGGTGCACACCTGTAATCCCAGCTACTCTGGAGGCTGAGGCAGGAGAATTGCTTCAATCTCAGAGGCAGAGATTGCAGTGAAACGTGATTAAATACTTACTGGCATTACTCTTATCCCTAATATCACCTTAAAACTTAAAGACTGTCAATATCTGTTAGAGTCAGAGTGAAAAAGAATTCTGACATCACTGAGTTAAACATAGTGGAAATTAAGTTGCTGAAAATAAAAAAATGTATATTCTTTAAATGATAACTAAAAATATGCATACATACCCTTATTAGTTTTTAGGGATATTCGTTGAAAATGAGGATTTATCTTCACTCAATTTTAACATAAAATCTAAAGATTACTTAGAATTATAAAACATAATTTAAATAAAATAAAAATATATATAAAATAAACATTAAAATCAATATAAAAGGCAACTAGGAAAGTTTAACAATTTCTAACATTTCAAAGACTTCTTTTTTCCCTTATTGTTTTTTCCTTATTGTTTGTCAATTTCTAATTTAAATACATTAAGAATTAGGGCCAGGCATGCTGACTCATGCCTGTAATCCCAGCACTTTGGGAGGCCGTCACGGCCAGATCACGAGGTCTAGAGATCGAGACCACCCCGGACAACATGGTTAAACCCCGTCTCTACTGAAAATATAAAAAATTAGCTGGGCGTGATGGCACACACCTGTAGTCCCAGCTACTCGAGAGGCTGAGGCAGGAAAATCACTTGAACCTGGGAGGTGGAGGTTGCAATGAGCTGAGATTGTGTCACTGCACTCCAGCCTGGGCCACAAGAGAGAGACTCTGTCTCAAAAAAAAAAAAAAAAAAAAAATTAGAAAATCACACATATCTCAAATTCTACATTACAGATCAAACTGTCTTTCAATAATTCTTTGGTTTATCTTTATCTTAGCCAATAATTCCTCTTTTATCTATTGTTATTAAATTCCATTTGATTTTCTTATCTTTTGTATCCAATAGAATTAGTTTCTACTGTATATAATATACTAACAAAAAGTAGCACAGCTTAAACAAAATAGAAGTCTATTTCCCTGCAATGTGAAAAAATCCGCATGTAGCTAGTCGTTATTTTCTTAGAGAGGGTACAAAAAATTATCATAGTTCCTGATGACTTCTGTCTCACAGCTCTGTCAATTTTATATTTGTTTTTCAAGATAGCTTCCAGGACTCTGACATATGTGAATATTCTGTTGACTGTATAGCTACAAAATAGAAAGTTTCCTAAGAGTTTTAAAAATATAGTAATCTGTACGTTCCTGGTGCTGTATGCCCTAAAGTCAAAAAGACCTTTCTTTTTATTTACTTATTTTTATTTTTTTATTTTTGCGGGTACATAATATGTGTATATATTTATGGGGCACATGATATATTTTGGTACAGGCATGAAAAACAGCTTTCTTCAAAACAATTTATAACCTATTTCTATATGCATATCATTGCTAATATTATATTGCTCTTCTTAGATTGCTTTCCGGGTAATGCAGGATAAAGCAAAGAGACTGATTGGTCTTTTGCTTATGACAGTTTGATTTTCTCATGGTATTTTGATTATAGCGTCTGTAACATACCTAAGAACTGGGATTCTCTGTGCGGGATAAAGAAAATATACAGTTCAGATGGACTAGGTTACGTATACACTGATAATTGTGAATTTGAATTAGAATTAAAAGTACAAATTCTTAATGTGTTTTGTGTTTAAAATATATATTATAATATATAATACATATATATTTTATATGTATACATATATGAATTTTTAATACATATATGTATTTTTAATACATATATTTTAATACATATATTAAATCCATATTTAATACATATATTTTAATACATATATTTTTAATACATATATACTTAATAACTCTGAAGCTGCCTAGAAAAAAATGGCCCACCTGGTAGCAATAACTACCTCTATCGTGCCAGGCATGGTGGCTCATGACTGTAATCTCAGCACTTTGGGAGGCTGAGGCAGGAGGATCACTTGAGCTCCGGTGTTCGAGATCAGCCTGGGCAACATAGCAAGATCCCATCTCTACAAAAAATTAAAAAATAATTAAAAACACCTCTATCATGGTCTACAGATACCATTTCCTACAGGCTGATTCCAGACCTGGGGCAGAAAACGTACAAGATGAGCCTGGATACTGTACCATACCATAGAACAAGAACACTATTATATATGACTAGGGTCTCATCAAGAGGATTTAGGAGCTGACTTAAAAGGACTCCCACTGGCCAAAGATTGTTATGTAAAAGAATAAAAACGGCAAATGATTCAAACATATTAAATATGTTTGTTCATGAGTTCATAATGATGCAAAAATACGTACATACACATGCACAGAGAGAGAGAACCAGAGGGAGGGAGGACAGAAAACATCTATTGTGTCATCCTCACCAGATTCTAGGGAAATAATTTATTATTTTGGGAACCAGTAAATAAAGAAAAGAAACAAGGCATTTGTTTGCCTTGTCTACATCAACTATACCACTGGATAATCTAATAAAAGATCAGGAGATGTTTTTCTTTATACAGATAGTCTAACTAACAAAAAACAAATGAATGATAGATTAGAAATTCACAATTTACAAAAAAATGCATTTATGACTTTTATGAGACTATTGAGAATTTGAACACTGGATATTTGATTAAGAAATTATTAACTTTAGGTGAGATACTAATATTTTGGCTATATTAAGGGAGTCATTATTAAAGGATCACAATAAATATTTATGGATGAGATAATATGGTCTTTGCAATTCACTTCAGGATAATAGGAGGGAGAAAATGGAAGAAAGTATAGAGGGGCAAAATTGGCCTTAGCCTCATATTTCTTGGAGCTGAGTGATGGAACTTCATTATATTAGGTTGATGTGAAAGTAATTGTGGTTTTTGCCATTACAGTAGACAAAAACCACAATTACCTTTGCACCAACACAATACTATGCTTTCTCCTTTTGTGTGTGATTAAAAGTCTCTATGTTAAAGGAAAATGTTAAGATAGGGTATAATCATGACTTTTATAAAACTATTAAATGAACCTAGGTCAAAGATTGTTTGTGGTTTATTAATTTATAAGGAAACCAATAAGATGTTACTACTAATTTTTAAGGAGATTATATAGTTTATAGGAGACGTCAAAGAAATAAATCTTTGTAAGCATTAAGTGTGCAGAAATGAATTTACAAAACTCACTTATTCCATGAAGCGTGTGGTTGTGGGGGTGGTAACAGGAAAGGAATTGTATTTCCTCTGGACAAAATATGTTTACATGTCTATAGTCAGGAATCCTTTGTTGGTATCACTTATTTGCAATTTACAGAGTGGTTAAAAAGCTTAAAGGCAATGAAAGTTGTAGAAACACCATAGAATCAGATGACCTGAAAGAATATGTTTAGGCAGCACTTACTTTTCATTCTTTCTCACTTTTCAGTGATCTTTTCAGTCTTTCTCACTTTTTCCTATCGTCTCTGTGCTACGCAGAATAATGCCCACTCCCCACAACCCCCAGAGCCTGTGAATATGTTAATTTACATGGCAAATGAGACTATGCCGTTGTGATTAAATTGAGGATCTGGAGGTTGGGAGATTATCCTGGATTATCTGGATAGGCCCAATGTAATCACAGGAATCCTTATATTGAGAGAAAACACAGGAAAGTCAAAGTAAAAGAAGGACATGTGACAATGGAAGGAGAGATTGAATTTATGCAATTGCTGACTTTGAAAATGGAGGAGGCAGGCCTTGAGTGCAGGAAGGCAGGTAGCTTCTAGAAACTGCAAAAGTCAAGGAAACCAATTCTTCTCTAGGGCTTCCAGAAGAATGCAGCTCTGCATTCTGCAAAATGATCTCAGTGAGACCCATTGATTTCTGACCTCGGAACTGCACGATAATACATTCATGTTGTTTTGAGCCATTAAGTTTGTAGTAATTTTTTACAGCAGCATAAGAAATTAATACAGTCTCCAACCACGCTGAGCTTTAAGATCATATTTATCTCAAACAAGGAGTATTCTTAATCACCAAAATACTTGGTCCCACCCACGATTTTTAGCCTGATTGATTGCTAATAAGATGTAGCAAGAGTGTTGACAAATCTCTTTGAGACTGTTTTGAGAATCTAGAGCTATGCAATGTGGAACAACCAGTGAGAACACAAACTTAACTTCTGTTTGTAAGTTTCCGTAAGAAATAATTTCTTTCTCAGCATTTCCTGCCTCATGCAAGTACCAACATTTATCTCATTATATCTGGATTATTTAACACATGACTAATTTCTGGATTTCTCTGTATCAACTGTTGTATTTGTGCATTTAGAAACATCTCGTATTCGTTCTCCTAAGACTAGAAACTCAAGCCTAACAAATACCTATATCACATTTCATCTGTATAATTTACAAATCTGACAGAATTCCTGTCTTCTAGGGGTCGCTCAAATTTTTTAAAGCTTTTACTCTACAGAGAAGTGACCGTCTTGCCATCTGTAAGACCAAACCCTGTAAGCCAATATTTCTGGGTGGGCTTTGTAGGCATTAGCTCCACACATAAAATCAACATTAGTTCCTTAAAAGTGACTTATCCTATCTAATTACATTTGTATTATTTTCAAAGATGATATTCACCTTGGTTGCATAGTTGATTTGTCCAAACATAACCTGGTAAAACAGAGAACAGATTCTACTGAATCTATTCACATAATTATGTTACTATGAAAAGTAATGATGCTTAGTAAAAGCTTTGAAATACAAAAGTCATTATAAATCAGCTACCATTTACAAATTTTTTTTTCAGTTTACGAAAGCAGTTTATTAAACTTCTGTGGGTTGTTAATGGCTTAAGAAAAGATAGGACTTCCTCATATATTCAAAAAATAGAAAAACAAAACAACACTATTTCAAACAAACAAATTATTACAATAAAAATTTCCTCATTAGCTCATTTAGATATATTTAATTAATTCTTGTGCTGCTGAATCTTGTGTTACCAGTTTCACAAAGCTGTCTAGTTTTCAACCTAAAATAATACGAGAAACCCAGCCCCATCCACTGGTAGAATCTGAGAGCAAATTATCTCTGTAAAATCTCAGAGAGTAACTATTTTAGAATTTGCAGGCCAGGCCAGGAGCAATGGCTCACATCTGTAATAATGGTGCTTTGGGAGGCTGAAGTGGGAGAGCACCTTGAGCCCAGGAGTTCAAGACTAGCCTGGACAACAAAGCAAGATTTAGTCTCTACAAAAAATTAAAAAATTAGCTGAGCATGATGGCATGTGCCTACAATCCTGGCTACTCAGAAGGCTGAGGCAGGAGGATCTCTTGAGACCAGGAGTTCAAGGCTGCAGTGAGCTGTGACTGCACTGCAGCATGGGCAAGAGAAAAAGAAAAAATAATAATTTGCAGGCCAGATTCTCTCTGTCACAACTACTGAGCTCTGCCATTTTAGCAAAAGAAAAGTCACAAAAGACAATACAAATGTAAGTGGACATGTTGTGCTTCAATAAAACATTTACAAAAACAGGCAGTGTCTTTCCGGGGAAGCAGGCCATCCTTTGCTGATCCCTGCTCTAATCAATATCAGATCAGCTTTGATAAGTCAACAGGTTGCAGTACAAGCCTTTTCCTGAAGGCTCCGAAGCTCTCGTTCTTGGCTGAACTCACAAAATCTTCCTTGTAGCTTATAGCAGAGACTCCATGGGATCATCAGAGTAAAACAAATACTATCTGAAGATAGAAGAGAATTAATGGCTGTAGTTAATTTATTACTAATAATTTTCAATTGTGAACATTTTATGAGATTTTTCTATATAGTATAGAACAACTGTAGAGTTGAATAATGCAGTTGACAGGAGTACATGATTATTTCAGTGACATGAAAATCAAAGATAATAAAACCATTCCAAAAAAAAGTTTCTGAGAAAAATGATCAAATCTATTTTCAGAAACATCACTGAATGCTATATCTGATTTACAAAATTGGATGAATGGCTTTAATGAGAAAAAATCTTGGAATATAGCATATAATATACATAATATGCCAAGAATGTCAAATAAAGAGATTCAGTAAGTCTAGAGTGGGGCCTAAACATGTAGAAAACTCCTTGGGCAATCCAGTGTGCACCTCCAATATAGAACCACTAGCCTAGAAGACTCTAGCTTTTGTTGGGTGTGGGAATTGATTTCACTCTACTTACAAACCATTAAGATAGCTCTAAGATATGCTCTTACTGTTTCTTGTGTACCAACAGAAGACATGAGACTCCTAGATCAGAGACAGAGGACTTTATTACTTACATCACAGCAAGCAACACAAATGAATATAGTTGCATTTAGTTTCTCTTGTACCTAAGTCCCACAGGGGTGACAGAGAGGGTCCAGATAGATGCTGTGCATGCATAGGGTTTATGTCACAGTCTGAAGAACTCTGAGTTTGAGGAAATCCATCACTTCTGTAGTAAGCAGTAAGCAAGCCTAATCTCTGCCTCAGATGGAAGTTTTATTTCATCCCTCAAAGAAACTTATGAGAACACAGCCTTGGGAACTGGCCCAGGTAAAGGAGCAACCAGGGCCTTGAAATCTCAGCAAGGAGTATGAGAAGCCCATGAACAGCTATGTCTCCCAACAGATTCAAATGAAAAAAGTAAGGTTGTAGACAAGTGAGCATTTGAAGTAAAACCTGAAATTATAACAGATAAGTATATATTGTTTTTGCTTAATGTCGTCACATAAAGCACAATAGGACTCTGATAAATATTCAAAAATCCGACAGAACTAGTTCATCATAATCTTGATCAGGGTTTCACCAGAGTTGAAATATATTATGAAAAGGAAGGTATTGACAAATCTCTAAGGACTTCACATAAAGCATACAATTTCTGAAATATTTGGATTAATAACATTAACCTTTACAAACTGAACCTAGAGAAAAGCGTGTCTTTCCAAATTTGACAATTTTTCCCATGCAGTTGTTATAATAGTAGCAAATCAAACAAAACTCAGTATTTCTAGTGCCTCTTTTTATGAGCAAAAGAACAAATTTTTGTGATTGTTTCCCAGGAGCCCTCTGGGAAACCTCAAAGATAGTTTACATGTAAAAGATAGTCTGAATTTTTATTTTATTTTTTCTATACTTAGGACCTGAATTTGAGAAGGCTAAAATCACAATGTCTTCAGAGATTTGGAACCAAGATTGAGATAAGATGGTGGGTGCCTGAGAAATAATAACTAGTTACCAATTAAATAAAATGACAATAAAACAAAAATAAACATTGAAATTAGCAGGGTGGTGAAAACCTTAGTTCTAGGCTGGCCATGGTGGCTCATGCCTGTAATGCCAGGACTTTGGGAGGTCGAGGCAGGCGGATCACCTTAGGTCAGAAGTTCGAGACCAGCCTGACCAACGTGGTAAAACCTTGTCTCTACTAAAAATACAAGAATTAGTTGAGCGTGGTGGCATGCTCCTGCAGTCCCAGCTACTCGGGAAGTTGAGACAAGAGAATCACTTGATCCCGGGAGGCAGAGGTTGCAGTGAGCTGAGATCATGCCACTGCACTCCAGCCTGGGTGACAGAGCAAGACTCCATCTCAAAAAACAAAACAAACAAACAGAAAAACACAGAAAACCTTAGTTCTATTATAAGTGGGGAAGCTTTCTTCTTTTTTTTCATATTACATAAATTAAGAAATTTAGTCAACAAAAACCACATAAAATAATGCTGGTAAAATAGAGAATCTCTGCTGCTATCCACATGGATTACACAGAAGGTAAAAAAGAACCTGTCAAATTGTTGGCAAAGATCATCAGTAACCTAAAAAAGGAAACTCATCAAGATTTAGTATATTTTGTTAAAATTTCAACACTTTTAATAGCTTGTTTTACACTCAAGTATTATGAACTATAAGAAAAAAATCACTTTTCTTTTTTTTTTTTTTTTTTTGAGACGGAGTCTTGCTCTGTCACCCAGGCTGGAGTGCAGTGGAGAGATCTCGGCTCACTGCAAGCTTCGCCTCCCAGGTTCATGCCATTCTCCTGCCTCAGCCTCCTGAGTAGCTGGGAGTACAGGCGCCCGCCACCACACCCAGCTAATTTTTTTGTATTTTTAGTAGAGACGGGGTTTCACCATGTTAGCCAGGATGGTCTTGATCTCCTGACCTCATGATCTGCCCGCCTCGGCCTCCCAGAAGTACTGGGATTACAGATGTGAGCCACTGCACTCGGCCTAAAAAAATCACTTTTAAAATTTCAATATTATTTATCTTCTTTCACATTCTGGAATAAATTGGCATTTTACTTTAGGACAGATCTCAGGAAGCTCATGAGTAAAAACTTATTTCACAATAATACTAAGATATTTATGTTAGCATGCAATGTATTCATCATGGCTATATTTAAATAAATCCATAAATGTTTAAAACTTGTTTAAATTCTGAATATGATAAATATTGATATGTATAGCTCACAGAAGCAAAAGCTCTCTGAGTTCCTCAATAGGTTCCAAAAGCCTGAGAATTGTTACCTTAAAACGAAAGTATTCTTTTTTTCTTCCAAAATACATACACAGTTCATTTTGGGTCATCATCGCTCCAAGGGTAGTTTCTGTTACTCGTGTTAATTTTAACATTTAATAAACTCTCACAGAGAAAACGAGGGTAGCCAAGTGTCTGTCATACATAAGTATTTTAGCCAATTAGCAAAGCTCATGGACACACAGAATATGTCTTTCAACAGCCACACAAATACATTTTATACTTTTTTTTTCTTTTCTTTTTTTTTTTTTTTTTTGGAGCCAGGGTCTTGCTCTGTCACCCAAGCTGGAGTGCAGTGGTAACGTGGCTCAATCATGGCTCACGGTAGCCTCGACCTCTTGGGCTCAAGCAATCCTTCCATCTCAGCCTCCTAAGTAGCTAGGACCACATGCATGCACCACCAAGCACAACTAATTTTTTAATTTTTGTAGAGATGGGGTCTACCTATGTTGCCCAGGCTCATCTCAAATTCCTGGACTCAAATGATCCTCCTGTCTTAGCCTCCAAAGTTCTGGGATTATAGACATGAGCCACCTCACCCAGTTTACACTTTCTTAATTAGACAAAAATGAATACGTCCATTAACAGGGACAAAGATCAATCCAATTTAATCAATTTAATGCAATCCACTCAGTCCATGAGCTTGGAAATTGTATTGTCTTCCAGCTGGCATATTATAACACAATTACTGTTCAAACAAAACTTTGTTAGAATAATTAAATATATACAAATGTGTCCTTTTTACAATATTAAACATTATATAATAGTAATGTTAGCTTATTTGATCAGTAAACTTGGTTAAGTTTAAGAAAAACAAACCCAAATAGAATAAAATGCATGCTTATATATTAGCATTGATAAAAAGGAGAAGACTGCTGTTGCTAGTAAACTAAAATTATAGATCTAGTTTCATTTACCAAAGATTTACCTTTGTTATAGAAATTGGAGTTCTTAAAGCATTTCCAAGTTAACTCACGTAAGAATGTTTTAATTCAAGCACATTTAAAGTATTAGAAGTTTATTTTTTATTTTTCTAGACATTTTAGTAATATTCATTTTTATGTATTTTTAATCTACTCAGAATACAGCTCCTATAACTTTAGAGGCTTTGCAGTCTAATTAAGTATCATCTAAAGATAGGAAGTTTTTTTTTTTTTTTTTTTTTGAAACAGAGTCTTGCTCTGTCGCTCAGGCTGGAGTGCAGTGGCAAAATCTCAGCTCACTGCAAGCTCTGCCTCCTGGGTTCATGCCATTCTCCTGCCTCAGCCTCCCGAGTAGCTGGGACTACAGGCACCCGCCACCGCCCCTGGCTAATTTTTTGTATTTTTAGTAGAGACGGGGTTTCACCGTGTTAGCCAGGAAGGTCTCGATCTCCTGATCTCGTGATCCGCCTGCCTCAGCCTCCCAAAATGCTGGGATTACAGGCATGAGCCACCACGCCCAGCCAAGAAGATAGTTTACAGTTAAAGTTTTTTCTGAATTATAGAAGCATAAACATACAGAGTCACCAAGAGTGTATAGTTTCAGATTTAAAACTTTAGCCACAGGTCAACTGTAAACAGAGAAACACAAAAATCTCAGTCCAGATATCAAATAGCTGCACTCCTTTCTAGTGAGCACAAAATTCTTAAGTATTCTAAGCACAAAAATAAACAAGTTAACAAACAAGCAAAAACATTAGTAAACGAGTTTACCTCTTGTCTCTTACCCAACAGAGAATATATCTCTATCTACCATCTACAGAGACCACAAATAATCAGACCATAAAAACAAATTCCCAATTATCACTACCACCAGTGCATAACTCATTGGCCATGCACAAACCAGAAACAAAAACAAAACACGAGATCATTAGAAAGGAAAAAGAATTACAGAAACAGAGGTTAAGTAAATGTATAGTTCTATTGCGGATTGTGATTCACTTCTGGGAGTCAAGAAGAGAGGTGTCTGGGCTTAGGCTGCCTATGAGGTGCACCTCTCCAGCAATGTGGCTTACCAGGCTATGTCACATGAATTTTGGGCATCTTGGTGGAAACTTCAAAACTATTAAAGGGTAATTTTTAAAAGAGGACATAATCATCACTCTCATACAAATATCAAGTGAACAGATGCTCAGAGAGCAGAGTCAAGAGTCTTGATGACATTTGTGTACCAGGTTTTCATTATTCCTGGTCCCAGATAAATTTCTGTTCTTGGGGTCTGTGAGTCACTGTGTATCTTGACAACTTCTTCTTTTTTTTTTTTTTAACATAGTTTGAGTCAGGTTTCAGTTACTTCATTTAGGAAGCATTTTTACCGGGGCCACAATGCAGCGCTACTCTAGGAGGTGCTGTCCAATACAGCAGCCATCAGCCACACGTAGCTATTTAAACTTAAATTACTAAAAATTAAATAATATTTAAAATTTGGTCACACTAGTCATATTCCAAATGCTCAATAGCCACATGGAGCTGGTGGCTACTATGTTAGATACCACAGACCCACAGGGACTTTCTCGTCCCCAAGCCATATTGTAAAGCAGAGTCTACAGCAAATAGTTGCTGAGTTTACATCTCAGTTCAGTAGACTGAGCAAGAAGCATTCTAAGAAACTTAGAACAAACTGTGATCAAAAGATGGTTACTTTAGTAATAATGTAAAAGAGAGTTTCTATATAAAAGTGGATGCAAACAAAATCATATGTCAAGTACAACCAAGATTTTTATTAGATCAAAACCAGGAAGATTTAGTGTCTGTGAGGTTGCTGTTTAAATTATTTTCTTACATTGCAATGGAAAGAAATAGATTGTATGAACCAAGTTTCTAGTATAAGAAATTGTTACGGGTTGAATTGTGTCCCCCAAAAAAGTATGTTGAAGTCCTAACCTCCAGCATCTCAGGAAGTGACCTTATTTGGGAATAGTGTCATTGCAGACGTCATTAGTTAAGATGAGATCTTGCTGGAGTAGAGTGGGCCTTTAATCCAATATAAATACTGTATTTAAGAGAAGAGACACAGAGAAAACATAGGGAGAAAATGGCCCTATGATGGTGGAGGCAGAGAATGATTGGAATGATGCATTTATAAGCCAAGGACAACCAGCAAATAGCAGAAGCTAGAAGCAAGGTAAGATTCTTCAGGTTTCAAAAGGAACATGGCCCTGCCAACACCTTGATTTCAGAATTCTTGTCTCCAGAACTGTGAAAAAAAGAAATTTCTGTTGTTTAATCCATCCAATACAATAAAATAAACATATCTGAAAGATTTTATTTAATTCATCAATTAATGAGGAAACGTCTACAATATCACAAACCTTCAAAGACTAAATCAAAGTACTACACATGTAAAAACAACAATGCTTAAATAAATGTACAAGTGAACACAAAAATGGCTTATTCTGTGGGAGTGAGAGAAGGATTTGGAGAAGGAGCTTAATTGTATTTCCAATGGGCAAAATTTACTTGTATGGCTAAGGATAAGAATCATTTGCATTGCTGTTAGTCATATACAGTTGAAAGAGTTGTAAAGTAGCTCAAAGACAACAAAAGGTACAGACAATCCATGGATAGTCGTGGAATAGGAGAACCCAGAATGTATGAGTAGACATAACCTTTTTGGTACATTTTAAAATCTTTCATGATTTCTTCCTGTATCCATAACAAAAAGCTTTTAAAACCAACATTCATTTTTAACTTTATATTCTATTTTTTGAGGCCAAAATGATTTAGAAACTTCAAAAAATTATTTACGAAGGAGTAGTCTAAATTATAAGAAACTGTAAGTTTTCTGAGAAACAGAAATTAAAATTCTCAGGTGAGTGGGAAGGTTCCATTTCTTAAATCCATTTTCCATTTTTCTTAAATTTTACTTATGATTGATTTCAATTCAAATGTAGGAAGACCCAGTTAAAAGTATAGTAGCTAAATGAATTTACAGATAGTCTAAGACAAAAATATGAGTTTGAATAAAGTTTATTTGATTACTATATTAAGATAGAAATGTTAGCTGCTCTAACAAACACCTGTCTCTCAGTTTTAATGAAATAACATTTTATTTCTTGCTCATAGGAAGTCCAAAGGTATTGGGCAGATTTCTTAGATGTCTCTCCTTCAAAGCATAACTCAGGAATCTAAGTTCCTTTCATTATATGGTTCTGCCATTTGGGAGCCTTTCACTTCCACACACACACAGAACACAAATGAAAAACCTCATGAGAGATGTTAGGTACTAAGCCTGGGTTTGACTTTCAGTTCTTGTCTCAACTAGGCACGTGGCCCTAACTCAACTGCAAAGAATTCTAAGAAATGTATTCATCCTGAGTGCACTGAAAAAGACAACAGGTTTCTCAGCAGCTAGCCTATTACTTCTATCATCCTTCTTACTTATATAATTAATTGCCAGTTACAACTGTTCCTCGTAAACCATGATAATTGATTTGACTTATCTTTTTTAAATTCTTTTAATTTATCTCTATTAATTTATAGCCAATGGAAAGTTGCCCAACTTTCTGACTTTGTCACTCTGAAGACCCAGTATGGAAGGTTCTTAACAGCAAAAGCTGTATCACATTCAGAAGAGGACAACCACATGGAAATAAATGAGCAGTGAAGCTGACAGGGGTATCAATGTGTCTTTCAATGCTTCGTGCATCATCAGCTATTTATTTCAATATTTTGTATGTCATCAGCACTTTGTCTGACAGCTCCATTTGTTCACTTTTCATACTTCTTTTGGGTGAACAGCATGTATAAGAGCTCCATTTTGGAACAGCACATTAATCTTCCCTAGTTAAGGGATGACTTGTTCTCACACTTATCATTGCACCTCTCTTGTGATATGACATCACCCCCTCATTTGCTGAGATAAATGCCAAACAAAAACATCACACCGGCATCTGAATTTCTACATTGTCTATTTGATTTGTATCACAACTTTGAAATATAAGGAAAGGAGGACACTAGTCATTAATGAAGCTACTTTTTTTTCTTGGCGCTTTTATATTTTCTACAAGATTTGTACTTAATATTGAGAAACTCTGACAGTCCTAAGCCAATTCTGTGGCTTGCCCAGTAGGTTAAATCAAGTTGTGCCAGAAAACCCAGACATATACCCATCTTCCACACAATGGAGTGGCAACCAGCCTCCCTTGTCCTTCGGCATCCATGGCAAGTTTGTCCTCTAGAGCACTGAGTTATATGACCCATGAGCCAATGGCTGCATTTACAACAAAGACCCGTGAAAGTTGTAATTCATTTACAAATAACTCATGAGTTCAGTCCTATCCAGAAGGTGATGCTGAAATACTGCACAATAACAATGTTTGTTTGCCTAAAAAGGACATTCAGCAGCAATGGTTCACTACAGGTTAGGCACCATATTTCAATTCCTAATCAAATTCTATTTGGACCTTTCATTTCCTGAAATGACCCTGAAAATGTTATCTCTACTCTAGCTGTCACCCTTCCTGCTTGTGATCTCAGTTTGAAATCTAAGTATTAGAAACCGTAGAAGACTGTGGCTGGATTTGGCATTATTCCAGTTCACTATGAAGACACATTTAAACTGAAAAACTTACATAAACTAAGTGAGATGAACTGGTCTCCATAACAGGAGAAGGTAATACGATGATGGCTTATAATTTGGAATAAAAATCATGTAGTGTCTTTAATATCTTTCACCCACAAGACATTATGTGTATAAAGACTTAGAAAATTAGAAAATAATGGGAAAACACCCAAATGTCCAAGAGCAAGATAATAAATAAATAAATTATGCTATGCTCAAATAATGAAATAATATGCAACAGAGAAAAGCAATAAACTACAGGCATGACTGACAATGTGCAGGATTCCCATGAACAAAAATGTTAGAAGAAAATGTCAAATGAACACAGAACAATATGGTATAAGATTTTGTATACAAACTTTTAAAACGTACAAAAGGATATTATATACAGCTAAGAGTACCTGCAATTATTGTACTAAAAACACAGTGGAAGATAAATACCGGTGGCTCCCTCTAGAGGCAAGGAAGAAATGAGACGTGATCAGAGAGGAATGCTTAACGGCACTTCAAATGTGCAGGGCGTGTTTTATTTGCTAAGCTGGTGTTCACTTTATTTTTCTTTATACTCTCCTTGTATGTGTAAATATTTGCAAAATAAAATGTAATAAAACCATGTAGGTGGCGATCCCTGCCCTTAGAAATTAAAAAAATCTTATTATGGAGAAAAGATATTTGCACATTTTTTCAACTTTATATATATTTTATTGTTGCAATAATATAGACTACAAGAAATTAGCTTATTAAATAAAATCTACCTTCATTCATATATATATAATACTTTGAGTTCTGGAGCACGTGTGCATAACGTGCAGGTTTGTTACATAGGTATATATGTGCCATGGTGGTTTGTTGCACCCATCAACCCTTCATCTACATTAGGTATTTCTCCTAATGCTGTCCCTTCCCTAGCCCCCACCCCCCAACAGGCCCCAGTGTGTGATGTTCCCCTCCCTGTGTCCATGTGTTCTTATTTTTCCACTCCTACTTATGCGTGAGGACATGCAGTGTTTGGTTTTCTGTTCTTGTGTTAGTTTGCTGAGAATGATGGTTTCCAGTTTCATCCATGTCCATGCAAAGGACATGAACTCATCCTTTTTTATGGCTGCATAGTATTCTATTGTGTATATGTGCCACATTTTCTTTATCCAGTCTATCATGGATGGGCATTTGGGTTGATTCCAAGTCTTTGCTATTGTGAATAGTGCTGCAATAAACATACGTGGACACTTGCACATTTTTTAAAAGGTAGACGACAACACAAGATGACAAATGTGTAAATTCCAAATGAATCTTACAGATAACCTGATAATATTCCTGGAGTCTTCAGGGAAATTTTATTTGTGGAAATAAAATGTCTTATTATCAAAAAAGCAGATGGAAACAGGGAGAGGACTAAGAAGAATATGATCCATGTCCATACAATTATAATGTATATCTTCTTACTGGAATGTTATCTCCATGAAGGCAGGATCATCTGTTGTGTTTAGTGCAAATCTTGAGTCCCTGGTATATCCTAGGTAAAACCTACGTACAATAACTTTCATGGAGGGAAGACTGGTATTCTCTAATACCAGTATTCTTGAGATAGAAAACTCATAGACATTCTGACAGTTTAGTAATATACAGTGTTTTACACAGCAGTTCTCAACCTCATAGAACTCCTTTTTCCAGAGAAAACATATGGTAGATATTTTAGGTTTAACATTTGTGGCTGACAGATCTGTATTGCATGAGAAAGAGAATGTAAGGGTGTATCTGATAAAGCAACTAGTTTGATCTCTTAACCTGAACCATGATGCTCCTGTAGCAAATAAAAATTAAAGTGGAACAATAACAACTAAATCTAGGACACTTCAACCATTGATGTCAAAAATACTGAATTGAGAATTAGTACACATAAAATAAAATTTACTCTGTTGTTTGCACTTGATCTAGAGGTTGTATGGAAAAAAATAAAAACAGAAACAGAAAATAGTGATGGATTTTAAATAGTTCTTTGTGTCCTAAAAAGCCAACCAAACAACAACAACAAAAAACATAGATCTCAGAGGCCTTTGCAGGCTGTACATTTCAAGACCAGATAAAAGGTGAGAGGTCTCAAGTGACAGACCAAGATGGGTCACAGGATGCCTGAGAAACCACATGATTAGGTGCAGTCAGACGAACAACTGTAGAGTCAGTGAAAAATCAATCTGGTAGTGACAGAAGCCTATGAGTGAAATGTCTTTTCCATATTTTTTAGCTATCACTCTGTCAATACACGCACTTGAAACTGGATGCACTTGAGAATTAAAAGATGTTAGATCTATAAAGCATTAGAACAGTGTCTACTAGGTACTACTCAATAAATACTGTCTACTTTGCTGAAGTAATAAGTATATTAATAACAAAATTTTTAAATATTGAATTAAATTTTTTTATTGTATATACAGAAGCTCCTTCAATGCTATCTTTTATTTTCACCATGGCTTCACATTAGCCTATCACAAAATTCTACTCCTTACCTACGATCTCAGTGAGAGGTTCTTGCATTAGGATGTACTAAGAACACCAAAGAATCTAAAGAACTCACGGTTATGGCAATTTCTACAATGAAGATAAACAGGGATTATGCAGTTTGGTTGACATTCAGGTCTCCAGTATGTGCTCTTTGGCCTTTCGTGGTCACACTATGTGCTGCTCTGCTTCTATTTATATCATCTTCATCAAATAACAGGCCTAGTAGGAGAATTGTAGGCAGGGGGTGAAGGAAAAAACAAAATGTATGAAACCTTCAACCAAACACAGTGACTTTATGTTACCAGTACTGGTGGGAGATTTGTTATAGGACTAAAAAAGATGCAGAAGAATTCATATAAGAATCAGGAGATCCAAGGCCTACTCTAATTTGCCACTAACTATCTGGGTCACCATGGGACTAATTCCTTAACGTCTGTGAGTACAATACTATACTCAAATTAGAAAATCTTCCAGATCCCTCCCATTCCATATTTATGATTCGTTGATGTTGCACCTTCCCAGATAACCAAGAATCACCTATAAATAGGAAGGGGCAGGCATTTCTCTTTTCTCATCACATTCTCTTTTCCAATAGGTGTTACTACCCTCTAATTTTTTTTTTTAATAAAATCCTCTAGCAAAGGCAATGATTCCTCTATTACTCATCATGAACAAGAGTGCCAGATATGTTTCCTGACTGATAGAAATATCTGAATAAACACGTGGTGCAGTGTCAAAAGCCCTGGACATGGAAGACCTGCAGCTAACCTCTGATTTACTACTTACTAGCAGTTTTACTTTAGAAGTGATATAGAAATTATAATATTGGTGGCTATTGTCTTGGAGATTTTGTCTTTGATTTCACTCACTTTAGAGAAGAGCAAACACCCTCAGTGAGACAGGATAGATACTGCCGGAGACATGATGGGAACCTAGTGATTTTTCCCCCAAGACTTTGAAAACAATTTTTTGGTTTCAAAGACTGAAAAAAAAAATGTATTAACTATAACAAAAAATTCTTCAAGTAAAGCCCCATGTGCAACTTTAATATATTATCAGATCGAAATGATATCATTGTGGTGAAGAGAAGCAAGAGCCTTAGGGACTTTCACCTGACTTCTCCCACCTCCCTTCCCAGCCCCACAAGGCAATAAAAACTCTGACTCCTAGGACTCTTCCAAAGCTCCTCCTTGAAGTGGCCATTTGCATCACCTGAGAGCATGAAAGCCTTGAAAAATCTCAGGCCCCATTCCAGGTTCAGTGAATCAGACTCTACCATGTGACAAGATCCCCAGGTGGTATGTGTACACAGTGAACTTGAGAAGCACTGATCTAGAATACAATTTTAAAACTACCAAATTACCCCATGCTGTTCTTCCTAATTAAAATCTCTGGCTTAGCTTTCCCAATGCCTACTTCGCAGTGTTGTTAAAACCATGAGTGTGAACTCATTTTGTAAAGTACACATTCTATAAACAAAAGGTACTCTTATTAGTTCCAAGTTCCTGGAAGTTTCCGCTACCTCTCTGCTTGTGTTCTAGCTTAAAATCTTGAAATTTCCATTAAAATAATTCTATATGATAAAGCTATCCCCATGTCTTAGCAGATATTCACTAGGAAATCAATCCTTGTTTGATTTGCTTATAGAATTTCTGTGTAACAAATAATTCCATATCAGTTGTTTCTCTGATCTCTGCTTATCTAAGTCACTTTCTATGATTGAAGTATTTAATTGTGTGTTATTTGCACTGTGTACTGGGTGAGCTGTATTTGATAAGTCAAGTGCTTTACCCAGTAATCACACTTAAATCCCCTTCCCAATTAGTATACCCCACCTTAAATATTTCAAATAATGAAGTAAAGTCCATTTTAAAAAATTAATACGGCTAAACAACATATGAACTAATAGGTTATTAATAAATGATGGACACTCAAATATATTGAATGAATGAATTAAAAATTTGAAGAAATAAATTTCAAGAAGGTTCAGCAAATTCCTCACCAACTATTGTATTTAATCCTTTGTTTTTACCTGAAAATTCATTTCAGCGAGGCTACTCTGTAATGCTAGTTTTTTTCCAACTTATAATGTGATATGTAAAAACTTATTTTGGCAAGTTTCCAAAAAGCTCAAAACTATGCAGCTAACCTAAGTTCATGATGAAAAGATTTGACTCATTGTGCTTTTTGTGTGTACGCTCACTGGTTAATTAATTTAAGAAGAAGTCTCACTTATATAACTGAGATGTTAAATGGCTGGATGATCTCATGATTCCCATTTCAGTACATTGACTTTTTTTAAAAAAACTTAATTATAAGAGTTGTCATTAGATTACTTAGAAACAAGAGTATTAGAGTGTGGATTGATTCCTCTCTCTGTTTTCTTTCTATAAAAACTCTACAGATATATGCATCTCCTGGAAGGAAAAGAAATAAAATTAACCCCATATCTATGTTTAATTGTCTTAATGTGAAATATATGATATTTTCAATCACCAGTATATTGTATATTCAATCATGTCATTTTACAGCTGGATCTTAGAGATTACTATTACATATCTCACACTCATGCCCTATTTTCTCTCCAAACTGGTTGCATTTCCTTCCCTATTTCTGTATATTTTATTTTATTTTTTGCTTTCTTGCTCTCTTTTACAGTACTTTGGAATTTTGAAAGCCAACATTAAGGTAGCATTAAGGTTATGAATTTAAAATGCTGGAGGTGAGCATAGGCAAAGAGTAAGTTTCTTCAAGTAACACTATATATGATTAAAAACAAACTACATGCTTTCAAAAATGCATGCCATAAGGAAGAAATGAGGGGTGGGATGCTCACTGTTATATTGTATGAAAAGAACACATTAAAAAGAGTCATATAATTTGTTTTCTAGGGTATAGACCATGAAAAAGGTATACTTAAACTCTTAAATGCAGTATATTATTCTTCCCCATTAAATACTTTAGAAAAATTTAATCCAAATATCCAAAAAAATTTTAGTTTATTAAGATTGTAAGTGGCTAATAGCTTCAGATTCAGAGGGAACAAGGGGGTAGAGGGACAGCCCTTCATAGGCAGCTACCATTTAAGTGTTCCATTGTCATCCTTAGTGTCAGGAGAGCTAGGACTTTTAGGTTACAGAGGATTTTCCAAGTAAATAATACTGAGTAACTCTGCCAATTGAAGTCTACACGATCTGAAAGAGAAAATAACACAGAAGTCCCCCTTTAGGTTTAGTTTTAAATACAATATTCACTGAGATAATAAGAAACTACTAGTGTTCCAGAACTGTAGAGCCTAGAGCAGCTTGATGCTGTCTCACAATAAACTGACAGAGTTCATTTGGAGGAATTCAAAATTCGCTCAGAAAAATTTCTGAATCTACTAATTTTTTTTCAAAGACTATAACTTGTGATTCTAGCATAAAAGATAAAAGACAAAAATATCAAAAGTAACTATAGCTACAACAATTTGTTAATGGATTTATAAAATTAAAAGATATAAGTTGTGACATAAATAGCATAAAATATGGTGGGGGTGCAGAGTGAGAGTGTAGACATTTTGTATGCAATTGAAGTTAAGCTGTTATTAGCTTAAAATAGACTGTTATAACCCTAAAATGTTACACATAAACTCCATGGTAACCACCAAGAAAAAACTTCTAGAAGATACCAAAAAGATAAAAAGAAAGGAATCAAAGCATAACACTATAAAAATTCAACAAATCACAAAGGAAGACAAATCACAAAGGAAGACAAATCACAAAGGAAGACAAATCACAAAGGAAGACAGCAAGATTGGTAGAAGAGAACAAAGGAAATAGTAATAAAATGGCAACAGTAAGTTCTTGCATGTCAATAATTATCTTAAGTGTAAATGGATTAAATTCGCAATCAAAAGACACGGTAATTAGATGGAGTAAAATTTTGTATAAGTCTATTTTCACACTACCTGGCCAGGCACAGTGGCTCACGCCTGTAATCCCAGCACTTTGGAAGGCCAAGGCGGGCGGATCATGAGGTCAGGAGATCAAGACCATCCTGGCTAACATGGTGAAACCCTGTCTCTACTAATATAAAAAAATTAGCCAGGTGTGGTGGCATGCACCTGTAGTCCCAGCTACTCAGGAGGCTGAGGCAGGAGAATCGCTTGAATCCTGTAGGCAGAGGTTTCATTGAGCCAAGATCACACCACTGCACTCCAGCCTGGGCAACAGAGTGAGACTCCATCTCAAAAAAACAAAACAAAACAAAACAAAACAAAACAAAAAATCTACCTGAGACTGGGTATTTTATAAAGGAAAGAGCAGTTCTGCAGGCTGTACAGGAAGCATGGCTGGAAAACCTTAGGAAACTTACAATCATGGCAGAAGGCAAAGGGAAAGCAAGCACATCTACCATGGCAGAGCAGGACAGAGAGAGAGAAGAGAGCTAAGGGGGAAGTGCTACACACTTTTAAACAAACAGATCTTGTGAGAACTACCTCACTGTCATGAGATCAACAGGGTGAAATTCTGCCCCCGTGATCCAATCACCTCCCACTAGGTTCTTCCCCCAACACTGGAGATTTCAATTCAACATGAGGTTTGAGTGGAGATACAGAAACAAACCATATTATTCCACTCGTGGCCCCTCCCAAATATCATGTCCTTCTTACATTTCAAAACCAATCATGCCTTCCCAACAGTCCCCCAGAGTCTTAACTCATCCCAGCATTAACTCAAAAGTACAAGTCCAAAGTCTCGTCTGAGACAAGCAAGCCAAGTCCCTTCTACCTATGAGCCTGTGAAGTGAAAAACAAGTTACTTCTAAGATAAAATGGGAGCACAGGCTTTGGGTAAATATTCCTGCTCTAAATGGGAGAAATTGGCCAAAACAAAGAGGGGCTACAAGCCCCACACAAGTCTGAAACCCAGCAGAGCAGTCATTAAATCTTAAAGCTCCCAAATAACCTCCTTTGCCTCCATGTCTCTCATCTAGGCCATATTGAAGCAAGGGGTGAGCTCCGAAGGCCTTGGGCAGCTCTGCCCCTGTGGCTCTGCAGTGTCTAGCCCCTGCGGCTGCTTTCTCAAGCTGGCATTGAGTGCCTATGGCTTTTCCAGGTTTGTGGTGCAAGCTGTCATTGGATCTACCATTCTGGGGTCTGGAGGACAGTGGCCTTCTTCCCACAGCTCCACTAGGCTGTGCCCCAGTGAGGACTCAGTGGTGGCTCCAACCCCACATTTCCACTTTGCACTGCCCTAGTAGAGGTTCTCCATGAGGGCTCTGCCCCTGCAGCAAACTTCTGAATAGACATCCAGGAATTTCTATACATCTTCTAAAATCCAGGTGGAAGCTCCCAAACCTCACCTCTTGCTTTCTGTATACCCACAGGTCCAACAACACATGAAGTAATGACTCAAGCTGTACCTTCACCCCTTTTAGCCACGGCTAGAGCTGGAGCAGCTGAGATACAGGGTACCATGTCTGGAGGCTGCATAGACCAGCAGGGCCCTGTGCCTGGCCCATGAAACCTTTTTTCCCTCCTAAGGCTCCAGGCCTGTGATGGGAGGGGCTGCCACAAAGGTCTCTGAAATATCTTGAAGACATTTTCCCCACTGTCTTGGCTATTCATATTTTGTTCCTCTTTACTTATGCAACTTCTGTAGCAGGCTTGAATTTCCCTCCAGAAAATTGATTTTTCTTTTCTACCACTTGGTAAGGCTGCAGATTTTCCAAACTTTTATGCTCCTCTTCCCTTTTAAATACAAATTCTCTTTGCTTATGCAAATGGCCATAGGATTTTAGAAGCAGCCAGATAACCTCTTGAGTGCTTTGCTGCTTAGAAATTTCCTCTGCTAGATAACCCAAATCATCTCTCTCAAGTTCAAAGTTCCATAGATCTCTAGGGCAGTGGCAAAATGCTGCCAGTCTCTTTGCTAAAGCATAGCAAGGATGACCTTTGTTCCAGTTCCCAATAAGTTCCTCATCTCCATCTGAGACCACTTTAAGCTGGATTTCATTGTCCATATTACAATATGTGTTTTGGTCAAAACTACTCAACAAATCTCTAGGAAGTTCTGCACTTTCCCTCACCCTCCTGTCATTTTCTGATCCCTCCAAATTGTTCCAACCTCTGCCCATTATCCAGTTCCAAAGTCACTTCCACATTTTCAAGTATCTTTATAGCAATGCCCAACTCCTCTAGTACTAAGTTTTTATGTTAGTTCATTTTCACACTGCTATAAAGAACTATGTGAGACTGAGTAATTTATAAAGAAAAGAGGTTTAATTGACTCACAGCTCGATAGGCTGTACAGGAAGCATGGCTGGGAGGCCTCAAGAAACTTACAATCAGGGTGGAAGGTGAAGGGGAAGCAAACATGTCTTACCATGTCAGAGCAGGAGACAGAGAGACAGTGGGCAAACAGGGAAGTGCTACACACTTTTAAACAACCAGATCTCCTGAGAACTCACTCACTATAGTGAGAACAGCAAGGGGAAAATCCACCCCCCGATCCAATTACCTTCCACTGGGTCCATCCTCCAACAATGGGGATTACAATTTAACATGAGATTTGGGTGAGGACACATAGCCAAACCATATCATCTTTTAAGGATTTATTTTTAGAAGATCATAGGGTATAAACATTCTTATGACAGAGGGCATGACATAAGAATTTAGAAAACAGAGAATTTAGAAAATAGTCCAGAATTGCTGTCCAGAAAATATTAACTATTGAAAAGGAAATAAGCATTTGAAATAGAAATATAAAGTTAAGCATAAAAGTATTAACATCTAATTATTATAAACTTTCTGTAATTGAAGTTGAACTGTTAGGACAATTTTTAAAGGCAGTATAGTGGTTAAGCATTGCCTTTGAAGCCATCCTTTATGGGTTTAATTCCATTCTGCTATTTGCTTGTTGGGTATTGTATAATTTTCTATGGTTTTCATAAGCGAATACCACAGATTTGGTGGCATAAACAACAGAATTTTATTTTCCTAACTCTGAAGGCTGGAAGTCCATGATCATGGTGCAGGGTTAGGTTCTAATGAGGCCTCTCCTCTTAGTTTGCAGATGGCCATCTTCTTGCTGTGCCCTCACATGGTCTTCTTTTCTGTGCGTGTGCATGCCTGGTGTGTCTTCCTCTTCTTAGAAGGTCATTGGTCCTATTGGATTATAGCCCCACACTTGTGACCTCATTTAACTTATTAACCTCCTTAAAAACTCTGTCTCCAAATATAGTCACATTAGGGGTTAGTGATTCAACACATGAATATTGGGAGGACACAATTCAATCCATAACACGTATACTTGGCCAAGTTACTCGATGTCTGCATATCTGAGTTATCTCATTTGTAAAATCAAGGTAATAATACTTTATTGGCTATGATGGGATTAAATGTGCTTTTATGCATAAAGCATTCAAGAACAGTGCCTAGCACATGGTAAGTGTTCAATAGATAAGTAGTGTCACATTTAAAAATTGAAAGTTTACATGGACATTGTATGCATTAATCATAATACACTATAAAAATAGCTTCCATAACAGGATTTCTAAATTGGATACAATAACAATTCTTATAATTATTAGGAGTAATTAGTATTAACAGAGAAGAAATAGAAACATTAAGCAAGTAATCCAAAATCATATAATGAATTGACAGCATGATTAAGTGCAAATGTTTCAAGAAAAGTTATATCCTTTTAATTCCTTTTAAATTAAAATAACTGTCATAAAGAAGACTAGTCATCTTCTATAGTAAATATTTTTGAATTTTAGTAGGTAGAAACATGGGCTTAAAAATTTTTTAAATCACTTGGAAGATTTCACTTATTTCAGCTTTTTTAAACTGCTCCATCCACATAGAAAATAAACCTCCTAATACAACTAGCTCCAAAATGTTTAGTAGGATGTTTAAGAATAAGAAAAATGGGCCAGACGCAGCGGTTCATGCTTGCTATCCCAGCACTTTAGGAGACCAAGGCAGGTGGATCACCTGAGGTCAGGAGTTCAAGACCAGCCTGACCAACATGGTAAAACCCCGTCCCTACTAAAAATGGAAAATTAGCTGGGTGTGGTGGCATATGCCTGTAATTCCAGCTACTCGGGAGGCTGAGGCAGAAGAATCACTTGAACCCGGGAGACGGAGGTTGCAGTGAGCCGAGATCGTGCCATTGCACTTCAGCCTGGGCAACAAGAGTGAAACACCTTCTAAAAAAAGAAAAGAATAAGAAAAATAAGTGCCAAGATACTAACAGCATCCATATTACCTCCTTATTGAAATAAACTTACTGGAAAATGAAGCAACCCACAAGTAATACCTGAGTTGTATTTTGTGAGGAGTAGTAGGCAAGGTAACATTGAAAATGCAAAGGAAGGTATGATATATAAACAGGTAATTAAGATAATATAGATATTCACATAATATCTTTGAGTATAGCTGAAGGACACCTAACTCAGCATGGCAGAGAGAGATTGGGCAAGAATTCCAGCATCATAGTGGTCATCTTGGAATAAATGGAGAAATGGCATTGAGCTGAAGATGACTACAAGATAGCTGCCAATAGGGGCAGTGGAAAGGGATAGCTTAGGCAGCAGAGGTGTAGAAGACAGGCTTAAATGTGACAAAACTAGAGGCAGAGAGAGTAGTAAAAACAGCTATGATGATCCAGCCAGAATTAGCTAGTGGGGATAAAAGAAAAAGAGCAGAAAAAGTGGAGAAACACTTAAGCATTAAAAGTATTAGAACTATGGATGGGTAGATATGGAACTGTGGGAGAGGAAAAGGATTAGACAGCAATTCAGGAAGAGGAGCCATTTAGAGGGAAGATGACACATTCAGATTTCAAACTATTAGGATCAACGTGATGGTAAGTGGTTGACGGAAGTTTGAATATATAAATCTAGAGCATGGGGATTAAGGCTGGGCTGTATAGCAGTTGAAACAAGAGACTGGACAAGATCACCCATAGAGTATTAAAAATGACAAGCGGGTAGGGAGAAGAAAGGGATAAAGTGAGGTATAAAAATATAGTCAGATAGAAGAAATAATCCCTCGTATTAAGTAAATCAGTAATTATAGTAAACAGTAACCTATTGTACATTTCAAAAGAGGTAGTGATGAATAATTACAATGTTTCCAGCATAAAGAAAATATGAATGTTTAAGGTGATGGATATCCAAATAACCCTGATTTGATTATTACACATTATGTGAATGTATCGAAATGTCACATGTACCACAAACACATTTAAATTTATCGTGTATCAATAAAAAATATTTTGACCAATGACTTAGAGACAGAAGCCTGGAAAACATCAATATTAAAGGAAAAAACACATAGAAGAAAACCATGAAGGATCCAGAGGAGAGATGAGAACCAGCAAAAAACTGAGTTACAGAAGATAAATGTGCAGAGATTCTAACATAGGGGAGGCTTTGATAAAAGCCCATTGAATATGCCAAAAAGAAATTAATTTGTGACCTTAGAGATGTCAGTGTCTGTATGGTGAGGGAACTAGGAAGATGAACAGATTGTAGTGAATTCCTCTGAGTAGGAGATGAATGTCTAGAAATACCTTAGAGTATTTCTCAGCTTATACAGGCAAGAAATAGTGTCTCACCTAAGGTAATATCTCTGTAGTGAAACAAACATAGACAGAAGTGTTCAAAGTAAATGATGTGCAGAGACTAGATGGAGAAGTCTGGCCCAGATCGGAGACTACAGTTCAAGCTGGGATTATCAGCCTAATGAAATGCTTTACTTAGGAGAAAACAGAATTTCAAATGGAGAACTAACCAATGACAAAAGAAAATGCATCATTATTTCAAACAGAAAACGAAGGACCCACAAGCAGAATTAGCAGTAATGTTGACTTTTGATGTCATGTCCTGCAAGTTACTCATAAAGGATTCCTTAAATACCCTAGACTAAGGGCAGGACAAGTTTCAGAGAATGAACTGGGCTTGAATGTGTCAGTAAAGATCAAGTTGCTCCAACAAAAGGAAAGGAGGGTGGGCACAGGGAGCTCAGGAAGCATAGGAATAGATTGACAGGGGAAAACATGATTATACAAGTTTAATCTGCATAGATATGCAAGATGGACTTCACAGCTAAACTACTAGGACACATGAAAGAGTCAGGGAAGTAAATTATCCAATGGAATAAGAAATGGACAAAGGAAGAAAGAATAGCATGTCACAAGTCAAATACATGAGAGTTTCCATGCCTGGCACATAAGAATGTGGTAAAGTTTTTTTGAATGAAGAAATGAATGAGTAAACAAATTAATGAAAAAAATAATAAATGCAAAGACTGGTCACAGTTTTATTGTTTCACTTTATCTAAATTAAGACAGAAACACAGTATCCATCCTTCATCTAAAATTTCCATTTTTAAATTATGCATGGATTATCCCCCTCACCCCCAAATTTCTCTAGACAAGAGTTGACTTTATAAAAGAAAATTAAAAGTTACTTAAGTTTTATTTATTTGGAAAATTGAAAAGAATTAGTGGAAGCCATTGATGAAAATCACTTACAAACATAAAGAATTAGTTTTCCTTTACTATTGTCCTACTTTTCAGTTTCCTCTCAGTAGGAAAGTTATTAATCTGTTGTGTTTTATTGTAGGATCATAATTGTACATTTAATTATACATACAACCTGCACTAAGCATACCCTCACTAAATGGCATACCTTAATAAAGACGATAGAACATGCCTCTATAACCTAGCAAGGTCAATCTGTGAGAAGAATAAATAAAAACGTAATTTAGTAACTGCTAGAATAATCTGAGAAGGTAGAAATGAAGATCATGTCTGGAGGACAAAATGATTTTTAAAAAATAGAAAATGATGAGGTCACAAGGTAAATGATGAAAAAGGCTGGATTTGGAGTCAGAAGACAGTTCTTGTTCTGTGATTTACCTTGTAGTCTAGGACAAACCATTTAATGTGTCTTGCTTTGTTTTCCTCATCCACTATGCAGAAGCCATAGTGATCTTTTTAAAACATAAATCAAATCACATCGCTTCCCTGCCTAAAATCCTCCAATAGTTTCTTCTTACAATTGGAATAAAATCTAACCCCATCCTCGTGACCTTCAGCATTGTGAACATGAACGGAACCCTGCCTACCTCTTTAAACTCCTTTCTTTTCCTTTTTCCTTTTATTCACTGTTCCTAGATTGTTCTTAAACCCTGTGAAGCTCACATTTGCTGTTTGTCTGCCTGAAATACTGAGTTCTAGGTCCTCTTGTTGTTGAATATTTCTTGTTGTTTAGGTGTCAGCTCAGATGCTACCTGCTCAGAGATGCCTTACTTTACTTTCTATAGAAAAATAGCTACCTTACTCTCATTTACCAATCTCTTTCAAATAACTATAACTTATTTTCGTTTAACTAAGTATAGAAAATAATATATATTATTTATTATTTATGTCTATATATTGTGTGTGTCCTCCTATCAAACATCTCCTTGCCTATCTTGTTCATCACTGAAATCTTTGACTCTGGCTAACAATTTGCTTCACAAGAATTTGTAGATGAAAGGAGAAAAAAGGAAAAAAAAGGAGAGGAGAGAACAGGAAAGGAGAGAAGAGGAGAAGAAAGGAAAGGAATGAAAGGGGAAGGAAAAAAGAGGAAGAAAGGGAGGGAGAAAACAAATAAATAAAATACTTAGGCAATAAAATGAGAAAAAATATGAGAAACTATACTGGGAAAAAACTATCAAGGCATTGTTTTAATATCACTTCATGCTTGAATATATTTAAATACCACAAACTTGTTATGATTTAAAGGAACTCAAAAGACTATTGTTTTCGTTCTCTTGATATTTCAGTGAAGCCTGCAAAATGTATATGTGGGGAAGTGCGAGTAGATGTGTGATTTAATTTTTGTGCTTTATTTGGGTGAAACTGGAGTATGAAGAAACATAAGAGACACCCTCAGAGCACAATCAAGATGTCAGCATTCACAAACCCATGTGCTCCCCCTCTAAATTATACTCCTCCAGATGGCTTGGTTAATTTTGAAGTGGATAAAGCTAACAGTGCCAGATCACACCCAAGCAGTATAAAACTGTATAAGAACACAATAAAACAGTAATAAACAATAGACTATTTTAGTGGCATATGGCAGATACTGAGTCAGGCCAGCCTCAAATGTAATCTTTGGATTCTGTTTAAAAATCAGTGTCTGAATTATAGCATTAGCATTCAAAGCACTCCTGTAAGCAGTAAGCAACTATTCTAAAGAAGAGAAAGGAAGGGTCAGATAAAGGAGAAAAGGAAAACACAATGGTCACTGGAGAAGAAAGATAAACAAGAAATAATAAGCAGTGCTTGCATGACAATCTACAAGGGGAAATATAGAATTCATGAAAGCATTCAACAGGAAGAGATGGCAACAAGTAGACCAATATGAAGGAAATGGGTATGGGAACTCCCAGCAAGAAGGGGAGCAAAGGAGAAAGAGGAAAATACACACAAACAAAATAACAATTCCTCCCTTCTCTGAATATCTGGACATAAAATTTATTGTCTTCCATTAAAATGACAAAAATTGTATGTTGCATCATCAAAGTTGGAAATATATTGTTAAAACCTTAACTCTGCAATCCCTAAGTAAAAATTCCCTCTTCTGAACATGTCTTCACCCCTACACTAAACCCAACCATCTTCTCCTGGGAGAGGGATGTTTCAGAACAATGAGAGATCTGTTCAAATTGCTGAAATTAAAGCTTCCAAGTGAAGAGCCCAAGATATAGCCCCCTTTTATCTACTTATATCCTATTTATAGTACGCATTTCAATGTAAACAAGACTTCCTCCATACCAAGTAGAGATTGTACACCTAGACACTAAATAAAAAAGTATTTTTTCCAGAAAAATACTTTTCAAGTGAGAATTTTGTTAATGGATAGTTTCTTGATAACATGAGTGATCTGAATAAAGTTAGTTATCCACATAATTAACTATATATGGCTGAATAGGAAGTCCCAGCCTTCATTCCCACACAGAAACATGAATTGCTCACAAATGTACACACTAAACATTTTTATATGAATTCCAGACTTCAATTAAGATGTTGCAGTATTCCAAGTGTGCACAAAGTACAGAATAGTCAAATTGAATTGAGTTAAGAAGAGCAATTTCATTTACCTGCATCAGCCTCTCCCCCAAGTTAGCACAGCTCAGTGCCAAGACAGAATGCCTCTTCACATCTTTTTCCTCTGGGAGAAAAGAATAGAGCATGCCTCCAACATTCCAGCTTTTCAGAGAGCTGCCCAAGAAACAGGTCTCTTACTTCCTTGATTGGTGTGCCCACAGAACTAGCATAATTTGAATGTCTGGGGGTCACTGAGGACAATGGAAAGCAGCAGGTGGCTTGATATGGTTGGCACAGCATGGCACAATTGGGGGAGGAAGTGCACAAGTTAAGACTTCTTCCTTGGCAAGGAGGGAGAAGAGTGGAGCATGTGTTGGCATTCTGGCTCTTCAGAGGGCTGCCCAAGGGACTAGTCTCTGTCTTGCCTCACTTGGAGCACTCATGGAACTAGCATAGTTTCGATGCCTTGGAGCCACTGAGAGCAAAAGTTAAAAAAAAAGGCAGTAGGCAGTTTGCTATAGCTACCATACCTCAGTAAAATCAAGAGAAGATGCACAACTCAAGGCTTCTCCTTCAAGAGGGAAGGAGAAAGGAGCGAGAAATGAGTCTGTCATTCTAGCTTCTTGGAACACCAGCTTCTGAGAAACTGATATCTGTCTCACCTTACTCAGTGTACTGATAGGAAGCTTGCATGCCCTGGATATTTGCCAGCCACTGACAACAAAAGAGAGTGGGAAACTTGCAGCTGTAGAACCAGATAACTTGTGGTGGCACAGACAGACATCAGAAAAGATAATGAGTTCCTGAGGGGAAACAAAAAACACAGTAAGCCTCTCTGAGAAATTGCATGCACAGGCCCAGATACCCCAAAAAGTTTCAGAGGATTCCAGAATCTCTTTATGGGCTACTTAGTGGGAGTCTTATCTAAACAAAGCCAGTCTGAAGACTGGGAGAAGTGACAGATCCTAATACAAAGCCACAAGGTGCATGAAAAAACAAGGAAACATGGCTCAATCAAAGGAATAAACTAAATCTCCAGAAACTGGATCTACAAAGAGGTATGTGGACAACTTGAAAGAGAATTCAAAATAATTGTCATAAAGATGCCCACTGAGCTCAAAGAAATAACAAACGAACAGAATAAAGTATTAAGAAAGATACAGAAAATATAAAAAAGAAGTTTTGGAGCTGAAAAAGAAAATAAACTGCAAAACTCACTAGAGAAGTTTAATGGCAGACTTGATATTCAGAAGAAAACATCAGCAAACTTGAATATGAGTCATGTGAAATTATCTGCTAGAGGCTCAAAATGAAAAAAGAATGACAAAGAATAAAGAAAACCTAAGGGACATACAAGGCACCATCAAATGGACCAATATTTGCATTATTGTTGTTTCAGAAGGGGAAGAGAGAGAGAATGGGGCAGAAACATTACTTAATAAAATAATGGCTGAAAACTTCCCAAATGTAAGGATGGAAATGGACATCTAGATTTGAGAAACTCTGCACGCTCCAACTAAGATGAATTCAAAGAAATACACACCAAGCAACATCATAATCAAATTGTCAAAAGTCAAAGAAAAACAATTTTGAAAGCACCAGGAGAAAAGCAACTTGTTATGAACAAGAGACTAACACCAGATTTCTCAGAAGAAACCTTCCAAGACAGAAGAGAAGTGGGATGATATATCAAAACACTGACAGAAAAAAAACCTGCCAGTCACGAATACTGTATCCAGAAAAACTATCCTTTAGTAATTAAGGAAAAATACTCTCCCAGATAAAGAAAAGCTGAGGGAATTCATCATCAGTAGACCGCCTTACAAGAAGTTCTAAAGGGAGTTTATCAAGTTGAAATGAATGGATGCTAAACAGCAGCATGAAAGCATACATAAATACAAAGCTCACTGGTAAAGGTAAATACATAAAAACATAAAGAATACTATTGCTGTGATCTGAATGTTTGTGTGCATTCAAAGTTGATTTGTTGTCATCTTAACCCCCAAGATAATGGTATGAGGAAGTGGGGCCTTTGGGAGACAATTAGGTCATGGGAGCCAAGCCTTCATAAATGGGATTAATGCTTTTACAAAAGAGGCCCCTGTGATCTTGCTTGCCTCTTCTGCTATGTGAGAACACAGAGAGAAGGCATAGTCTATGAATAGGAAGTGGGCCCTCATCAGATACCAAATCTCTTGATACCTTCACCTTAAACTACCCAGCCTCCAGAACCATGACAAATAATTGTTTGTTGTTTATAAGCTACACAGCTTATGGTATTTTATTACAGCAGCCTTAACAAACTAAGACAACTGTAATATTGTAACAATGCTGTATAAATCTTTTAATTATTGTATAAAAGTTAAAAGATAAAAGTATAAGAAATAATTATAAAAATCTAGCAATGGGTATACAATATAAAAAGATGTAATTTGTGACATCAATAGCATAAAGTATGGGGGAAGTTATCAGTGTAAAGTAGATTATTTTAACAATAACATGTTTTATGTAAGTTTTATGGCAACCACAATGAAAGTACCTATATAGCAGATATTCAAAAGAAAATGAGAAAGAAATCAAAACATGCCACTACAAAAAAGTCAGAAAAATACAAAGTAAGACAGTGAGAGCAAAAGTGAGTCAAAAAGCTATGAGACAGCTAAAAAGCAATTTAAGAAGTGGCAATAGTAAGTCCTTTCCTATCAATAATTACTTTAAATGTAAATAAATTTAACTCTCGATTAAAAGACTGATATAGTGGCTGAATGGATTTAAAGAAAACAAGACTCAACTATATGCTGTATACAAGAAACTCACTTTGGACTTTAAGACCCACACAGGCTGAAAGTGAAAGGATAGAAAAAATAATCCACACAAATTGTAGTCAAAAAAGACAGCAAGAGTGGCCAAATTTATATCAGACAGAGTAGATTTTAAGTCAAGAACTGTCCAAAAAGACAAAGAAGGACAAAGACATTATATAATGATATAAGGGTCAATCTGCCAGGAATATGTAACAATTATAAATATACATGTGCCCATAATCAGAGCACCCAAATACAGGAAGCAATCAATGAAAGAATTTAATAGAGAAATAGACAACACACAATAACAGTAGGGAATTTCAATATACCACACTCAATAATTGATAGAACATCCAGACAGAAGATCAATAAGGAAATAAATAAATAAGAGGATTTGAACCAGACTATAGATCAAATGGAACTGACAGACATTTGCAGAACATTCCACCTTGCAGCAGCAGAATACATATTTTTCCCAAGCATGCATGAAACATTCTCCAGAATAGATCACATGTTAAGTCACAAAGAAGTCTTAACAAATTTAAGAAGATTCAAACTGTGCCAATTATATTTTCCAACAACAATGGAATGAAACGAAAAGCAAAGGAAAATGGAAAAGTTCTTAGATATGTGAATATTAAACAACACACTCTTGAATAATCAATGAGTCAAAGAATAAATCAGAAGGTAAACTTTAGAAAAATATTTTGAGACAAATAAAGATGAAAAGAGAACATAACAAAATATATAGGATGCACCATGACCAAGTCAGATTTATCCCTGGGTTACACGGATGGCCAAAATACAAAAATAATCAATATGAGACACCACATTAACAGAATAAAGGATAAAAATTACATTATTATCACAATATATGCAGAAAAAGCATCTGAAACATTTAACACCCTTTCATGATAAAAACACTCAATAAACTAATAGAAGAAAATTACCTCAACATAATACAGGCTACAGTTAATGTCATGCTATACAGTGAAAAACTGAAAGCTTTTCCTCTAAGATCAGGAATCAGTTAAGGATGCCCACTCTGACCACTTTCATTCAACATACTACTGGAAGTCCTAGCCAGAGAAATTAGGCAAGAAATATAATAAAAAGGCATCCAAATCAGAAAGAAAGAAAAACAAATTTTCACTGTTGGCAGATAATATGACGCTGTATGTAGAAAACCTTGACAATTACACACACACAGACACACACACACATACACAAACCATTAGAACTAATAAACCAATTACGCAAAGTTGCAGGATACAAAATCAACACACAAAAATCAGTTGAGTATATGTACATTACCAGTGAACAATTGGAAACAAAAATGAAGAAGACAGTCCATTTACAACTGAATACAAAAGAATAAAATTCTTAGTAATAATCTAAACTGAGAAGTATTATAAAATATCTAGACACTGAAATCTATAAAAGATTGCTAAAACACGCACACACACACACACACACAAATAGGGGGCATGATGCCATAAGCCAACCAGCCCACAATGTCAAGTTTATCATCCAGAACACCAATGCGGCAGTGGCCATTTCGATTCGGAGTGTCTTCTTCTCTGAGGTGCCCATAATAGTCATTGACTGGGTTCAAATTGATGCCAATTCCTCAGTTCTTCATGATGAGTTCATGGCTCACAAACTTAGATTAATTCCCCTCATTAGTGAGGACATTGTGGACAAGCTGCTATCCTCCCGGGACTGCCCATGTGAAGAGTTCTGCTGAGTGCTTGGTGGAGTTCACCCTCGATGTGCAGTGCAATGATGACCAGATTTGACATGTCACATCTTGAGACCTCATCTCCAACAGCCCCCAGGTCATTCCAGTGAAACAAGATGATGACCCTAATGACTACGTGGAGCAGGATGACATTCTCATCATCAAGTTGAGAAAGGGCCAGGAGCTGAGACTTTGAGCCTATACAAAAAAGTGTTTTAGCAAGGAGCATGCCAAGTTGAACCTTACTGCAGGGGTGGCTTTTGAATACAATCCAGACAATGCCATGAGGCATGCAGTGTACCCCAAACCCAAGGAGTGGCCAAAGAGTGAGCACTTGGAGCTGGATGAGGATGAGTCACAGGTGCCCTGTGACCCCATGGGCAAGCCAGAAAGGTTTTACTACAACATGAATTCCTAAGGCTCTCTGTGTCCTTAAGCCATGTGCTCTTAGCCCTCACTGGATTGAAGAAGAAGCTGAGTGATTTAAAAACTCAATTAAGCCACGAGATCCAGAGTGACATGCTAACTATAAACTAGCTGCAGCTTGCTGCTTCAGCAAGAATGGGGATTCAAGCCAGCAGCTGGATTTGGGGGGTCTCTCTTGAGACTCTTCTAGTTTTTGGAAATCTAGTCTACTGTTGCTTGAGCTTCTTGGCAGGTCATCAGTACCAACTAGAAGCGGGTAATAGATTACTAGGGATGCCAGCGGCATTTAAGCAGGACAGTTTTTTACTGGCCCTAACTGCTAATCGCCAGCAGTGCTCCACAGATCCTAAAACATCCCTTTTAGCCTGTTTCCTAATGCGTCTGTAGGGGAGCCAACCGGACTTCTCTCCTGGTTAGTTCAGTTCTTTACTTTAAACGCTTTCTGTCCAAAAGGAATAATTTCAGTTGTACCTTAGATTTCTGGTATTAGGATTGAATGTCACAGCCTTCATTCAAAGGGCCTATAAACCCTTCCAGTTCTTTCCCCAAGTCTGTCCTACTAGCACTTCAAATTCACAGGCATCTTTAATTTGAGAAGTAACCTTCTGGGAAGAGCATCAGGCCATGGCTGTGCCCTCTCCCCTATGTAGATACAATATTTCACTCTCTACCCAGCAGTTACAAACCCCTTCACCACCAATACCTGATTATTTAGTTTGGTGATGGTGGTGGTGGTAGTGGTGGCAGTGGCCAGCAGGAGCAAGGGCCCCTCCCACATACACAGAAGTATTTCATTTCTCCCAAATGAAGGCTCTGGCCCTGACCTCTTAACACTGTCTCCAGGGAGGAACATACACAAAGCAGTTAATTAGCAGCCTGGAAAAAACACAGAAAGAAAGAGATATTTATTGATTAACAGAAGTTGTGTTTTTAAAAGTGTTTATTTTTGGCAATGAAGAGCACAACATAATCTCAAAAAAGTTAAAAAAAGAAAAGAAGACACAAATAAATGGAAAGACTTCCCACGTTCATGGATTAGAAGACATTGTTCAAATGTCCATACCACCCAAAGTCTACACATTTAATGCAATTCCTATTAAAGTCATAGTGACATTTTTTGCAGAAATTGACAAAACAATTCTAAAAATTGTACAGAAGTACAAATGACCCCAAAGTAGCCTAAACAATCTTGACAAAAAGAGCAAAACTGGAGGCCTCAAACTTTTTAACTTTAGAACATATTACAAAGCTATAGTCATCAAAAGACCATGGTACTGGAATAAAGATAGACATATAGGCTAATGGAACAATACTGAGAGTCCAGAAATAAACCCACACATATACAGTCAAATGATCTTTGACAGGATGCCAAGAGTACACAATGGGAAAAGGATAGTATCAAAAAATTGGTGCTGGAAAAACTAGATATTCACATTCAAAAAGAATAAAATTGGATCCTTATTTTATATCATGCACAAAAATCAACTCAAAATAGATTAAAGACTTAAACATAAGACATGAATTTATAAAACTCCAAGAAGGCAACATAGGGTAAAATTTTCATAACATTTGTCTTGGCAATTAATTCTTGGATATGACACCAAAAGCACAAGTAACAAAAGCAAAAATAGACAAATGGATTTACATCAAATGAAAAAGCCAGAAACTAAAAATCTTCTGCATAGTGAAGGAAATAATCAACCGAGTACAAAAGCAACCTACAGAATGAGAGAAAATATTTGTAAACCATATATCTGACAGGGGGTTAATATAAAAATATACAAGAAACTCAATAGCAGAAAATAAAAATAAAAATAACTATCTTCAAAGAAGAGATACAAATGACCGACAGGCATATGAAAAGACATTCTTCACTAATCATTAGAGAAATGCAAATCAAAACCACACTGAGGTATCATCTCACACTCATTATGATGGTCATTATAAAAAATTAAAAATTAAAAAAATAAAGTGTTGGCAAGGATGTGGAAAAATTTGAACCGTGTGCACTACTGGTAAGAATATAAAATGATGTTGCCACTATAAAAAAAACAGCATAGAGATTGATAGAAAAATTAAAAATAAAAACTACCATTTGATCCAGCAATCCCACTTCTGGGCATTTATCCAAAAGAGCTGAAATCAGGACATGGAAGATATTTGCCCTTCCGTGTTCATTGCAGCATTATTCACAATAGATAAGAATTAGAAACAACTGGTCGGGAGCGGTGGCTCATGCCTGTAATCCCAGCATTTTGGGAGGCCGAGGCGGGCAGATCACGAGGTCAGGAGATTGAGACCATCCTGGCTAACATGGTGAAACACCATCTCTACTAAAAATAAATAAATAAAAAAATTAGCCGAGCGCGGTGGCAGGCAGGTGCCTGTAATCCCAGCTACTCCGGAGGCAGAGGCAGGAGAATGGCGTGAACCCAGGACGGCGAGCTTGCAGTGAGCCGAGATCACGCCACTGAACTCCAGCCTGGGTGACAGAGCGAGATTCCGTCTCAAAAAAAGAAAAGAATTAGAAACAACCTAAAAGTTTATCAGCAATATGTATGGATAAAGAAAATGTACTATATATTTATACAATAGAATATTATTCAGCCATAAAAAGAAGAAAATTCTGTTACATAGATATACCTTGAGGACATTATGCCAAGTGAAATACGCCAGTACAAGAAAGACAAATAGTACTTGATTCCACTATGTGAAGTATCTAAAATAGTCAAACTCATGGAAATATAGAGTAAAATTATGGTTTCTAGATGCTAGGAAGAGGGACAAATGGGAAAATTGCTGTTCCGTGAGCATAAAGTTTTAATCATACAAGAGACAAAATTTTCACAGATCTGCTCTACAACATTATGCTTATAGTTAACAATGCTGTACCATACACCCAAAATTTAAGAGGAAAGATCTTACGTGTTTTTTACCACAATAAAAAAATTTTGTAACATTCACAGAAAAAATTTTTTTTTACTTTATTTGTACATATAATGGAACCTTTTGATCTACAGCTCAAAGGCAAAAAGCAATCATTCCAAATTAAATTATCTTGGTTAATATGGCTGTTTACAATAGGGAATATGGCTCATCACACTCCAACTGAAAAATAAAGACTTTCTAATCTCAATAGCCTGGCCTGTAATAAGAATATAAAATTATAAACGCAAACTTTCAACTCCCAAGTGAAGCATGAATTCCAGAGCCACTGTATATTGAGAGTGGGGAGAAGTGTATGCTTAAGGGTAAGATTCATATTTTATATTTTATCTCCCTGGAGGAACAGCGTCTCTCCTCAAAGAGAGAGCCATCACAGTGTAAAGCATAATACAATGGCAATCAAAGGGGCATCCACAGATAACCATGTTCATTACATTGCCTTTAATTGCTTTAGCCTAAAAGACAGCAGCCCAAAAGTATAGATCCATGGCAGATCATTGTACTTAAACAGTCAAATATGTATCCTTCATATTTTAAAATATAGCCACTGGCCCACCAAATAGGAGTTCTACTGTCCACTTCTCTCACACTGCCTTCTACACAGTATAAAACCTTTCATCTTGACATAATTAGAAGAATCTTCCAAACAAGTAAAACTATGACTTGCTCACATGCCTACTTTTCCCACATGACCGTGGCAAAATCAGATATTGTCAGACAACTTGAGGACCTCAATTCACCATAGAATTTTCATAAAATGGTTAAGAGGTAGGATCCTATGGTTCATGGAGGAAATTTGGGAAGAATTCATGCTTAGGCTAATAAAAAATACAGTTCATTCATTCATCTCCATGAAGACAGGAAAACTATGCCATTCTGATCTTCACTGTATCAATCAATGGTCTGTAATTGTTCAGTAAAAATTCTTCAAATGAAGGAATGTCCAAAGTTGTCTGGATTCAGTCTGTAAAAGAGTAATTAAGCTTTTGCTTTTGCTTAATATACATGCCTTGACAGTATATTAAAGTGCTTAATTAAGCAGCTTTTTTATGGTCACAGAAGTCTTTGTGATATTTAACATTATGAAATCTACATATTCAGAGCCACCTCTAGTCTATAAAATTAAAGTATTTACATATAATTTAATCACATATTTTCTTCACAAAAGGCATTATTTAAGATATGGCAACTAAATCAGAGAATTCTGGACAATTGCTTTTGTTCATAATTTTATCCAAATGATGAAGTTCATAATTACACAATGTTACAGTTATGAATATATTAAGGTAGACCTTAAAAGCTCACAGCAAAAGAGTAACACAGTGTCTGAGATTGTGCAATGTACCAAAGAGGATATTGACTTTACTCTGGATAATACGCAGACAAATTTACATTTATGTCTTAAACTTAACCCCTAACCTTATAAATGATTGAATGCACCCAGTGGCTTATTTTCTGTAAATCAGTAAGTAACCTCAAATGAATGCATCAATTTTCATAATGCATGCATTGTTAGTATCATCTAATATTTTTATTTCAAGTAAATAACCATATTATTCATGCTAGTAGCTGGTACAAACCTTTACCATTCTTCTTAAATTACTTAGCTGGACTCACCCACTCATTTTAACAGATGGCCAAGCCTCCTACCTCACAGAGAAAATAGCAGCCATCAGTCACAAACCGCACCTCTTGTATTATCTGCATGTTCCCCAGCTTTCTCTCCTTCCCTTCTGTCCCAAAGGATGTCTTGCCTGTCTTCCAAAGATAACACTTTAATCTGTACTCCTGATTTCATCTTCTTCCTTTCTTCCTCTCTATGTTTACTGAGTGCCTTCTGATGCCAGAATATTCTAAGCCTGGGGACACAGTGTGAAACAAGACACAAAGCCCCTCTCCTTGTGGACTTTGCATTCTATTATGTGTCCTCCAACGCCTTTTCAATATTCACCACCGTTTTTTGAATCTTCACTGTATCCTCTGTCGTGGCTGTTCTCTTTTAGCTTACAAACCTGTCTAACTTGTCCTCATCCTTAAAATGAATCTGCTTATTTTGCTGAATTTGAAGGCATGTATTTCCTTCCCTTACTGCTGTACTTCTAGAATCAGCTGCAGTTTCTGTTTCTACTTTCACTTCCCTTTTTCACTCCTCAGTGCACAGCTATCTATTTTTCTTTTGTTCTCTGTACTCCAGTGAAACATTTATCCTCAGCCTTTGACACACTCTTCCTTCCCTTGAGTCCTCATGAATCCTAGGACAGAATATAGTTTATTCTTCTGGCTACACTTTTTGCTACTGCTTCATTCTCTGCTTGCAACCTTACTGTTTGACTCCCCAAGATTTCTTCTTTGGCCTTCTTTTCTCATTCTGCCCATTCTTCTTGAATCATCCTACCCACACCCATGGTTTCAACTACTACCTATGTGCTAACAACTCCAAAATTCTGTTTTCAGAGCCTTCTGAATTCCTTATCTATATTTTCAAGTACTCCAAAAGCATTCTCATTTAAATAGCCATATCATGTGCTAAAGATGTGGTACGTATTGCCACAGAGAAACACAGAGAAAATATTACCAGCTGTGATTATAGAAAAGCTCCAAAATCTCAGTGGCTTAATAAAATATGAGTGTTTTGTTGTTGGTGGTGGTGGTGTTGGTTTCATTTTTGCTCACGTAAGGTCCAGTTGGAGGTGGTGGTGGCGGCAGTGTGGTGTAGAGGGTAAAGGTGGTTCTGAGACCCAAGTTCATGAAGAATCTCCCCTCTATTATGTCGCTTGCCAGGTCATTCAAGAAAGTTTTATCCAGCCAGTGGATGGGAAGAGAGTTTGGAAGGGGTGGAAGATTTTATGTGACAGTTTTGGAATTGTTATATTTTCACTCACATTCCATTGAACAGAATTCAGTGACATGGTCCCACCTAGATCCAAAGGGGTTGGAAATGATAGTCCATGTCTGGGCAGCCACTTCATAGCATCCTCTATATTATGCAAGAGGAGCAAATCTTTAGTAGTTGGTTAAAAGTGTTTGCTACAGAAATCCATAGGTGACCTTTCTAGACAGAATTTTGTTTCTGATCAGTTGAATAAGGATCGCGAAGAGTGAAAGTGGAGACGAACAGGGTGATTCTTTTCTGGAAGCACAATGTTAGTGTTTAGGTGCTCATTTAATGTTCTTAGAACCAAAATTTGGCTGTTAGGGAAACGACAAAGCTCAGGAAGCAACTGATTTCTCTACCTTCCATTTTTATTTCCCTTAATCCAAACTTCATATAATTTGAATGTCAGAGTGTCATATGTTGCTGGATATAGTTTGGATGTTCGTCCCCTCCAAATCTCATGTTAAAATGTAATCCCCATTGTTTGAGGTGGGGCCTCATGGGAGGTGTTTGGGTCATGGAGGCAGGTGCCTCATGAATGGCTTGGTGCCATCCCCATGGTAACAAGTGAGTTCTCGCTCTGGTAGTTCATGCAACTGCTGGTTGTTTAAAAGAGTGTGGCACCTCCCTCCACTCACACCATGTGAGAGGCCCACTCCCTCTTTGCCTTCCACCATGACTGTAAACTCCCTGAAGCCCTCAGCAGAAGTAGAGACTGGCACCATTCTTCTTGTACAGCCCATAGAAACATGAGTCAATTAAATCTCTTTTCTTAGTAAATTACCCAGTCTCAGGTATCTTTATAAGAACACAAAAACAACACTAACACGTTGCCCTCCTTCATTCCTTATTATTTTTTCTTTAAATATATAGTTATTTTTCTAATAATAAAAGTATAGATTAATCTTTCCGAAACTCAATTAATTATTTCATTCCCTGAGTTAAGACATTCAATAATATCTCCAATGATTCCAAGAGGAAGTGCGAACACATATGATGTCATGAAAGGCGGTACAATGGCACTCCAGCCAACCTTACCTGCCTTTCACCGAGCTTTATTGTCTGCTATCATTCTGTACCACTTTAGCACCCATAAGGTCTATTTTCCACTGCCAGAAAGCAGATGGCAACAAAGAAAATGCTGGCAGTACTATTCCCCATGTGGTTTTTGTTTAGAGTCACTATTGAGAAGCATCACACAAGACATGGAAAGCAAATGCCTCCAAATCCAAATTCCAAAGATTGGGAGGGCATTATTCCCCAGATATTGTGAGCAGACACATGGGTGGTCATGAGATTTGAAGCACATTCTGAATGAACACTTGAAAATCACCTCAATAAGTATTCTGCACTGAGATAGTCTTTATCTCCCCGAAAGCCTTCCAATGAGAATAAACTTCTAATTCCCTGCATTAAACATTTCAAACTTGCAATACGTAGAGTAGCTGAGATTTCCTTGAACAAACCTTGACATATAATGTCCATCATTATGCCATAACGCTCTCAAGTAGGGACACACACACACACACACACACACACACACACACATAAAAACCAAAATTCTTACCATTACCAAAATCCAATTCATTGTTTTGATACATGCTTTTCTGTATGGCATGTCCTTTTCCTGACATTTCTGTCTGACAAAAGTCCTGTTCATCCTTCAAATTCAAATACCACCGTCTAACTGAGTCCTTCCATAATTCCCCCAATTATAGACACATGCTCCTTGGGGAGCCCATAACATCTTATTCATACCACTTACATGGTATTTATAACGTCATTTATATGCCCTCACCTTGTAGAGAGAAATTATGTTTCATTACACTCTGTGGCCTTAGTTCTTAGTACAAACATTGTCGTATAGTAAGCATTCAATAATGTGTTGGATAAATGGTCCATTTTGAAACAAAATGTCATTAATGTAGGTGAACATTTTCTTCACAGCATACTCTGAAAATTGGGAGAGTAAACCTACATGCTGGGAGTATACTTAAGGCTCACTGAAGCATTTCAGGCACCACCCCCTCTCTCCAGTAGGACACAAGCATGAGAGACAGATAAATGAGCAATGGGAAGACACACACCATCTTCCACCTCTCCCTCACCTTTCTCCTCTCAATCTCTTATCACTTATAAAATTAGTTATTTCATTTATTGGCCTACTGGGAGTAGGTTTTATACCAATCCCTGACTCCAGTATCCACCATTACACGCTTTTTCCTCCTGAAGACTTACTGTAGAGAAAAGGTTTTCTCCATGTTGTCACATTAATGGTTCTATGTGTCTGACCTTCCTGTAGGAGGTGCCCTAGTTGCCCAGACAAGTGGTGCCACCTGCCTGGGTGCAGGGGAACATGCTCCTGACGCATTGCAAGGCAGGAGCAGCACCGCCAGGAGCTAAGCCCCAACTGCAACATTCGTTTTCCTTCATTAACATAGGGTCAAAATGGCTCCACTTTTTAAAATGGCTCCTTTTTAATTAAATTGATGCCAGCTTCTGTGTTTCACCCTATCCCAGGAATTTTCAGTCCGTGACTTAAGGCAAGGACAGAGAAAAAATAAATAATAATTTGAGTAGCCCTTTAGCTTGGATTTTAATCTCCAGAAGCTTTGTTCAGGTCAACTACCATTCAACAAACTCACAGCCACATATTCCATTGATTCATGCTGCAAATATGGCATTGATTGGGCAGTGAAATTACTGGGGTTTTTCTGGGGGCTAGAGTAGACTGATAAAATAAGCGTGCTCTTTACCATCTTGGAGCTTACAGTTTTTGGAGGAAGTAAAAGGAGAAAATAAATAAAAAGAAACTTTCAATATAATATAAGGTAAGAGGTAAGTTCTATAAAGTAAAAATAGAGCAGAGCAACAGGATAGAGAGGGTGGGAAGGGGCAGATGGATCACACTATTTTAGATGGTGTGGGTAAACGTCTCCAGTGTAATGAGGAGCCTTCTGTGCTAGACCTGAGTAAAGGAAATAAGCCATAGAAATGGAAAGATCTACGGGAAGAGCATTCCAAACAAAAAAGAATAGAAAGATCCTGAGGCCTGGAGTGTCTAAAGACACTCCACAAGAAGGGCTGATGTGGCTTCAACTGAGTAGGGGGAGACAAGCTGGAGAGGCGGGCAGGGGCTAGTTCTGTGAGAGTCTTGCAACAGGAGTCAAAATTTCCACGTAGGTCTAAATTATTGTCACACTTGTGACAAGACTTTAATTAGGGCCATGCTCAATGTGCCTTATTCCTCTTGAGGAGTGAAAATAAATTAGGCAGTCTAGAATAAGTAAAACCAAGAAAGTTATTTCTGGTGTCAATTGTCCTGTTATTTGTCATGCTACCTATTTTCTAAAAGAAATTACCTTATTAAAGCATCTCATTTATTTACACCCAAAGGGCTTTGCATAAACTGAAATTAAATCGGTGTGAGGGCTTTTACAAACTTGGGGGAAATTACTTCTCAGCCTGAAAGTAGTAAGGGAGATTTTGCCAATGACCTTATGAAATCTTTTTAACTTCCTAGGAATGCAATCATGTTTTCAGAGCTTTCTGAATAAACCTTAGAGAGATCTATTGTTTTAGATATGAGAACACTGCTATTTCTGCAAAAATCATCCAGGTCATTAGTGGCTGATTCATTCACATTTCTGCAGTAGCTCAGTATGTAGAGCAGGCTTTGAACCAGATACAACCAGACTTACAATCGATTCTCAATCTTTCTACCACTCTGAACCTCAGTTTTACAAATTAATTGATAATAGAATCAAATGTAGATACCTGGTCTAGTGCCTGGCACATCACATAAACTTTAAACTAGTGGTTCTTTGTCCTTAGCCAGTTGTATTTCATGAAACTTGTAGGCAAGAACATTGTTGTACTTACTTCCGTGCAAAATATTCTCCAATGCCATAGTATATTTTGCCCCCCTCATTCACTTTTGCCTTTCAATTACCATGTTTCTTACAGGCTAAGTCAGTTTAAGAGCCCTCCTTCCTCCCCAAATATGAAAGCCTTCAAACTGGAATGGGCCTCTGAGGTAACTAGGAACTGTGTCATATCATAGATACGACAAACAAATAGATTGCAAACCTATCCAACAGGACTTTAAACATATATTCTGAGCCTATCTATTTCATCTCACAGACCCATATTTTGATTTGGAAGACATTTCAACACATGTAAATTCACTCCCATTGATGAGTCAGACACTTAACCTCAGAATATGGTATATGAATGCTGTCTGCTTCCAGGATCTATAGCAGCAATGTGTTGCTTGAAGAAAGAAAATATATAGTTGAGCCTATCACACATTTGTTTCTGGTTTCTTTCTGTTACGGAGTTTTCAACTTCTAAGCTCCTGAGGAGACATCCTTGACAAAATACACACACACACACACACACACACAAGCACATGCATGCACTCACACGTGCACACACACACACACACTCACTCATACTTGCTGTGTGTATGTAAGGGAGCATTTTGCGGATTATTCCAGAATCTGCAAATCATTAGGCTCAGAGGCAAACCCAGGGTTTACTGATTGGCAGTTTTGTTCACTTGCTTCCAATGCATTGTCACCTCTATATAAAAATGATCTATCCCGCCAGGCACAGTGGCTTATACCATAATCCCAGTACTTTGGGAAATCAAGGAGGGTGGGTCACCTGAGGTCAGGAGTTCGAGACCAGCCTGACCAACATGGTGAAACCCCGTCTCCACCAAAAATACAACAATTAGCTAGGCGTGGTGGTGGATGCCTGTAATACCAGCTACTTGGGAGGCTGAGGGAGGAGAATTGCTTGAATCCGGGAGGTGGAGGTTGCAGTGAGCCAAGATTGTGCCATTGCACTCCAGCCTGGGCAACAGAGCGACACTTCATCTCAAAAAACCAAAACAAACAAAATGATCTATCCTACACAGGATATGGCCCTATCTGCCTATTCTGTAATGAACTGTCCCAGACAATGAAGCCTGAGACAAGCCCATAGCTAGGTTTTATACTAACATATGGCATGACTCCTAAGTCTATTCTTGCCACAAATTGGTTATATATCATTGTCAGTTTATTAAAACTCATCTCAAAACACATGTATAAAATTTAAGTAGTAAAATTACACATAGATCCTAGACTTCCTTAACAATCTCAATGTGTGAAACACATTTGCCTTCATCCATGGCGTTTGATGCTTTTTTCTTCTGAACACGCATGGTCAGGACATTGGGGCAGACTTATCTGAGAGTCAGATTTCCTGAACATTAAAGGACACTGAAGAATCTCAGATGTGTTGAGGTTTATATTTTTCTACTTTTCCCGACTGGGTTCTGAGAAGCTAGCCGCTGAGTTGGAGCCATATTGAGGAAAACAGATCAGAGAAGAGAATTGGAAAGCCACTATAACACTGGGAAAAGGCAAAGTAACCCTTTTCAATATTGTCACCTTTTCCCTTGTCTTTGATCAGAGTTCTTTCCTTCTATCCCTGAGTTTTCCATTTGGTTTCTATGCCCCCCATCCACCAAAACCCACACCTAGTGCATCTTATATATAGTCTTGTCATATTGTTTGTCTTTTCAACTTCAACAAATTGGACAGAGGATGGTTTTTAAATGTTTCCATTTACAGATTCCAGTTTTCACCTTTACTATTTTGAAATATGCCAAGCACTTCATCCGTGTCATCTTCATTAGAATTAGTGATCATTACTATTCATAAAAATATTGTAATATGAAACAAATAAATGTCATCTGCAAGAAATAATATCCTAATTTGCTGAAAATTCCCTACCTTCAAAAACCGCAATTAATTTTGCACCAACCTAATAAATCAAATTCAAAAAACTTTTTTGGAAACATTACTCCCAGTGAAAACATTCACATGTTAACAATTTGCTTTCTTCTTTGGATCTCCCTTCTTACCCTTCCTTATATTGTCTTACGCTTAATTTTCATAGGTCATTATTTCGTTAAAGCAAAAAAATAAGGGATTAAAAATAAATTCATCTTTGCCTGGTACCTACAAGGAAATGCCCTAAATGTCATTAATAAGAAACTTCTTTCCGTGTCACTTTTTTTTTCCTCAGGTTTTTTCTATTGCATGAACATTATTTGATGGGGTAAGTGTAAAATAATTACAGCAACACATATGTTGCACGTAGTCCCCAAAATACGAAGCAGCAAATTTGTGCTTTTTCATAAGTAGAGAAATAGAAATAAAATAACCTAAAATAGTGTTTCCAAAATGTAAGCCCTAGATCAGTAGCAACAATACCACTAGGAACTTGTTAATAATGCAAATTATTAAGGATCTATCTCATAGATAGATCCTTAATATTCAGTATCTATCTCATAGATAGATCCTTAATATTCAGTATCTTAATATTCAGTATCTCATAGATACTGAATCAGAAATTCAGAAGTGCAGCCCAGCAGTCTGAAGTTTAAACAAGTTCTCCAGGTGATTTTCATGTACCCTAAAGTTTGAGGATCACTGACATAAAGGTGGATTTTTCTAACTAGGATAAATGAATTGTCTCTACCTGTGTCCATACCTGAAGATCTTTAAGGAGCCCTGCTTCATGACCAACGACAAAGTAACAAACTTGTTACACAAGAAGCCCAGAGTTAACTGTGGAAGTTGCCTGTTAGTATTGAGAAGATTGAAATGGGCCTGGGTATGTAGCTTATAGAGGAAAAATGAAGACTTTATCATAAAAAAATAAAAATGCAAAGACTGGTGAATCTATGCAAGTCACAATGTAACTATTTTAACACTATTATATGTTCATAACTATTAGAAATGAAACAAAAATTCATTTAAGTAAACTAAAAGAATGTCACCTGAGGATGTGTGGTAGGCAGAATTCTGGCCCCTGTAATCTTTGTCCTTAGTTACTCCCAGGAATATTTTAAATTGCATGGCAAAGGGGACTTTGAAGATATAATTAAAGTAACTCATCAGCTGACTTTGAAATAGGAAAGATTATCCAGGTGGACCTAATCTAACCACATGAGCACTTAGAATCAGAGGTTTTTCTCTGGCTGGTAGCAGAAGGAGAAGTAAGGTTCAAAGCATAAGAAGGATTAGACCTCCTATTTTGGGCTTAAAAATTAAGGGGGCCATGTGTGAGGGAAATACAGACTCTAATATAAAACTGGATTCTGGAAACTACCAGTGAGTTTGGAAGCAGATTCTTCCCCAGACCCTCTAGATAAGAAGCATTCACCCTCACTTACACCTTGATTTCAGCCTTTGTAAAGTGCTGATCTGAGAGGACCTAGCTGAGCCATGCTGTACTCGGACTCTGATTCATGGACTGTAAGATAATGAATGGGTATTGTTTTAAGCTGCCAAATTTGTGGTAATTTGTTACAGCAGCAACAGTAAACAAATACTAGGTGTTAATTTTAACTGCTGTTACAGTCATCCCACTTTGAAAAGAGCCTGCTGCCTTTGCCAGCAAAAGAACCAACTGGCAATTTAAGATTCACAACACAAGGTCTTCACCAGCTTTTGTAACATTTAGAATATCTGGATGATCCTTTTGGCTTCTACAAACAAGCACTCCTTCAGCACATTTGTCTTGAGGGCACACTCACTTTTCTTGTAGACAAGACAGCAAGATCTAATATTTACATAACCTCTGGAAACTAAAAAGAAGTACCTGTCTCTTTCTTTTGTGCTCCTGCTTCAGAAGGATCTTTCTATGTACAGGAAACTTAGCTCACATGGTGCAGGGAAAAGCCAAAAGATAGCTCCACTGCCACAGCTTGGCAGACTTTAATACGTGACATATTGTCAGACCTCAGCACTTACAGGAAAACGGAGTCTTTCAAATGTGAGTTCAGTCCAGCAGTTTTTCATTTTGCAGACAAAGATTATAGATTTAACTCTTTTTATGTAAGGGAAGTATGAAAGGGACTCATAAGTTTATGAACATGATCCACATAGTAGAGTCCCCAGTTTCTTAGAGAAGTCATGCTGACAAGGAGACCTGGAGCAAAGGGGACACGTGGTATATTAGTTTTTCAGCACGGCTGTAATGAAGTACTGTAGACTGGATGGCTTCGACAACAGAAATTTATTTCTCACAGTTCTAGAGCCTAGAAATTTACGCTCAAACTGTCATCAGGGTTGGCTTCTTCTGAAGGCCCCTCTCCTTGGCTTGTAGACGGCAGTCTTCTGGTGTCTTCACCTGGTCTTCTGGGTATGTCTGTGTCCTAATCTCCTCTTCTTATTAGAACGCCAGTCATATTGGATTAGGGTCCACTTCCAATGACCTCGTTTGACATTTAATTACCTCTTTAAGATTGTTATCTCCACATACAGTCACATTCTGAAGTACTGGGGTAAAGACTTCAACATATGAATTTTGGAGGAACATGATTCAGTCCATAACAGGTGAAGTCCAGTTGTTTCAGGAGTATAACCTCATCTATTCATGACTGCCAGTGACCCTCCCAGACAATGCATCAGAAACTTTCCCACTGCTGTCAAGGAACCCTAGAAGAGGTTTATCTTCCAATTATGACCAAAGAGGATAACAGGTGTTTTTGCAAAACTTAGGTGGTGGGAAGTAATACAGCCAAGATAAAGCAAAGTTTCCTGATAAAAAACCCAGTGGCTTTTCTATTGCATTGTACCATCAGTCTTCATTTACAACAGAAAACTCCTCAAGAAATCATATGCACTCTGTCTTTATCAGAGTTAGGATATTCCATTACATTAGAAAATCATTAACTGTTTATCTCTTTGCATTCTCTCCATGCTTCCTGAAGTATCCATAGAATGCAGATGATAATTGTGGCTTAATATCATGTATTTCTTTCACAGAACATAAAAGTTAATTAAAATAAACCTTGACATTTATTGAGTCACAATGTTACAGATGCTGTGCTGAGTGCTTTCCACACATTATCTCAAGAAACTCACAATAACTGTATGAGCTAAATACTACGGTTACTCCAATGTTACAGAAAAGAGAACTGATGTTTAAAGAGATTCAATACCTTACCAATGCCAAAGAACCAGTATGTAGTGGAGCCAGGTCTACCAAAGACTATGCCAACTGCCCCTCTGATAGTGATTGTCTTCTAAATATAGTAAGCAAAACCTCTGTCATAGAATGAAGAAAAGTGACAACATCATTCATGAGTTCCCGTATATGATGAACAAATATGCTGGCAAAATCCACTACAATTTTTGTATTATTATATAATATAAGGACAGGTCATCACCTTATCATTACAAAGTTTGTTTCTGTATGTGAAATATTTCATGGGCTTCTAAAGGTGTGAAGCCTCTTTCTGTAACATACCAGAGTATAAGATTCTCTGTTTTTAACAAAGCATCACCTTCATATATTAAAATGAAATTAATCGTAGAACGTAATCTTCAGACAAATGACCACGTACTCTGGAATCCAGGTCCAAATCACTAACGTAATGGCTATAGCTGCATACTTCTAAGAAAGTGGAAAAAAGTTATGGGCATTTTCAAGAGAAAAACATTAGTGTCAAGTACCGCTTTAGCGAGGACAAAGAGACATCTCTTATCCTGAAAGCAAACCTAGACCAATTATTTTTCATGAACAAAAATTAAGCCATAACACACTAGTAAACTTCTTGCTAGGAAAAAACAATTAATATTTGAATAACGCTATAAATTCCTACTGATCTATTTCAAGTAAACTATTACCACTTCCTAGTAATATTTTTTTTTATTTATCTAGTAGGCTGTGGAGAGCAGCTTCTGTCTTTTCTCATCAAGCCTTAAGTTGAAACAACGCTGTCTGCAAATTCAGCGCCAAGACTAGGACTCCAGCTTCATTGAAAACCGGGAGGTCTGCTGGAAGCACCTCAACACTTATCCTCATCCTAAACTCTGGAGAGGCACAGCACCCTCTGCTGGTTAAAACCCTGGGGCTACAGCACAAATACCCTTCAAAGAAATGAAATAAAGATTTCATATAACCCTGTGCTGCAAAAACGTTCCACCAGCAGATTGGCACTAAAAGAAATGTTAAAAGAATTTCTTTTGGCACAGAAAAATTATACCAGATAAAAACTTGAATCTACACAAAGGAATGAAGAGCACCGAAAATGGTAAATATATGAATAAATATAGAATGAGATTGTCTTCTTTTTTAAGTTTCTTAAAAGATAATTGGCTCTCTGCTCCTTTCTGTTCCACAAACAGCCATGTGTTCTTGTGAAGTGCCAGGCACATACCTAAGACATAATGGTAAAGGTCCAAGTCACCAGATTTGTCCACATAGAGCACCTGGACTCTAGGGCGGCTTTAAAACTTCAACAAAGAGTCATCATCAATGACTCCTTCATTGTATAAACAACATGGTGTACATATTCCAGTATGATTTAATACATGGCAATTTCAGTGGCACTGTTGAGGCTGAGAACAAGAAGCTTGTCCACAATGGGAAGGCCATCTCTATTTTCCAGAAGCCATATGCTGCCTACATCAAATGGGTTGATGCTGTGCTGAATATGTTGTGGAGTCCATTGGTCCTGGGGCTCACTTAAATGGTGGAGCCAAAGGGGTCATCACATCTGTCCCTTCTACTGATGCCCTCACATTTTTGATATTCCCAACTTCAACACAGTTTCCCTCCCAGACTCCAAGAACCATGAGAAGTATGACAGCTCCCTCAAGATTGTCAGCAATGCCTCAAGTATCACCAATTGCCTTCGCCCTCTGATAAGTCATCCAGGATAACTTTGGCATCATGAAGGGAGCAAAGTTCTTATGATCACTGATACCAGAAGACTGGTAATGGTCCATCTGAGGAACTGGCATGACAGGGTGGGGCTGCCCAGCACATCATCTCTGTGTCTCCTGAATCTGCCAGGATTGTGAGCAAGGTTACGCCAGCTGAATGGGAAGTTCTCCAACTTGGCTTTCTGTGTCCGTGTCCCAACTGTGTTGGTTGTGGACCTAGCCTGCCATCTGGAGAAAGCTCCAATTGTGATGGCATCAAGAAAATAGTACAGCAGGTATCAGAGGGCCTGTAAGGAGCATCCAGGGCTACACTGAGAACCAGATTGTCTCCTTTGACGTTAACAGTGGTGCCTACTATTTATCTTTTCATGCTGGGGCTGAATTGTTCTCAAGGACCACTTTATCCAGCTCATTTCCTGGTATAATAATGAATTTGATTACAGCAAGAGTGGCAAACCTTATAGTCAATGTGGGCACCAAGGAGAAGAGCCCTGGGCCACTAGTCCCAGCAATAACAAGAGAAGAATAAAGAGGTTTTCAGCTGCTGGGGAGTCCTTGACCCAACTCAATTTCCCAACACACTAAAAAGCTCCCACTCCCAACAAGGTTTCTATCCCAGACTCCCTGAAGAAGAGAAGCAGCTTAGAGAGCCCTACCTTGTCATGTACCATCAATGTAATACAAGGTACTCCCCCCAAAAAAGATAATTTTTAAATAAAAACAATATGCTAGGGTTTGTAATAGATAGAGGTTGTAAATGTATAAAAGTGGCATATAGAACAGGAAGGAGGAATGGAAGTACATTGTCATGAGGCAGAGAAATGATATAGTAAGATTTGAAGACAGACTGTGATAAATTAAATATGCATTCATAAGCCCTACAGACAGAGCAATCACTAAAGTAATAAAGTGGTGTAGATAGCAAGTTGAGTGGTGATAAAATGGTATTCAAAAATGCTGAACCAAGAAGATATCAAGAACAAGAAAGAAACAAACAAAACCAGAAAAAAATAGAAAAAATAGCAAGATCATTGATTTTCCCAATCAGATTGATGGCTAGATTCAAGATAAGTGGGTGGATTGGATTTTTTTAAAAAAGAAGACGCAGCAAGAAGCACACTTCAAATATTAATATAAAGACTTAGATAGATTTAAATAAAGGATGCAAAAATATATACAATACAATTGATAAGTATTAGGGAGTTGGAGTAGCTATATTATTATCAGGCAAAGTAGACTTCAGAACAAGAATTATTATTTGGGAAAAGAGGGACATTGCATGATGATAAAGGGGTCAATCATGAACAAGACAAAGCAAATCTAAATGGACATAGGTACTCCAGAAGAAAGCTTAAACAAAGTTTAGCAAAAATTAATGGACTTGAAAGGAGGAAGTGAAAAGTCTACAATTATAGTTACAGATTTCAAAATTTCTCTCTAATCTACAGAACAATTAAACAGAAGATCAGTAAGGATACAGAAGATTTGAACAACAGTCTCAACTAACTGGACCTAATCGATAGTTATCAAACACTCTAGCCAAGAGCAACAGAATATACATTGACAATGAAAAAGTTGCCATAGACCTGGTGGACCTGAGATATAAAGGAAGTCTCAACAATTTTTTAATAGACAGTTACAAATTTTATTATAATTCATAATAGCAAACATTTTTACTGTGGTAAAATAAACACATAAATTTAACCATCTTAACCATTTTTGAGTGTACAATTCGGTAGCATGAAGTATATTTATATTATTGTTCAACAAATTCTAAAATATCAAAATAATGCAAATATGGTTTTTGACTACAAGAAATTTAAGTCATCATAAATGACCAACAATTGAGAAAATGAATGAAAGCAAAAAGCTAGACCTTTGAAAAGACCAATTATATCAATCAATTAAACTTCTAACTAGGCCAGTCGAGAAAAAATAGAAAGAGGACATAAATTACAATGTTTTATAAATTACAAAAGAAGTATCAGAGCAGAACCTAAGAATATTAACAAAAAGATATCTGGAAAGTCTCCCAATATACGGAAATTAAATAAAATACTTCTAAATATGCCACAGATCAAAGAAGAGATTCCACATAAATTTAGAAAATATTTTAAACTAAAAAAAAGAGAGCATAACTTATCAAAACTAAAACTGCAGCTAAAGCAGTTCAATCTATATATTATAAATCTATAATTTTGAATGCTTATATATAAAAAGGTCTAATATTTATGCTCAGAGCTTCTGTCATAAGTTGCTAGTAAAGAAGAGAAAATTAAACTCAAAGAGTTAGAAAGAAAGACAAATAAAACCCAGAGTGAAAATCAATAACACAGAAAATGACCAACAATGGAGAAAATCAATGAAAGCAAAAAGCTAAATCTTTGAAAAGACCAATTATATTGATCAATTAAACTTCTAGCTAGGCCAGTTGAGAAAAATAGAAAGAGGGTATAAATTACAATATTCTATAAATTAAAAAAGGAATATTAGAGTGGAATCTACTAACACTAAAAGGAAAATGTAAAGGAATATTAATTGATTACATGGAAATATTATGAACAATCTTCTACCAATAAATTTGACAACATAGATGAAGTGATAAAATTATTGAAAAGACACAAATTACCAAAACTGACACAAAAATTAATAATAAAATTGAATATACTTGTATGAATTATACAAATAGAGTTTATAATTTAAAATCTTTGCACAAACAAAATTTGAGTCTCCCAAAGTCTTAAAATATAAGCAAATCAAATCCAGCATAATTTATCCAAGAATATAAAGTTGATTAGATATTCAAATGTCAATAATATAATATTTTAAAAAATACTTAGAGAAAGCATCTGATTATCTGGATCCACAAAGAAAAGCATGTGACAAAATTCAGTACCATACATAAATTAAAAAAAAAAAAAAAACCCTTGCAAACTAGGAATAGCGAGGAGTGTATGCAACCCAATAAAGGGAATCTTTGAAAAACATACAGAAAACATCATATTCAGAAGGAAAAATGGAACATTTTCCCCATAAGACTGGAACAAAGCAAGAACCTCTCCTCTCACCATTTTGATTCAGTGTTATGTTGTGGCTATATGTCTTACATTATTTTATTGGCCAGTAAATATGTCTATTTACAGGTAACATACTCTTCCATGCAGAAAGTCCTCAAGAATCACCTAAAAAGCTAATAAATGAATTTTACAAGGCTTTAGAATACAAGGATACAACGTCAATATCTATGTCATCTGTTCTTTCCATATGCTAGTAATGAACAATTGGAAAATTTTAAATAAAACATTTAAACCAGTACAGTATCCAAAAGCATGAAATACTTAAGAGAAAAATCTCCATCCCAGACTCCCAGAACAATAAGAAGTAAGATAACTCCCTCAAGATTGTCAGCAATGCCTCATACACTATATGCTGAAAATTATAAAACCTTGCTCAGAAAAATTTTAAAAAGAAGCCCTAAATAAAGGGAAATATAAACTATGTAGATTGAATAGAAGACTTAAGATTGTTAAATTGTCAGTTCTTTCTAAACTGATCTACATACTTGATATGGTTTGGCTGTGTCTCCACTCAAATCTCACCTTGAACTGTATTTACCATAATCCCCATGTGTCTTTGTCTGAGGGATCCGTTGGGAGGTAATTGAATCATGGGGGTGGTTACCCTCATGCTGTTTTCCTGATAGTGGATGAGTTCTCATGAGATCCAATGGGTTGTTTTGTTTTTGTTTTTGTTTTTTTGAGACTAAGTCTCGCTCTGTTGCCCAGGCTGGAGTGCAATGGCACAATGAGATCCGATGGTTTTATAAGGGGCTTTTCCCCCTTTTGTTCTGCACTTCTCATTCCTGCCACCATGTGAAGAAAGACATGTTTGCTTCCTCTTCCACCATGATTGTAAGTTTCCTGAGGCCTCCCCAGCTGTGCAGAAATGTGAGTCAATTAAGCCTCTTTATAAATTACCCAGTCTCAGGAAGTTCTTTATAGCAACATGAGAATAAACTAATACAGTACTCAAAAAATTGCGGTTAAAAATCCCAGAAGGCTAATCATAGATATTGACACACTAATTTAAAAGTTTATATGGAGTCCATTCCAAGATGGCCGAATAGGAACAGCACCAATCTGCAGCTCCCAGCATGACTGATGCAGAAGACGGGTGATTTCTGCATTTCCAACTGAGGTACCTGGTTCATCTCACTGGGACTGGTCAAAAAGTGGGTGCAGCCCACAGAGGGTGGGCCAAAGCAGGATGGGTCATCACCTCACCTGGGAAGTGCAAGGGGTCAGGGGATTTCCCTTTCCTAGCCAAGGGAAGTTGTGACAGGCTGCACTGGGAAAATTGGGGCACTGCCACCTTAACACTGTGCTTTTCCAACATTCTTAGTAAACAGCACACCAGGAGATTATATCCTGCACGTGGCTCAGTGGGTCCCACGCCCATGGAGGCTTGCTCACTTCTAGTCCAAGACTGAACTGTGAGGCAGCAAGCTTGGCTGGGAGAGAGGCATCCACCATTGCTGAAGCTTGAGTAGGTAAACAAAGCAGCCAGAAAGGTCAAACTGGGTGGAACCCACTGCAGCTCAGCTAGGCCCACTTGCCTCTGTAGACTCCACCTCGGGGGGCAGGGCATAGCTGAACAAAAGGCAGCAGAAACTTCTGCAGACCTAAACATCCCTGTCTGACAGCTCTGAAGAGAGCAGTGGTTCTCCCAGCACGGTGTTTGAGCTCTGAGAACAGAAAGACTGCCTCCTCAAGTGGGTCCCTGACCCCCGTGTAGCCTAACTTGGAGATACCTCCCAGTAGGGGCTGACTGACACCTCACACAGCCGGGTGCCCCTCTGAGATGAAGCTTCCAGAGGAAGGATTAGGCAGCAATATTTGCTGTTCTGCAATATTTGCTGTTCTGCAGCCTCCACTGGTGATACCCAGGAAAACAGGGTTTGGAGTGGACCTCCAGCAAACTCCAACAGACTTGCAGCTGAGGGACCTGATTGTTAGAAGGAAAACTAACAAACAGAAAGGAATAGCATCAACATCAAAAAAAGGACATCCACACCAAAACCCCATCTGTAGGTCACCATCATCAAAGACCAAAGGTAGGTAAAACCACAAAGATGAGGAGAAACCAGAGCAGAAAAGCTGAAAATTCTAAAAACCAGAGCACCCTTTCTCCTCCAAGGATGGCAGCTCCTCACTAGCAATAGAGCAAAGCAGGACAGAGAATGACTTTGACGAGTTGGCAGAAGAAGGCTTCAGAAAGTCGGTAATAACAAACTTCTCCAAGATAAAGGAGGATGCTCGAACCCATCACAAGAAAGCTATAAACATTGAAAAAAGATTAAACGAATGGCTAACTAGAATAAACAGTGTAGAGAAGACCTTAAATGACTGGATGGAGCTGAAAACCATGGCATGAGAAATACGGGATGCATGCCCAAGCTTCAGTAGCCGATTTGATCAAGTGGAAGAAAAGGTATCAGTGATTGAAGATCAAATGAATGAAATGAAATGAATGAAATGAAGTGAGAAGTTTAGAGAAAAAAGAGTAAAAAGAAATGAACAAAGCCTCCAAGAAATATGGGACTATGTGAAAAGACCAAATCTAGGTTTGACTGGTGTACCTGAAAGTGACAGGGAGAATGGAAACAAGCTGGAAAACACTCTTCAGGATACTATCCAGGAGAACTTCTCCAATCTAGCAAGGCAGGCCAACATTCAAATTCAGGAAATACAGAGAACACCACAAAGATACTCCTCGAGAAGAACAACCCCATACAATTGTCAGATTCACCAAGGTTGAAACGAAGGAAAAAATGCTAAGGGCAATCAGAGAGAAAGATTGGATTACCCACAAAGGGAAGCCCGTAAGACTAACAGCTGATCTCTCAGCAGAAACCCTACAAGCCAGAAGAGATTGGGGGCCAATATTCAACATTCTTAAAGGAAAGAATTTACAACCGAGAATTTCATATCCAGCCAAACTAAGCTTCATAAGTGAAGGAGAAATAAAATCCTTTACAGACAAGCAAATGCTGACAGATTTTGTCACCACCAGGCCTGCCCTAAAAGAGCTCCTGAAGGAAGCACTAAACATGGAAAGGAACAACCAATACCAGCCACTGCAAAAACATGCCAAATTGTAAAGAACATCGATGCTAGGAAGAAACTGCATCAATGAACAGGCAAAATAACCAGCTAACATCATAATGACATGACCAAATTCACACATAACAATATTAAACTTAAATGTAAATGGGCTAAATGCACCAATTAAAAGACACAGACTGGCAAATTGGATAAAGAGTCAAGACCCATCAGTGTGCGGTATTCAGGAGACCCATTTCTCATGCAGAGACAGACATAGTCTCAAAATAAAGGGATGGAGGGAGATCTACCAAGAAAATGGAAAGCCAAAAAAAAAAAAAAAAAAAAAACAGGGGTTGCAATCCTAGTCTCTGATAAAACAGACGTTAAACCAACAAAGATCAAAAGAGACAAAGAAGGCCATTACATAACAATAAAGGGATCAATTCAACAAGAAGAGCTAGCTATCCTAAATATATATGCACCCAATACAGGAGCACCCAGATTCATAAAGCAAGTTCTGAGAGACTACAAAGAGACTTAGACTCCCACACAATAATAATGAGAGATTTAACACCCCACTGTCAATATTAGACAGATCAACAAGACAGAAGGTTAACAAGGATATCCAGGACTTGAACTCAGCTCTGCACCAAGCAGACCTAATAAACATCTACAGAACTCTCCACACCAAATCAACAGAATATACATTCTTCACAGCACCACATCACACTTATTCCAAAATTGACCAAATGGTTGAAAGTAAAGCACTCCTCACCAAATGTAAAAGAACAGAAATTATAACAAACTGTCTCTCAGACCACAGTGCAATCAAACTAGAACACAGGATTAAAAATCTCACTCAAAGCCGCTCAACTACATGGAAACTGAACAAACTGTTCCTGAATGACTACTGGGTACATAACGAAATGAAGGCAGAAATAAAGATGTTCTTTGAAACCAACAAGAACAAAGACAGAACATACCAGAATCTCTCAGACACATTCAAAGCAGTGTGTAGAGGGAAATTTATAGCACTAAATGCCCACAAGAGAAAGCAGGAAAGATCTAAAATTGAAACCCTAACATCACAATTAAAAGAACTAGAGAATCAAGAGCAAACACATTCAAAAGCTAGCAGAAGGCAAGAAATAACTAAGATCAGAGCAGAACTGAAGGAAATAGAGACACAAAAAACCCTTCAAAAAAATCAATGAATCCAGGAGCTGGTTTTTTGTAAAGATCAACAAAATTGATAGACCGCTAGCAAGACTAATAAAGAAGAAAAGAGAGAAGAATCAAATAGACACAATAAAAATGATAAATGGGATATCACCACCGATCCCACAGAAATACAAACTACCATCAGACAATAGTATAAACACCTCTACACAAATAAACTAGAAAATCTAGAACAAATGGATAAATTCCTGGACACATACACCCTCCCAGGACTAAACCAGGAAGAAGTTGAATCACTGAATAGACCAATAACAGGCTCCAAAATTGAGGCAATAATCAATAGCTTACCAACAAAAAAAATCGAGGACCAGATGGATTCACAGCCGAATTCTACCAGAGGTACAAGGAGGAGCTGGTACCATTCCTTCTGAAACTATTCCAACCAATAGAAAAAAAGGAAATCCTCCCTAACTCATTTCATGAGGCCAGCATCATCCTGATACAAAAGCCGGGCAGAGACACAACTAAAAAAAGAGAATTTTAGACCAATATCCCCGATGAACATCAATGCGAAAATTCTCAATAAAATACTGGCAAACTGAATCCAGCAGCACATCAAAAAGCTTATCCACCAAGATCATGTTGGCATCATCCCTGTGATGCAAGGCTGGTTCAACATATGCAAATCAATAAACATAATGCATCACATAAACAGAACCAATGACAAAAAACACAAGATTATCTCAATAGATGCAGAAAAGGCCTTCAACAAAATTCTATGGCAGTTCATGATAAAAACTCTCAATAAACTAGATATTGATGGAATGTATCTCAAAATAATAAGAGATATTTATGACAAACCCACAGCCAGTATCATACTGAATGGGCAAAAACTGGAAGCATTCCCTTTGAAAAATGGCACAAGACAGGGATGCCCTCTCTCGCCACTCCTATTCAACATAGTGTTGAAAGTTCTGGCCAGGGCAATCAGGAAAGAGAAAGAAATAAACGGTATTCAATTAGGAAAACAGTAAGTCAAATTGTCCCTGTTTGAAAATGACATGATTGTATGTTTAGAAAACTCCATTGTCTCAGTCCAAAATCTCCTTAAGCTGATAAGCAACTTCACAAAGTCTCAGGATACAAAATCAAAGTGCAAAACTCACAAGCATTCCTATACACCAATAACAAACAAACAGAGAGCCAAATCATGAGTGAACTCCCATTCACAATTGCTTCAAAGAGAATAAAATACCTGGGGATCCAACTTACAAGGGATGTGAAGGACATCTTCAAGGAGAACTACAAACCACTGCTCAATGAAATAAAAGAGAACATGAACAAATGGAAGACTATTCCTTGCTCATGGATAGGAAGAATCAATATCGTGAAAATGGCAATACTGCCCAAGATGATTTATAGATTCAATGCCATCCCCAGCAAGCTACCAATGACTTTCTTCACAGAATTGTAGAAAACTACTTTAAAGTTCATATGTAACCAAAAATTAACCCACATTGCCAAGTCAATCCTAAGCCAAAAGAACACAGCTGGAGGCATCACGCTACCTGACTTCACACTATACTACAAGGCCACAGTAACCAAAACAGCATGGTACTGGTACCAAAACAGAGATATAGACCAATGGAACAGAACAGAGCCCTCTGAAATAACACCACATATCTACAGCCGTCTGATCTTTGACAAACCTGACAAAAACAAGAAATAGGCAAAGGATTCCCTATTTAATAAATGGTGCTGGGAAAACTGGCTAGCCTGTAGAAAGCTGAAACTGGATCCCTTCCTTACACCTTATACAAAAATTACTTCAAGATGGATTAAAGACTTAAATGTTAGACCTAAAACCATACAAACCCTAGAAGAAAACCTAGGCAATAGCATTCATGACATAGACATGGGCAAGGACTTCATGACTAAAACACCAAAAGCAATGGCAACAAAAGCCAAAATTGACAAATGGGATCTAATTAAACTAAAGAGCTTCTGCACAGCAAAAGAAATTACCATCAGAGTGAACAGGAAACCTACAGAATGGGGGAAAATTTTTGCAATCTACTCATCTGACAAAGGGCTAATATCCAGAATCTACAAAGAACTTAAACAAGTTAACAAGAAAAAATCAAATAACCCCCATCAAAAAGTGGGCAAAGGATATGAACAGACACTTCTCAAAAGAAGACATTTATGCAGCCAACAGACACATTGAAAAAATGCTTATCATCACTGGTCATCAGAGAAATGCAAATCAAAACCACAATGAGATACCATCTCACACCAGTTAGAGTGGCCATCATTGAAAAGTCAGGAAACAACAGGTGCTGGAGAGGATGTGGAGAAATAGGAATGCTTTCACACTGTTGGTGGGACTGTAAACTAGTTCAACCATTGTGGAAGACAGTGTGGTGATTCCTCAAGGATCTAGAAGTAAAAATACCATTTCACCCAGCCATCCCATTACTGGGTATATACCCAAAGGATTATAAATCATGCTACTATAAAGACACATGCACCTGTATGTTTATTGTGGCACTATTCACAATCGCAAAGACTTGGAACCAACCCAAATGTCCATCAATGATAGACTGGATGAAGAAAATGTGGCACATATACACCATGGAATACTATGCAGCCATAAAAAATGATGAGTTCATGTCCTTTGTCGGGACATGGATGAAGCTGGAAACCATCATTCTGAGCAAACTATCACAAGGACAGAAAACCAAACACCGCATGTTCTCACTTATAGGTGAGAACTGAGCAATGAAAACACTTGGACACAGGGCGGGGAACGTCACACACCAGGGCCTGTCATGGGGTGGGGGTACTGGGGAGGGATAGCATTAGGAGAAATACCTAATGTAAATGACGAGTTAATGGGTGCAGCACAGCAACATGGCACATGTATACATATGTAACAAACCTACATGTTGTGCACGTGTACCCTAGAACTTAAAGTATAATAATAAATAAATAAATATAAATAAATAAATAAAAGTTTTTATGGAAACAGAAGGAAATTAAATAGCCAAACAATTTTGGAAAACAAATATAAAAGATGACTAAATTTACAGAAATCAGAAAAGGTAGTGCTAAATGTTTTTTTAAAAAGATATATGGATCAATAAAATAGAATAGCAAACTCAAATATAGAATCATACAGACGTGGTTAATAGATTTTCAATATAGATGACAAGGTAATTAAATGGGAGAAAGAAAGTCTTTTCAACAATTAATGCTGGAATAACTGAATAACTATATGGAAACAGTTGAAATTCGACCCTCACTTGACACCACACACAAATAAAACTCAATGTGGCTCATCAGGCTAACTGTGACATTTCTAGCAAAAAAAAAAAATGAGAAATCTTTGTAAGCTTGAAGAAGGCAAACTTTTCTAGACTGGACACAAAAAACATGAACTATAAACAAATGGTATATGCGAATATATTGGACCTTATTAAGATTAAAAACTTCTACTCTTCACTAAAAAATGTTAAGAAGTGAAGGAACAAGCCACAGGTTGGGTAATCCATAATCTGGCAAAGAATATATCTGCAGAAAATATAAATAACTCTTAAACTTAAAAATAAGAACATGCGCACACACACATACACACACGCAATTTAAAATGTCCAAAAGGTTTAAACAGACACTTTCTAAAAGAAGATATACCAATGACCAATAAGCACATGAAAAGATGCTATATTGTTAAGGCAGACTACACAGACTCAAAAGAATGGCTAAATTTTAAAAGACAATACCAAGTGATGAAGAGGAAACAGAGCAACAGGAATTCTCATACACTGCTGGTAGGAATACAAAATAGTACAATTACTTTGGAAAAGAGTTTGACAGTTTTTTCAAAGGGTTAAAATACATACCTACTATATAATCTGGAGATTCCACTCCTACATATTTGTTTAACAGAAATGGAAACATATGTTCACAAAGATTTTACTTGAATGTTCATAAGCAGCTTTATTCTCACAGTTTCCAAAACCTGGAAACCAGCAAAATTTCTAACCTCAGGTAAATGGTTAAAATAGAATGTGGTATACACATACAATGGAATATAACACTGCAGCAGAAAAAGATAGACTATTGATGCAGTAACATCACAGATGAATCTCAAAAATATGCTGAGCAAAAGAAAAACACAAAAGATTTCATTAAAAATTCATTTATATGAAATTTTTAAAAAGGCTAAACTATTTTATTGTGAAAAGTAAATAATTTGTTGCCTGGGCCCAGGGATGGAGGAATTGACTGGAAGTAACATACGGGTACTTTTGAGGGAGTGATGAAAGTATTCTATGTCTTAATTTGGTGGTACATAAGAGTTATACATTTTTTTAAACTCATTATATTGTATACTTAAGATGCGTGCATTTTATTATATGTAAGTTATGCTTAAACAAAATTTTAAGGGGAAAAAAGGAAAAACTTGGGGGCCATTCTCAAACTTAACAATTTGACCAAACAGGCTATGTTCTTTAAAACTTAATCCCCTCTTCTCAGTTTGAAATGATTCCCAGAAAACTCCTACTCTTTCCTCACATGTCCGTGATATTTGCCCTTTGAACTTATTCTCTTAAGAAGACACTCTACTTCTAACCTGGGATGTTCTTGTTACCATCACCACCCAACCTGCAGATCCTTCTGGGAAATAGGATATAGATTTCTAAACTATGTCCTCACTACTAACTAACTAAAACGGGTATACCGATATTCTTTGTTTTACCACTTTTACTAGATTTAACTGTGGAGAAAAAGTCATAGATGATGACCATAACCAAGAATGGAGAAAACTACTTACTTGCCCAATACTTCACAAGGGCATAAAATATGCTAACCATTCTAAGGTTTATGTCAATCTATGGGAAATGCTAAATATTTGGCTTTGGAATCAGTCTACAAAACTGAGAGTGCCCTGGATGTTAGGATGAGTTAGTGGATCTTTCTATCTCTCCTCAGAATTTATTTCTTATTCTAAAAGCCAAGACTCCACCTTTTTCTGTTAATATCTTCCTAGTTCTCATGGAAATAATAATAATGAACAAGCAAATGATTGAGTGAATGAATGACATTCCCATGGTTCTTCTAAATAGTCACTTTAATGAGAACATTCTAAGAGCAGGCTCTTACAATAGGCTAACAGGTACCACACGTATTTCTGATTTTGAACTTAAGTTGCTCACCCATACCTAGTCTATTGATCATCTTTTACAGAGAAGTAGAAAACATATTCATTTACAGATGTTCTTCACAGTTGAAAGTTCTCTTGCTTATTACCTTCAAATGTGTGAAATAATGGATGGTGACAGCAGTTCTTTCTTTGCAGAGCATTCAAAGAGATAACCTACTCTATGGTTGGCAGCCATGGCAGGTGTCTACATGGCCCATCAGAGGAAATGATAATTTCACAGTTTATACAGTGTGTTAATAGGTTTGGTTGTGAAAACAAACCACCCTAAAATCTCAATACTGTGGTTTGCAACAATAGATGCATTTTTGACTCACAAGTCTGAGAGTTGCTGTTAACTCTGCTCAGCTCTGCTCCAAGTATCTTTTTATGCTGGGACCCAGGCTAGGCAGATGAAGAATTCTATCTGCTAAAACATGGCTTATATTATGTCCATGTACATCCCCTAATAAAGTCATATGTCCAAGCTTACCAATGGCACTGTAGGTGTATTCTCTCTAGTGGATTGCACTAGTAGTCAGATGGCAAAAGGAGTGGATGTACACCTCTTGGGAAAGGAGCAGACAATTGGGAACAATAATAATTTCCACCACATGTGGTTAACTAAACTAAAAATAATCACCATGCAGAAAAAGGCCATGCTGTCCCTTGCCACTTCTCAAGTCATCTACAACTTAAGAATATAGAAAAAGCAATCATTACTCCCTTGAAATATCTGCATAGCGCCTAATATTGAGTACAAAAATGCAGGCTAAATAGATATGAAAAGAGATATGGCAGTTTCTGGAAAAAGACCTTGAGGTTGTGGCTTGTCTGCCATTCACCAGATGCACAAATCAATTACACAGCAAGCATTAAAGCCTGGAAGACAAAAAAAAAAAAAAAAATCTGATTGAATCAGGAGGGAAGCTAAATACTCTTTCATTCATCTGTTCTGAGTGAAAAATATACAAAATTTAAATGAAAATAATTTCCTCCAGCTACCCAAGTGTGATTTACTTTAATAAGGCACTAATTGATATGTTAAACTTGCTATTTTCACCACGTCTTCAAATCTTATTATACAAGTCAACTAGCCACCGAGATAACCACTGTGATCTCCTCTAAAAAGCCTACTGAAAACAATCCTGGTCTTAGCCAATTCACTTTTTGTTCATAAAAGAGAGCTAAGGAGTCCTAAATTACAAAATAATTATTTTGAAGCCCAGCCTTGAGTGCAGATAAACAGGTCCGTAAAGGTGGACTCTAGAGGTGAAATGGCACAAAAGAATTCTACTACCTTATATACTTGATGTAAATATTTTGGATAAGTCTCCTTCCAATTTGCTTTATAAGAGAGATTCAGAACTTGAAGGGCTGGCCAAACAGGCTAAGTTTTCTAGAAATTCATGGAAAAAAAATAAGGAAATATCTGCTAAGACCAGAACCTTCTTGTTTTATGCTAAGTAATTAGGAAGATAAGAGCTTCATTGAGTTTACTAACTAGTATCACCAAAATCACCATCCAAGGGAAGGGAATGTAGCCCTAAGAGCCTTACAAGTAAAGTAGGCCAGCAACACTTTCTTTGTTAGAAATTAAGGGAAACCACTTTCCTTCTGTGGTAGCCGATTTCCCACTGATTCCTGTCTCCTGCTATTTACACCTCTGTAGAATCCCTCCCACTTTGTAGCAAGGTTGGTTTTTATGGCCAGTAGTATATGGCTTAAGTAATGGCATGTAATTACCAAGATTAGTTGGTTATAAAAGTTTTATTTTCGGCCAGGCGCGGTGGCTCACGCCTGTAATCCCAGCACTTTGGGAGGCCGAGGCGGGTGGATCATAAAGTCAGGAGATCGAGACCGTCCTGGCTAACATGGTGGAACTCTCTCTCTACTAACAATACAACATATTAGCCGGGTGTGGTGGCAGGCTCCTGTAGTTCCAGCTACTCGGGAGGCTGAGGCAGGAGAATGGCATGAACCCAGGAGGTGGAGGTTGCAGTGAGCCCAGATGGCGCCACTGCACTCCAGCCTGGGTGACAGAGTGAGACTCTGTCTCAAAAAAAAAAAAAAAGTTTTATTTTCACCAAGTCTTGATTAAAAATCTTGGCAGCTTCTGCCTTGGGCCCCCCTCTCTCTCTTAGATCACTCACTCTAGGGAAAGCAAGCTTCTATGTTTTGCACTGCCCTATGGAGAGGCCAATATGACAGGGAACTGAAAGAGGCCTCTGGCCAACAAGCAGAAGGAAAACAAGGCCCTCAATCCAACACTCTGTGAGGAACTGAGGACTGACAACAACTATGTGAATGAACTCAAGAAGATCCTTCCCAGTTGAGCTTTTAGATGAATCTCAACCCTGACTAACAACTTGACTGAAAAAACAAGACAGATCTTGAGCTGGACCAGCTAGCTAAACCATTTCCAGATTCAAGACCCACAAAATCTATAAAATAATAAACCGTGGTTGTTTTAACCTGCTGTTTTAGAGTAATTTGTTATGTAACAATAGATATTTAATATATCCTCACTGTTAAAGTTGTGTCTGTTAGATCTTATTCTTCAAAGAACAGAGACAAAAATAAGCCTGTGTTCTTTGTTCCTTGCTTCTTCTAATTTTTCTTTAGTATTAATGTCAATATTTTATCATATGCACCATCTAATTTCTGGTAATATCAAGACTCTTAAATTATATATATATATATATATATAAAAAATATATATAACTTAACTGGTTTGTTCTTATGCTGCTAATAAAGATATACCCAATACTGGGTAGTTTATAAAGAAAAGAGGTTTAATGGACTCACATTTTACATGGCTGGGGAGGCCACAGGAAACTTATAATCATGGTGGTAGAGAAAGCAGATGCGTCCTTCTTCACATGATGACAGGAGACAGAATAAGAGTAAAGGAGGGAAAAGCCCCTTATAAAACTGTCAGATCATGTGAGAATTCACTCACTCTCATGAGAACAGTATGAGGGTAACTGCCCCCATGATTTAATTAGTTTCCACCAGGTCGCTCCCATGATATGTGGGAATTATGGGAATAGTTCAAGATGAGATTTGGGTGGGGACACAGCCAAACCATATCAAGGGTCAATATCTATCAATATAAAATTTCCCTTTGTAGACTGGGAGGTTAAAAATCTACTTTTTGTGATATATAATTCATTTTACACGCATTGGGTAATGTAATATCCAGTGATAAGATAGTGTTCTTGTTGCTTCTGTTAGACTATCACAACAGTCCCCAAACTTTTCCAATTTTTAAATAATCACAATAGAGAAAATCTAGTATAATATTAATGTTTATATCATTACCACTTATGCTACTTTGGGGCATCATTTTTTATATATTTTATTTTATTTATTTTTTATTTTTTAGAGACAGAGTCTTGCTGTATTGCCCAGGTTAGAGGTCAGTGGCATGATTATAGTTCACTGCAACCTCAAATTCCTGGGCTCAAGCAATTCTGCCTCAGCCTCCCAAGTAGCTGAAACTACAGGCATGTGCCACCGTGCCTGGCTAATTTTTTTTCTTTTTTTTTTTAGTGACAAGGTTTCACTAGGTTGCCTAAGCTGCTCTCAAACTTCTGGGCTCAAGCAATCCTCCCACCTTGACCTCCGAAAGCACTGGGATTACAGGTATAAGCCACCATACCTGGCCTCAATATTATTTTAATACTTATCACACTAACTTGTGAAACAAAAAAGTTCTTATTAAATTGTGTTGTTCAACATTATAAATGCTTTTATCGAGAGATTCACATATAGAAGACAAAAAAAAGTAGTTTGAAAGTAAAATGGAAAGTAAATATCAAATGAATATTTGTTATTAAGACGTCCTACAATTTCAGTGTGGCCTTGGAAAAATCCAACCTTGATGTTACTAAAATTTGAGAATTAAGCTTTATGTATATAGTAAAAACTAGTTTGAACAAATTTTTCCTCAGGTTACACTGACTTGAATTGATTAACCAGTTGGCAGATTTGATAAATTAACTTGGTTAGTAGTGACATAAAAGTTAACATATAATGAGTATTTTATAATAAATGCAAGCTTGTGTACTTGAAACACCTGAGCACAGATTTTGTTACTCTAAATGGGAGAAGGCTGAAGTTTTTATTTATTTATATGTATGTATGTATGTATTCATTTCTTGAGACCAAGTCTAGCTCTGTCACCCAGGCTGGAGTGTAGTGGAGTGATCACAGCTCACTGCAGCCTCTACCTCCCGGGTTCAAGCTATTCTCCCACCTCAGTCTCTTTAGTAGCTAATATTATAGGCGCCCGCCACCACACTCGGCTAATTTTTGTATTTTTATTAGAGACAGGGTTTCACCATGTTGGCCGGGCTGGTCTTGAATTTCTGACCTCAAGTGAACTGCCTGCCTCGGCCTCCCAAAGTTCTAAGATTACAGGCATGAGCCACCGTGCCCGGATGAAGGTCGAAGTTTTAAAAATTATAACTAAATTGTCCATGGTTATACTGATAGTAAGTAGCAGAGGATTTATAGACAACACGTCTTCCTCTAGAATCCCTAGTTTTATCACTGCACTGTACTGTATGTAGTTCAGGACCCATGTGACTGATAATGTACTTCTCCATTCTTCATTATCATTCTTTATCTAAACTCCTACAGGTCTAAATTCATTCTATGCCAGAAATGCAACAGACTGAAAATATCGTGTCCCCCAGAATTCATATGTTGAAACATAATCTTTGGTGTGATGGTATTTGCAGGTGGGGCCTTTAAGCAGTGATTAGGTCATGAGTACAGAGTCCTCATGAATGGGATTAATATCCTAATAAAAGAGACCCCAGAGAGCTCCCTCACTTCTTCTGCCATGTGACAACAGTGATAAGTTGGCCATCTATGCACCTGCTGGCATCTTGATCTTGGACTTCCCAGCTTCCAGAAGTACAAGAAATACATTTCTGTTGTTTATAAGCCACCCAGTCTATGCTATTCTGTTATAGCAGCCTGAATGGAATAAGACAGCTGCTATGGTTTGAATATGTTCCCTTAAAGTTAACGTGTTGAAAATTTGTCATTGTTACAGTACTAAGAAGAGGGACCCTTGAGAGGTAAGTGGATTAATGCTTTTATTGTGGGAGTGTGGGAGTTATTGCAAGAGTTCAGCCCCCTTTTTCTCTCTCTGTCTCAAGCACTCATGTGCCCTTCCATATTTTTACTCTGCCACCCCTCTGCCACCCCTCTGCCATAGAATAATGTAGCGTGAAGGCCCTTGCAAGAGGTTGGAACCATGCTTTTGGACTTCCCATCCTTCAAAACTATGAGCCAAATACACTTCTATTGTTTGTAAATTACCCAGTCTCGGTTACTCTGTTATAGCAGTAGAAAATGAGCTAAGGTAACAACATAGGATTCAAAATGATGGTGATGACAGTGACAATAAAAATGAAAATGATTATGATGATAGCTTTGCACATTGAGTCCTTAATATGCTCTTAATACTTGCTTCACAAGTGTTATTTAGTTAATCCTCATAACAATTATGATAACATAGACAAGGCATGATAATGATGTCCATTTTAAAGGAGGGGAAAATGAGGCACAGCAATTTTTCATTGTTTAATGTAGAAAAAACAGTAAATTAAAGCATTAAAACCTGTAATTGAGCCCCAACTCTGCCATAAAATCCTATCATCTCTAAAGTTGATCTCTATGAGTTACTAAAATAACACATAATTTTTTTATTTATGAAGTAAGGTGGTTGAACAAGATTTTTTTTTTCATTTTATCAGCCATTACATATTTGTCTTATCTAATGTTGAAATCCAGGGCTATATTTAATATAACTATTTTCTCATTAACCGCAAAAGTAGAAGCAGCTCAACAAATAATGCTGAATTTCTATGAACTCTAATTTAAAAGGGAACAAAAATGCTAGTCTCCGTATTAGAAGCTTTTATCAACTACATCATTAAGTCCTCTTTTCTGATGTTCTTGAACTTGTGAAATTCTCCTACAATACCTCTAACTCTGTGACCAATGTTTCTTTCATCATGATAATATGTCTTCTTTACTAATTTATTACTATATGTAAGATCCAAGAAATTTATGTAATTTTCTATTAAAGTTCTGCATGCTATTGAAATGAGTTGTTCATTTCTAGATATTCAATAATTTTCATGATTATTTCTCTAATTTTTGCAAAAATCTGGTTTTTCACCTATGAAAGCCAAATTCTGGATTCTGTAGCAATCTATCATTTGACAATATATTAGCTTAAATGATGAAGTGCTTTCTTAAATGCCAAGTAAACAGTGTCATAAAAAAAACTGCCCGTGTCAATCTGCAATAGAATCTTATACTAAGAGCTAAGGTTAGTTAGGAAGAAATCCGTCCTCCTAAATCCAAAAAAGTTGAACATAATAAAGAATAGATCAATTACTAGATATATGTCAAGAACATGAATCCATAGATTGAATATTTGGCAATGATGTCAAAAAGTCCAAATCACCAAACATAAGAAAAGACTAATTAAAAGTTTCAAATGTAAATCATATATAAATGAAGGAGTAAAAAATTATTTTTGTATAATTGTTCAACTGCGTATTAATCTAAGCTGTTTAAAAACATATTTCCCTATCTACTGTTATAAGATATATTTCTAAGTAATAACCTGGATTAAGGAATGAACATGAAAATACCTGTCTTTATAGAATGTCCTCAATATATAATGACTAATCTTGAAAATATGATGAAAGATACTTCATAATTTTAGTAACAAAATAAAAATAGTTGTAAATATCTACTTAAAAGTTAATGAGATTTTCACATTTAATATTTTTAATTATACACGTTTATCATCCCCTATTTTAAAAGGACTTCCAAGTATTTGCAATTAAAAATATTTTAGTATACCCTATGTGCCAAATATTTTGCTTAGAATTGTACATGCCCTATCTCATTTTACATTCACAGTAATTCCATTAAGTACTGTTATAATTATCCCCATGTAACACATGAGGAAAATAACGTTGAAAGATTACACAATTTGCCACACAGTTAGTAGCAGAGGTGAAATTTGCCACCAGAATTCGAACGTTAAATCACTTAACAATGCTTTTAATTTCAAGACAGAAGTCAGTCTTTGACAAGCTGATTTTACCTGTTCTCTGAAATTGTTTATATGCTTTAGTTTCTGCAAGCCACATAAGACTTCATTTATTTAGCCATTCATTCACTGTCAAGAAATATTAAGCCAAACTATATGTTTGAGTATCATGTTAAGCACGGGACAAAGTGTCATGCTCATTATTTCCCAGAACATCCCACGTTCATTCTACTTTTACACTTTATTTTTATCCCACGTCTTTTGCCTGAAATGTTTCCACCCACTTAGCACCATTTTAAGGTCCGTCCACATGACCTACTTAAAATGTTATTTCCCTTAGAGAATAAGTCTTCCTTTGAATGCCAATAGCCCTTATTATACTTACCACATATTTGGAAATTAAATAAAACTAACCACTTTTATTATTTATACTTTTACAAGAATAATAAGCCCTTGAGAGAAGGGTTATCCTAAAGTCCCATCCCTGGCACTCTTCCCTGCCAACAGAAAGCACTCCAAAAATATATATAGATGATAAGATAATGATGTAGTAGTTTATTTAAACCAGTTTTTTAAAATTGATATAAACTTTAGAGGCAAGATAAAAAATGAAAAACATCTTAAAAGTATCAAAAGGAATAACAAGATACTAAATATTAAGCTAAAATGTGACCATGTATAGTGGTCTACACCTATAATCCTAGTGCTTTGGGAAGCCAAGGTGAGAGAATCACCTGAGACCAGAAGTTCAAGACCAGCCTGGTCAATATAGCAAGACCCCATCTCTAAAATAATAATAATAATAATAATAATAATAATAATAATAATAATAATAATAAATTAGCCTGGCCTGGTGGCACACGCTGTAAAAATAAAATTACAAAAAGAAAATATTAACTTAAAATGAGCAACCATAGAAGTAACCAGGGTATAAACCCTCAGCTGGTGATAAACTCAGTTGGTTTTAGTGGTCTCATAGGGTGAGAGGAAAAGAAGCTAAAGTCTGGGCTTACCCAAAACGCTGAAATTTAATAAGGCACTCCAATATTAAGCAAGGATACCAAAATAATATGCTACCAAGATAAAGATGAAATAAAAGTAAACACCCCTACCCCCAAGGACCTGAAAATAAGTTTTTTTCTAACAGAATAAGCAGAGAAAAGAAAAAGGAAGCAGTCCTCAGAGATTATAAATCTGAAGCCACAAGCCAACCTCTTGGGCACTTATGTCTCAAACTTACATCACATGGGTGATGAAGAAAACAAAATAAATTTTTAAAAAAAGAAATAATGAGAAAAACTTAAATTGAGAATTTGGTTTTTAGCTTTCCAGAGTGGTTGTGTCTTGATATACCTGTCAGAAACAGATACACATCTTCTCTAGAGGATACATTTTTACCTTGAGACTCAAACTCCTCATTAATAGAATTTCAAAGCCAATGAACAACACAGAGCTAAACTAAGTACACCCACACATGCACACACCCCACCACCACCACTACCATGAGCATAAACCTGCAGAAACAACAGACACCCACATAAATCTATAAAAATACTGATATAAGCTTATCAGACACAGATGTTTTCAATGTTTAAAGAAATTAAAAACAAGCTTGAAAATATCTGCAGAATACAGAAAACTATGAGAAGTTTGGCAAAAAATCAAATACATATTTTGGAATTAAAAACTATATAACCAACAAAATTCAAACTCAATGTATAGTTTTAACCATCAAGTCCTCACAAGAAAGGTTAATGGGAAACATGCAAAATGATAGATTAGAAGTATGTGAAATTCATGTGTACTTGAGGCTGAGCAATGCTGCCACAGAGCATAGGAAAACTCTTGCTATGGTTTTTTGCTATTTTTATATGGTATAATAATATGGCTATTTATTTATTGTTTGTAAACACTTATTTTTCAAAAAAAAATTCAACAGTAATAGCTTCAGAATTCTCACTTTTAATGTATAATAAAGTATTTTTCAAGGAAGTTGATAATAAATAGGTTACTTGCACAAAGTGTATGTTAATATTTTCCACATAACATGAAACCATAGTGACATCAGTGACATGAAATTATTAGAATCATCTTCAAAAGTTACTAGCCAGTCACATCAGGAAGATGGAAGAATTAGAAGTTCCAACCCTCATGCCCCACAAAGAAAAGCCAATTTTGGCAATAACTCAGATAAGAATACTTCTGTGAGAGCCCCAAAGTCTAAATGAAAGTTCCAGAACTCCAGTGGAGCACAAAACCTGAGTGAACCCAATCAGAAGGGTAAAAAGAACAGTTTCACTTCACTCACATAACCTCTCTCCAAATGTAGCACAGCTTGGTGATAAGAGACGCACCCTCAGCCCACAATTTCTCCAACATGGAAAAGTGAGAGAGAAGTACGTGCCCAGTTTCCCCAACCTTGGGAATGCTGTCCACCAAAACACTGAGGGAAGTGGAACAACTGAATGGCCTGGGGGGAGTTAGAAGGAGAGAGAAAGGGTAGGAAATCATAGCAAATGAAATGCTAATTTCAATAGCTAGCCACAGATCATGCTAACCCACATAAGGACACCACCAAGAGGTCTGTTCATGAACCCCACACAACAATTAGCCTATGAACTTATCCAACAAGCCAACATATACATCCAGCACTCCTTGTGTACCCCTCTGGAAGATGTCATGCAATACATCCCCATTCATGGTACCTGCATGTTCCCACATGTGTGATAGCATATGATCACAATAGCAAGTACAGATCTTAGTAGTTGGCTCAAGTGGTAGATTAGAAAATGGTGTACAACCTTGAACAGTTCAGTGCATGGGCCTAGGGAAAATAAATCAGAGACTCTCAGAACCAGGCCTGACTTTGCAAGATTGAGAGAAGGTACATGACACAAAAATTTCCTCCACAAGAAGAATAAGAGAAGTGGAGCAGAAGTGGATGTATCTGCACAGAAGGTCTGAGAGATCCCAGAATCTTTTATCCATCTCCTAGCAAAGGTCTTTCACTCCAGAAACCATTCAGTAAAGACTGGAGGAGATTACTACTTCTTCCAATGTGAAGACAGTAATGCATGCCTTCAAGAAACTAGAGGAAGCAAGGAAATTAAACACTACCCAAGGGAAAAAATGAAGTTTGAATGACTAGCTCCAAAGAAATGGAGATATATAAATTGCCTGAAAAAGAAATCAAAGTAACTGTCAGTGAAGCTCAACAAGCTACAAAAGAACAAAGACAATAAACAATGTCAGGAAAACAATATATGAACAAAATGATAAGTTCAACAGAAATAGTAATCATAAAAAAAGAATCAAATAGAAATTATGGAGCTGAAGAATCCAATGTCCAAAGTGAAAAATACAATAGAGAGCTTCAACAGAAGACTTGATCAAGCAAAAAAAAAAAAAAAAAAAAAGAGTAAGCAAACTCAGAGACAGATCATTTGAAATTATCCAATCAGAGGAACAATAACATCAGAAAGAGTGAAGAAAGAAAACAGGGCTTAAGAGACACCATCTAGAAAATGAATATATGCATTATGAAGGCTACAGAAGGAGAAAGGCAGAGAAAACTTATTTTATGTTAAAAATAATTACGTAAAATTTCTCAAATCTGTATAGGGAAATGAGCTTTCAGATTCATAAAGACTAAAGAGTCTTAAATATGTTTAATATAAGGGGGTCTCCATTGGGACACATTATAATCACATTGTAAAAAGTCAAAGACAGAGAATTTTGAAAACAATAAGAAAAAAGTGATTTTTCATATACAAGGCAACTACTATAAGTCTATAAGCATATTTCTTAGCAGAAACTTTACAGACCAGGAGAGAGTGAGATGATAAATATTTAAAGTGCTTAAAGAAAACAAAATCACTGAGAATACAATGTCTAGAAGAAAGTCTTTACCTATCAATTATTACTTTAAATATGACTGGATTAAGTTCATGAATCAAATACCTATAGTGGCTGAATGGACTTTAATAAAACATGATCTAACTACATACCACTTCTAAGAAACTCCCCTTTAGCTTGAAGGACACACGTAAGCTGAAAATAAAGGACAAATGGGTTCTTTATTACAAAATTAAATGGTAAAATTATAAATATCTTGAAAAAAACAAAAATGGAAATGCAACATAACAAAACTAATGAGATGCAGCAAAAGCAGCTCTAAAAGGGATTTTTTTAAATTAATTTTTCTTTTTTCACTTTTGTGGGTCCATGTTAGGTGTATATATTTATGAGTCATGTTAGATATTTTGATACAGGTATGCAATGTGTAACAATAACATTAGGGTAAATAGAGTATCCACCACCTCAAACATTTATCCTTTGTGTTTCAAACAATTATATTATACACTTAGTTGTTTTTAAATAAACAATTAAATTATTTTGCTGTAGTCTTTCTGTTGTGCTAGGAAATACCAGTTCTTACTTATTCTTTCTAACTATTTTTGTACCTATTAACCATCCACCTTCCTCCATACCATCCCCACTTCCAACTATCCTTCCCAGCCTCTAGTAACCATCTTTCTAGTCTCTAACTCCATGAGTTCAATTGTTTTAATTTTTAGCTCCCAGAAATAAGTGAGAACATGCAATGTTTCTCTTTCTGTGCGTGGTTAATTTCATTTAACATAATGACCTCCAGTTCCATCCATAATAACATAATAATGTAATAACGCAATAATGCAAATGATTGGATGTCACTTTTAATGGCTGAATAATATTCCACTGTGTATGTGTACCACATTTTCTTTATCTGTTGATGGACACTTAGGCTGCTTCCAAATCTTGGCTGTTGTAAATAGTGCTTCAATAAACCTGGGAAGGTGGGTATCAGTTCAATATACTGTTTTTCTTTATTTTGGGTATAGACCTATGAGCAGAATTGCTAGTTCACATGGTAGCCCTATTTTTATTATTTTGAGGAACCCTCCATACTGTTCTCCATAGCGGTTGTACTAATTTACATTTCCACCAACAATGTATGATGGTTCTTTTTTCTTCACATTCCTGTCAACATTAGTTATTGCCTGTCTTCTGGATATAAGCCATTTTAAGTGGGGTGAGAAGATATTGCATTTTAGGTCTGATTTGCATTTCTCTTATGATCAGTGATTTTGAGCACCTTTTCTTTTACCTGTTTGCCATTTGTATGTCTTCTTTTGAGAAATGTCTATTCAAATTACTTGCCCATTTTTTAATCAGATTATTAAATTTTTTTCCCTATACAGTTGTTTGAGCTCCTTATAGATTCTGGTTATTAATCCCTTGTCAGATGGGTAGTTTATAAATATTTTCTCTAATTCTATGGGTTTTCTCTTCACTTTGCTGGTTATTTCCTTTGCTATGCAGAAGCGTTTTAGCTTGATATAATCGCATTTGTCTATTTTTACTTTGCTTGCCTATGCCTGTGTGGTATTGCTCAAGATGTCTTTGTCCACTCCAATGTCTTGAAGAGTTTCCCCAGTGTTTTCTTGTAGTAGTTTCATAGTTCGTGGACTTAGATTAAGTGTTTAACTAATTTTGATTTGATTTTTCTATATGGCAAGAGATAGGGGTCTAGGTTTATTCTTCCACTATGGATATTCAGTTTTCTCAGTACTATTTATTGAAGAGACTTCTTTTCCCAAAGTATGCTCCTGGAACATTTGTCAAAAAAGAGTTCAGGGTAGATGTATGTATTTATTTCTGGGTTCTCCATTCTGTTCCATTGGTCAATGTGTCTCTTTTTATGCCAGTAGCATGCTGCTTTGGTTACTATAACTCTGTAGTATAACATGGAGTCAGGTTATGTGATTCTTCCAGTTTTATTCTTTTTGCTCAGCATAGCTTTGGCTATTCTGGGTCTTTTGTGGCTCCATAAACATTTTAGGATTGCTTTATCTGTTTCTGTGAAGAAAATCCTTGGTATATTGACATAAATTGCATTAAGTTTACAAATTGCTTTGTGTAGTATGGATACTTTAACAATACTAATTCATCCAATCCATGAACATGGAAGCTCTTTCCATTTTTCTTGTGTCCTATTTACTTTCTTGCATTAATATTTTAAACTTGTTATCGTAGAGGTCTTTCGCTTCAGATAAATCCAACTTGGTTATGATTATGATCTTTTTAATGGATTATTGATCATAAAGCTGTTAGAACTCACAAACAAGTTCAATAAAGTTGCAGGATACAAAATCCACATACAAAATTCAGTTACATTTCTATACACTAACAACACACACTATACTTTAATAAATTAAGAATATAGTCCCATTTAAAATGGGGGCAGGGAATAGCCAAACAAAAGGCAGCAGAAAACTCTGCAGACTTAAATGTCCCTGTCTGCCAGCTTTGAAGAGAGTAGTGGTTCTCCTAGCATGCAGCTGGAGATCTGAGAACGGACAGACTGCTTCCTCAAGTGAGTCCCTGACCCTCGAGTAGCCTAACTGGGAGGCACCCCTCAGTGGGGGCAGACTGACACTCACATGGCTGGGTACTCCTCTGAGACAAAACTTTCAGAGGAATGATCAGGCAGCAACATTTGCTGTTCACCAATATCTGCTGATCTGCAGCCTCCACTGCTGATACCCAGGCAAACAGGGTCTGGAGTAGACCTCCAGCAAACTCCAACAGACCTGCAGCTGAGGGTCCTGACTGTTAGAAGGAAAACTAATGAACAGAAAGGACATCCACACCAAAACCCCATCTGCACATCACCATCTTCAAAGACCAAAGGTAGATAAAACCACAAAGATGGGGGAAAGACAGAGCAGAAAAATTGGAAACTCTAAAAATCAGAGCACCTCTCCTCCTCCAAAGGAATGCAGCTCCTCACCAGCAATGGAACAAAACTGGATGGAGAATGACTTTGACGAGTTGAGAGAAGAAGGCTTCAGACGACCAAACCACTCTGAGCTAAAGGAGGAAGTTCGAACCCATGGCAAAGAAGTTAAAAACTTTGAAAAAAAATTAGAAGAATAGCTAACTAGAATAACCAATGCAGAGAAGTCCTTAAAGGACCTGATGGAGCTGAAAACCATGGCATGAGAAATACGTGACAAATGCACATGCCTCAGTAGATGATTCAATCAACTGGAGGAAAGGGTATCAGTGATGGAAGATCAAATGAATGAAATGAAGCGAGAAGAGAAGTTTAGAGAAAAAAGAATAAAAAGAAATGAACAAAGCCTCCAAGAAATATGGGACTATGTGAAAAGACCAAATCTACATCTGAATAGTGTACCTGAAAGTGACAAGGAGAATGGAACCAAGTTGGAAAACACTCTGCAGGATATTATGCAGGAGCACTTTCCCAATCTAGCAAGGCAAGCCAGCATTCAAATTCAGGAAATACAGAGAATGCCACAAAGATACTCCTTGAGAAGAGCAACTCCAAGACACACAATTGTCAGATTCACCAAAGTTCAAATGAGGGAAAAAATGTTAGGGGCAGCCAGAGAGAAAGGTCGGGTTAGCCACAAAGGGAAGCCCATCAGACTAACAGCTGATCTCTCAGCAGAAACTCTACAAGCCAGAAGAGAATGGGGGCCAATATTCAACATTCTTAAAGGAAAGAATTTACAACCGAGAATTTCATATCCAGCCAAACTAAGCTTCATAAGTGAAGGAGAAATAAAATCCTTTACAGACAAGCAAATGCTGACATATTTTGTCACCACCAGGCCTGCCCTAAAAGAGCTCCTGAAGGAAGCGCTAAACATGGAAAGGAACAACCAGTACCAGCCACTGCAAAAACATGACAAATTGTAAAGGCCATCGAGTCTACGAAGGAGCTGCATCAACTAACGAGAAAAATAACCAGCTAACATCATAATGACATGATCAAATTCACACATAACAATATTGACCTTAAATGTAAATGGGCTAAATGCTCCATTTAAAAGACACAGACTGGCAAATTGGATAAAGAGTCAAGACCCATCAGTGTGCTGTATTCAGGAGACCCATCTCACGTGCAGAGACACACATAGGCTCAAAATAAAGGAATGGAGGAAGATCTACCAAGCAAATGGAAAACAAAAAAATGCAGGGGTTGCAATCCTAGTCTCTGATAAAACAGACTTTAAACCAACAAAGATCAAAAGAGACAAAGAAGGCCATTACATAATGGTAAAGGGATCAATTCAACAAGAAGAGCTAACTATCCTAAATATGTATGCATCCAATACAGGAGCACCCAGATTCATAAAGCAAGTCCTTAGAGACCTACAAAGAGACTTAGACTCCCACACAATAATAATGGGAGACTTTAACACCCCACTGTCAACATCAGACAGATCAACGAGACAGAAAGTTAACAAGGACATCCAGGAACTGAACTCAGCTCTGCACCACTTGGACCTAATAGACATCTACAGAATTCTCCACCCCAAATCAACAGAATATACATTCTTCTCAGCACCACACCACACCTGTTCCAAAACTGACCACATAGTTGGAAGTAAAGCACTCCTCAGCAAAGGTAAAATAAAAGAAATTATAACAAACTGTCTCTCAGACCACAGTGCAATCAAACTAGAACTCAGTATTAAGAAACTCACTCAAAACCACTCAACTACATGGAAACTGAACAACCTGCTCCTGAATGACTACTGGGTACATAACAAAATGAAGGCAGAAATAAAGATGTTCTTTGAAACCAACGAGAACAAAGACACAACATACCAGAATCTCTGGGACACATTCAAAGCAATGTTTAGAGGGAAATTTATAGCACTAAATGTGCACAAAAGAAAGCAGGAAAGATAAAAAATTGACACCCTAACATCACAATTAGAAGAACTAGAGAAGCAAGAGCAAACACATTCAAAAGCTAGCAGAAGGCAAGAAATAACTAAGATCAGAGCAGAACTAAAGGAAATAAAGACACAAAAAACCCTTCAAAAAATCAATGAATCCAGGAGCTGGTTTTTTGAAAAGACCAACAAAATTGATAGACCGCTAGCAACACTAATAAAGAAGAAAAGAGAGAAGAATCAAATAGATTCAGTAAAAAATGATAAAGGGGATATCACCACTGATCCCACAGAAATACAAACTACCATCAGAGAATACTATAAACACCTCTATGCAAATAAACTAGAAAATCTAGAAGAAATGGATAAATTCCTGGACACATACATCCTCCCAAGACTAAACTAGGAAGAAGTTGAATCTCTGAATAGACCAATAACAGGCTCTGAAACTGAGGCAATAATTAATAAACCAAAAAAAGTCCAGGACCAGATGGATTCACAGCTGAATTCTACCAGAGGTACAAGGAGGAGCTGGTACCATTCCTTCTGAAATTATTCCAAGCAGTAGAAAAAGAGGGAATCCTCCCTAACTCATTTTATGAGGCCAGCATCATCCTGATAGCAAATCCTGGGAGAGACACAACAAAAAAAGGGAACTTTAGACCAATATCCCTGATGAACATCAATGCAAAAATCTTCAATAAAATACTGGCAAACGGAATCCAGCAGCACATCAAGAATCTTATCCACCATGGTCAAGTGGGCTTCATCCCTGAGATGCAAGGCTGGTTCAACATACGAAAATCAATAAATGTAATCCAGTGTATAAACAGAACCAACGACAAAAACCACATGATTATCTCAATAGATGCAGAACAGGCCTTTAACAAAATTCAACAACGCTTCATGCTAAAAACTCTCAAAAAATTAGGTATTGATGGGACGTACCTCAAAATAATAAGAGTTATCTATGACAAACCCACAGCCAATATCATACTGAATGGGCAAAAACTGGAAGCATTCCCTTTGAAAACTGGCACAAGACAGGGATGCCTTCTCTCACCACTCCTATTCAACATAATGTTGGAAGTTCTGGCCAGGGCAATTAGGCAGGAGAAGGAAATACAGGGTATTCAATTAGGAAAAGAGGAAGTCAAATTGTCCCTGTTTGCAGATGACATTATTGTATATATAGAAAACCCCATCATCTCAGCCCAAAATCTCTTTAAGCTGATATGCAACGTCAGCAAAGTCTCAGAATACAAAATCAATGTGCAAAAATCACAAGCATTCTTGTACACCAATAACAGACAAACAGAGAGCCAAATCATGAGTGAACTCCCATTCACAATTGCTTCAAGGAGAATAAAATACCTAGGCATCCGACTTACAATGGACATGAAGGACCTCTTCAAGGAGAACTACAAACCACTGCTCAATGAAATAAAAGAGGATACAAACAAATGGAAGAACATTCCATGCTCATGGGTAGGAAGAATCAATATCGTGAAAATGGCCATACTGCCCAAGGTGATTTATAGATTCAATGCCATCCCCATCAAGCTACCAATGACTTACTTCACAGAATTGGAAAAAACTACTTTAAAGTTCATATGGAACCAAAAAGGAGCCCACATTGCCAAGTCAATCCTAAGCCAAAAGAACAAAGCTGGAGGCATCACGCTACCTGACTTCAAACTATACTACAAGGCTACAGTAACCAAGACAGCATGGTACTGGTACCAAAACAGAGATATAGACCAATGGAACAGAACAGAGCCCTCTGAAATAATAACACACATCTACAATCAACTGATCTTTGACAAACCTGAAAAAAACAAGCAATGGGGAGAGGATTCCCTATTTTATAAATGGTGCTGGAAAAACTGGCTAGCCATATGTAGAAAGCTGAAACTGGATCCCTTCCTTACACCTTATACAAAAATTACTTCAAGATGGATTAAAGACTTAAATGTTAGACCGAAAACCATAAAAACCCTAGAAGAAAACCTAGGCAATACCACTCAGGACTTAGACATGGGCAAGGACTTCATGTCTAAAACACCAAAAGCAATGGCAACAAAAGCCAAAATTGACAACTTGGATCTAATTAAACTAAAGAGCTTCTGCACAGCAAAAGAAAGTACCATCAGAATGAACAGGCAACCTACAGAATGGGAGAAAATTTTTGAAATCTACTCATCTGACAAAGGGCTAATATCCATAATCTACAATGAACTCAAACAAATTTACAAGAAAAAAACAAACCACCATCAAAAAACGCCACCATCAAAAAGTGGGCGAAGGATATGAAAAGACACTTCTCAAAAGAAGACATTTACGCAGCCAACAGACACGTGAAAAAATGCTCATCATCACTGGCCATCAGAGAAATGCAAATCAAAACCACAATGAGATACCATCTCACACCAGTTAGAATGGCAGTCATTAAAAAGTCAGGAAACAACAGGTGCTGGAGAGGATAAGGAGATATAGGGACACTTTTACACTGTTGGTGGGACTGTAAACTAGTCCAACCATTGTGGAAGTCAGTGTGGTGATTCCTCAGGGATCTAGAACTGGAAATACCATTTGACCCAGCCATCCCATTACTGAGTATATACCCAAAGGATTATAAAACATGCTACTACAAAGACACATGTACACGTATGTTTATTGCGGCACTATTCACAACAGCAAAGACTTGGAACCAACCCAAAAGTCCAGCAAGGATAGACTGGATTAAGAAAATGTGGCACATATACACCATGGAATACTATGCAGCCATAAAAAATGATGAGTTCATGTCCTTTGTAGGGACATGGATGAAGCTGGAAACCATCATTCTGAGCAAACTATCGCAAGGACAAAAAAACAAACACCGCATGTTCTCACTCATAGGTGGGAATTGAACAATGAGAACACATGGACACAGGAAGGGGAACATCACACACCGGGGACTGTTGTGGGGTGGGAGGAGGGGGGAGGGATAGCATTAGGAGATATACCTAATGTTAAATGAAGAGCTAATGGGTGCAGCACTCCAATATGGCACATGTATACATATGTAACAAACCTGCATGTTGTGCACATGTACTCTAAAACTTAAAGTATAATTAAAAAAAAGAAAGAAAATACAGCTGTAAGAAAGACCATAACAAAATAAAAAAATAAAATAAAAAATAAAATGCATTGAAAAGAAAAAAAGCTTACGTATAAATTTAACTAAGAAGGTGAATGATCTGTATACTAAAACTACAAAACAATAATAAAAAATTACATTGGACACAGTAAGTGGAAAGATGTTCCATGTTCACAGATTAGAAGAATTAATATTGTTAAAATGTCCATACTACCCAAAGCAATCTACAGATTAAATGTAATCCTTATCAAAAATTCCAAGGGTATTTTTCATAGAAAAAAAAATCCTAAAATTAATATGTAACTACAAAAGACCCTTAACACCCAAATGAATCTTGAGCAAGTGTACAAGAAAGCTGAAGACATCACACTTCCTGATTTCAAATTATGTTACTAACCTCTAGTAATCAAAATAGTATGGTACTGGCATAAAAGAGACATAGACCAATGGAACAGAATACATAACCCAGATATAAACCCATGCATATATGGTCAATTAATTTTCAACAAGGGATCCAAAGATATACAATGAGGAAAGGACAGTTTCTTCAATAAATGGTGTTGGAAAAACTAGATATCCGTATGCAAAATAATATAATTGGGTGTTTGTTTTACACCATACAGGAGAACCAACTCAAAATGGATTAATGACTTAAATGTAAGACCTGAAACAATAAAACTCCTGGAAGAAAACAGAAAAAAAGCTCACTGACATTGATCTTGGCAATAATATTTTGGATATCACACTAAAATCTCAGGCAACAAAAGCAATAATATATAAGTGGGAGTTATGTAAAACTAAAAAGCTTCTACATAGCAAAGGAAACAATCAACAAAACAAAAAGGCAACTGCTATGCTTTTAATGTGTTTCCCAAATTTTATAAGCAAGAAACTTAATCCACGATATGGCAGTATTGAAAAGTGGGGCCTGTAAAAGTTAACAGGATTATGAGGGCTCATAAATGAATTAATCCATTTATGGATTAGTGGTTTAATGGATTAATCGGTTATGGGAATGGAACTGGTGATTTTATAAGAGAAGGAGAGAGCTAAGCAAGTATGATCCGTCCCCTCACTACCATGTGATGCCTTTCACTGCCTCAGGACTCTGCAGAGAGTCCCCACCAGCAAGACGTTCTCACCAGATATACCTCTCTACCTTGTACATCTCAGCCTCCATAACCCTAAGAAATAAATTTCTTTTCTTAATAGATCAGACAGTTTCAGGTATTCTGTTATAAGCAACAGAAAATAGCAACCTATGAAATGGGCTAATATCCAAAATATACAAGGATCTCATACAACTCAACAGCAAAACAAAACACAAAAACAAAGAAAAAGAAAACTAAAAAAAAAAAACTAATTACAAAATGGGTGAAGGAAATGAATAGACATTTCTCCAAAGAAGATATACAAACAGCTGACAAATTTGTGAAAAGGTGCTCAACATTACTAGTCATCAGGGAAATTCAAATCAAAACCACAATGAATTAGCACCACAGCTATTAGGATGGCTATCCTAAAATGTTTTTGTCATCCACAGACAATTGTTATCTTGTTTTAGTCCTCTTTAAAAGATGTTTTTATAACCAGCTACAAAATTTAACAGGTGTTCTTAAATGCAGGATTGTGATTAATAACTCTGGAGATTGTGACATTAGAATAGACGAAAAACTGGGAGGCCGAGGTGGGCGGATCACGAGGTCAGGAGATCGAGACCATCCTGGCTAACACGGTGAAACCCCCTCTCTACTAAAAATACAAAAAATTAGCTGGGCGTGGTGGCGGACGCCTATAGTCCCAGCTACTCGGGAGGCTGAGGCAGGAGAATGGCCTGAACCCAGGAGGTGGAGCTTGCAGTGAACCGAGATAGCGCCACTGCACTCCAGCGTGGGTGACAGAGCGAGACTCCGTCTCAAAAAAAAAAAAAAAAGAGTAGAGGAAAAACTTTCAAATAGAAGAATTAATGGTGTTTGGTTTTCTTTGGACTGCATTTTGTATAAATACGTTATTAGTACGTGTTCCAAAAATTATGGGAAACTTCTATAATTCTGACATGATTTAGTGTACATTACTAATAATTAGCATTGTCATGTAAAATTGTTGTATGCCACAGAAGTAACCAAAATTCCTAGTCAGTTGTAGCTTTAATAGTGGCTATCCTAATTATTTTGTCATCCACAAACATTTTGTCTTGCTTAGCTCCTTTTCAAAAGGCAGTTTATAATCAGATATAGGACTCTGAGTGCAGGTCCCTGATACTTTAAAAATTGTGATATTCAAATAGAGGAAAAACAAACTTCTAGGATTCTCACAGAAAACTAATGTGTTAAACACCGCTAAACCTCTTGTTTTCAAAGTCAAGATAACCTATTTTTTTAGAGCTATTGGCAACTTTTAACAAGTGAGTAAAATAATATACTCCTGTGAACAAAATGTATAGCATATATGTTTCTCTCTACCTGATTTCTCCAGAATTTGGGAACTATGTCTGAGTATTCTCAATTTACAGTAGTATAGTTAATTGTGTAAGTGCAATAAGAATCTGTTTTCTTTTGTAATAAGACCCAATTGGAGAAATTGGTCATTTTACCAAGACTGACTGGAATGGCATGCTCCCTTTAAAGAATCAAAGATCAAACTTGACTTATAGAGCCAATTAAAGCCCGTTCGGGAATCTGGCCTCATACTTTGTGCACAGAGTCCCTGTACAAGGTTTCTGACCTGTGCTAAGTAAAGAATGTCACTTTCTAACAGGCCCGGGAACCCCTAGTTATCTTGGACCTCAAGAGAAGAGGAATTTGCTCAACTCAAAGATATTTGAGGGTACAGACCCATGGCTGGACTTGGCTTTTAAAAATTCTTATCTGAGATGTTTCATAGAATAGAGTTCCATCAAAGCCAATTAAAGCCTACATGAAAAATAATTATTCTTGCTGCACTTTATGCAAATAATCAGGCCAAGTACAGTAAGACTAAAGTTTTATTTTGTAAACTGTAAATCAGTTCTATCATTATTTGTTTTTTTTTTAAAAATGGAGACTGGAGAGAGAAAAATTATGCCTCAAAAGAAAAACTATAGTACACTGTTGTTAGCTGTTCTTGAAGTTTTTTCCTGCCATTTAGACTAAATTCTAAATTCTTTGTAGGCTAGAAGTCTCCAAACTAATGCTTTCAAATCTTTGCTTTTAAAATTGGGAATTGTACTCCTCATCCTAGGACTCATTATTTACCTTATAGTATACAGTTCACTTAAATACTGTCCTAAAACTGTAGATGGAAGTAATAATGTTTTTACCATGCTAGCCTTGAAAGCCCAGCCATGCCTGCATGAGTATGCTCAGGCAATTGCAAAGTAGTTCCATTCTTCTCACCTTGTGGCCAGAGCGATTGATGGCCTTTTCCCATCTTCATAGCATACACCTTAAGATTAAATTGTTATACAACCCAAAGGGAGGGATTGAAACCATAATTTTGCAAAATTATGACTGAAACAGTGAAACAGAGCTAACTTAACCAACTCCATCTTGCTTCTAATCTCCAAGCTGTCTTGTTCATTCCTGGGCATAGGCTGAACTAAGTTTGGGAGAAAGTTTATAGTTTAAACAAAGAGAGTAACAACGCTTTCCCAAAGCACACCTCCTTCCTGCCTGGGGACTAGATAGCCTTTGTAGGACTAACATTAGTGACAGTATTAGAAATTATGGTTTAGGAGTCATGCAGCTGGAATCTACAAGATTCTGACCGTCCCTATACTGCTCCTAAGACCAATGCTTGAGATATTTTGTAGACCCTGCATGTGATAGATCAGCTGGCACCACCCAGATCAATAAACTAACTCATCTAATCTTGTGGCCCCCACCCAGGAACTGACTCAGTGCAAGAAGACTGCTTCTACTCCCTATGATTTCATCTCTGACCAATCAGCACCCTGGCTCACCAGCTTCCCCTCACCCACCAAGTTATCCTTAAAAACTCTGCTCCCCTAATGATTGGGGAGACTAATTTGAGTAATAATAAAACTCCAGTCTCCCACATTAAAAAAAAAATCCAATGTCTTTTTTCACAGTAATGGAAAAAACAATCCTTAAACTCTTATAGAACCACAAAAGACCCTAAAGAGTCACAATAATCTTGAGCAAAAAGAACAAAGCTGGAGGCATCACACTGTCTGATTTTAAAATATATTATAAAGCAATTGTAATAAAATAGCATGCTACTGGCATAAAAACAGACACATCAACCAGTGGAACAGGATAGAAGCCCAGAAATAATTACACTTATTTACAATCAACAAATTTTTAATAAAGGTACCCAGAACAGGCAATGAAGAAAGAACAATCTCCTCAATAAGTGGTGCTGGAAAACTGCATATCTATATGCAGAAGAATAAAACTGGAACCTAATATAATACCATATGCAAAAAACAACTCAAAATAGATTAAAGACTTTTAAATTTAAGAACTGAAACTGTAAAACTACTAGTAAACATAGCGAAATCTCTATGACATTGGTTTGGGCAATGGCTTTTTAGATATGACCCCAAAAGACAGGTAACAAAAGCAAAAATAGACAAGTGGGATGGCATCAAGCTGAAAAGTTCCTGCGCAACAAAAGAAACAACCCACAGAATGGGAGGAAATATAAATATTTGCAAACCATACATCTAATAAGTTAATATCCAAAATATATAAGGAACTCAAACAACTCAATAGCAAAGCAACAACAACAAATAGCCCAATTAAAAAATGGGCAAAGGACCTGAACAGATATTTCTCAAAAGGAAACATACAAATGGCCAATAGGTACATTTTTAAAATGCTTAGCATTATTAGGGAAATACAAATTAAAACCACTATGAGATATCACCTCACACTTGTTGACTCTTTATAAAAATTATGAGAGATAAAAAGTGTTGGAGAGGATATGAAGAAAAGGGAACTCAAATATTGTTGGTGGAAATGTAAAACCCTGCAGCCATTATGGAAAATGTTATGGAAGTTCTTTTAAAAACTAAAAGTAGAACCACTATACAATCCAGTAATCCTACTTCTGAGCATATATTCAAAAACACTGAAATCCATCGGTCAAAAGGATATCTGCACTCCCATGTTCATTGCAGCATTATTCACAAGGGCCAAGATATAAAAACAACCTGAATGTCCCTCAGTGGATAAATGGATTAAAAAAAAATGTGGTACGCATACACGATAGAATACTATTTAGCCTTGAAAAAGAGAGAAGTCCTGTCATTTGTGACAACGTGAATGAATCTGAAGGACATTATGCTAAGTAATATAAGCCAGATGCAGAAAGACAAAAATAGCACATGATCTCAATTATGTGGAATCTAATAAATTAGAACTCATAAAAGTAGAGAATATAATGATGGCTACCAGAGGCTGGGTAATAAAGGGACAGTAGGAATGGGAAGTTGCTGTTGATCAAAGAATGTAAAGTTTCAGACAGAGAAGAGAAAGAAGATTTGAGATCTACTGCACAGTAAGGTGACTATAGTCAATAACAACGTATTATATGTTTCAAAATAACTGAGTAAATTTTGAATGTCTCACTATAAAAACTGATAGGTAAACAGGGTGATGAATTTTTTTTTTTTTTTTTTTGAGACGGAGTCTCGCTCTGTCGCCCAGGTTGGAGTGCAGTGGTGCAATCTTGGCTCACTGCAAGCTCCGCCTCCCAGGTTCAAGCCATTCTCCTGCCTCAGCCTCCCGAGTAGCTGGGACTACAGGCGCCCGCCACCACACCTGGCTAATTTTTTAGTAGAGACGGAGTTTCACTGTGTTAGCCAAGATGGTCTCAACCTCCTGACCTCGTGATCGGCCTTCCTCGGCCTCCCAAAGTGCTGGGATAACAGGCGTGAGCCACCGCGCCTGGCTGTGATGAATATGTTAATTAGCTTAATTTAATTATGCCAGAATGTATACATATATCAAAACACCAATTTGCATAAATGTATGCAATTGTAATTTGACAATCACAAATACTAATAATATATATTTTTAAAGATTCATATTGTTATGCCCTAAAAAATCACTAAAAATAATTTAATTACAGTAGTCCCCCATTATCAGCAGGAGATACATACCAAGACCTCCTGTGGCTATCTGAAACCCCAGATAGTACCAAATCCTGTATATACTATGTGTTCTTCCATCTGATAACTGATAACAGCAACTAAGTGACTAACAGGTGGGTAGATATATAGTGTGAATATGCTGGACAAAGGGATGATTTACATACTGGGCAGTAAGAGCTGGACAATGTGAGATTTCATCACGCCACCTAGAATGGTGCACAATTTAAAATTAATTATCAATGTCTGGAATTTTCCATTTAATATTTCCAGATCATGGTTGACCACAGGTAACTGAAACCACAGAAAGTGGAATCATGGATAAGGTTGTACTAGTGTAATAAGAGGTCTAAATCATAACCAATAGTCATGTTAAACGGAATCATAATGAAAATTCAAAAGCAGGCAGAAAAGAAAAAAAAAACAGGTGGAACAAATAGAAAACAACTAGCAGGCTGGGCAGATTATAACCAGACCTCATAAAAGTGGTTACATTAAAGGTAAATGGTCTAAAAATACTAAGTAAAATACAGAGATGGTCAAATTAAATAATAAAACAAGAGCCAAATATATGCTGTATACCACAAACTCTATATATAAAAACATGGAAAGGTTAAAAGAAAACTGATGTAGAAAATACACCATGCAAGCCCACCTCCAAAGAAAGCTGGAGGGGTTATATTAATATCAAAGTAGCCTTCAAAAACAGAAATATTATTTGGAATGAAGAGAAAATTAATAATGGTAAAGGATAACCAAGATGACATAAAAATCCTAGATGTGTACCTAGGAAAAGAGTTCCAAAAAACAAGAAGCAGAAACTGATACAACTAAAAGGAAAAATACGCAAGTCCACAACTATTGATTAAAATTTCAACACAACCTTTTCAGTAATTGAATGAACAAATATACAGAAAATCATTACGTGTCAAGACTTCAATAACAATATCATCTGACTTAACCAACGAGCAGCCGATTAAACATTCTTCTCAAGTAGACATTCAGCAAGATAGACAACAGTTGTGCCATGAAACAAACCTCAACCAATTAAAAAGAAATGATATCATACCAGGTGTTTTCTCTGACTATAATAAAATTAAATTATACATCTATAACGGATATCTGTAAAACCACAAATATTCGGAGATTAAAAAATATACTTCTAAATATCCCATGCAAAGAGCAAGTTAAAAATAAAATTAGAACATGTTTTAAGTTGAATAAAAATTAAAACCCAATGTATTAAAATGTATAAGGTTCTAAAGAAATGCTTGAAGTGCAATGGATGGTGCAAAACACTTCCATTAGAAAAAAGAAACAGTTTTCATTCAGTTGTCTAAGAACAATGACCCTAACACCTGTTCCCTTTTCCTTTCCATCAGAGTTAATTATCTGTAAGGAAGATATACACATCTAAAGACAGATTTTCCAAACACATGCATGTGCATTTTGAAGCCAGACATTATAATCAATTAAGATTCATTCCTAGAACATCTGGTCACCAGTCAGGCATTCAATTTAGGAACTATCACTTTAAGCATTAAATGCAACTACTTTCAATAACATTTTGTCTTCTTCCTTTGAAAGTAAAAATATCTGCTTCAAAACTATAGTTTTGTAATTCAAAGGAAAGTTTACCATATTGTTTACTACTTATTTTCTTAAAGCTGGAAACAGACAAAATACACCACAGGAAAGCATAATTAATATGTGTATCATAACATCTAAAGCTACAGTTATAAATAATGTGTCTTGAGCTTAAAGTGACCAACCATCACAGATTGCCCAAACTATAGGGATTCCAGAGACATGGGATTTTCAATGCTGAAACTGGGCAATTCCTGAGCAAAGTATGACAAGTTGGTGACCCTAGGCATACATGTCTAATGAATCATACAGATCTATTTTAATTGAACAATTATAAAAATAAATTGTTAATAGCAAGTATCTTAAAACAAAATAATTCAATGTTTGTCTTAAAACATGTTAACTTGATTTGTTACTTATTTTCATGGGATCTACGTTTGTGTTGTTAAATCCACAGGTTGTGTCTTCATGGCCCCAGTCACAGGCCCACTGATGCTTCCTAGCCTGGCTCTGTGCATGTTTTCAGTTTGTTCTCTCTTTCTTCATAACTACCACAACTTCCTCTAGTTCTCAGTATTACTAAGATTGTTGGTGCAAATATACTTGAGATCCCCAGTTCAACTTGCCCCTATTTTCCCAAATGTGTAGCAAACTAACTAGGCTAGACCTGCCGCTGACTAGCCTTTCTTTTTCTCTCGTTTTTAGATGGTTCTCAATGGATGTGTCAGTGTCTATGTGTGTTAGCATGTAAGAATGTGTGAAAGTATGTTTTGGGGGAGTACCACAACCACTAAAAGCACTTTTACAAATAACACAGATTTCCACCCTCAAAAGATTCTAGACTGTTTCCTAGAGAACGGGAGTGGGAAGTAGCAAAGAGTAGTTTGAATATGTCTCACGAATAATTCTGATATGTATATCCCAACTCTCCAAGCTCTGCCAACACACACACACAAACACACACACACAAACTTATACACTCCACTGGAATCTTGATGAACCAATTATCTATTTCATTCTTGGTAGTAGTGAGCTAGTAGAGATTACGCTATGTTAAGCCTATAATTTTATTATTTATTCTTTCCCCATTAGGAAACATTATTGTCAGGGATGTTCTATAGTATACTTACGTTAAGTATTACCATACTTCATTCTTTTTTCTCTTGTAACTTCTTACACAGAAAAGAAATCTGGAATGGATTATGTGTCAGTTATTACATCAGGCCCAAGAGAACGTGTTGCTTTCACATGGGATGTGGCAAACTTCCCAGGGCCCCTAAATGGACTACTTAGGGAATCCCAAGCCCCAAAAAATGGTCCCTGGAAGATACCTGGTCTGTTGATTCACATCCTGGACTCATTTAATCATTGGTGTTTGTTCATTGGCTTAGCCAAGATGAGAGATGAGGTAATGATATCTGAATTTATCAGACAATTTTCCTTTCAATGTCATATAAATTTGTGGAGGATCCAAGTAAGACTCTATGTATTTATATGAGGATGCTCTCCTCACTGGACATGAATGTGGCCACCATTAATACTATATTCTTAAATAAAATAAAGACATCCTTCTTAGGTTGTTTGAGGCAGTAATTTCCAACTTCATTGCTTTATTTTGTTCGAAATAAACATTCTTCTCTATTTGCCAGCACTCATTATTCCTGAAAACAAAAATGCAAAATAAAAACAAAAGTGGTCTAGGACATATCAGGGGGAGACAGCCAGAATCCCTGACATCTATTGTTTGCTTCTTGATTGGTAATCATGGTGTTTGCTTGTAAACTAAATGGCTAAGAGGACTGAAAAGAATCTCGAAATAGGTTTACAAGTGTTACCAGATTCAATAGTATATTTCTGAAGGTCAAGGCAAGCCAAAGGAGAAGAATTTTCTTGTTATCAGATGCCCAAATGGTATCACCAACATCCAAATCACCACCAGCAATACTGGTAGTAGGGTAACATTTTGGAATTCTTAGTAAAGTCTCATTAATCAGACTTTTCTAATAGGAAATTTGTGACTATCCAGACAGAAATTGAGTTAAATTTTACTTTTGTACTCTGAACGAGAATTGAAAATGTAAGCATAAAATATTAACCAATTTGAAATGAATGTAAACTGTTTAATCACTTTATAATAGTATTGACAAACACATAGAGATAGAGAGCAGAATAGAAGAACAGTGTTAGACAGAGAGTAGAATGGAACTTACTGGGTCAAAATGAGATGATGAAAAGTTCAGGAGATGGATAGTGGTGATGCTTGCCAAACAATGTGAATGTACTTAATGTTACTGAACTGTCTACTAAAAAATGGTTAAAATGATAAAAGAGAAAAAATAGTACTGAATGCAAACAATTATTTCAAATCTTAGTTCAACTCCTATGTTCTTCCAAGTAGAACATATATGCTCTTAAAAATATTCTCTCATTTTGAAACATTGGACAATTCAATTCTACCTACCACAAACATTTATTTCCAGTAATCTGGAAATGTTAGTATACATAGTGCTGTGCCAGCCTGACTCAGTCGTTAGACTACTGGAAATAAATCCTCACTTCACTAGATTCTAGCTGTGAGAGTTAGACAAGTTTCTTAGTTTTCTCTTCTATGAAATGATGCTGGTGATGGTAATTACCTTACAGGATCTTTATAAGATTTAAATGAATTCATATATGTAAAGCACTTTGAATAGTTCCTGGCATACAGCAAACGTTCAATAAATGTCAGCTAATGTATATTGTAATGGTATAACAAAAATGTGAAGTTTTGTTAGTATGGAAAACATGTATACATGGATAAAGTAGGGATAGCTATTTTTTAGATAATATACAAGTTGTGATGAAAGCAAATAAAATATGCTGAATAATTTGCGAAAACATTTTAATAAAACTATTCCAGTTGTTTAAGTTTAAAGGTTTATAGACAACTTATCTTTCTATTGTACAATGATTCTTCAACTGAAGAATAATGCTTATATATGTATGTCCTCTAAGCAGTAGACGATGCAGGATAACAGCCTTTGCCACATTTCATTTGCAGACTATTAATGGGCAACAACTTTAATTGTTATTTATTTATGTTTAAAATTTAATGAAGATATGAATAATTTAAAATTTTTGTCATATTACAAAAGTGGAATATTAAACTTGCAATGTATCTAGCCATCTCATTTTCTAGAAGTATATCAAATGGAATTTATCACAGGAAAGATTTATTTAAAATGTGAATAAGCATGAATAATGAATAATAGGAGTAGCCATTACCTATTAAAACTGCAATTACACAAAGAAGGAAATACTATACCAGAGTCATTATTTTCCTGTTCATAAATCTTATTGAAGGGACCACCCTTCTATGAACTGACACTAACTGTTTACTGCCTATTCCAAAATTTTCTCAAACTGTTGACAAACCAATCACAAGGGTGCACAGCAGGGGATGGGACCATTTCTTCTACTAATCTTTTAGACCATTTCTCCTACGTATCTTGGCAGAAAACCTGTAACAGTTTGAACAGAATTGTGCACAATATGTGCAGCTCAGCCAAAACTCATTAAGTGCCTTTGTCTCATGCATCTTGTGAAACACAATATTGCACCCCTGATGAGCAATGCCTCCAAATGTTATGTTAACATTAAGATCACCAGAAACCATTAATTTACTAGTCAAATTACATCTCTCAGCAGCATTCAGACAATGTTCTGGGGAATGATCTGCCTATCACCAAGTATAAATAAAATTTTAATGAGTGTTTTCCAGTACTTCAAACACAGGTTAAGAAAGTGCTCTAGAATATATTTCATGACTCATGTGTTACAGGATAAGACTTTAATTTAAAGCTAACATATTCCGTACATTTTTTCCAGGTACAAACAGTATTTCCACCGCTCTCTGGCTTTATTAAAAGGTGGCTTTCTTTCAGAGAATTAAGGGACGTCTTCAATTTTTAGCTCTATCTTCTTTTCATTGATGTCTATTTCCAGGTCCACATTTTACTTTGCCTCTGTTGCTGCATTGCATTCCACATCTGTATTTTCCCATGTCATAGGCTACTCCTAGAATGCCTTTTCTTACCTCAAATAAAGCCAACTACCAGTTATTTCCCTCTCTTTCTAACTGCTCTCAAAAATACACTCCATCAATGAATTATCTCTGACTAGCTAGAAGGCAGGGTGACCTCTTCCAATTCCCTTTGTTAGATATTCTCAAACGGTCCTTGGTAACAGAAAGTGCAGTTATCACTATACCTTTCCACATATAAACATATTCATTATTTAAACTTACATTTTAAAATTAGGCTTGCTGTTTCTGTCCCAGATTATAAACCAAAAGCTATAAGGCTCTTTGCCTGACTTGGCATAGACTCTACAGCATCATCATATACCAAGAGGCATTTAATAAGTCGCATGCACATTGTTATCTACAAAATGTGGTAAACATAATAGCCAAGATGGTTAAATACTAATAAGTTATATTCCTCAACATTAGTCATTTCTTCAACTAAATTTTCTAGCATCCTTATTGTCTATCTTTACCTGGGACATAACCTTGATTGATAAGTGAGCAATACTTTATCTTCCAATGACAAAATCAAATAAACTACATGACAACCTGAGCAATAAGGCAAAAATTGATCTTTAACGTTAATAAAAAAAACCCCAAAATCATCAAAAAATAGATCAATTTAGCCATTGACTGTGGACAAGGCCATCACATATAGGTCAAAATTCAACTGCGTTTGATCTAACAATCAAGAGGTCATTGTTTTCCCTTTGCCATTTGCTAAATTCTAGCTTCAGTCTGTCTCCTTTACTTCATTTTTTAAAGCATCTTAAGGCAATGATAATATCACATTTATTGATTTTGAAAATAATTCCAATTTAGAAAATAGTTATAAATGACAAAATTTTATTGGTTTTGTTTTTAATAGATAATGGGCTAAGATATAAAAACATATTTTACAAATGTAAAATCCTCTTATTTTGAGTAACAACACAAAACGAAATACTGCTTCCTAATTTGCTGATAAATATATTAAAGGAGAAGGCAAATAAAATGATTTGTACAAGCAGCTGAGCTCATCATTCAATAAAATCCATAAGAATGATAGGTCATGTCCTATAATGGTTATTTCTAGAGACCTGAACGTGGCAATAATATAAGATCAGCCTTATTCAGAATTCGTGGCTGATGATTCAGACCAGAAACAAATGAAAGCTTAGAACAACTTCTCAAAAGTTAGTGCTCAGTTTTGTAGCAAATACATTTTACTATTTTTTAAAAATATTTTTAAGCCTCAATAAAGAAGGATTAAAAATATGAAAGTTCACAAGAATGTTTGCTCAAAAAAATAACAAGTTAGAAAAAAACAATCAAATGAAGACTTTGGAGCAAAGACATTAATGGCATGAAGCCTGTGATTAAATATGATGACTGAGGGATGATTCTGAAGCCTAATCACCTAGCACCAAATTGTACCTGTCCTGCCTTCTAGCTGGGCAATTAGGAAAACTTCCTTAAGCTCTCTTGCCTTCTTTCTCTCATTGGCAAATAGGGATAATAACAGTACCTACCTCAAACACTTACGTGTTAATACAGACACAGCTCCTATAACAGTGCCAGGTACATAGGATGTGCTACATTTGATTTTTTATTATTATTTCTGATAAGCTTTCATCATATCTTTAGTGCATTTTCTAATGGCATCTGTTTGTTTTCTTTCATTTGAGGTTCTTTTGGCTTAAGCCAAAAGATAAACAACTGCTTTTCTTTTTTCTTTTGTTTTCCTTTTTTTCTTTTTTTTTACTTTTTTTTGAGACAGAGTCTCTCTCTGTCGCCCAGGCTGGAGTGCAGTGGCGCGATCTCGGCTCACTGCAACCTCCGCCTCCTGGGTTCAAGCGATTCTTCTGCCTCAGCCTCCCAAGTAGCTGGGATTATAGGCCTGTGCCGCCGCGCCCGGCCTGCTGCTTGTTTTTCTATGTTCCTGATGGGATGAGACCTATTTCAGTGAAGCGTTCTTTTTAAAGTAGCAATTGAAAGTCCCCAACATGATGAGTCCACCGGGGTGAATAGTCTTCAACTGAAAGCCAGAGATAAAAAAAGAAATTTCTAAATATTAAAAATGCCATGATGATAACTTTGAAACTTAATTGCAAAAGATGGCGATAGCAATGTCTAAAATGGCAATTGTCTGAAATGAGTGCCAATTAAAGGTCACAGGAACCTACAAAAAGGCTATGAGTGCTCCATTACACATTGCTAATTTGAGTAAATAGGGAAAGCGGCATTTATATGCAAATTGTGCGAAGAGAACATATTGCAAATATATTTCTACAGCTATGTTACCCATTTTCCTACTGCGTGTCTAATGAACAAGGGAGTTCCAGTCTTTATTAATAGCCTGTAGAATTAGCATTTGCTTTACAAAGAAATTGTCAATAAAAGAAAGGGGAGTTCCCAGAAGTTACCCACTCTACGAATCAGCACACTTACTACTAACACATGGATTTCAAAATTGACCAACACAGAATCAGAAACCTGTACCACAGTGTTTTAAACACTTCAGGCATGGAATGTAAAATGAGCACTAGCCGTGTCCTAAGAACAAATGTATTTTGAGCAAGAAAACATTTCAAAACTATCTTTGTTGTGTCCTAATGCTTCAAGCACTTTGGCCAAACAGTCCTACCATGTAAGTATCCCCCCCACTGGGATGCAATGGTTGAGGAAATTTCAAAATAGCTGTATCCTTTTAAGGAAACTATTCCTGTTGTTCGCTAAGGCAAAAGCTTGCGTGTAGATTTGTCTTCAAAGATCTTTGTCAACAGGTGTTAATAAGTTTGTTAATATCACAATTGGCTACTCTTTATGTACATTAAACACTAAGTATTAGAGAATAGAGTGATGATATGTAGAACTTGCTATATAGAATTATTAATTTTCCATTTTTTCTGAGAAGCCTGCTGCCATTAAGGAACATCAGTTGGCAAAAAAAAAAAAAAAAAAAATCACTATCCCCTACAGCACCACTTCTGCGGTAGCTTTCTAGAAACACCAAACGCTACAAGCTTCTTAGGGATGAAAACAGTTTTTTATGCAAACATAGATGAGGGCTTCACTTGGTGCCTTTTCAATTAACAGTTCTCAACAAAACCATTTCTGTACTGATTATTTCTGACTCTCTTCTATTTTGAAATGATTTCTCTGACCAAAATTTATGTTGAAAAAACTCACAAAGATAAAGAAAATGTTACCTGTTTCCATAACACAATTTTTAATAGCATTTTCCTCTAAGATAGGCCAATTGTTTTTTTCTTATAGAATGTATTTCTCATGAAAAACTATTTTAGACATGAGAAGGTATTATTTTTCAAATGAATCATGACAGAATTTTTGTGAAGATGCTACATTACCCATACGAGGAACACTGTTTCACATTTTCCAGGTATTTTGGAATCCTACCTTGAGGAGAAATTCAACAGAAGACACTGTGGTCAGGACCTCTCTAGCTAAATGAAAAATTGACATAATTTTCTTCTACAGACAGCCTTAAAAAAATATTTATTCAATTCTCCAGATAATTTAGATAAAAATGATGTTTGGAGTTTGATTTGACTAAAAATATCACCTTTCCTTCAGCTATTTGACTATATGGACATGACCTCAGATGAACACAGCAGAAATGTGGAGTTTAGGTCAATGAAAAGAAATTAATTTATAAAATCTAGTGTTTCCAATTCTAGTGATGGCTTAGGAAACTTCACTTTCTCTGTTGATAAGAAAAATAATTATTAGTGATAGATTAATAAAATAACTTTAAAACCATGTATTTGACAGTTTAAGTAAAGTTTATGCTGTATAAGTTCAAATTTTACTGCCTTTTTAATAATGTGTAAATCATGTTGACACTTGTAAGAAAAATGTCCATATTATTTTAAGTCCAAATTTTACTGCTTTATCATTTCTATTACGTATTTTGGAAATGGAAATCTTTTGACCTTAAAATAATCAAGTAATAAAATAAAGTAGTAAAAGAAATTGAAAAGCCGTGCATCTGACTCTTTATTTCAAACCATTAAGATGGAAGTAAGAAAAAAATTGATGACTTCTATTCATAACCAATTGAAAAAGGAAGGAAATCTCTCTTTAGCCTGAAAGTGTATATCTAGATGAGAATGACCAAAAATGGATAAGCTCTGGTTGGTCAATATAATGAGTAGTTACTGATGTACTGATATTTTTAATAGCTTAGCCTAGATGGTATTACTTTTGTAAGTTATATGTAAGAAATTATTTGGCTATTCACTAAACTTATTTTCCAAAAAGTGCTTTCTATTTCAGAAGCACTATGTTACAAATACTGTATCATAAAGAAAAATAAGAAAGGATAATGTCCTCTACCTTTGAAATCTCAGTAACATTTTAATGTTAACAATGGTCTGCTTCTTTTTATATCAATGCTAACATAATACTGAACAGTCTTGCTTGAAAAAAATTCAAAAAGAAGATAATGAAATATCCCAGAAATTTGTCACATTGTAGAAAGAAAGCCGCAATAAAAAATGTGAGATCCCTTTACACAACATATTTCTTAGCATTTGATCAGAAAGCTTTGTTATTGGCACTCACGTAATATTTCAATATAATTACCATGTTGTCTGCTAATCATTACTCACTAACTAAAATTACTAAACACAAAAACTATGCTTATTCCTATGAAAATATTCAGTTAAGGAGTTTCAAAGCATAAAATCTTTATTTTTAATATTACCTATTACATATTAAATCAAATGAATTAGAATACTAATCCTGAGAAGTAACTGCTTACAATATAAAAATAGTATATCTAAATCTATTACTGACCTACGATTATTCTTCAGTCCAGTTCCCTGTACAAATCCAATCTGTGTCCAAGCTTATTTAAAGATGTCAATCTCATCAGAATTTAAATATGACACAGCATTATAAAACATATCTGGTTACTCAAGATTTCTACTAGCAAACATGGCTTTAAGCAGACCCCAAAGGCAAACCCTGCCAGAGGGGGGATTCTGTATGCCTATCCTTTTCCAAATTCATCTCACTAGAGTGACCGAGCCACCAAAGACAGGCCACATCCCTGAAATATTGCTTAGCCCTTGTGTTGAACTATCGGGCATTTTGATACCTTTTCAGAGTTGCAGTCCACATTTCCCCAGTATTGGTTTCCATTTTCACGACTATTACAGGCTATTCTTTGAAAATTGTGTTTATAAGGGAAAATATAAAGTTCTCATCCATTGAACAGACCAAACTCCTAAGCTCAATATATTTTTATCTTCTATGTATTTATGGTCCATGGCTGCCCTTCAGTTAAAGAATAAAAAACTCAAGTGAGATAAAGCATCAAAATATATATTATAGTTCCATTTAGGTTTTAGCTTAGAAGGCCAAGGACATTGCCACTTAGGGAGAATCTCTGCCTCTCAACAAATCAAAGTGTATTTGCTTTGATTAGTTTCTTAACTGAAATGAAAAGGTAATTTGGATCATTTGTTGAACATACCAAACCCACTGGTAAATTCAGCCAATCAGCTATAAGGAGTAAAACAGGCAGTTAATATAATTTGTATTAATCATAACCACTGCAATTATGTAAATGTAGCTTGAAATGTTATGTGTTAATTTAGTATGCTACTGTTGCTTCTAGAGAACCTACGAATTTCTAAACTCAAAGGCACCTCCAGAATTCCTGAAAGGTGTTGACACTGTCATCAGTTATGTTCCCAGATGACTTGGGTATTACGGGCTAAAAGCTACATTTTGTCACATCTCACAAATATATCTGTGGTTTGACTCCAACCTAGTACTCTGGTTAAGCACAATTAAATAAACAAGCATAATTTATCCCTTATATTACATTAAGAGTTAGTGAACAGAGGTTATTCATTTACATCTAGGGGCCGGAGAAAAAAGAAGCACTCAATTGTCTTTTAGAATGTTTAGCCCTGAAATCTATTTTTGTACATGAGTCTTAGATGCCTTCTGGATAAGGGCTCAGATCATTACACCAAAATGCATTAGTCTATGGCAAAAAAAAAAAAAAGAGTTTGATTATGTGAATGAAACTAAACAAAAATCCTGGGTCCAGAGGAATGCCTTAAAACTAGGATAAGAAAATTGTGTTCTCACATACTATAAAAATACAACTTCAGGGACATCTATCTCTGGTTTTGGTTTTGTAATTTTAAGTTTTAGTCAAAAATTATTGCTCAGTCATGTCTTTTTTCTCTTCCTATTCCAGAGATATATCTCATGTGATGTAACAAGACGAAGGCTGTTAAGGCAGCTGCTCAAAATAAAAAGTCTCTAAAAAGCAATAGCTTCAGCTGTATCAAGTCTTCCCTGTGGAGCCATATTCAGGCACATGAGCCAAACACATATCATGCGTCTTCTTCCTCTTGTACAAACTGAAAAACCAAAACACTAGGGGAAAGAGAAGACAGTAAAATCAACATTAGGCTTGTCAAGGCAACTTAATTATTTCGCCACAAATTATTGAATTTTATGTCATGGACTCACCCAAAATTATGTATTCTTATAAAGTAAGCATCTTTGATAATAGATATTGCTATTTAACTTATGCCTTATCTTCAATTTAGAAACTGCAGTGTTTTAATGTCCCACATTTTAGATAATAAATGGAGTCCCCCATGTATAGCAGCATGATTTATAGTCCTTTGGGTATATACCCAGTAATGGGATGGCTGGGTCAAATGGTATTTCTAGTTCTAGATCCCTGAGGAATCGCCACACTGACTTCCACAATGGTTGAACTAGTTTACAGTCCCACCAACAGTGTAAAAGTGTTACTATTTCTCCACATCCTCTCCAGCACCTGTTGTTTCCTGACTTTTTAATGATTGCCATTCTAACTGGTGTGAGATGATATCTCATAGTGGTTTTGATTTGCATTTCTCTGATGGCCAGTGATGATGAGCATTTTTTCATGTATTTTTTGGCTGCATATACCCAAAGGATTATAAATCATGCTGCTATAAAGACACATGCACACGTATGTTTATTGCGGCATTATTCACAATAGCAAAGACTTGGAACCAACCCAAGTGTCCAACAATGATAGACTGGATTAAGAAAATGTGGCACATATACACCATGGAATACTATGCAGCCATAAAAAATGATGAGTTCATGTCCTTTGTAGGGACATGGATGAAATTGGAAACCATCATTCTCAGTAACCTATCGCAAGAACAAAAAACCAAACACCGCATATTCTCACTCATAGGTGGGAATTGAACAATGAGATCACATGGACACAGGAAGGGGAATATCACACTCTGGGAACTGTGGTGGGGTGGGGGGAGGGGGGAGGGATAGCATTGGGAGATATACCTAATGCTAGATGACGAGTTAGTGGGTGCAGCGCACCAGCATGGCACATGTATACATATGTAACTAACCTGCACAATGTGCACATGTACCCTAAAACTTAAAGTATAATTAAAAAAAAAATAAAAATAAAAGAAAAATAAACAAGAAAAAAAAAAAAGCATCAGAAATAAAACTTGCCTGCTTTTCCAATCAGAGGCAACTCAACTGTGTAGTCATCTAGGAAACCACCAGGGACTTCACAGATGAAGTTTCAGATGATACAGCCAATTTCAGTTTCACCTAACAGAAGCAAGAATAAAATTTAACTTTCCCAGCGTTTGATTAAATGAGTATTTTGATTCATTCTATTAGAATTCTACATAACTGGTAATATAAGTGTGCCACCCAAGCAATAGCGTTATGAAATCAAGAAATGACTTTTGCTGGGAGCTTAACTCTAGAACCATCTTTGTTTCAAATGTATGACATTAGAGAAAAATGATTAGCCTCAGACCAAATAAATTGTATATTTAGTCATATTCACCACGGCTATGAATTTCAGTTCAGAATTCTGTCATTTTATTTCACTCACCAAATTCCTTAAGACTGAATATATGCCATAGTATCATATGCATAAATGATGGTAAATGGCTTAGAAAAAAACAGAAAGTGGAAACACTCATATTCTTTCACCCAATGATGTACAGTTCCTGAGAAAATGTCTGAAGAAACTAATAAACAACAGCATCAAAATAAACATATGTATAAACATGCTCCATACATTACTAATAATTTTAAGAGAAAAATAATTCTACATGTTTGCTAAATTATGTTATATTCATTATGTGCCATATTACATAACTGTTAAAACTATGGAAAGGTGTATATTGTTATATGAAATAAGGAAAAGACAATATTTGAAGTTGCTGTTTTAGTTTGCTCACTTCTCAGTGCTATCTGTTCTCTCTCATTCCTCTTGTGAATTGCTAATACTCTGATCACCAATAATCTCTTAATTGTTCAATTCTGTGCCACTGTCAAGTTGTTATTTTGGGTGACTTCAACAAAAGACAAAATAAACTCCACCATTTCTGCCACCACCCTCCCTTCCCTCATTTCCTACCACTCCTCTCCCTCTCCCCCACCCACCCCAAAATCACATATACTTTGCTCCTTTATTTGTGTTCTTGAGTCAGAAATTTGGAGATGTTCTCCTACCCTCTAAAATTATCTCCTAAATATCTGTTTAAATCCTGAGTTCGTCTCTATCTCCTGCACCAGGTTGTCTTAGTTCAGGCCCTCATAATCTCTTCCTTAAACTACTGCAACTGCCACCCTCCTCATCTGCTTCCAGTTCCTCCCCAGCCTAATTCATCCTCCACCTTCCTACCATGTGCTTTTCAAAAATCTATTTCTGATCATGTCACTTTCTCTTTAAAATCATTGACTCCTTCAAAGTAAGAGATGCTCAAATAGTTTGTATAGCATGCGAGAACTTTCTCGCACCCCTCCTTTTCTCAATCGCCTCATTTCTCATTGTTATGTACCATACCCCGTACTCTTTCTCACATGGAACTACTCGCATCTTCCCTAGATTCCACGACCTATCAGAAGCCCTGTCTGGTCTGTTTTTCACCTCATTTGCCCCATGGACTCTCCTGTGTTCCCCTTTATAAATTTGAAAGCACTCTTTACATTATTCTAAGTTAATGGTTTATGTATGGATCTTTTTCACTGCCTATAACCTGTGGTCAGGCATATTTATTTTGTAATACCAACTATATTATAGCACCTGGTACTGAGTAGAAACTTAATATTTCTTGAATGAATGAACAAGCAAATAAATAAAGGACCTGCAACTATGCAAAATATGCATAGATTAAAAGTAAATGTGGGAAAGTAAAAACAGCTAAGTTCTAATAAGTAAATAAAAACTTTTTTCTGTTTTTAGTTAATTTTTGAGCAAACTACTATTCAAAATAAAATATCTTAAAAATCTATAGTAAATGCCTACTTTACTTTCATTGATCAGTAAATGCTGATTAGCAATACTCTCACTGCTTATATCACCAGTAACTTTTGTATAGACTAGAGCAAAATTAGATTTTTTAAAACAATTTTTAGGCCAAGTAGATTTCCTGTGTAAAGAATGATTGGCCCAAAGTCACGATATATTCAAATCATTTAAGATATTATAATTTGGTCGTTTTCTTCTTATTTAAAATGAACAGGCAATTTCCAAAAGGTTAGTTTAAGGTTTCTATCCTAAGTAGCAACCTTTGCAAGCTCATATATGCAGTTCTGTCTGTATGCAGAATGTGAAATTGCAAATGGGAATGAAATGCTCATCAATCAAACATCAAATACCAACAGAATCCAGGAAACACTTTGCATTTCCAATTATTCTATATCACTTTACATATCCCAAGATCACTGGCACATAAAACACCCTGTGAGAGAGAATAAAATATTGCGCTTTCTTAGATTTTATATATATTTTATATATATCTGTATATATATCTCTATATATAGTTAAAGATATATAAAGAGAAGAATAGAAGGAATGTGTTATCAGAGATACTCTCTTTTTATTTTTTATTTTTGAGATGGAGTCTCACTCTGTTGCCCAGGCTGGAGTGCAATGGTATGATCTCGCCTCACTGCAACCTCAACCTCCCAGATTCAAGCAACTCTCCTGCCTCAACCTCCTGAGTAGCTGGGATTATAGGTGCCTGCCACCACACCCAGCTAATTTTTGTATTTTTAGTAGAGACAGGGTTTCACCATGTTGGCCAAGCTGGTCTCGAACTCCTGGCCTCAAGTGATCCACCCAAAGTGCTGGGATTACAGGAGTGAGCCACTGCACCCAGCCAGAGATATTATCTCTTTAATCTGCCATGATTTGTCATGTATCTCAACTGATACTACTTTCCACAGAAATATACTTTGCCTTTGATTTTATCATTAGCTAAAGTTACAGTGGAAAAAGCAAAAACAATAAATCTTGTATTATTATCGATCTATAAAATAATACAAGAGCAGGAGCCTAAATATTTTTTAGTCCTTACTTAAATCATATGATAGCAGTATTTTCCCACTATGCTGGCTGACATCCTCCCCTCATGGCCTAAGAAGCTTAGAACTAAATTAAAAACTGTAGAGATTATCTAGTCCAGTACTTCCCACCTTTTGCATGCCCTGTTACATTGAAAATAGTAATATTTAAGCAGAATACTATGGGAGAGGAGTGATTACATGTGAACTACTATAGGTCACTGCTCTTAAAATCTTAGGCCAGGCACGATGACTCAGACCTGTAATCCCAGCACTTTGGGAGGCCAAGGCAGATGGGTCATCTGAGGCCAGGAGTTCGAGCCCAGCCTGGCCAACATGGTGGAACCCCATCTCTACTAAAAATACAAAAATTAGCTGGGCGTGATGGCAGATGCCTGTAATCCCAGCCACTGAGGAAGGCTGAGGCACGAGAATCGCTTGAACCCAGGAGGCGGAGGTTGTAGTGAGCCAAGAAAATCTTAGGCATCAGAATTTCAGAGAGTTTATAAAAGATGCCATATAAACTCTTTAATGGAATTTCAACTATTGTAAATTCTTAAGTAGTCGTAAAAAAAAACAGATTTCAATTTAAGGAAATTCTGCCCCAGATATTTTATTTACAGAAATTACAAAATCACAAGTTCCATCCCATTGCATTTTAAATACCACACTTTGTTTTAAAATCTGAGGATCTGAGCAGGCTGAAGCCTGGTCTGGCCTATGGTCCCTGGGGTTGGAGAATTTGTGTGGCTATGCTTTCAAATCAACTGAAATGTGTCCCTATCCTTGCTCTTCTCCTCTTACCCTGCCACTGCCAAAGTACTGGGCTCAGAATCCTGACTCTCCTTCCTTTCACTCCCTTCTCTAGGTCCTGCTGTGTTCACAGGAAGCTGTGGTCTGCAGCTGCTGTCCTGGACACAGGACAACTTGGTTAGGGCTTCAGCCCCTATCTGGACTCTAATTCCACCTTGGTGTGTTTATTGCAGTTTCGTGCATCCTTATCATTTTTCATCTGGTCTCTGGCAGGCAGAGTGTATGATGACTTCTCTGTCCCTCCTTGTCTTTAACTCAAATGATGATCTTCTCTTTGGTGTTTTTTTTTTCCCCCGTTTTTCTCAGCTGTGCTGTTGTGAGAGTGCTTCATCACTGGAGCCTTCAGATGAACTAGGTGAGGGACTCTGGGCCCCACAACCCTTCTCCCAGAGCTGTCTTGTGGCATCATTCAAGTCCTCTGGGTCAGGCAAGGGAGAGAGGCAGGAAGTTGGTAATTTCATTATTGATCAACTCGAATAGTTCTTCCCTTGATCTTGATTCCATTAAAATTGTCAATGGCCAAAATGGTACTCCTCTGGCCCTCATAGCAGGTAAAACAGAATCCTTTGGACGCATTCCTGACTTCCTGTCCTGTACAAGATTAATGTTAATATATCTCCCCTTATTGAGAGGCTACACAGATGACATCACCTTCAGTCAGTTCATAACAAAGCCCTCCCGGGAACATCCAGGAGCTGTCCTTGTACACAGAGGACGGGATGCTTTAGGAGCCACTGCAATATCAGCCTGCCTTTTATTCAGCTTCAGGGCTAGCTTCACATTGATTAATGAGTTCATCTTTGTGGGGTGGAGTGCCACACAATGGTGCCTGGGTGGCTGAACCATGCCCACTTCTAGAGAACAGACAAGGGAGGATACCACTTCTGGTGGAGGCCCTCAGGGCACCTCCACAGTCTCTTCTCCACCCTCCCCACATGCCTTCCTCTGCCATTTAATGTTCAACTTTTCATGGTAGTCCAGTCACCACACAGAAGTATGCTACTGCTCACTAGTTGGAAAGATCTAAACTAGTCGAGTTTCAAAATAGGATGGCCAAGCTGCAACAAAGACTTCTGTTCTGAAATGGTTCCTGATCATGGAAGTTTTAACTCTACTATTTCACCTTTTGTCCAGGTAATAAATCCTTTCGAGAGCCTATAACATGTTATGTTCACTTGGGCCAAATTATGAAAGGTAAATATTTGATGTGTTACAAAGAAAAAACTTAGACTAAGCTTTGCTTTGAGTGTACCTATTATATTAGTCAGGGATCTACAGAAAAACAGAACCAACAAGATGTTTGTATAGATAGGTACATTCATTATAAGGAATTGGCCCAGGGATTATGGAAGCTAGTGAGTCCCAAGATCTGCAGTCGGATAAGTAAACACCCAGGAGATCCAAGGTTAAGTTCCAGTCTGAGTCCAAAGGCCTGAGAACCGGGAAAGCCAATATTATATGCTACAGGTTCTAAACCCAAGAAGAGCCAATGTTACAATTCAAGTCTGAAGAATGGAAAGAGCAATATCCCAGATCAAAACAGTCAGACATAAGGAGTTCCCTCTTGCTCCTGGGAAGGTCAGGCCTTGTTCTATGTATGCCTTCAATTGATTGGGGTGGGACCACCAACATTGTGGAAAACAATCTGCTTTACTCAGTCCACCAATTCAAATGTCAGTCTCATCCAAAAACACCCTCACAGACACACCCAAAATAATGTCTGACCTAAAATCTACACACTCTGTGGCCTAGTCAAGTTGACACATAAAATGAATCATCATAGCTACCATGTTTCCAGATTGAATGAGCCCTAAGCAGTAATAATTCTGCTCCATATTATACCTATTTGAGTGATATAGAAGGTGATTCTTTGCTCTTAAAAATGGCAGTTCTCAGGGTGAATATAGTACACATTTGTGTGCACAGCTTCAAATGGCACTAAGAAACCAGTAGCCACTATCAGTGGCAAAGGCTCCAGTGTGTAGCTGCAGTGGCATTTTGGAGAGCCTTATTTTGATTTGATATCTCAAAATAAGCCAACCAATTTCTTATAAAACTATTGCTACTTCTGTAACCCACAACTCTGTAAAAACTGTGATTGTTCCCCCAAAGATGTGCTTCACTTGGTATTTCAAGTCATATGATGGCAATCCCATTGAAAGTTCCATAAAACAGTCACTTAGGTGTATTGCTCATACTCAGTCTACTCACTAGTCCAACCTATTCGACTTGAAACTCAGTAAATAATTGCAGACTTGTCATCCTGCCTTTATTTCCTTTATATCATTATTGTTAGCACAGATAAAAGGACTCAAAAATGGCACATAATAGGGAAGCTGAATATGTCTTAGAAGTCCCTTACACATCCGTAGGACAGAAAATAAACCTTACCATTGTTCAATTTGACCCACAATTAAATATCATCTTAAAAGCAAGATATATGTATTTCCCAGTGAAGATAGCAGGCTTCTTGATTTATTTTACTTATGAAAATAGACTAATGTAACATATGCTTCGGTGACAATTTATCATGGATATAGGTGGTAAAATATAACACTGAGTATTGGAGAAAGATTTGAAAAAATACTCCAGTATAGTAAAAATACTTAGTCCAGGAGCTTAAATAGGTTACCCCAGGCCTTTTCCCTAGTAAATATTTAAGGAATTCTATACCCTTGACACCGTATGGTAATCAGGAAGTGGAAGTCAACAACTTTAACTTATAAATATGAAAGGCATTGAGATGGAGGAACAGAAAAGGAAAAAATCCTCTCTGGCATTGGTATTACTTGTATCATCATCAACAAGACAAGTTACAAACGTTTCATAGAAAGACAGCGGGAGGAAAAGGCTTTACAAAAGTATAAGTAAATAGGAACACACCGCTATCCATATAAATCCCCTCTTTCTTTAAAAAGTCCACTTCACCAAAAAAGCCACATTAGGCACCGATGGCCCAGTGCCTAGGGCCCACAATACTTAAGATGCTCATGAAAATGTCTTAATTTCTTTTACATAAAAAAAACTTTCATGTTAAAGAAAATATTTTACTATATAGTAACCTATTGTTATATTAACGTAATGATAAAACATAATTTTTAGGTTCCTTTTGTGTGTGGGTATGAGGTTAGGACCTATGAAGACAAAAGTGCCTGGGGCCCATAAAAGTCATAATATGGTCCTGTTCCTAGATTCATGTTTGTCTTATATGGCCCTATTTCTCTGGCCATAGCTGGCTAGAATAGGGATAGACCTTGACCTAAGTCAAGCCTATCAAATTCTGCCTCCTATGAGTTTAGAATTGAGATTTAAACTTGCTTGGTAGTGCTAGATAGTGTGTGAGGACCTATATCCTTTGAAGTAGTCATGAGTAAAAAAGTGACAAAAGATCGTGTATTAGTCCATTCTTACATTGCTATAAAGAACTACCTGAGACTGGATAGTTTCTAAAGAAAAGAGGTTTAATTGACTTACAGTTCCACATGCTGTATAGGAAGCATGGATGGGGAGGCCTCAGGAAATTTGCAATCATGGCAGAAGGTGAAGGGGAAGCAAACACATCTTCACATGGCAACGAGACAGAGAGAGCTAAGGCAGAAGTGCTGCACACCATTAAACAACAAGATCTCATGAGCACTCACTATCACAAGAAAAGAAAGGGGAAAATCTGCCCCTATGCTCCAATCACCTCTCACCAGGTCCCTCCCCCACCACTGGGGATTACAATTCAACATGAGGTTTGGGTGGGGGCAGACAGCCAAACCATATCAGACCATCTGCAAGAGAAAGAGAAGAATGAGAGAACCTGTGAGACAGAGAGAGAATGAGAGAGACTTGAGGCTGTGGCCTGAGATCCTGATGTTCTCCAGTCTCTGTATACTAAAGGTTGGTTATTCAAACTTTTAAAAATCTATGAGGTGTCCCAGTATCCTTCCATTCAATCAGAATTTTTGGCTAAGCTGTTTGAAATTATTTTCTGCTAATTTTCATCCAAGAATACTGTATTCGTTTGCTAGAGTTGCCACAATAAAGTATCATAAACATGGTGGCTTAAAGAACAGAAATGTGTTGTCTTCCAGTTCTGGAGGCTGGAAGTCTGAAATAACATCAGTAAGGTTGATTCCTTCTGAGGGCTGTGAGGGAAAGATCTGCTCCAGGCCACTGTCTTTGGCTTATAGACGGCCTTCCTCTACCTATGTCTCTTCACGTTGCCTTCCTTCTATACTTGCCCGTGACCAAATTTCCTGGTTTTGTAAGCACACCAGTCAGTGGATTAGGGCCCACCCACATGACCTCACTTTAGCATAATTACCTCTGTAAAGCCCTTTTCTCCAAATGAGGTCATAATCTAAAGCAACAGAGGACAGGACTTCAAATATAAATTAGTGCAGAAGTGTGGAGACGATCTAACCCAAAAAAAGTACTAACTAAAACAGGAGCACAAACATAGACTCAATTATAGCATGTTCATTTATTACTGTCATTAATACTTTTTTGATATATTTTTCTCATTTTTTGAATTTTAATTTTAAAAGGCATTTTCTATATTTCCTCTTCTTTCTCCTAAACCTTAATAAATTACTTAAGATCTTAAGTTCCCCAAATATGACACAATATCCCATAATGGCAAAGAATATGGACTCTAGCATGAGACTGCCTGAGTTCAAAGCCTGCCTTTGTCATTACAGCATTCATAGGCAAGTTACTCAATCTCTTTATGTGTCAATTTCCATAACAGTAAAATGAAATAGAAAGAATATTTATCTCTTAGGGGTGTTATGAAGATTAAATAAATTGCTATATGTAAAGTGCCTGACAGACAGCAAGTTCCATCTGAGGGCTTGCTATTATTATTATAGAGCTCAAGCCTTTACTTGTGCATTGGTCTTTCTTTATGAAGTTTGCCCTTTAAGACAATCACAAGGCAAATCTCAACTGCTGACTGCCTTTTCTGGGTAGGGCCTAGTAGCACAGACTCATCTTAAGGCCTTATCTTGCCTGCATTTGCATATGCCACTGAGTTCCTCAGGACCACTGAGTATCTTTCTTCAATTTCCTCACCTGTGAAATGGAGACAATAATGGTAACTACCATAAGGAGTTTGTTGTCGTAATTAAATGAGTTAATTTATGTAAAGTACTCAGTACATACTGTGTATACCCTTAATGTTTTGACCAGGTGGCAATCTCTGACACTGACCAGAGAGCCCAATGACATAGCACTGACTCTGATGAAGTTCATGGCCAGATCACTGCTCTACCCTACAGAGTCTTGTGAATTTGCAAATACTCTCTACTTTATTGGAGTTCATAGTCAGGATAAAAGCCCTAATTTTGACTTGCTTTGGTCTAATATAAACACCATTTAGTTTCTTTTTTTACTATTTCAAGTGTAATGTTTTTAATATTATAAGAACAATACTTGAGACATATGAATCTTAAATTTGTCATTTTAATTGTAAGTTAAGAGACAGAGATAGCCTGTATATAAAATATCCATAACCACATGCCATGCAATTAAATATTTCTGCACAACTGTTCCAAAAGAGTATTTTAGCCTTGCTCTACAGGGAGGGAAATGATGTACAAAGATTCATTTATATTTATACAGTATATAAAAATACTTGAAATTTGTTGGCCTCTCTTTGAGGAAGGGAATCTAATTCTCTTATAATTAAAAAGAAAACATTTCTCTCAGCTAGAGAAATTAATAGAATTTATAGATATTTAATAATTTGATAACCACTTTCTTCAAAGTCTCTATATATGTGGTATATAGAAAACAACAATTATCTAGAAAATATACAAAACAAGCTTCTATTTTATTTGCATTCCAGAACAAGCAAATTGATACCACAATATGTGTTGCCTATATTTTAGAACAAGAAAGAAATTTAGTTACACCTCTGATGAAGGAACAATTTGGAATTATATCATTGTAAAACTGGGGAAATCCAATACATAGAAGTAAGAACATTCCCCATAATGGTACTAATTACTGCACAGTATCCATAACCTTTAGAGCACTGAGCTTAACTCAAACAAAATAACAGATGGTGTTTCAGGAAAACAAGCATTATATTGCCTTGGTTTTTCTTTTCATGTGCGACTGTTAGAGAAAATTATGTTGGGAGTTCACTGGGACCTAATTATATTTGGTCTTCTATTCTGAATTCTGAATTCCGTCTATCTCATTCCAAATAAATAGTATAATTATATTAATTTAACCCAAAATAAGATAGTACACTGATTAAATATCATATTAGAAAACTTATTCTACATATCTGGCCAAACATTTTACCATCTGATAGGGTAAAAGAATAAGCTCTTCAAATGTGTATTTTATTTCAGATTACCATTTATTTTTTTCATGCTTTAAGTTTGCATTTTGAAGTTAACCACTATGGGGGAATTCAGACAACAGCAGATGAAAATACTAGCTAGAATATTATACAAGTGGCATTTTCCTGTGTCAATTTGTATATGTATCACTTCCTGTAAATAAACAAACAAACAAAGCCTGGTTAAATCTAAAACAATAATTGAGACACTTGTAGGCAGACACACATGTAGATGATCTCTCAAGAGAGTGATAGTATGATTTATATCCATCTTGTTAAACTTAAAAAATACATTCCTCTTGAGTATGACAACTTCACCTGCTGAGTTTTGAAAGGCGTGCTGACTCAACTTCACAGCTTTTAGTCTCTTCCTCCAGATGATCAATTAGATAGTTTTTCAACAGAAGACCAGCTAAAGGGCTGTTGTCTTCTGGAATGGTACCAAGCAGTCTCACTGCTGATCTAAATATCAGCTCAACGAGAACCGCCACAATGCAGATCTGTGTATCTACTTTACACCTATTCCGTGGCCTCCATTTTTTCACCTCTACTTCTATGAATATTCACTTACCCAGAAGAATTGGACATCAACTCATTAGTTACTGAATTAAACAGACCAATCCCTGAATTTTGGAAAAAGACTGAAGTAAAATTTTACTGTATAATACATAGAACCCAACATATGGCAGACAACAAATGTAGAATGACCTACACTGCGTATTTGTTGCATTAGCTACTACTGCTTAACTTACTATCTAGATTCCCCGTCCTCCAATAAAATAGCTGGACTCATTTTAATCATCAATACCCTTGAGTAGAAACTGTAAACTACTTGCTCTGATTGTTACTATATAGCTAGCATTAGAAGACATGTTCTATTTCAATTTACTGAATCATGATTTTTTTTTTTTTTTGAGACAAGGTCTTGCTCTATCTCCCAGGCTGGCATGCAGTGGAGTGATCTCAGCTCAGTGCAACCTCCACCACCCAACCTCAAGTGATTCTCCTACCTCATTCTCCCAATTAGCTGGAACTATAAGCATCTGCCACCATGCTCAGCTAATTTTAAAAAATTTTGTAGAGATGGGGTCTCACTATATTGCCCAGGCTGGTCTCTCCTGGACTCAAGCAATCCTCTCACCTCGGCCTCCCAAAGTGCTGGGATTATAGGTGTGAGCCACTGTGCCCAGCCCATGACCATTTTTTTTAATTGATCAATGATACTTGTTCTTTAAAGTCCAATCCCTGTTCAGATTCTTCCCTGCTTTGTTGTTCTATGAGTCTCTGCTGAAAATAATTGACAATCACGTACCTTTTGGTCTGACCATCAAGACTGTGTTATAAGTGAGTTGATGTCTTTCTTGGTCATTTGGGCAGAGCCAAAGCATTCTTTCATTAAATAGTTCTTATGCTTTTTCAAGTAATGTTACAAGGAAATTTCAGTGCCTAGAATAAGGACTAACACAAATATAACAAAATCTTACCTTAGCTGTAATGTGACTAACCCTCCTGGATATTATGCTTGGAATCTCACAAATAAACTAGAAATACTTCATTCCTCACATCAGAATATATAGGGCCAGAATTTGGCTCATGTGATCAGACTGAAGATGAAATTTTCACTAAACCATGAACTCTACTTGGCAATGGAAATGACACTTTTTTCAAAATGAATCACATCCTGAAAGCCATTGGTCCACATGCCCCACATCAGTATAAATCCTTGCAGAGTCTGGAGATTTATGTTTTCAGTTTGGCCTTTCTTTCGATTATTGGAGAGCTTTAATTTCTTTTCATTATTTTGGATTCCCTCATTTTTTTCCCTACTTCTAATTCTCTGCATACATCACACACCTGTATTTGTCTTTGATAATGGAAAAAAAGACTCATCACTTTTAATGCCCACTCAACATATCTTCATTATCTTGGGAATATCTTCACCAAAATATATTAAAAAGTCACTAGAGAAAAATGAATGCATATACAATGTATGAATATTGCTGGGCTAAATGGGTACCTCTATCTCATTAGTCAGCATGGAGCCTCCTGGCTGCATGCCTACATTTCAAGCCCAGCCAGAAAAACAACAACAACAAAAACAACAAATAGATTTGAGACATCCAAATGAAAAGAAATGGTCCTTTTTCTGATTGTGTTAACATTCTACTAGTTATTTATTCATTTATGTCTTTTTCTTAGTCTTCTGCAGCAGAATCAAGCAAATCCCATTTGTTCCTTCACTCCGCCAATATTTATTGTATACCTTCTACATACCAGGAACTATTGTAGGCACTGGAAAAAAGAATGAACAAAATCAGTAGATCTCCTGTTTTCATAACATTTGCATTCTAGAGGAAGACCAGAGACAAACAAATAAATACACAATATGTCATACAGGTAGTAAGATCTAAGGAGAAAATAATAACAAGGGAGGGTGAGAACGAAACTGTGCTCCTGGACAGTGAGGATTCTATTACATCTAGGTGTTATTTGAGTGGGAACTTGAAAGGAAAATAAAGAAGAAAGTCACGTAAGTATCTGGGAAAGTAGTATCCTTGACGGAAAACTGAATTTACAATAAAAGCCTTCATTTATACGATCTGATTGGGACTGGCTTGAGGGGAGCCAAGTTCATTCCATTTTCAAGTAAAGAATAAGTCAGAATTATATATCCTTTAAACCACTGTATACTTTTAGAAACTCTGCAAAAGTCCTCTGAAAATATTCTTCACTTAACCCTTACTCATACTTTGCTAAACTCTTCCAACTTTGCATTACACAATTGATAACTTTAAACTAACCTACAGTACTCTAAGTTTACTTTACATTTTTTTAATCAATGGTGGGTACATTAGTGAGCATCCACCATCAGTGAGTACATTTTATTATACTTCCTAGTTGTTTGGTTACTTGCTAAGGAAATTTTCTGCAAGTTTGCAGACTGTGGGAATATAAGGAGCACAACGAGTAAGGCCAGATGTCCTCCCTCTTGTTTAAGAGCTTAGATTTCAAGTGACACTTGTATACTTTAAGTAGAGACTGCTGCTTTTCATAGCGGTGTGAATGTTTGCTATACCAAGATGCTGTGATCGTTCAAAGTGAATGCAAATGCCTGTCCTCACAGGCAGTCTCTAAAGGCAATCTGATAAATGCATGTAGATGTTTGAACATAAACTGAAAGCAAGAGGAAAAGAGCACTTACCAAATGGAGTAGAATACCCAATGAATAGAGTACAAGCCATTTTGTTCTTGGAGAGAAACAATATGACTCCTTTCTTTTGGGAAGTCTGTTTCTTTTCTTTAGGTCTGAGCCCATTAAATGATTCAATTTATGTTTATCACTTAGACAATAAACATTATATCCCTTTCCTCTCTGACTGTAAGACCAGAAGGAAGGTGGGAGAAAAAAAGCAAAGATTTCCCGAGGTTCACAGATACCTGAATTCAAATACAGAGAATATAAATGAGAAACAACACTTTTGTCACTGAATTTAACCTGCCTTTAAACCTGATAAAGTTGCAAATTCAACATTGATTTTTCTCTAAAAATAAATAACTTATTTTGAGGAACAGCAGATGAATTTACACCCTATAGAAATAATTTAGGATGCTGGTTCCCTAAGGTTTTTCCCAAGACTAAGAAATATTGATCAAGAGCAACAGGAAAACTCCCCAGCAAAATAATGTGAGCAGTTTGAAATTTTGTTTTCATATTTTGCCTTTATTCTCAGTATCTCCTATAAGGAGCTTAGTTGTCACTTTGACATTTATTGTCTCAATATTCACATGTATAAAATAGTGAAGAGAAAAAGTATCATTTTTAATGATTGACAGTAACAGGGTTTAGATAAAACTTCCAAGAGCTAAGTGGATTGTTGAAGGAATTAAACAGATAATTCATGCAAAAAATTCACAGATGTGGCTGAGATAAAAAATTGTTTATTAGGTTTTATGCCTATATATTTTAGATAATCACCTTGATTTCTTCTTTGTTCTTCATGGAGAGATACAGGCTGAGTAATTTGTGTAACATATATTACCTATATGCTGCTTTTGGTACCATGATCTGTTTAATCAACATTTATGCTTGGTTGACTTTTCTTAATTAAAAAAGGAAGATTAACTTAGCTATTAATTTATGACCTAAAAGTATAAGCTTCCACCTTGCCAAACTACTATCTAGTGCTTGTAAATGACTGTGTGTTTCCATTTGACTGATTTTTAGTGACAGCATGGCATAGTGACCTTAAAAGGGATAACATGGTGATAATGTACAATAATGATATATCGAATGTTTGGTGAAAAAAAAGTAGCATACATTAGTGCATCCCTGCTATGATTAAACTATGTTACAAGTAAGACAAGGATCGAATGGAAACCAGAGAAAATATAGGCAGGTTAGTTTGTTGCCATCGTGGGAAGTTGGATCCAAGTAGATTTAGCTTCAACTGAAATGTATTGGATGCCTACTATGCGCCAAGCAGTCTGCCAAGTTCTTTCATCTTTTTTATCTCCTTATATCTCATCAGTCCTGCGAGAAGATTATTATTATTCTCACTTCACCAACAAATACAAAAACAACTTTCAAAGAGCAGACTCGAGATTACACAGCTTCATGAGAAACTGAAATGTAAGCCATGGTTTCTGATTTCTTTCACACATTCCCTACGTCATGTAATGCGTTAAAAAGAAATAAATATAACTAAAACACCTAATTAGTTCAACTACCCCCATGGCTTAAATATATACATAATATATGCTATATTTAATACATAGAGCATCACTGTCATTAGTTATGAGACTTTCAGGAATTATGTCTTATGTATACAAATGTATTATGTATATAGCAAACCTGGAAGTGAAAATGGGTAACAGCTGTAATAGGATTGTGGTGGAGAGATCCAGGATATACAACTGTGAAGTCTTTTTCTGAATTCTCCTTATCTACCTAGAAGTAGAAACTTTCAAAAGAATTCAACTATCATGAATACCCCTCTGAAGGAGTCTGACGCTACGAAAAGACCGCTTGCACCTGCATAAATAACACCACAATTTCTCCCACTTGTTCCCCTAAGAATCTATATGTCTTTCCTAAACATGTATGTTCTTCTCATCAAAGCCTTTTCTCTCTCCTTCACTTTTTCTTTTAAATTAGGCCTATAAGACCCTAACTTTAGCTATTTAGTGAGGCCACTTCTTTTGTGTGCTCCCGTATGCATATATAAATAAACTTTAGTTTTTATTTCTCCTGCTAATCTGTCTTTTGTCAGTTTAATCTGCAGGCCTCCAAGCCAGGAACCAAAGTGAGTACAAGAAGAGTTTTCCCTCCGCAACACTTTGGCAATGAAGATGGGATGGTTGGGACTCCCCAGTCACTCTGAAGGCTGCAGCTGAGATCTCAGGATCTCTTGACCAAGCCAGCAAAGGTAAATTTCCTTGCTGATCTCTGCTCAGCATCCAGCTGAGTGCGTGCAGTAAGAACTTGTCTTTGTTCAAACAGGAAAAGTTCCCTGATCCTCTCACAGGGCATGTGATGGGGGTGTGGCTTGCTTCTTCGTGCCCCACTGCTCAAACCTCTAGGGAAACTTACAGACGGGCAGGCTGTGGGGCTCTGACTCCTCGGCAGTGTCTAGGGGTGGATGTTTACAGCTCCTGAAGCCTCAGTGGGCGTGTGTCAGAGGGTGCTTAGAGGTTTGCCGTCTATCCGTCTACGGGTGGCTTATGTTAACCAGCTCAATTAGACCCTCTACCTTGTCACAAGGACAGAGGGCTGTTTCCTGAGTTCTTGCCTTGGTGTAGTGGAAGAATTGGACCACACGTGGGCTTGGAGAATGAGTGTAAAGTTTTATTGAGTGGAAGTAGCGTTCAGCTGATGGGGCAGCCAGAAATGAGATAGTCTTCCGCTGGAGTTGGGCCACTCAGCAGCCTGGGCTCTCCTCCGACTGCCCTGGCCAAACTCCGCCTCATCTGGTTGGCCCATGGCCTGCCGGCATCTGTTGGTGTGCTCCTCCGCCAGCGTGCTTCCCCGCCAGCATGGTCCCCGACAGGTGCTCCTCCGCCAGCGTGGTCCTCGGCTAGGTGCTCCTCTGCCAGCGTGCTCCCCCGCCAGATGCTCCTCTGCCAGCGGGGTCCTCAGTCAGGTGCTCCTCTGCCAGCGTGCTCCCCCGCCAGGTGCTCCTCTGCCAGCGTGATCCTCGGCCAGGTGCTCCTCCACCACCGTGCTCCCCCGCCAGCGTGCTCCTCTGTCAGGTGCTCCCCCGCCAGGTGCTCCTCTGCCAGCATGCTCCCCCGCCAGCATGCTCCTCTGCCAGGTGCTCCCCCACCAGGTGCTCCTCCTTCAGATGCTCCTCCAGCAGGTGCTCCCCCGCCAGCGTGCTCCTCCACCAGCGTGCTCCTCCTCCAGCGTGCTCCTCCACCAGGTGCTCCTCCACCAGCGTGCTCCTCCACTGCTCCTCCGCCAGCGTGCTCATGCGCCAGGTGCTCCTTCGCCAGCGTGCTCCTCCGCCAGGTGCTCCTCCTCCAGGTGCTCCCCCACCAGCGTGCTCCCCCACCAGCGTGCTCCTCCGCCAGGTGCTCCTCCACCAGCGTGCTCCTCCACTGCTCCTCCGCCAGCATGCTCATCCGCCAGGTGCTCCTTTGCCAGCGTGCTCCTCCACTGCTCCTCTGCCAGCGTGCTCCTCCGCCAGGTGCTCCTCCGCTAGGTGCTCCTCTGCTAGGTGCTCCCCTGCTAGGTGCTCCCCTCGACGTCTTGTCCCCGTCCAGCTGCTTGTGTCTTCTTCCGCTGATGTGCTCCTCTCCACACCCGGCCGCCTGTGTGTCTGCCCGCTAGGGTCTCAGGTTTTTATAGGCTCAGGATGGGGGCATGGCAGGCCGGGGTGGTCTCGGAAAATGCAACATTTGGGTACAAAAGCAGGGGTGCCTGTCCTCACCCAGGTCCGTGGGAGTAGAGCCCTTGCCAGGGACCACACCGCACTTCCCTCTCCCCTTCAGTATCATTTAAAGGGACCATGGTCTTCCCTTCCCAGTACTACCATATCATTGTCTTTTCTTTACAATATTTAGATTAGCTGGAGAAAACACTTATGGGAAATAGTTATTTGGGTATTGTGACTTTTAGTTTGCGTACTCTTGTTATAGATCCTTTTGCTCACAGGGATAGTCATTGTGCCCTGTTTGTCTTGTTTTGTGTCTTGAAAGCTTGGCTTGGATTTAGTAAGAGAGTTCTCTCTCTCTGGTTTTCTGCCTGCCAGGAGTACAGGTTGCCAAGTCTGTGCTAAGAGATGGCCAAACATCAGATTGGGATCCCAAGAATTTGTAGTTAGCTGGATAAAAATCTGGGTAGCCCGGGCATTCCATTTGTTGCTGGCATTCTATCCACCATTGCTAATTTTCAGCAGTTTCATCACAGAAAGACAGAGACTTAGAAGTGGTGTTTATAGAAGTGGCTTGAGAAACGACCTTAGATTCCAGGGGCTGTATGTTCTGCACCCTTTCTGGGAATGCCTCTTGTGTCCCCACTGTTAAGCCACAGAAAGTCTTACTACTTCTGAGTCGCATTTTGGAACAGGTATACCTTTGGAGATCCTAAATCATGAATGGCCAGATGACAGATCCTTTGATCTGAAAAAGCTTTTATATTTAAAAGGATTTTTAGAGAGCTTCCCCCCTATACAAATGACCTGTTTGTACCTATGGAAAAATCAAATTAAAAGAAGAAGAAGAGTATCATGGCTAGCCTAAAAGGATCCCTTGGCAAAATTAAATAGCAGAAATCACATTTACAACAAAAATTGAAATCCACACAGACCATAAACCCTTCCACTGACAGTTATTCTGTAGTTGTGCCACAAGCCAGATGGCCCCCTGAAAAAAATTCTCCTCACCAACATAACAAATGGCCAGACCCTTTTCTAGGCCTTCCTGTAAATAATCAGAAGTTGGCTGATTTGGAGGCTGATATTCAGGGCCTGATATGGTTTGGTCCCCACTCAAATCTCAAGTTGAATTGAATATCCCAGAATTCCCACGTGTTTTGGGAGGGACCCAGAGGGAGGTAATTGAATCATGGGGGCCAGTTTTTCCCATGCCATTCTTGTGATAGTGAATAAGTCTCACAAGATCTGATAGTTTATCAGGGGTTTCTGCTTTTGCTTCTTCCTCATTTTCTCTTGCCACCACCATGTAAGAAGTACCTTTCACCTCCCGCCATGATTCTGAGGCCTCCCCAACCATGTGGAACTGTAAGTCCATTTAATCCTCTTTTTCTTCCCAGTCTTGGGTATGTCTTTATCAGCAGCATAAAAAAGGTCTGATACAGGGCCTGATGGGAGTTATTTTAGAAGCCTTCCCTCTGAAGTCTGCTTGGACTAACATGGAACTATGTATTCCGAAGGAGGGTCTCATCCCAAAACCTGTGTCAAACAATTGGCACATAGCTCTAAATCCAGAAGCCCTAGAACATAGAAATCTTTTGATTTCTACCTTAGTTAGAAGTCTTCTTCCTTAGATGTAAAGAAACAATTAAAAAAAAAATCAGGTATAAGCCATAAAGTGTTGTGTCTTTAACAAAAGAGACTGCCTCAGAGAACCTTAGAAAGGACTGTGACAGATACTGTGTGGTACAGGCTTCTGATGACATCACTTAAATAACTTTAAGATTATACCACTGACCTAAGTAAAAGAAAATTCAGAACTTATGGAGATGCTGATAGGTCATAAAACCACTAACCCAAGATCAAGCAAAACAAGAATTACATGAAATTGAATGAACTGATGAAAAATGATTATCATTTTGCTTGTGACTCTTGCTCAAAATATTGCTAGCTGTTTAGTATTCTGTTTTCTGGATATAAGGAATCCCTTTCCTTTTCTCTCCAGCTATCTAGAAATCAAAACAATTTAGTAGATTATATTCACAATAGCAAAGTCACAGAATCAACCTAAGTGTCTACCCTAAGTGGATGATTGAATAAAGAAAATATGTTATATATACACTATGAAATAGTATGCAGCCATATAAAAGAATGAAATCATGTCTATTGCAGCAACATGGATGGAGATGTAGGCCATTATCCTAAGTGAAATAACTCAGAAACAGAAAATCAAATATTGTACATTCTCACGTATCAGTGGAAACTAAACAATGGGTACACATGAATGCACAGAAGGAAATAATAGACACTAGGAACTCCAAAAGTGAGGATGTTGGGAGAAGGCATGAGAAATGGAAAATTACCTGTTGGGTACAATATTCATTATTCAGGTTCTGGGTACACTAGAAGCCCAAACCCCACCACTACACAATATATCTACGTAACAAACCTTCACATGTACCTCCTGAATTTAAATTTATTTTTTTAATTTAGTAGATTAAACTTTGTCAACAAAAATAAAGCATTTATCTTTTTCTCTCTACCTAATCCTGTCAGAAATTGGAGGATACTTTTGAGTATTTTTATTTTTCTGTAAATATAGTTATTTGCATAAATTTAATAATAATCTGTTCTCCTTGTAATAGAATGTCTTTGTTTTGTGCTGCTGTAATAGAATATCTGAGACTGAGTAAAAGCAAAAATTTATTTCCTCACATTTCAGGAGGCTGTGAAGTCCAAGATCAAGGTTCTATGTATTTGTTTGGTCTCACATTACTATAAGGAAATACCCAAGATTGGGTAATTTGTAAAGGAAAGAGGTTTAATTGAATCACAGTTTATCATGGCTGGTGAGGCCTCAGGAAACTTACAATCATGGTGGAAGGCAAAGGGGAAGGAAGGCACCTTCTTCATAAGGCAGCAGGAAGAAGTGCTGAGCAAAGGAGGAAAAGTCCCTTATAAAACCATCAGATAAGGAGAGAACTCACTCAGTATCACAAGAACAGCATGAAAGAAACCACACTCATGATTCAATTACCTACACCTGGTCTCTCCCTTGACACTTAGAGATTATGGGAAATATAATTCAAGATGAGATTTGAGTGGGGACACAAAGCCTAACCATATCATTCCACTCCTGACCCTTCCCAAATCTCATGTTTCATTCACATTTCAAAACCAATTATGCCTTCCCAACAGTCCCCCAAAGTCTGAATTCATTCCAGCATTAACCCAAAAGTCCAAGTTTAAAGTCTCATCTGAGAAAAGGCAAGTCTCTTCCACCTATGAGACTGTAAAATCAAAGCAAGTTAGTTGCTTCCTAGATACAATGGGAGTAAAGGCATTGGGTAAATACACCCATTCCAAATGGGAGAAATTGGCCAGAATGAAAGGGCTACAGGCCCCATGGAAGTCCAAAATCCAGCAACACAGTAATTAAAGCTTAAAGCTCTAAAATGATCTCCTTTGACTCCATGTCTCACATCCAAGTCATGCTGATGCAAGAGGTGGGCTCCCATGATCTTGGGCAGCTCTGTCCCTGTGGCTTTACAGGTTACAGCCCCCCTCCCAGCTGCTAGTACAGGCTGACATTGAGTGTCTGCAGCTTCTCCAGGTGCATGATGCAAGCTGTCAGTGGATCTGCCATTCTGGGGTCTGGAGGATGGTGGCTGTCTTCTCACAGTTCCACTAGGCAGTGCCCCCATGGGGACTCTGTGTGGGAGCTCCCATCCCACATTTCCCTTCTGCACTGCGCTAGCAGAGGTACTCCACAAGGGCTCCACCCCTGTGGCACACCTCTGCCTTGACATCCAGACGTTTCCATGCATCCTCTGAAAAATATAGGTGGGGGTTCCCAAACCTCCAAATGGTGGCTTCCATGCAGAGTTGACTTCTGTGCACCCCCAGGCCCAACTCTGCATGGAAGCCACCAAGGCTTGGGGCTTGCACCCTCTGAAGCAATGACCTGAGCTCTATGTTGGTCCCTTTTAGCCAGGGCTAGTACACAGAGCACCAAGTTCTAAGACTGCACAAAGAAGCAAGGCCCTGGGCCTGGCCCAGGAAACCATTTATTCTTCTTAGGCCTCTGGGCCTGTGATGGGAGGGGCTGCCATGAAGTCTTCTGACATGCCCCAGAGACATTTTCCCCATTGCCTTGGCAATTCACATTTGGCCCCTTGTTACTTATGCAAATTTCTGCAGCTGGCTTGACTTTCTCCCTAGAAAATGAGTTTTTCTTTTTTGTCACATCATCAGACTGCAAATGTTTTAATCTTTTATGCTCTGCTCCTCTTTTAAACAAGAAGGGAGCTGATTGGATCATGGGGGCATGAGATATGCTATTCTCATAATAATGAGTGAGTTCTCACAAGATCTGATGATTTCATAAGTGTTTGAAGTTCCTTCTTCATTCTCTCTCCTGCCACCATGTGAAGAATTGAAGAAGGTTCTTGCTTCCCCTTTGCCTCCCACCATGATTTTAAGTTCTCTAAGGCCTCCCCAGACATGTGGAACTGTGAGTCAATTAAAACTGTTTCCTGTATAAATTACCTAGTCTAGGACATTTCTTTATAGCAGTGTGAAAATGAACTACTGTTACACACCTGCATACACATTATCATAAACTGTATTTCCCATATGTTCCTCCAAAATCCATTTGTCTTTCCTAAAGAAATTCATGTTTTCTTCTCATAGAAGTCTTTTTATCTTCCTTCTCTTTTTAAACGAGGTACATAAACCTCTACCTTTAGCCATTTAGTGAGCCACTTCTTTTGTGCGCTCCCACATGCATATGAATCAACTTTCTGATTTTGTTTTCTCTTGCTAGTCTGTCTTTTGTCAGGTTAATCTGGGGGTCCCAACCACTGAACTTAAATAGGGAGAGGAAACTTTTACTTCCCAGACAATGGTTGAGCATTTAGTTCTCAAAAAAAAGGCAGGGGACCAGCAGAATTAAAGAGAGCAAATAGATAATGATGCCTGCTGAAGACAAAAAAGAAGTGGAACAAAGGAAAAATGTAGAAAGAGCAGAAGGTCAAGAGAAACATGGCATTCTTTAGTTGGTATTAAAACAAGCCTATAGACTAGACATTACATAAATAAATATGGCATAATAAAACTCAGTAAACTAAAGTCAACTCCTTATCTACATAGACCACTGAAAAAGTAAGAGTTGGAATCAGAAGAACTTGTGTGACCCAAAACTATTTAGGAAATAGAATACTTATCTAATGGCTGTATTTAATTCCTTTCAAAAGGATAGAATGATAAAATTTATTGTTTCCTACTGTTCCAACACGATCATTACAAAATTTTCTGTATAAACTGGAACTTTCAAATTTCATGCTCGAACTAAATCTGATATGAAGATGACTGTGGCCCCTTGGGAAGAATTATGATCCAACAATGAGAAGCCTTGGCCTTCATCTTTGTGGTACATACATCATTCATTATAGATATCTATGTTTCATAATAGACCTTGCCAGTATGAATTGTATTTCTAGCACTAGGCTGATAAAACTGACACCTCAGCCTTCCAAAGTGATATCTAAATATGGAATGCAGAGGCAATTATTGTGACCTATGGCTACAAACATAAACATTCCACATAACCCTCCACCACCACGACACCTACAAATGCACAAATTACCATGGATATGTCATTTCCTAAGGTTGAATTATGGGCCAGCCTACCCACAGGACAAGAAGAAGCACCCTAAGATTAATTAATTTGCATAAATTCTGAGGTGTTTTCCTCCCAAAGTTTATGCCCACATTGGCCTTCCTGACTCACAGTTAAACCTCTCTTTGGGATAAAATAAGGCATGGGCAAAGCCTTCATAACTAAAACACCAAAAGCAATGGCAACAAAAGCCAAAATTGACAAATGGAATCTAATTAAATAAAGAGCTTCTGCACAGCAAAAAAAACTATCATCAGAGTGAACAGGCAACCTACAGAATGAGAGAATTTTTTTGCAATCTATCCATCTGAAAAAGGGCTAATATCCAGAATCTACAAAGAGCTTATACAAATTTACAAGGAAAAAAAACCCATCAAAAGGTGGGTGAAGGATATGAACAGACACTTCTCAAAAGAAGATATTTATGCAGCCAACAAACATATAAAAAAAGCTCATTTTCACTGGTCATTAAAGAAATGCAAATCAAAACCACAATGAGATACCATCTCACACCAGTTAGAATGGCGATCATTAAAAAAGTCAGGAAACAACAGATGCTGGAGAGGATGTGGAGAAATAGGAATGCTTTTACACTGTTGGTGGAAGCGTAAATTAGTTCAACCATTGTGGAAGACAGTATGGCAATTCCTCAAGGATCTAGAGCCAGAAATACAATTTGACCCAGCAATCCCATTACTGGGTATATACCCAAAGGATTATAAAACATTCTACTATAAAGACACATGCACATGTATGTTTACTGCAGCACTATTCACAATAGCAAAGACTTGGAACCAACCAAAATGCCAATCAATGATACACTGGATAAAGAAAATGTGGCACATATATACCATGGAATACCATGCAGCCATAAAAAAGGATGAGTTCATGTCCTTTGCAGAGACATGGATGAAACTGGAAACCATCATCCCCAGCAAACTAACACAGGAACAGAAAGCCAAACACTGCATGTTCTCACTCACAAGTGGGAGTTGAACAATGAGAACACATGGACACAGGGAGGGGAATATCACACACCGGGGCCTGTCAGGGGGTGGGGGCCTAGGGGAGGGGTAGCATTAGGAGAAATACCTAATGTAGATGATGGGTTGGGATGCAGCAAACACCATAGCTCATGTATACCTATGTAACAAACCTGCATGTTCTGCACATGTACCCCAGAACTTAAAGTACAATTAAAAAAAATACCTATCCTCAGATTGAATTATGCTGTAAATGTGAAAGAACCTGTCTCAGTGCTAGCTACATAGAACAACTTCAATAAATATTTGCTGAAAAAGTGAGCCATGCCTCCAAATAAACGCCCTAGACAATTACAGACAGAGCTAGCATATTACGACCACTTGATAACCACTGTTGATTGTACAATTATCTTTTCTACTCCTTCAAGCATATGGAGCAGCACAGAGCTTTGTCACCATTTTCTCCACTTATCCTGCCTAATTGCCTCATAAACTTTGCTCCATGAATAATCCTATATTAGTCTGGTATTTTCAATCACTTATTCTCCAGTGTCTTTCTCTCTCAGGCCAAAATATGGTTGGGGCTCTCACATACTTAAATGATCCCCATTTACCCTGCCTGACCTTTTGATAACTGTCCTATCTTCATCTTTCAGGTCAGAATATTCTAGAAAGAAGATTCTGTATTCACTCCTTTCTGAACAACTGTCTATGAACTCTTTTTTTTCCTTTTATTGGGACGGAGTTTCACTCTTGTTGCCCAGGCTGGAGTCCAGTGGCGCAATCTTGGCTCACTGCAACCTCTGCCTCCCCATTTCAAGCGATTCTCCTGCCTCAGCCTCCAGAGTAGCTGGAATTACAGGCATGCACCACCATGCCTGGATAATTTTGTGTTTTTAGTAGAGACAGGGTTTCTCCATGTTGGTCGGGCTGGTCTCGAACTCCCAACTTCAGATGATCCAACTACCTTGGCCTCCTAAAGTGCTGACATTACAGGCATGAGCCACCGCACCCAGCCACTGAACTCATTTTAAACTGGCTTCTCCTTTACAACTACAAAAAATGTGGCAACTAAGGCTACTACAAGCTTCTTAGCTGCTCCTTTCAATAAATGTGGTTCAAAATTCATATAACTTTATTTTTATTTTTGTTTAGTGATACTTGTCTTCCTGGAACTCACTTAGCTTCAATTACACAAAATCCTCCAAGTTTTCCTCTTTCTGATTTTTCTTTCTTAATCTGTTCTTCTAGTTCATTTTTCTCCTTTTCTTCATAATTCTTTCCTTGATTCCTTCCTTTTCTCAGTCTGCATATACTTTCCTTGAGTGATCTCAACCATCCTCACAGTTTTAATCTCACCTATGTCCCTAAATTTCTCTCTAACACTAGCTACTCTTCAGTCTTCCTATAAAATATTTGCAGCTGTTCCTTGATAGGTACTCCACAGGAACTTCAAGCTCCACATGTTCAAAATGGAATGTTTCTTTAAATATTGTCATCCAGCAGTAATTTCAATTATGCTCATTACCAAACAATTCCCAAGATTTGTTCATTCTAAGTCATAAATATGTCTGGAATCTGTCTTTTCCCCTCAATCCCCACCACTCTCCCTGAGCTCATGTCTTGGACAGTTATGATACTGTAAATTTTATTCTCTTGGTTCCTCAATCTTCTCCTTGAATATGTCTCTCTGTTACTAACATAAGAACAAAATAAAATCTTTTGCTTAGCTAATTCACTCAGACTTCTTCTAATCTTCTACCATGGCCACACGATTTATTCATTCATTCAAGAAATCTTTATTATAATTACTTAATATGTGTTCTTGTAAATGGCAGAGATATAATGATGAATAAATGGTGGTCACTAAACTTGTGAAATTTACAACCTAGTAGAGAGGAAAAGCAAACAAAAAAGGTTACAAAAGTGGTAGATGCTATGTATTTAGGATATATATATTCAGTACAGCAGAGGCATTAGAGAATGAGTGGACGACTTTTCTGATTCTTAGGCCCACTGATGCCACACTGGACTCTTGAAAGAACAGAATGATGAGGAAGGGAAGAGTTTTTTTTCTCATCTTTTATTTTAGGCTCAGGGGATACATGTGCAGGTTTGTTACATGGGTATAATGTGTGTCATTGGAGTTTGGTATACAAATGATTTCATCACCCAGGTAGTGAGCATAGTACCTGATAGGTAGTTTTTTTACCCTCACCATCCTCCCACCCTCAAGTAGGCCCTAGTGTCTATTGTTCTCATCTTTGTATCCATGTGTGCTCAATGTTTAGTTCCCACTTATAAGTGAGAACATGGGGTATGTGGTCTGCTGTTCTGCATTAATTTGCTTAGGATAATGGCCTCCAGCTTCATCCACGTTGCAGCAAGGACATTATTTCATATTCTTTTGTGGTTGCATAGTATTCCATTGTGTATATGTACCACATTTTCTTCATAATCCACTATTGATGGGCATCTAGGTTAATCCCATGTCTTTGCGAATGTGAATAGTGCTGGCATGAACATATGGGTGCATGTGTCTTTCTGTTAGAGCGAGTTATATTCCTTTGGGTATATACCGGAAATCGGATTGCCAGGTCAATGGTAGATCTGTGTTAAGTTCTTTGAGAAACCCGAAAAGTGAGTTTTGAAAAGCCTTGTGCTCTAGATAAACCAAATTACTTAAGATTTCTTTTATTCTCTCTCTCCTTTAATATGTCGTATAACTACACATATTGCTCCTAATTAAAATGTCTCCTCTTTCAGACACCCAATTCACTCCTTCTAAGCCATCTCAAAAGTCATCTATCATGCAGACCTTTTATGACTCTCCCAAAAACTAAATCATTCTCTTCTCTCTGATCCATAGCTTATTGGTAACTCTAATCTACACTGTAGTCATTTGCTTCCACTTCAGTTATTTAGAGGGAGGAGTTATGTGTTTTCCATCTTCGCATCCTGATTTCTGGCAAATAACAACCAGAGTCTCCATTATCATCTGTTGAATGGTTACAGCACACCAAGTGTTTGATGTACATTATCACTAATTTTCACAATAATCCTTAACTGTAAACATTATTATCATGCTTACATCTGACTAAGGGGCAGAGAGGCTGTGTTTACCTAGCTCAACACAGTTAGTAAGTGGTGAAGCTGAGTTTGAAATTTAGGTGTCAATCTCTCTCCAAAACCTATATATTCTTATTGATGAACTACAGTATCATCCTAGTCGATAGTGAAGGAATGTTGAAAGGATAAATAGATAGATTCATGAATAAATCAGTGGTTGAGTACATGATCTTCTAGAGTTGAAATAATAAAATATTAGCACAAGCTCCATACCCATTAGCTTCTTCTCATATGTGAGATAATACTGAAACCCACAAAATTTTATTGTAGTCTTGCTGCGTATATCCTAATCGTCTGTCTTGATCTGCTTATGTCTTATATAGACATATACACAAAAATAATTGCTTTTTTAAATGAAAACTTCCATAAGATTCCACCTAGTAGAACATAAAATAATACAGCTGAACATATGTAATTACATTATGTAATTATGCTATGTAATGCCACATAAGGTATTATCAATAGATTAAGTGTTTTTGTCCAGATAGAAAACAATCTGATAAATAAAATGTGATTATTGCTGTCATTAGATATACTTTAGAAAGATATTTTCACTTGTTTCAGATCTTATACCTAATATCCTAAGTTATGTTGTAACTTCATCACATGTAATGTGTGATATATAAATACCCAAATAGGAATAGATCATATTTTGGTGTCATTTGGTGTTTATCTTGCCTGGAAATCCTAGAAACCAGAAACCAGAGGGTGACAGACAATTCTCAGTTTTGTGCATTTTGTATTAACTTTCATAAGCAAGTTCTATAATTTGCAACCTCATGAAGACAACAAAAAGTTGAGGCTGATTATGTCTACTAAATAGTTACCTTGGGCATACTTCTATAGTTAATGTCCAGTGAGATTTTAGTATTAACTTACTATGGCTTCCATATTCCTCAGCATACATTAAACTATGCTGCAGTAACACATCAACCCCTAATTCCAAGGATATGGTAGGTTAAATAATGATATCTGATATGACGTGGATGTTTGTCCCCTCCAAATTTCATGTTGAAGTTTGACCCCCAGTGTTGGAGGTGGGCCTAGTGGGAGATGTTCAGGTCATGGGAGCTGATACCTCAGGAATGGCTTGGTGTTGTCTTCATGGTAGTGAATGAGTTCTCACTCTACGAGTTCACGTGATGTACTGGCTCCCTCTTTGCCTTCCACCATGACTGTAAGCTTCCTGAGGCCTCACCACAAGCCAAACAGATGCACGTGCCATGCTTGCACAACCTACAGAAACATGAACCAAATAAAACCCTTTTCTTTATAAATTACCCAGTCTCAAGTATTCCTTTATAGCAATGCAGAATGGCTTAATATAGTCTCCAATGGTGTCCATATCCTAATCTCAAGAACCTGTAACTATGTTACCTTATTTAGCAAGAGGGACTTTGCAGATTAAGTTAAGAATGTTGGAATGGGGAACTATGCTGGATTATTTGGGTGGGTCCGAGTAATCACACAGGTCCTCATAAGATGGAGGCAAGAAGGTCAGAGCGAGAGAAGAAAATGTGAAATTAGAAGTAGCAAACAGGGAGACAAGGAGAGGAAAACACAGATTTGAAGATGTTATGCTGTTAGCTTTGAAGATGTTATGCTGTTAGCTTTGAAGATGAAGGAAGGGGCCACAAGCCAAGGAATACTGGTATCCTGTAGAAGTTGCAAAAAGCAAGGAAATAGATTCTCCCCAAGAGCATCTAGTAGCACTATACAGCTTTGACAACATCTTGATTTTAGAACTTCTCAATCCCACAACTATAAGATAATAAATTTGCTTTGTTTTAAGCCACTTAGTTCACGGTAATTTGTTATAGTAACAATAGGAAACTAAGATAAAGGTCCTTAACATAAAAAAGAGTTACCACTTTAGACATGCCACATGTCCATCACTGGTCAGTGGCAGGGCTTTTCCTTATATAGTCACTTAAGAACTCAGGTAGACATAGATTCTACTATTTGAAAAGTCACTGGTCACCAGAGCAGGAAGAAGAAAGTATATGGAGAACTCAGACCCATTCTTCTATACTTCAGTCTAGATGGTAACACATGTCACTTCTGTTCATTATCAGTTGGCCAGAAAGTCATATAATCTTGCAAACTACAGAGAGTTGACAAGTGTAACCTCCTATGAGCCTGAAGGGAAAGAAGAACTGGATTTTAATCAGCACTGAATTCGACATTTTAATATCTACCTTAGCCTCATACTAGGGAGTCCATGAAAATCTTGAGAAAAGGTGGAAAGAAATGTTTCTTACCTGATGGGTCTAGATTCCTCTCTTTCATAGTTCCAGATCTGCTCTTGTGTGCCAGTGTGTGTTGAAATGACCTGCTCCTTATGTTACCAGAGCCTATGTTGTTAACTACAGAGAATTCTCAGTATCTGAAATTCTTCACATTTAGATGTCATGCAAAGAATATTAACTCTTTCTACAGCTCTAGTTATTGCAATGCAATACACAATCAATGAATTTGAAAAATTTGTTTCTCCAAAGTTGCAAATACAAATCATGCTGAGCCTTGCATCTCTTTATTTCTCAGTTTTATTGCTTTCTTTATCATATTTGATGCATACTTCAGAACAGCGGAAAGATATAACCCACTTTTTCTTTTCATAGATGACAGCAAAGTACAGGTAGGGCAAAATCTGAAAACAGCTCCCAACACAGTTGGACACCAACCCTGCTAGAGTACTCTAGAGAGGATGCTTAACCATGTCATGCAAATTTTTTGTAATTTTTTTGCATATGTACCTTACAATATTCACATTTGGCTGTAATGGCATAGTATATGTAATGAAATGTGATAGATAAGCAAAATCTTTTTAAATATTTCCATAAAAGAGAGACAATATTAAACTATTAACAACTGACCACTCTATGATACATGGACTCCTAAGACAGGCCCCATTGATCCCTGCCTCCTATATAATCTCATACCCTTGTGTGATATCTTTCCCTTGAGTATGCCCTGGACTTAATGACTTGTTTCTAATGAATTGAATGTAACAAAAGTGATGGGATGTCATTTCAGTCCTTAAGTTGCAAAAGACTGACTTTCCTCTTCCTTGCAGATTCTCTCTCTCTTGCTGTTTTTGATGAAGCAGACTGCTATGTAGAAGTGGCCAGGTGGCAAGAAACTGAGGTTAGCCTCTGGCCAACAGTCAGCAGGAAACTGAGGCCCTCTGACCAAGAGCCTGCAAGGAATTGAATTATGCCAACAACCAAGTGAGTGAGCTTGCAAGTGGATCTTTCCACAGTTGATCCTTAAAATTAGACCTCAGCCCCAGATGTCACAATGATTGTAGCCTGTGGAAGATCCTAAGCAGAAAATCCAATTAAGTTTTACCTACATTCCCAGCCCACAGAAACTGTGAGATACTCAGTATGCTGTTTTAAGTCATTTAGTTTGGGGTAATTTATTACATAGCAGCATATAATTAAGACACTAGACATTTTGTTTCTTCGGGATTTTTGTTTTTGTTTTTCTTTATTTTTTATGTTGTTCCAACATGTTTGCTTTTTCCTCTTTTAATAGGTTCAAGAATAGTGAGAAAAAGGAAAATTAAAGTGTTGGAGTAAATGGTTTTGGCAATAATAAAATGTAGATTCAATTTTTTTGATATTTAAGAATGAAATTTTGTAAGAGATATTTATTTTTAAAGGGAGCTGCTCTAGAATCTAGACATTAATATGTCCCCAAAATGTGTTTACAGATTTCTCCATTCACACACACAAAATCTAATTTCTACCTTAGTTTACAGAAATCCACCCTTTGTGTAAGGTGAGTTATACCTAACAGAAGTTTATCACTTTCTTATTAAAGAACTCTATGTCTTTGGTCTCTTCTTCCTAATGAATATCAACATTTGAGGAGAAAGATATATAATCAGGAGGGAAAAGTGATCTGAAATAAAGACTTGAATATTGTTATTAGATTTAGACTATGTTAAGATGAATTGCTCTCTCATGGAAAGACTCAATAACTTATGCCTAAGAATAATATAATAATCACAACGATAGCCATATTGTTGTTTTGAATTTGGGTAACAGAAGAACATAGATCTTTAAACTATTAGGCATATCTTTTCTGCTCAAAACAATTTCTTTACATTTTATCCCTTTAAGTCCTTTAAAGCTTATCACACAGAAAAAATAACAGTCTGGGAGAGGAAGACTAAAGAAATCAACTTTCTTCAGAGCACATATAGATTTATTGTAGCCAATTGATGACACTGCAAAACTGGCACAAAGGCAAATACTTAATAAATAAATGAAAATCAGAGTGGATCAGTTCAGTGCTGTATGTTTTGAACCGGGTCCTCAAAGGCAAGTCATCATCAGAAGAAAGAAAAATGCATTTAAGGAGCGTTAATTATTGTCTATCTCCAAGACCAAAATAAAAAAAGCTTAAAACTTTTAGACTGTTAAAAATCTACTATACTAGGATATTAAAGTATTTTAAAGAAAATGAGATTTATGCTTAATAAAAAAATTCCCATTAAACAGCAAACTATTAGAAGAGAAAATCATTCTGAATCTCTACACTTCTCAATCCAAATACAATGCCATGAGCTATAATTCAGTAAAAAGCTCTATATTTTGGATCCTGAAGCTTGACTCATAATTGAAAGGAAACCCTCCTAATTCATGATTGCTTGTCTCACGTACATTACAGAGTAACCTTTACTGTAGTTTCAAAGTTTAAGATTTTATTTACAGTAGTTTTTGCGAGGTCGTCAATTGACACAATGTAGTTGCTATTTGTGAAAGACAACAATTTGAACTGCAACTTGAAATCAATTGGAAACCAGTCCAGTCTCTAGAGGACACTTGCAATATGCTTCACGGGGCTAACCCCATTAAGCATCAAATGCAGCTACAAACTCAGCACACTAAATGAAGCTTTTCTATTGCACAAGAGAATAACTTCACATGAATGACAATTTCTGTAATGCTTAGGCTTGACAAAATCTTTAACCTTAAGTGTAATACTAATCAAAATAATTCCAGGAAATATTGTTTACACATTATCATCTGGAACTAGCTGGTAAGGATTGAGAAGTTTGTCAATAATTAGGTGCTCTGACTTTTATATAACTTATAAGTAGAGTTGTCAACTCTAAAATCTGGGGAGTTTGGTAGCTCTGTTAAGTTGGGGAAAATGTAGATCCCCAGCCTCAGTATTCTCATCTCTAATATGGGAATTCTGGAACAAATGATCCTGTATCGATACACTATTGCTGTACAACAAATTAAGCTTAATGGATGAAGATAACCACTTATTATTTTGTTTCAACTCAGGGACTGGCTCAGCAGCTCTGCTGCTCTGGGCCATGCTCACCTGCTCTCAGCTGGGCTCACTCATGCATCTGCTATCAGCTGGCTGGTTAACTGTAGTTAGTTCATCTTGATGGCATCATTGGGGAAACTCAGCTCTCTTTCACTGGACTTCTCTTATATTTCTCCAGCAAACTGGAAAGGGTGTGTTCTCGTGGCAGGGGCAGGAGTCTACAAAAGAAAGCAGAAATGCAGAAACACATTTCAGGCTTCTGCTTGCATCAGTTCCACTAAAATCCCATTGTTCTCGTCATGTAGCCAACTTAGAATAAGAATGGGGAGGTCACTACCAAAGGGCATGAAATAGAAAGGCATGAGGCATGGAAAATTAGATCCATTAGTATAATCACCTTACAATAATCTTAAAGTTGCTTTTCTGCAGATAATTGTTTGAGTATAGGTTTTTTAAAAGAGGCATCCAACACAAAATACTGGAAAATATACTGTGAGTGAGGAGGGAATATAAGAGAAAGAAAATCAACTACCTCTTCTCTGCCAATAAGTCTTTGTGTAATTAGATATGAAAGGCCCACACTTGAAAAAAGATCAGATATATTTTAATTAAAAGTGAGTACCTTACAACTGACTGATCTACTTTTCATGCATTTTTCTCTTAACATTTTTCTGTCAAAGTTTTTCAAAATATAATAACCAAACAAGGAAAATACAACAGATAACTATGTTTGATGAATGCCTGATTACATACATTCATTTTCACTTCTCATTCTCATTCGAGTAAGAGCAAAAGAAACATGAATGGGGAGAAAAGGGGAGTAATATAGTATTTTTAAAAAGAAAGAATATTAGGGGTTTTATTTTTACACATTTCCTTTAATGCCCATCAGAGACCCATTATAATATCGAAGGGCATCTTTTGTTCGGTGTAGTTGTACTGATAGATAATGAGGAGTAATCTGAACCAAGTACATTGCACTGTGATGTCATGCCCAGGAACTGTTTTATAAACCACTACTAGATAAAAGACCTCTTCCCTTATTGACTTCTTCTTTTAGGACTCTAGAGGAACCCTATTAAATTTCATCTTCAAATTCTGCCCATAGACAGTCTTAAAATTCAAGGTTATAAGTCATATTCTTGACCACTGGTTAAATCACCCAGTAATAAAAATGCATTTCTTCCCTGTTTTGAAGGATAACCCTGAGAACTAAGGTATGGTAAAGGACAAAGCTATGTAAGCACATATAAATCACAGTTATGTTTTTGCAGTAGGTCATGATATTTCTGCCTCCAACCCCTCTCTTCTTTTCCTCTGAGGTAGATTCTAAAACTTTGAACGAACACACTTACAGTGATGTTTATACATTTATACTTTACAAATCATTTAAAGTAATACAGTATTCAACTCTATAATTCTAATTTTCTAATAATTCCTCAATTGAGTTAAAAGCTATGACCAATTTGACTAATGCATGAAAAATTAACTGACTTATCAGAGGTCACATCAATCAACCACTCTGCCAAGACAAGAAATCTCATAGTTTGGCTGTTGAAGCATTTATTTAACTAATATCCCTAGAGGAGTCAAGCTATAGCAGACCTTTACATATTCAAAATGTCTTGAAGGCTCATCTTTTAAAAGTTGTCTTAGTCTGTATGGGCTGCTATAACAAAATGTCATAAATGGGGTAGCTTATGAGCAACAGAAATTTATTTCTCATAGTTCTGAAGGCTGGGAAATCCAAGATCAAGGCACTGACAGATTTGTTGTCTAGTGTAGGCCCACTTTCTGGCTCATCAATGACATCTTGCTATGCAGTCACACGGTGGATGGGGTAAGAAATCTCTCTCTGGCATCTTCTGGAAGAACTCTAATCCCATTTGTGAGGGTTCCTCCCCCAAGACCTAATCATTTCCCAAAGGCCCCACCTTCTAATACAATCACCTTGGGGGTGAGGATTTCAACATATTTGGACATAAATGTCAGACCATAACAAAAATCATTTTATATTCTATGTCATAACGTGACCCTGTTAAGATAGCATAAAGGCATTTGGAATTTCTAATCTTTTATTCCCAGTCCACATGTAAACTGGCACAAGAGGAATAAGCTGTAGGCTCATCCTGTGGTTTCAATAACCCATATCCCACTGCCATTTGTTCCAGCTTGGGAAACATGACCCTAAGCCAGTCTGTGCTGCACTGTTTGTATTATTCCAACAATCAAAGTTTCATTTTTTCTATATTTGTATCAGTCCATTTTCACACTGCTGATAAGGACATACCAGAGACTGGGAAGAAAAAGAGGATTAATTGGACTTACAGTTCCACATGGCTGGGAAGGCCTCAGAATCATGGTGGAAGGTGAAAGGAACCTCTTACACGGTGGTGGCAAGAGAAAATGTGAAGGAAGCAAAAGTGGAAACCCCCGATAAACCCGTCAGATCTCGTGAAACTCACTCACTATCACAAGAATAGCACAGGAAAGACCAGCCCCCATGATTCAATTACCTCCCTGTGGGTCCCTCCCACAACACGTGGGAATTCTGGGAGATATAATTCAAGTTGAGATTTGGGTGGGGACACAGGCAGACCATATCATTCTGTATCATTCTGCCCCTGGCCCCTCCAAATCTCACGTCCTCACATCTCAAAACGAATCATGCCTTCCCAGCAGTCCCCCAAAGTCTTAACTCATTTCAGCATTAACCCAGAAGTCCACAGTCCAAAGTCTCATCTGAGACAAGCAAATCCCTTCCATCTATGAGCCTGTAAAATCAAAAGCAAGCTAGTTACTTCCTAGATACAATGGGGGTACAGGTATTGGGTAAATACAGCAATTCCAAGTGAGAGAAATTGGCCAGAACAAACGGGTTACAGGGCCCCTGCTAGTCCAAAATCCAGCAGGGTAGTCAGATTTTAAAGCTTAAAAGTTACTTTTTTTGACTCCTGATCTCACATCCAGGTCATGCTGATGCAAGGGGTGGATTCCCATGGTGTTGGGCAGCTCTGCTCCTGTGTCTTTGCAGGGTACAGCCCCTCCTCCCAGCTGTTTTCATGGGCTGGTGTTTAGAGTTTGTTGCTTTTCTAGGCACATGGTGCAAGCCATCAGTAAATCTACCATTCTGGGGTCTGAAGGATGGTGGTCCTTTTCCCAGAGTTCCACTGGGCTGTGCCCTAGTAAGGACTCGGTGTGGGGGCTCCTACCCCACATTTTCCTTCCACACTGCTCTAGCAGAGGTTCTCCATGAGGGCCCCACTCCTGCAGCAAACTTTTGCCTGGGCATCCAGGCATTTCCATACATCTTCTGAAATCTAGGTGAGGGTTCCTAAACCTCAATTTTTAACTTCTGTGCACGTGCAGGCTCAACACCACATGGAAGCTGCCAAGGCTTGGGGCTTCCAACCACTGAAGCCACAGCCCGAGCTCTACATTGGCCCCTTTTCAACCATGGCTGGAGCAGTAGGAAAACAGGACACCAAGTCCCCAGGTTGCACACCTCATGGGCACCCTAGGCCTGGCCTGGCCTACAGAATCACTTTTTCCTCCTAGGCCTCTGGGCCTGTGATGAGAGGGACTGCCATGAAGGTCTCCGACATGACCTGGAGACATTTTCCTCATTATCTTGGGGATTAACATTAGGCTCCTGGCTCCTTATGCACATTTCTGCAGCTGGATTGAATTTCTCCCCAGAAAATGGGTTTTTCTTTTCTATCACATTGTCAGGCTGCAAATTTTCTGAACATTTATGCTCTACTTCCCTTATAAAACTGAATACCTTTAACAGTACCCAAGTCACCTCTTGAATGCTTTGCTGCTTAGAAATTTCTTCCATCAGATACCCTAAATCATCGTTCTTGAGTTTAAAGTTCCACAAATCCCTAGGGGAGGGGCAAAATGCCACCAGTCTGTTTGCTAAAACATAACAAGAGTCACCTTTGCTTCAGTTCCCAACAACTTCCTCATCTCCTCCTCTGAGACAGCCTCAGCCTGGACCTTATTGTCAATATCTCTATCAAGCTTTTGTTCAAAGCCATTCAACAAGTCTCTAGGAAGTTCCAAACTTTCCCACATTTTCCTGTCTTCTTCTGAGCCCTCCAAACTGTTTCAACCTCTGCCTGTTACCCAGTTCCAAAGTTGCTTCCACATTTTTGGGTATCTTCTCAGCAGTACCCCACTCTCAGTACCAATTTACTGTATTAGTCCATTTTCACACTGCTGATAAAGACATACCCAAGACTGGTAAGAAAAGGAGGTTTAATTGAATTTACAACTCCATGTGGCCGGGGAGGCCTCAGAATCATGGCAGGAGGTGAAATGCACTTCTTACATGGCAGCAGCAAGAGAAAATGAGGAAGAAGCAAAAGTGGAAACCCCTGATAAACCCATCAGATCTCGTGAGGCTTATTCACTATCATGGATAGCACGGGAAAGACCAGCTCCCATGATTCAATTACCGTCCCCTGGGTCCCTCCCACAACATGTGGGAATTCTGGGAGATACAATTCAAGTTGAGATTTGAATGGGGACACAGCCAAACCATATCAATGTTAAAACAAAATCCTAACATAATTTTTTGTCTTACATATTGAACTTGGAATTCCTGGCTTTTTATTTACTTGGAACTTCAAAAATTGTTATAGATATACCACTTTTTTTTTTCTGTCAGGACCTAATTCTTATTTTAAAAAGTTACATGATGTCAGTTTCAATTTCTCTTGAGATTTCACTTGGATAACACAGACTATCACAATTTTGCCTCTAATTCACTCTCTGGTGAATTGCTCTGCTCTATCATTAAGGTTTTGAGCCTACCTTTATAAAATGGGCACAAAAAGGAAGTAAAAATTATGGTTCTTACATTCACTTCTTATGCATGTAAGAAAGGATAGAAAGATAATTTGGAGCTATATTACAAAATGAGTCAGAATCTGCCTACTAGTTCTGGAGGTCTTTCACAAACTCTCAAATTCTTGGGAAAACACAGCACTCTTTTAAAATGTCATGTTACATGGCCATTCACTGCCTATTATACTACTACACTCAAGCCCATGATTTCAGAAAGTCCCTCTCAAAAGGAGGTTCAGAGTGCAACTAGATTTTTATAACTACCATTTAAATCATCAATATAGAATATGCTTCTTTGCTCTTAATTTACTTTTCATTTCTATTTGGTGGGGAGTTCATCATTAAAATCCTCCCTGGAAGGTTTGCAAAGATAGAACTTTGGTTGAGGATGGAGGCAGAGGCAGCACTGGCCAATCCAGACTGCAGGGATCACTTTACAGGTCTTGAGAAAAAATAGTGGTAGGAAGGGAAGTAAGCAGGAGAGAGGAATTAACTAAAGAGAAGTAAAACGTGTCTTGTTTAAACTAGTGGAAGCAATGAAAATTTAGCAGCCATTGTTTGTCTCTTTATTCCTTATTTATAAAACTAAAGAGTAAACTATATTTTTAGGTTAGGTTTTAATTTATGGGAAAGGGAAAGAAACCTAAAAGAAGCCCCCTGCTGGCCACTCTAATTTCTGCCCTATTTGCTCCTTAAAAAAAATAAAAATAAAAATATCCTTACCTTTCCTATATTTTCCTACATTTAAGACATAATTTAACCTTTTATTGTTAACTGAGATTTATCATTGTTATAAATGCAATATACAAATATAAATCTCTAAAGGCATTTCAGTAATTTGTCTTTTATGACAAGAAGAAAATCATCCTTTGAAAGATATGTATCTTGTTTTAAATTTGCATTTAAAAGTCTATCACTAGTAGATTAGTTTTGTTATTTTGCTCTTAATCTGAGCACAAAATAAGTTTGTTTTGATTATCTCAAACTCTGGGAGGTCTTTAAAATTAAATAACAAATCCGAGTTTTATTCAAAATTATTTACAACAGTCTTTTGTCTTATTCTAGAAAATTAAGGGGACTACACATAGCAAAAATCCCGAGGCTGTGTTTGTTTCACGCTGTTACTTGAATCTATGATGAAATCATTTCCTAGGCTTATTCTTTAGAAAATAAAACTCCTTAGGGCAGACTGACCCGAGTTGCACAGGAATGTAAATAAAAATGATTATTTCTCTCTTTACATAAGACAAATATTTTACTACATTGTGTACTATAATAATCTTTCTCATGGCCAACACAGAAATATTAGCATCTACCAAATATGGTTAAATCCTCAAAGCCTACTTATAAAGCAAAAGCAGCACTGGAAATTGACATCACTTACATTTAGTCACATTTTCAAAAGAGCATGATTAATGAAACAGAAGTGTTCTCATGGAGCGTGTGCACCATGTGCTAGTGACAGTTATATCAGAACGAACTACATGTAGCATTTATCTTCCTTTTGCTCTGGTATCTCCCGAGTGAAACGCTTGGGTGTGTATGAAAAGCATAGGGAGAATGACAACTCATTTGGTATTGACTTGGCCTTTGTCCCAGCTCTCTCTTACATCATCAACCCCTTCCTCATCTCTGCTGTCACTGACTTTGAGAAAGCACATGGTTCAGCCATTTGACATCCTCTCTGTAAGACCAGGGATGAGTCTGCTATGCGTAGCTCTGTTTATTAAAACCTCAATTTTAAGAAGGTTACCATTCTACATAAAACCCTTGACCTCTCAGAGTTAGTGGTATGAGCCTAAAAGTTGCCAGGACATGCTAAACTTTTCCTGAGAAAGAGTCCAGTCAACAATTTTATGACAATCCTTCTGACCTGAGCTTTGCTTAATACCATCAAATAAGTCACAGGACAGTCAGGAGATTGGAAATGTATCACTTGATGAGGTTTTTCAGATTGATAACACGAGGGTAAGCAACTGTGTCATCCAGGAGGCTCCAAAGTCCAGGGTCCATTCAGGGCCAACTACAGCAGTGCCCCTTCCTAAGTCCAGGCCATTCACACCAACCGAAGCCCAGCAGGGGGCAGCTTCCCAAAGCTAAATCTAAAAAGACCATAGCCAGCCCAGCTGAAAGTCCCAGGAAAAGGCAATGTTGCCTAACAGTCATGAGACAGCTGGAAAAGTCCCTGCACCTGACACACACTGTTACAGACAGTGCTGCCTCATAGACGTGTAGAAGGCACATCAGGGAGAGTGTCGGGGTCAGGCCAGAAACTTCACATTAAATCAGGGAGGATTTGTTTGGGGCTCACATTTAGACAGAGAACAAAGACTTCTCTGTCATTTTTGTAGTTTTGTTCATTTGTATTTGAAAATAGCAGTTCTCTCTCTGGCCTGACTGCATCCCTTTGATGGTAACTGAAGCTTTCCATTGCAGCGGTGCTCCTGACGGGGGCGACATTGAACCTGCTCAGGGCTCAGGGCTCCTCTTCCCGGCTCTGTGGCCTCCCCGAACATGAGTAACACTATGGCCTGCAAAGATAGGACTTAATTGTCCTTAAAAGGAAAAATGCCTGCATGACCAGAGTTGGACCAAGCCAGAACAGGAGCCCCTGAGAAGTGCTAGGTACATTTTTAACAGTTCCTGTTTACTTTCCATAGGAGATTATGAGAAGAACACAAGAGCACATTTATAAGTAGTTTTCATGATTCATGTTATCACTGAAACCAGATGCTATTCTGAATCAAACAACCCTGAAGTGATGTGCAATTCTAATATCTGCTTAATTAATCAAAATATTCATTAATACGTAAGAAAACACATTCTGTTTGTGTTTTAGAGTACACATTTATCACATGCTCATAAATACTTAAATACAGGAGGTATGCTTGGCAGATAAATTATTAACTTTTCAGAGATCTGCAGATTTTAGAAAGTTTTGGGGGGAAATTAAATTTTAATAAAACAGCATTTTACTTAATTACAGAAAAATCAAATAAAATTATTTTCTAGATTCTGAAAGAAAAACAAATAGATTATAAACTGTAAATGCCCTTTGTCTTATGATAACCTTGCTAGCTTTAGTAATTGTATAATATTATGAACCTTGGGAAACAGTGCAAAGCATCAAAAATCTTATATTAACATATATATTGACTCTAATAAACCTATATCTGTATTAGTGTTTAATATTGATTAAAATTGCTTATAAGTTTATATTAATAGGAAATACATCCTGATTTAGTAGGATTTTAATAACTACAATCATGTATTGCTTAACGATGGGAATATGTTCTGATAAATGCATCAGTAGGCAATTTCATCATGTGAACATCAATATCATGGTGTACTTACACAAACCTAGATGGTATAGCCTACTGCTTCTAAACTACATACCTGTACAGCATGTTACTGTATGTAGATGACTGTAACACAATGGAAAGTATTTATGCATCTCAACATAGAAAAGATACGGTAAAAATATGGTATTATAATCTTATGGAACCATCATCATATATGCAGTCTATTCACTAAAATGTCATTTTGCGTGATAAGGGCATTTACTCCAATATTGCTTTATTAGATTGGCATCCTTGCTGACTCAAGACCCTTTCCTTATGTACTGATGACCACCTATTGATTCTCAGAAAGTCTTATATTCTCACTCTTGTGCCACCCTCAGTTATTTCCCTCTGCCTTTCACAGCTAACTGTCCACTTCACACCACTAATCAACTGCTGTGAACTTGGCTTTTACCTTGATCTCAGCTCTTCCAAAAGTCACCAATCATTTCCTAAATGCAAAATATAATGACCTTTTCCCTGTGTCCATCATACTTTGTATAACATTTGATATTGTAATGAGTTGAATTGAGTCCCTCTCAAAAAAGACAAGTTGAAATCCTAACCTTCAGTATCTCAGAATGTGACCTTATTTGGACACAGAGTTGTGGCAGATGTAATTAGTGATGAAATGAGGTCATACTGGAGCAGAGTTAGCCCCTGATCCAATATTACTGGCATCCTTCTAAGAAGATGGCCATCTGAAAACATATACACAGAGAGGACACACTGTGACAATGAAGGCAGAGATTGGAATTAGGAAGTTGCAAGCCAAGGAGCATCGCAGATTGCCAGGAAACCACCAGAGGTTAAGAAGGGGGCAAGGAAGAATCTCTCAGAAACGTAAGAGAGACTGTGGCCCTGGTGATGCCTTGATTTCAGACTTCTAGCCTCCAGAACTGTGATGTGATCAATTTCTTTGATTTTAGGCAGTTTATGGTGCTTCATTATGGCAGCCCTAGGAAACTGATAGTTACTACTGACCAAGGCTTTATTCTGCACTTACCACAATTTTTTAAATGCTCTTGTCCACAGGGTTCCATACACCATATTTTTCCAGAAGCCTGGCTACAGATTTCATAGGATCACAGGATTCTTTACTGCCTCTCATCTCCTATTTCCTTTTTTTTTTCCAACAGGATTTAACTCTGTGTTGCCCAGGCTGGAGTGCAGTGGCACAGTTATAGGTTCACTGCAGCCTCTCCATCTCCTGGGCTCAAGTGATCATTTTCCCTCAGGTGCCCAAGAAGCTAGAACTACAGGCGTGCATCACCACACCCAGCTAATTTTTATTTTTTCATACAGATAAGGTCTCGCTTTGTTGCCCAGGCTTGTCTCTAACTCCTGGCCTCAAGGGATCATCCTGCCTCAGCCTACCAAAGTGTTGGAGATACAGGCATGCACCAGCATGCCCAGCCTGATATTCCTTGAAATACCTCAAGCCATCCTGTAGTATCAACTACCACAAATATGTGAGGGCTGCTCCAGTTCATATCTACATCTTGAACCTCTCTAAGTCTCCATGGGTCAACCTCCTGTGTTTTCCTGCAGCACACCAAAGTGTGCTCAAAAAAGCAAATGAAAAAGAATACAAAACAGTTGATACTCACTTGCAAAATAAAACCAGATGCAGCTTTCTTTACAAATTGAGAAAGATGTTTTTTAAGCATAATGACTAGTGTTGGCAAATGAACTTGTCCCTCTCAAATATCATGTGAGACTTTGGTTTGATACAATTTTACTGGAGAGTTATTTAGCAATGTGAATCAAGTATTTAAGAATTGTTAATTCCTTTTGACCTAGTAATTTTACTCCTTAGGAATTATCCCAAGAAAATAATCAGACCTGCACCAAAGATTTATATATGGATACATATACAAAGCACATATTTGCATATAAGGACTACACCCACAGATCCATAACCGTAAAGTCTCAAAGTTACTGACTGTTGGCTTTTAAACTTTTAAACTTTTAAACACAGATACATATCTCTGAGTCTAGTCTTTATATGCAAATATATATGTTTTATATATGTATATTTTTTGAATCATTTTATGTGGTTTATATTTATTCAATTTTTATATGCTTGGTTTAGAAGCATATAAAATGTTCACTTTTCAGAAAACATTAGGAATTGGTTATATTTTAGAAAGAAACGTAGAATATCACATTTCAATTTGGACTAGCACTTTTCAAGCGGCTGCTAACCACATGTGGATAGTGGCTATCCTATCAGCATAGAGCTACACGAAGGGCATATGACTGCTTATTTTACTATGCTTGCAATTTCTGTAGCTTTGATTTTTTTTAAATAAAATGTTGGCCAGGCACGGTGGTTATGCCTGTAATCCGAGCACTTTTGGAGGCTGAGGTGAGCTGATTACCTGAGATCAGGAGTTCGAGACCAACCTGGCCAACATGGTGAAACCCCGTCTCTACTAAAAATCCAAAAAAATTAGCCAGGCGTGGTGGCAAGTGCCTGTAATCCCAGCTACTCGGGAGGCTGAGGCAGGAGAATCACTTGAATCCGGGAGGCAGAGGTTGCAGTGAGCTGAGATCACGCCATTGCACTCCAGCCTGGGTGACAAAACCCAGACTCCTTCTCAAAAAAAAAAAGTTGGGGGAGGAAAGGCCTTTGAAAACACTTGCAATCACATTCATTCTGCTTCAGACTGTTTACTCTTCTTAATCCCTGCTAACCATGGTTAATTCACTAGCATTTTTGCTTTTCAAGCAGTGACATCCACAAGACCATATTGTGATCTTTCTATTCTTTGCATAGTTTCATGGTTCTTAGAGGAAAAAAAAAGATGTCACACATAACAAACAAACTAACCAGTAGTGACACTAAAATGAGAAAAGGGTTTTGGCATGGCTCAAAAAAGCCATGTGTATAATTTTTAAATCAGTGCTGCAATTTGTGGCCCAGCAAGTGAGACGGCATTTTGCTTCCTCCTCAAGAACCCTTTGTTCTTGTCATGAACCAGAATTTAAGCTTCTGCACTCTGTTTCTGGGAGGCAGAGTCCTCTTTGACCTGATCTGTCTCCTTTGACAAGGAGACAGATTTTAGCTTGTCCAAAAAAAGATAACCCCTGCTGCTCCTTGTTTGGAAAAAACACATTCTCCTTCCTGGGAGAGGCTGAAAGAAGAATTGACTACAAAAGAGAATGTAACAAGTCTTCATTTTCAACTCATTTCCCTTTAATTTTTATGCCAAGTACAGCCGTGCCTTGAGTGATGTGGCAACAGGCTGAATTTCCCCTTCTTTCTCAGATTGTCTCTTATTTTGACAACGGCCTCCTTTCGTTAATAAGAAGTCAATGACATGTTCCTCTGTTTTCTTAACAAAAATCTGCACTGCTTGTGGATAGGATGGTCACATAATTTCGCAGTCCACAATGCTGGGGACTAGGGGATAGGAAAAAACGTAGAGAAGCATGTTTTACCGGGAAGAAAATAGTAGCAATGCAGCTACCCTAACTTGAATGGAACAAAGCTAATACTTGTACTTCTTGTTCCTTTCAAATGCCTTTCTTGAATACCTAAGTTCTCATAGTCCTGGAGAATCTTGAGAAACAATAAAACTTTGTGATTGTTTTAGAACTTCAAAACTTCTGCACAGGATTGACTTGAAATATCAGAGAGGTTCTTGTGGAAGAGGATGTGAGGGTATCTTTTTAAGCCAGCTGTCACTACATAGCCAGACTTTTAAGATAAAATGCTAAGGAAAAAAAAAACTTATTTTAGCTCCTCAAAAGAAGGAAGGAAAAGAAAGGAAGAAATGAAGGAAGGGAGGGAGGGACAGAGAGGGAGGGAGGGTAGGGGTGAAAAAAAACACTTTGCTGCAGTTCACAAAAATTTGATTAAGTGTAATGAAAACTTTAATTTGTTGATAAAAGCACTCAGTTATTAAGTCCTTTTAACTTTACTCATATTTCCCACCATAAATATGTAACATGTATGTATATGTATTTATTTCCAAACTTGAAGTTTAAAGGCAATCTCTATACCCTCTCCATATGCATTCTTTAAAATCAAATATAACAAAATATTTATTCAGATGTTTTCTCTTCTTCAATCTTCAGTGAAGGAAAATATAATTTTCTTTCTTCAGCAGAGATTGCACAGTGGCTTTAATCAAATCAATCCATTTCACCACTAGATATAGAATATTTTCCCTAAGGGCCACAAAAAGTCGAAGTTGATTTGTCTTTGTCAAAGCAGATAAGTTGTTAAATGAAAGAAACAGTACCAGAATCCTTCCAACTAACTGAACTAGGAGAGAGGAATAAAGGAGATGAACTCTACGTGCAAACATACATATAATTTCTTTTTTCCTCATCTGTCTCTTGCTCTGTTTCCCCCAGTTCCATCTGCAATAGCAGCCATACAGCACCTAGACTGTTGAGAGATACTGAAACTTGAAAGAAAAGGGAATGTACAATGTGCAAATGCAATATCATTATTCAATAACTTTGCAAGTAATTTTATTACCTGAGACACCATGGTTTCTTTGTCTCCTTTTTCTGTGTCCCATTCTCTGCCTCTAGCTGTGGGTCTGTCTCTCTCCTACACATACATACTCACCTAGAGGGGCATACATATTAATAATGTGTGGGAATTTCTTACTTAAAGCTACTTCCTCTTCAAACCAAGAATAGCAGAATACCTGGATCCAATAAACAAATGATCTTGTCTCGACATCTAAAATAAATTATCTGGCAGAACACTGTAAATGAATACTTAATAGCAAAACTTAATAATAAGGGAACACACAAAGAAGTGCAAGAGTAGGAAGCTTTCTTGTATCACTTCCTCATGCCAAAAACAGAACTGGAAATTGTCACTCAAAAAAAAAACTTTTAAAATATAGTAGTTCAAGTTTCAAACGTGGTCCCAACAAATCAGATATACAACTGTAATCTCAGTTCTTTATTCTATACACCAACTTTAGATATCTTCCCATAAGTCTTAAAGTGATTTTTGAATACAAATATTTTTCTCCCTTCAGGCTAAGCCCTATGGGCGAGTGCAGAACTCGTACAACTGGTTCTACTACCAAACTATAAAATGTTCATTCCCTATTTTTCACATAAGAAGAAAGCAACTTTCTCCTTTTTTCTCATTCTCATTTTAGCCTGAACACCTGGCTTTTTCTGAAGCTATGCCAGGTTCAGATCAGATACTATGAGGGCAGCAATGACTACGGGTTACTGCACACACTATCTCCATGGTTTCTACTGTGAAATCCCTTTAAACTTTCTATCTGGACTATTTTCATGTGCTGTGTATGCGTGAGCACCTCTGGAGGTTATTAAGTAGTTGTTTCATCAATAAATGTTGGTGATGCTTATCTCTATATTTCTCTGGATTCTAGCATGCAAGACTTTTGAGATGACCTACTGAGATAAAGATCTAAGTGACAAGCATTAAAGAGAAAAGACACAATTTGATTGGAAAAGGCTTAAGAAAATACGGAGGTTACTTTCTGCAATACGTGTAGAGGGTAACTGTTCTCCAGTGCTTATCTTTGAACTCTTATTAATTTAGTGTTTGATTCACTATAGTGAACAAAACTGTTCTTTACCTTGAATCAAACACAAAGAATGTAGAATTCATTACCTGGCGATATCCTATCAGTTCAGAATACTCCATAAAGTCTCTACATTTGAAAAAAGGTGGGTGCAAATGTCTGGTTCTATTTTTTAATGCTTTCATTTCACTTTTATGTATGAGAAGTGTGAACATCTCTCTGTGGTACAACTCCTATCTCCATACTGTTTTCTCCACCCTTGACCTACTTCTCTTTCATTATTTTCCCATTCTAACAATTCCTCTCCCCTTCAAATATCTCATGAACAAGGCTAATTTTCAGTCTCATCACCAACCCTGGCTTGAATGCTCTTGCAGTTTTTTCTAGTAAAATCAAGTAGCCATTTATATTAATTAGGTAGGCTAAACTACTAAAGTAAATATTCCCCAAAATGTAATGGCTCAGATAAAATAGAAGCAGATTTGTCTCTAAAGTAACAGTCTAAGCTGGAGGTTCAGGTCAGTGTGTGTGTGTGTGTGTGTGTGTGTGTGTGTGTGTTTTGGGATGCTGGGGAGTTGGGATTTGGGGGAGGCTGTGCTCTACTTGGGAACCCAACCTAGAATGAGGTTAGTGCTGCCATCTTCAATACGTGGCTTCTAAGGTCTCTCTCGTCATCACTATTTCAGTCCATGGGAAGGAAAAAAGAGCTATAGGAGAGAGCATGTGAACTTTCAAAGAAAGGTGTGAATGACGGACATCACTTTTGCTCACATTTCACTGGAGCTTATTTAGTCTCATGGCCACACCTAACTGCAGAGGGAGCAGGAAAACAGTCTGTGGCTAGGCAGCTGTGTCCCAGTTGTGATTCTACCTTACTGTGGAATAAGTAGGGCACAGATCACTACCACACCCTTTAAGCACTGTTATAGTCTTAGTAAGAACATAAAGATAAAATATAGGTCCAATAATCAGTTGTCCTGGGTTCTTTGCAGAACAAACTATTCCAAGAGCTTACATTAGCCATTTCCAATGGGAACGCATTATAAAAGCCTAATGAAGTATTAGGGTACTCCTATGACCTATTATATATTTCTGTTTCACAGAGGTAGGATAAGAAATATATACGATATATATTATATAAATATATCAGAAATGTATTATATATATTTAATATATATTTCTTGATATAATATATCTATAATGTATCTAGAAATATATATTAAATATATCTAATTATTATATATTTAGATATATTTATATATTATATAAATTATATTTCTATATGTAATATTTTAAAATATATTAAATATATATTTCTTATATATAAACAATATGTTTCTACATAATATATCTATAATATATCAGAATACATTTAATATTTCTATAATTTAATATATGTTTTATGTTTATGATATAGAAATTTCATACATTATATATCTGTGATGTAGATATATATAATAGATATAGAAATATACATTAAATAGGCCGAGCACGGTGGCTCACGCCTGTAATCCCAGCACTTTGAGATGCTGAGGTGGGAGGATCACAAGGTCAGGAGATCAAGACCTTCTTGGCCAAAATGGTGAAACCCTGTCTCTACTAAAAATACAAAAATTAGCTGGATGTGATCATGGGCGCCTGTAATCCCAGCTACTTTGGAGGCTGAGGCAGGAGAATCGCTTGAACCCGGGAGGCAGAGGTTGCAGTGAGCCAAGGTTGTGCCACTGCACTCCAGCCTGGTGACAGAGCTAGACTCCATCTCAAAAAAAAAAAACAAGAAAAAAGAAATATATATTAAATATAATTTTTGTTTTTATATATAAATATATATTATATATAGAAATGTATTAAATATATATTATACACACACACACCATTTGGAAAGGCTAAAATCATTATGTAGTTGCATAGTGTTAGAAACCAAATTGAAGGAGTCTTTCACTGCTAAATATAAGAAGGATTTAGTTTAGGCCTATGAAGCCAGTGCCCAACATTTCCATAATCAAATAAAAGATAATGACTAACAGGGAAACTGAGAAGGCAATCAGCCCTCAGATAGAGTGCAAACAGACAATATTCATAAGTAAGAATAGAACATATGTCCTAGTTAAGCTGGCACCCCTTTTTTAATAATGGGTCTCTAAAATAAAGGCAGAGTTAGCAATATAGACAGAAAATTTCATTTGACCATTCAGAGCCATGGCTCAAAAACATCAAAACTGACTACCATTCTGGTAGCATCACTGAAGTTTGAAGATCAATGAAGTTTGAAGGCAAAACCTAGGAGGAAAGCCTGGAGTATGTTTAGACCTTCAATGACTAAACTCTTGATACAGAATGCTAAGAAGACTTTTGTCTAAGGAGTACAGCCAAATAAAAGTAGGAAGACAAGAGACAGAGCAAGACCCTTTCACTGAGATCAGACAGAAATACAGATCATAGCAGGCTACAATAAGCTGTCTAGACCCAATTTTTTAAGAATAGTGAAAGAGGGGTAGGGAACTCTCTGCCCAATCCTGTCTCACAACCCTGATCAATACTCTGATATGTCATGTAAAGAGGTCAGCCAGGTTAGGTAATGGAGGTCTCCTGACCCATTGACCTTGTTTTGGCATTAGACATTCAACTTTTTGCCATTAAATGTCAGATCAATTCCCAATGATTTGAACATTACCCAGAAGTCTTTGGCTTCCTGGAATCTTTAATGAAAAAAAAATACAAACACTACCATTTCCAAGAGCCTAATGAATTATTATTCATCACATTAGCTTAATCCATTTCCCTTGCTCAATTTTTAATATTCTTGTTTCAGCTGGATTTCAGCATTTATAATGCACATGTGTGTTTTTTTATCTATGTAATTTTCAGTGTAGGTTTATATCTATCTTTTTTGTACATGAATAATCTTTCCTTCTCAGAGTCTTATAACTTACCATAAACTGTCTGTTTTCTCCTATAGTCCTTACCAGAATTACCCTGATATTACAATTATAGATGAAAAGGTTTTTCTCTGTTTAGGTCAAGGAAGGCTGTGTTTATCGTTTATTCTATATGATATCTTGCATTCAGTAGACATTCATACACAAGTTAGTAAAATTTGGGCCCAGCTGTACTCCCTTCAACTTGATGTGGTCAAGGGGAAACAAAAGGGAGGCCCATACATACAGCTACTGTAAATTTATAGGGTATACAAATTTTCCCCTTAGGAATAAGGTGGGCCAGTCTCTTTGGACCTCCCAAAGAAGAATCAAGTCTGGTTTTCAAATGAAAGCTTCAGAGTATGAAGCAATATTTCACAAATTATTAGAGCTTTTTAAGGGCATGCCCTCTGCCTAGCAGTACTGGATAAACAGGTATTTAGCAGCAATAAATCCTAACTCATCTTTTTATATCTCAGGGATCACCAAGAGTTTCCTGTTTCCAGAGACTGGCACATCTTTTTGATGGGCATGATACATGTTATTTGAATGACTGATTGAATGAATAAATGAGCCAACAATTGCCATCCCTAGATACCAACAAATTTCCAACTGGCATCTGCCTGCTTGTTAGTGTCATTTCCATTAGGTGTGACAAGTTGTAACCTAAAATAACACCTCATTGAGACACTAGTTCACTTTCAGGACTGCTGGGGACAAGGAAGGGAGAAGACTACAGCTCCTTGCACAACCAGCCTCCCACTCCCATTGTACCTGCTATACAATTGTTGCTATTTTGGCTGCCAAAGCTCCATTAAGAGCTCTGGAGCTCCTGGCATTTGCAGGGATACTCCACTAAATTTAAGCCCCAAAGATGACTTATTCTTGCCAGCTGGGTGCATCAAACCAAAGGAACAATACCAGACAAATATATAGAGATCTACTTCATAAATATATAGAAGATGGAAACAGAGAAAACGGGCTTTTTGCTGGTGTAATTTTTGCTAATTTTTTTTTTCAGTTTTACCATCAATTCAAATGTTCATGCCAAAAGAGGTAATATTGCCAGGGAAAACAGGCAACTGCAGAGAATTCATCAGTGTTGGCTGCTTCTGGAGGCGAGGTCTTGGCTTCACAGTGGAGTTGGGGTTATGGCCTTATCCCAGTTTGGGGGTATAGTTAGTTAGAGTCAGCAAAGGCTACTTACTGCACACTGCTCCTCCACTTATCTTGGGTGGGGCTGGGCCAGTTCAGAAACAGGGCAAGGTACTAGGCTGTCCCTTCCCAGCACTCTGATCCTCCCACCTTCATGGGGGATTATTGGCCCTGACTTAATGAAAGTCCTCACTGCAGACAATTCACATACTGAATTATTTGGCACTGGCTCTCTGAGTTGTACTTAACTTTCTGTTCTTTCATTGCCTTGAGGTACAAATTATTTTTAAAAAGAAAAATAAGTAAATAAAAAAAATAGATTCATCATTATTGCCCTGAATTGAGCCACCTGGAATTTGTTTTAGTTCATCACTGAGAAGAGCAACATAAACCTTATGACTTTTTTTAATTTCATAAGTGCAACATATTTGCATTGTGATGTTTTTCATTGCAGGGCTCACTGGCAGACAAAACTCAGCGCTTTATTTCCTTTGTAGATGTTGATGCAGGTAAGTGGCATTGGGACAGTATGACGTGTTTCATGATGACAGTCACGCTCTGCTTGGTGACCTCTGACCTCCCTCTTCAGGGGCTCTGGAGGTTAACATTTTTGTACATCCACACCGGAAAGAATGTACTCAAGAGTAGAAAATGTGGGAGGAATTTAGTGAATGAATAGAACTTAGCGGGCAGAGAAAATAACTAGGTAATTTTGTCCACCAAAAACCCCAATTACCAGTTATTTACAGCCCACTGGTCTGCAACTTCGGTTGCCTAATCAGACATTCATATAAGTGCAGTCCCTTGCTCAAACAGTAATCCCTTGTCTTGACTGACTCTCAGACAAGGAAGAGCAGGCAGAGGAGATTGTAAAGCAGAAGCAAAGTAGTTGAAAGCCACTGAGAGTGGTTGAGGACATGGGTGGGTTCACATCTGTAATGTGTTGGAAGCTGAATACAGCTGTTTGGCACTTTCAACAGGCAGTGACCATGAATGGGATGTCCTGCCTCCAGGGCAGTGCAAACAGGCCTCCAGCCAGACAGCCATCTCGCTCTCCTTTTCCTCCAGCTGTGTCTGCAGAAGGGTCCCGAGTAGCATCCTGTAGTTCCAACCTGCTTACTCCTTAGGACTAGGAAACAAGAAAATCACTGCTAACCCCACTCCAAACTTGCCTGATTTCAGAGCTCAGTATCATTCTGCAGTTTGCAGTCACACTGGGAGGGTCTTTTTCTCGTATATGAGAAGGAGGACAGAATGTTGGAAGGGAACGCTCCTCGACAGATGGGAATGAGAGTGGTGTGAGTAACTAACTGGAGGCAATAAAGGTGTTAGCAAACAGCAGGAGGGAAGAGTGGGCCCCACCGATCACTGGCTGTCCCGCATGCTGTGTGTTGTACCAGTGCCAGTGGGAGCTGCCTATCCAAGCCTTGGTATTAACAGCATGTGACTCTGGCAGATTCACAATGTCCTCATTGGCTTTGTCAGTATGACAAGCTTTGACTGAGTCCCTATCCAACTGAGGGGCCACCATCCCCGTCACCCTCCTTTCTGATGCCTTTTCTCCTGATCATCCCTTCTTCTTCCTTCTTCTTTGTCTGGCTTCTTTTGTTCTTCCTTTTTCTGTCCCTCACTCCTCCTTACATTATATTCCCAGCTTCCTTTGGGATTTTTGTTTTAACATAAGGAGAACCTTACCATCGATGTCAAGCTCAGCATGATATAACCAATTACCCTAAAACCACAGCCATCTAGCCTTATCTTGTATTAAAAAAAAAAAAAAGAAAAAAAAACAGATGTTGCCTATAATTGTATATCTGCTCAGGTTTAAACATAAATTGCAGTGAGAATTCTTAAGGCAAGAATACCATTGAACCAAAATACGTTATAACAGAAAGGGGTCTCAGATGCTTATTACCTCCTCCCAACTGTATTTCATTTTACAACAAAGCAAATCACAGCTTGGAAAAGTTAAATGAGTTCCTAAGGTTCCACAATAAATAAGGGCGAAGGGGCCACTACTTAGGACCCAGATCTCCTGATCCCTATCTAGTGATTTTTTTTACTTCATGAATTTTAATGTAAAAAAAGAAAAAGAAGCCACAGATCCTCTAGACCCTTATGCAATATAGGGAAATATTCCTTAACCCCAATCGTGCTTTAATCCTTCTTCTACTGAAACAAATACAGCTAATGAATTAGAGATGCTCTTTTGTTCTCCTGTTAACTATCTGACCTTAAGGAAGTCACTCAACCAATTGGTTCTCAGTATTCTCTTTCCACACTGAGGGAAGTGGACAGATAATCTATGGTTGCTTCCAGCTCCAAAATTCAGTGACCCTTTAAGCTTAACTTCTTTCACCAGAATACCTGTCATTTCTAGGTAAATAGTGTTCTCAGTCCTTTCTGTTAAAAGAGGTTAAGTAAATAAAAAGGAAAGATCAGGCTATGCTTTTGGCCTAGATTATAACTTTGTGACCAAGGATGAAGGAATTTAATAGCAATAAGAAAGCTTCCAGGGTCTACCATTTACAATTTAAATACTTTACTTGGGAGGTTAAAAGTTCAAAGTTGAGTCACAGTCTGAGGTGGCTCTGCTCTTCCTTTTTAATTATCTGAGGTCAGGAAGTTAATAATACGAGAAATCCCCAGCGGAGACCTCTTGTGCACTGTGTGAACTTTAAACTTGCTCATTTTTTTCTTAAGGGTAAAAAGTTCAGCAGAAACACAGTGGACTTTTCCTCTTAGCCTCCACCCATTCATCCCCCAAGGTCAAAAGTTGAACTGTAAAACAGAAACCCTTGTTCTCTGATCCACATTTAAACAGATCACTTATTAAAAGGTAAACATTCCACATGCAAGCCAAAGTTCCAAGTGAATCTGCTCAATAAAAATAAAAAAACTGTAATAAAGTCTTTGATCTTTTCCACTTGTCTTAGAATTGAACAACAGAATTTATTTTCTCGTTTTTTGAATCTCAGAGAAGGGGCAGTCATATAAGCTCTTTCCTCACCTACCTCTGCCCTGAGATTGGCATATCTAAAAGAGATAAACCTAAGATATTTTAAAATAGTCAGATTTGGAGCCTTACCTTAAGGCAATTTCTTCAACTAATTCTACGCCATTTATGTTTGTTTATTTGTTTTGCTCAAACAGGAATTCAAGAACAGCAAATGTGATTTAAATCAGAGATATAAAGTACTACAGAATAAAAAGGAGTTTGCTGAAAATGGTAGAGGATGCTGTATTAGTCCGTTTTGCTGCTGATAAAGACATATCTGAGACTGGGCAATTTACAAAAGAAAGAGGTTTAGTGGACTTACAGTTCCACTTGGCTGGGGAAGCCTCACAATCATGGTGGAAGGTGATAGGCATGTCTCATATGGATGGCACAGGCAAAAAAAAAAAAATGCTTGGGCAGGGAAACTTCCTCTTATAAAACCATCGGATCTCGTGAGACTTATTTACTATCATGAGAACAGCATGGGAAAGACCTCCCACCAGGTCCCCCCGACCCACCACAACACGTGGGAATTTAATATGAGATTTGGGTGGGGACAAAACCAAACCATATCAGATGCAGAGAAAATAAAGAAATGGATGAATATATCCAATGAACCTCATATGAATAATGAATGGAAAATATCTGAGATCTTCACAGTGTTAAAGCTCAAACAAGAAGTGAAATAAATAGCTACAGAGCTCCAAATAAGTATTTAATGATAGTGACAAGACTCACTTTCTTGAAGTAATGATGGCAAACTTTAAAAGTATGGAAAAGCCATTGACCGAATACTAACCCAATCCAATCAGCATGCTTAGGAAAACTCCCTGAGATGATCACATGAAGCTGTTATTTCATGCAACCCATGTGTCCGTTTTTTTCAATGTGTACTTATTGGAAATGCTTTCACTTGTTTAAACAAGTCCTACCTGTGACTCAATATTTGTTTAAAAACTTTTTAAGAAAGCATCTTTGTCACCGTTTATCTATCTAAATGCGAATAATACCACTTGCTTCCCACCTTAATAATTTTTGTAAAGATTCTCATTAGAGAATACTTAAGCACAGAAAACGGTAAGAGCCTTGAAATTAAGATATACAATGAACACGTTTATAATAAATACTTTTCACTGATGTCAGTTTCGACAGTGTCATTTAAGTTTAAACGACTTTGTGATCACTTCTAACACAAATCAAAACTAGAAGATATGGCTCTAAGTAAGTTGTGTTCTAGATCCATTTACACTGTGAGTAACATTCACGACACCCTCTGGGACTCCTGGATGCAGCTGGTGACCCAGACCCAGGAATGACACAGCCAGGAAGGAAGTGAGGAAGGTGCACAGAGCTACTTCCTCTTGTTAGAACTCCCCTCTCAACAGCTGTAAGGAAGAATGGAAATTCCCTATGAATCAAAGTGTGACTTCGAAGTATGGGATACAATTTGAGAGACCTGATCATATTGATTAGGATGTTGACCAAAAGGAAGTCACTGCATTTCATTTGGACACTACTCAGACATTTAAGCTGGTATGACATTCATGAGAAACTTCTGGTTTCAATTCATCTTTTTCCCATGAATATTTATGTTCCTTTTTTTTAATCTTTAAGTCAGTTCATGATATTCAAGCTAGTTATTTCCAACCTTCTGTCTGACTGAATTCTGTATTAAATCTTTCTTTGTTTCCCCCCTGCAAAACAGGTTAATTCATGAGAGGCTATTATATAGCAAGGACCATGCTGCCATGCTGTCTGTGTTCTGGGCATATGTACCCTCAAAGTCCTCATAGGATAGAAATAGTACTAAATCTGTATACAATGAACTGGACACAACAATGTGGGGACTATACTACAAATACTATGAACAAAGTGCCGGGAGAACCCTGAGTCTTTGCCATGTTCTTTGATGCCTTTGTGCCTTACACATTCTGATCCCGCCACCTAAAATAATCCTCTTGTCCTTCATCCCTGGGACCCTGTACTCTGCCTCAGTGCTTCTCTTCCTACACACTTCACCTCCCCTTGCCTCTCTGAATGTAAGTGTCTCTTCCACAGCAATCTGTGCAAAGACTAACACCAGAGTAACTATCTTACAGTATTGTAACACTTAGCTAATTTTTCTGCCTCCAACAATAAATTCTGATCTATTTGAGGAAGTGAACTCCAATACCATTCTCAAGGAAGTCCTTTTTTAGAAATATAGACTGAAACCTGACAGAAAAGGGATTCAGTGTATATCCTAAAGGATGGCATAGGAGAGCTGAGACTTAGCAGGGTATACACTAGAGTGGTCTCATGCTCTTCTTGCCAGCACACCACTAGGTTAGCAGTTCTCAACTTTGGCTGTAGTTGGTATAACCTGGAAGCTTTAAGATATTTTTGATGTCTAGGTCTCAGTTCTAGAAATTTTGAATTCACTGGAATGGAGTAGATTTGGGTCATTAAGGTTTTTAACTGTTCCCAGGTGATACTGGGGATGATGAGAACTTAAGGATGAGAATCAATGCACAGCAAGACACTGTGAAATGGGAATAGATGTTAGAAGCCACCATTGGCACTAGGGGTCACAAATGGATTGCCAATTTAAGAATACCTTATTTTTCATAATTCTCTTAAGGAATAAGTTTTCTTCCACCTGAACTGTTTCAGCAGTTCTATTATCCTCATGATAATATGAGCTTTCTTAGCATATTACACCAACGTCTCTGTAAAATCAACCAATCTTTTTCTTTATCTTCATTAATATCTTGTGTGCTGAATCATGTAAAACTGCTTCCTATTGCCTAAGTGTGTCATGCAAACCTTTCCCCATACCATCCTATATATCTGCTTCCAGGAATGCCTTTCCTCTTAATCCCCCAGGAATTCATACTCACACTTTAAGACCTGGAGCCAGACATAGTAGCTCATGCCTATAATGGCACTGACTCAGGAAGATCACTTGAGGCTTGGAGTTTGAGACCAGCCTGATAAACATAGCAAGATCCTGTCTCTAAAAAAACAAAAACAACCCCGTCTCTACTAAAAATACAAAAACATTAGCTGGGCATAGTGGTGGGTGCCTGTCGTCCCAGCTACTCGGGAGGCTGAGGCAGGAGAATGGCATGAACCCGGGAGGCAGAGCTTGCAGTGAGCCGAGATTGTGCCACTGCACTCCAGCCTGCGTAACAGAGCAAAACTCCGTCTCAAAAATAAATAAATAAATAAACAAATATAAAAATAAAAAATAAAAAACAACTGAGCATAGTGGCTTGCAGTTGTAGTTCCAGCTACTTGGGAAGCTGAGGCAGGAAGATTGCTTGAGCTCAGAAGTTTGAGGTGCAAGTCAGCCATGACGGTATTACTGCACTCCAACCTGGGCAACAGAGCAAGACTCTGACTCTAAAAAAAAAGGAAGAAAGCAAAGACCCTTCTTAGGCTTGTCTTTTTACTCCTGTTCTGTGATGCATACAACTTGGTTTACCATTCAATTTCAATCAAAACAGTTAACACATTGCTATCTCTTTGCCACTTACTGTCTTGTTCTGTTTAGGCTGCTGTAACAAAATACCATAAACTGTGTAGCTTATAAACAACAGAAATTTATTTCTCACAGTTCTGGAGTCTGGGAAGTTCAAAATCAAGGTGCCAGCAGATTCCATGTCTAGGGAAGGCTGGTTTCCTGATCCATGGATCATACCTTCTCTCTGTATACTCACATGGTGGAAGGGCCAAGGGATCTCTCTCAGGGCTCTTTTATAAGGGCACTAGTTCCATTCATGAAGACTCCACCCTCATGACTTAATCACATCCCAAAGGCCCTACCTCCTAATACCATCACCTTGGGTATTAGGATTTCAACATATGAGTAAATTTTGAGAAAACACAAATATTCAAGCCATAGCACTTCTCTTGAATTTTTTTGAAATTCCCAAGGGCAGAAAATGTCTTTTTCTGGACATGCTAATTCCAGTATGCATACTGTATTTGATTCATGGGAGGTGCTAAATGAACGACTATTGAATAAATGGATGGAAGGATGGATAGAGGGACAGATAGAAAGAGGATTATGTAAATTAATTCCTTCATCTATTTATCACTTACGGGGATTCTCACTATACTCATCATTGAGGAAAGAGAATGACTTCCTCTTATGCATCTTTAAGAAGTTATGAGGCCCAGGAGCCTGAGCCAATTACACATAATTAGGGACTCCAGGCCAGGGGAGGGAGGGTGCCCAGGAAAAACAGTGACAATCATGATTTCCTTGGTCATGTTAAGATTTTCTAGATAAATAAATAGAAGCAAAACATTCTAGTCAAGTTGTGTCTCAAAATGCTAACTTTCTAGATGATTGCTTAGCCCTGAGCCAAGTCTCCTTTTGCTCTTCCCTCCCGTTTGTCACATTGGCCTTGAGGTCTTCTTCAGAGAATCATAATCAGCATAAAAGAATGTGCTCCGGCTGGGCGCGGTGGCTCACGCTTGTAATCCCAGCATTTTGGGAGTCTGAGGCAGATGGATTGCCTGAGGTCAGGAGTTCAAGACCAGCCTGACTGACATAGTGAAACCCCATCTCTACTAAAAAAAAGTACAAAAATTAGCTGGGCATGGTGGTGGGTGCCTGTAATCCCAGCTACTAGGGAGGCTGAGGCAGGAGAATCATGTGAACCTGGGAGGCGGAGGTTCCAGTAAGCCAAGACCGGACCATTGTACTCCAGACCGGCAACAAGATCAAAACTCCATCTCAAAAAAAAAAAAAAAAAAAAAGAAAGAAAAGAAAAAAGAAGAAGAAGAATTTGCAATTTGCTCCTCCTCTCTCGATTTGAGTTCCAGCTGGAATTTGAAAAAAAAATTATGGGTTCATAGGTTTGTTCGTGCTAAAAGGAATTTTAGGCACCATCTCATCGTGTCCCTACATCTTACAGATCTAGAAGCACTTGGGAAAAGTTTGGCAAATGCATAGTCTATGGCAGTTACCAGTGTAGCTAGATGGTTCTGGGCCACATCAGCATGGGAAGGCCAATGAAATCACATCAACCTTAGCACCCAGATCTTCCAGGAATTGGGCCCTTCTTAAGGTCTTCTGTACTTCCAGGAAGTCTCAAGAGGAAAGCTCATGTGTACTCAGAAATAAGCCCTGGCCTCTTTGTCCCTGGCCTCTTCCTCAAAGACCCCCTCACCAAGTCCCTGGTCTGGGTCCCTCTCTGAGAATAGTCCACCCTGAGTACCACTATCCTCTGTGGTCAGCTCTAGAGCTCCAAGGCTGAGGACACTAGTCCTCCTACAGGGGTGGAAGAGATAAGGGAGTGGGAGGAAGGGAAGGGAGGTGGAGAAAGAAAGGTATTGAAAAGCATAGGAAGAAAGCAATCTTCCTCCAGCTTTCAAGCAGCACTTTGTTACTGGTGGGTCAGACATAACTTGGTGTTTTCGAATTTGGCTCTAAAATTAGGTCCAGATTTCAAATTTGTCCCTGCTACTTAGCATCTTTTTGATTTTTAGCAACATAGAAAACCTTTCTGAACTTGAATTTTTACTTTTTCCCTTCTTTAATATAATGGAAATGATAATTCTGTCCTCATAAAATTATTGTTAGCATTAAATGGAATACTGTATTGTTATACCAGTGACTGAGCAGAGTGCCAGAAGTTAGTAAGCACTCAACAAATGATATGGATATTATTATTTTCGTCTCCATTGTTCTCATCACTACTAGTTTAATTGTTCATTGACATAGCTCCTTCAGCTTCTGCTCCTAACCCTGCTCTCAATTGTTTTCAATGGGAGTAACTCAGGCCAGCTGGAAGAAATCAATGCCTCCCCAACCTCTTTGTTTCCTACCCCCATTTCCAGATACCTGTATATAAAACTTCTTTTTTTCTCCGTTTCTTCACAAGACAGTTTGGGAACCAATTGGTACAAAGAGTTCCTTACAAAGCCATTTTTAACTCCATTAGCGGGTCAGCTAGGACATCCCAGCTGCTTTACTAGTAAAGTCCATCTGTCCTTCTGAAATAATGGCAGATGTAATTGCCACTTTTCATTACAGGAAAACAACAAATACACATTTTGGTAGCTTGATTTCCCCCAAAGGAGCTCTTGCCTTTCCAGTAATAGAGTTCTAGCTAGACACACGGTTGGCCGAAGACAATCCTTCCCACCTTCAACCATGCAGATGAGAGCAATACCCCAAAACTGAGCAGAGCAAGATGATGAAAAGAACCCCAAGCCAAAATAACTTTGTAATTATCCATCCAGTAACTCTGATAGGTCTGGACTGTTTCAACAACTATATTTAGACCTCTGTGTTCACCCTATAGCCTAAATACCAGGTGGTGTCGTTTCTAAACACTGCAAAGAGAAAGTTTTGTTTAGACATCAATGCAACCCCCAAAGACAATATTTAATTAAAATATTAATACTGGTCATATGCCCACAAAGTAGCTGGGAAAGCAAGCACCCTTTCATTCCCAATATAGAAGCCTCAGGCCGGGCGCGGTGGCTCACGCCTGTAATCCCAGCACTTTGGGAGGCCGAGGCGGGTGGATCATGAGGTCAGGAGATCGAGACCATCCTGGCTAACAAGGTGAAACCCCGTCTCTACTAAAAATACAAAAAATTAGCCGGGCGCGGTGGCGGGCGCCTGTAGTCCCAGCTACTCGGGAGGCTGAGGCAGGAGAATGGCGTGAACCCGGGAAGCGGAGCTTGCAGTGAGCCGAGATTGCGCCACTGCAGTCCGCAGTCCGACCTGGGCGACAGAGCGAGACTCCGTCTCAAAAAAAAAAAAAAAAAAAAAAAAAAAAAAAAAAAAAAGAAGCCTCAAAGTTGGTATTGGAAAAGATTTCAAAGTTTCTAACACAGACAAATATTAAACATTCATGGTCACTGTTATGAACTGAATGCTTGTATCCCTCCAAAATTCATATGTTGAAACCCTAACTCCCAATTTTATGGCATTAGGAGGTGAGGGCAGAGCTACTATGATGGGAGTAATGACCTTATAAGAAGAGGAGACATCAGAGTTTGCTCTCTCTGCCACGTAAAAATGCAACAAGAAGACAGCCTTCTGCAAACCAGGAAGAGGGCCCTCATCAAGAACCAAATCTGTTGGCACCTTGACCTAGCACTTCATAGCCTCCAGAACTATGAGAAATGAATGTCTGTTGTTTAAGCCAAACAGTCTATGTATTTTATTATAGCAGCGTGAGCTGACTAATATAGTCATCCTTAGCATCTAAACCTTCTATTAACTGAAGAAAGAAAAACCAACTCAAGGCAGGGAAACTTTATGCTTTATATAGACGGCAACTTTAAAGAGCAATTGTTTAAGTTACATTTTAATTGCAAATGGATGTATTCTAATTCATTCTCTGAGCAAATTATGGGTCTTCACATCAGATAAAGAAGCTCTATATGGAAAGAGGTAGAGAAAGTGCCCCAAAACTTATTGGCCTCGTAGTCCCAACCACAGGCAAGAGAAATTATTAGCTCAGCTTTGGGGCAAGATTAGACAGCCCCACCTCAGTTCAGGTCACCTCCAATCTGATTTCCTAAGAAAGCTCACAGTATGCTAAGAACCTAGTCACACATCCAAGCCAATTTTGGGATTAGCCTAGACCTGTAGTCCAGACTGATAGCCTCGATTTTATATTTTTGATGATATAGACGGTCAAATATACATAATTATTTTTTTATTATATTATATAACGTAATTATGTATACTTGACTATGTACATTTTATGAAATCAGAATCCATGGATTGTCCCCATAATGATTGTCCCTCCAGGGAATAAGTTTTAAGATTCAGATTAATCCATTTGGGGCATCTAAAAACGCTCAACACCCTATTCTTTCACTCTACCCATGCTGGAATAAGACCAACTTCAAGATTCAGGACACATGGCTCCATGTAACCAGAGATCCCATGCCAAGGGACAGTAGGCAAAAATAGACACAGGTGGATATGTATGACTTCTTTCCATGAGCTTCCAGGCCTCCAAGGGACAAAATTCTTGATTTGGTGCCAAAATGTTCTATTTGTCTTATTAGAAAAAATTACTCAGTAAGGTGATATACCCCAGGAGGAGAGAACTGTTCTCACATTATCCAAATAATTATTTAAGTCTATACATTTTCACTGAGGGTTTTAATGATGAAATTATTAAGACGTTGTATGAGGTGAGCTGTCTTAGAAAAATTTGCTGCCTATTAATGGCTTTCCCATGCATTATTTTTGCTTTCATGTCTTCTAAGTCTAAAAGCTTCTCCCACATTTCTTTAGATCATGGCTTATGTTTGATAATATTGTGAGATACATCTAATCTCCTGTTAACATTTGTATAAAGTGCATTTCCTATCTCTGCATGACATTGTTCTACCCTCTTTGAAGACATCAGCTTTGTGATAGGTGGCATTTGATATTGTGACTAACCTAACATCTACTGTACGAAGGGTAATAATACAATACTAACAGTTATTATACACTTATAATGTGCCAGGCACCTTCTAAGCTTATTTTGTTTTATAATTCAGTGTATAATATATGTTAATTTTCATAACATCAAGGAATAGATAATTTCTTTATTTCCATTCTATGAACAAGGAAACTGAAATTAAACAACTCCGCCAGTAGCATGCCACTAGCAGGTCCAACATCCAAATCCAGAGATGATCCAGCATTATGATGCAAAATATACCAATGGCGCTATTCTCACTTAACAGAGACCATTTGGAAAGAAGTAATAAAAGGATATGAACTGAACACAGTTACAGAATCACAGACTCCTAAGGCCAAAACGAACTTCAATATCCTCTAGTTTTTCTTGCCCAAAATATCAATCCAAGAAATTAACTGGTTACTTATTAAAAGTAGACAGCCAGGAAAAAGGAGAACTGAATATTTCAAAACAAATAGTCCAAATGGACAAACAAGCTCTGAACAGAGCCACTTTTAGAAGGAGGAGAGAGAACGTTAAGGCATTTATGAATAAAAGGCAGACTTCTTTAGAAGGAGTCGCCATATTGGCTCACTACAACTCCGCCTCCCGGGTTCAAGTGATTCTCCTGCTGGGATTACAGGCGCCCCCCACCACGCCCGGCTAGTTTTTGTATTTTTAGTAGAGACGGGGTTTCACCATGTTGGTCAGGCTGGTCTCAAACTCCTGACCTCGTGATCCGCCCGCCTCAGCCTCCCAAAGTGCTAGGATTACAGGCGTGAGCACGCGCCTGGCCACAAAATGCAGACTTCTAAAGTAGAAGTCCAGCTTGGCCAGATAATAGACTCACTAGCATATAAACTGCTGGAAGCTAATGTAGGAGGTCAGGAAGGAATGATAAGGTTAGAGGAACCAAAGCCCAGAGAGGGTTTTTGTTTGGTTCTTTGGCAGCACTTAACTCTAGGAAGTGATGGGGAAATTCTAATTTCTGAGAATGTTTTTCAAAAGGATGACAGAGATTAGAGCTTCCAGTGAAGAAAATATTGCTGCAATCAAAGAAAGCAAAGTGCAATAAAGCCCTCAGGCCAGACGGAATTTATCTAAGTATTCTGGAGAAAATAAGGTGTGAAACAGCAGAGACTGATGAGGACATATACTATGACCATTAAAATAACAGCTGTTCCTGAAGACTGTCCAATTTTTAACACAGTATCTATGGTTTTTTTTGTTTTTGTTTTGTTTTGTTTTGTTTAAAGGAAACCAAGAGAAATCCCAAGAATTCAGACAAATGAACTTTGTCTTGGTGCTCGGATACTGGTTGGGGGAAAAAGTCCGATGATTGTGCCAAGTAGAATCTGAGAATTGAAACTTGACAGGCCCCCATCAACTCTGCAGGAATAGAGATTTTTACCTCTCCAAGCTTAAAATTGATAATAAGTAATACAGAGATACACCATGCACTTGCCCTTTTAAAAAGTTTGAAAATGAAGAAACAAATGCTTTCTTGGATCTGAAACTAGCTAGAGAAATTAGAATCATGTATAGTGTATGCTTAGGCCAAAGAGAAGAGATTAGCTATAGCACTCCTGGAATCTGATGTTGGAATGAAATGTAATTTCACCTGCATTTTTTAAATAATTAGGGAGTATGTGTGAGTCACAAGCAATTGACTCTCACATGATTGACACTCTGTGGGAGCAAGCAGTGAAAAAGAAATGGTGAGCACCTGATCCTATGATAATCATCACTAGCATTTATTGAATGGTTACTACGTGGCAGGCACACTGCTTAGTGTTTGACATCCATTATCTCAATTATTCTCAGTCTGTGAGTGATGGTATAAACTACTTCAGAAACATCTGCTGTTTCAGAAAGAAAATGCTCTAAGGTGTAGGGCAGATTATCAGCCAGGGTCACAGTTCAGATGAGTTCCAAAGAAAGCTTATCTAAAATATTCTGATGAAAATGTGGCTTCCATTTAAAACCGAATGGGGGCCAAGAGAATTGTAAAGGAAACTCGAGGATGCAATCTATTCTCTGCCCCTCAATCCCTGAGCCAGCCAGGGATACTTATTTTCTCCTAAACCTAAAAATAGTCACGCTAACATTGGTTTCAGACTCTCAGAATCACCAGCTCTGAGACTACAGAGATCTTCTCACTCTTTCCTATCTCCTGGTCCTTAAACCCGCTTCCTTACCTTGCTTCTGTGCCTTGCTAATTATAACTGCTTTTTGTTTGTTTGTTTCCTGATTCCTGTGGCTCAATCTGTGTTCCTAGGGCCTTCATCTGTGGTACCCACCTGGGATTTTAGACTCATGTGGGGGGTCTAAAGCTTTGGCTTAAGTTTAGTCTGAAACTCTCCTAGGCTTTGGTCCACAACCTCCTGCCACCCAACATGGTGCTGACAGGGAGGACAATCTGTAGCCCATGAAGATTAGAGCTATGCTATTAATCAATGATCTTTCCCAACTAAAATACTTAGTTCAGGGCTCTTCGCACAATGCTCAAAGTACTTTCTGTTCAATAAAGGCTTGTTGACTGTATTTACAACACATGCTGTACTATGAACTGCATACCAAAGTCCAAATTACAACATATAACCTCTATGACAAGAACGAGTAAAAAAATAAAACCACAGCCTTGGAGGGATGCCAGATGATGCTGGACCCATGAAAAACTCCAGAGAGGAAACAAAAGGTACTGAACAGAAATGGAGTGCACACACCGTAACCTTGTTCTCTCATCTTTTGTGAACTATGACGGGTCACCTTTGCAAAATTATAAGCCTTTTGAGAGTAGGGTACAATACAGCTTCAACGGCAGGGTGCCTACAGTCCCCATCACTCCTCCTGCCACCAGGGAACTTGCAGGAAGGGAGCTTTCCTGTTAGCTTTCCTCCCTGGTAAAGCACTGACCACAGCCTTGAATGCCACAAAGCCACATTGGGAAAAATATGAAGTTTTGTCCTACCCACATTATATCTGGACAGATAGTTATTTAGAAAAGAATCATTCTGCATTTTATGTATTATAACATTGGCTATACAGGATCTCTCTCTCTCATCACCCAAGTCTGGTTCCTTCCTAGTCTACATCTGCCTCTTGCTCCTCAAAGAGCTTACTTTTCCTCTCGGTTTCTTTAAGCAATAGCTCTCCTTACTATGTGGTGTGATGGTTAATTTTATGTGTCAGATTGGCTAGCCTGTAGTAACTAGTTATTCAAATATGAATCTAGGTATGGCCATAGAGATATTTTGTAGGTGAGTTTAATATCTATAATCATGGACTAACCTTTTAAAAAATCTATAATCAGTTGACTTTAGGTAAAGGACATTATCCTCAACAATGTAGATGAGCCTCATTCAATCAGTTGAAAGGTTTAAGGGCAAAAATAAGTTTCCCTGAGGAAGAAATTCTGCTTCAAGATTGCAATATCAGCTCCTGCCTAAGAATTTTCAGCCTGCTGGCCTGCCCCGATCCTATAGATTTTGGACTTACCAGCCTCCACAATTGCATACTGAAAGAAGTCTCTCTCCATACATAGGCATGCCTTGCTTAACAGAGGCACATTCTGAGAAATGCATCCTAAGGCAATTTCATCATTTTGTGAACATCATACAGTATACTTACACAAACATAAATGGTATAGCCTGCTACACCCCTGGGCTATATGGTATAGCTTATTGCTTTCAGGCTACAGACCGGTACAGCATGTTACTGTATGGAATACTGTAGGCAATTGTAACATGATGGTAAGAATCTGTGTATCTAAGCCTAGAAAAGCTACAGTAAAAATGTGGTATTAAAAGACAAAAAAAAATTGTACTCCTGTAAAGGGCATTTACCATGAATGGAGCTTACAGAATGAGAAGTTACTTTGGGTGATTCAGTGAGTGAGTAGTGACTGAATGTGAAGGCCGAGGATGTTACTGTATACTACTGTAGACTTTATCAACACTGTACACCAAGCTACACTATATTTATTTTTTTAATTCTTCAACAATAAATTAATCTTCACTTACTGTAACCTTTTTATTTATAAGCTTTGTTTTTAACTTTTTGGCTATTTTGTAGGAACACTTAGCTTAAAACATAAACTCATTGTGCAATTGTACAAAAATTCTTTCTTTATATCCTTATTCTACGAGCCATTTTCTATTTTTAATTTTTTTTTAAATTTTTGAACTTTTTTGTTAAAAACCAAGACAAAAACATACACATTAGCCTAGGTCTACACAGGATCAGGATTATCAAGATGTCACTAGACGATAGGAATTTTTTAGCTCCATTTTTACTTATGCAACTACTGTCATATAAGCGGGCCATCACTGACCAAAAACATGTTTATACAGCACATTAAAGTCTATTCATTTACTATCTTGGGGGTAAATTAGTGTTGCTGCTGGAACCCTGACAATTTTCAAGTGAGGGAACGTGGAGAAATACAAATATATTTTTATATGTTTTACACATAAAATATATAATAATTATACTTTTATTATTATATTATATATATTTATCCTAAAATAGATAAATGTTATATACATTTATGTTTTTATACATAAAATAAATATATGTTATATACATTTATGTTTTTATAAATAAAATAAATATATGTTATATACATTTGTTTCTATAAAATAAATATGTTATATACATTTATGTTTTTATAAATTAAATATATGTTATATACATTGTGTTTTTATAAATAAAATAAATATATGTTACATACTTTTTTTATAAATAAAATAAATATGTTATATACATTTATGTTTTTATAAATAAAATAAATATATGCTATATACATTTGTTTTTATAAATAAAATAAATGTTATATACATTTATGTTTTTATAAATAAAATAAATATGTGTTATATATTTATGTTTTTATAAAATAAATATGTGTTATATATTTGTTTTTATAAATAAAATAAATATGTGTTATATATTCATGTTTTTATAAATAAAATAAATATGTGTTATATATTCATGTTTTTATAAATAAAATAAATATGTGTTATACATGTTTTTATAAATAAAATAAATGTGTTATATATTTGTTTTTATAAATAAAATAAATATGTGTTATATATTTATGTTTTTATAAAATAAATATGTGTTATATATTTATGTTTTTATAAGTAAAATTAATATGTGTTATATATTTATGTTTTTATAAATAAAATAAATACGTGTTATATATTTATGTTTTTATAAATAAAATAAATACGTGTTATATATTTATGTTTTTATAAATAAATACGTGTTATATATTTATGTTTTTATAAATAAAATAAATACGTGTTATATATTTATGTTTTTATAAATAAAATAAATATGTGTTATATATTTATGTTTTTATAAATAAAATAAATATATGTTATATATATTTATATATATATTTCAATTTTCTCACTTGTAAATTGTCAGGGTTCCAGCAACAAAAATAATTTACCCTCCAGATTTCAAATGAATAGACTTTAATGAAGGAACAATGGATAGAAGAGTTGGCAGGATTAAGGAAACAAAAAAGGGCAGGTTAGGCACCAGAGACTAGCAACAGAGGGAAGGCATTACCCCTCTAGAGCTGAAAGGGTAAGAGGAAGAAAGAATTTGCTGAAAGCTGGACCTTGGGTGGAGCCTCCTCACAGGACCTGTGGTCAGAGAGGGACACAGCTATCTCCAGACAGGCGGCACTGAAGCAGTGAGGGGGCAAGAAAGACTCTGATCTCCCTCTCCTCCTACTCTCCAATTTCTTGTCCAGTGAGTCAGGATTCAATTGGTAGAACCCAAACAGAGTTGGCTAGGAATAGAGCATGGCAAGGCAGAGAAGAGGAGAGAATGGGTCTTCCAGGGAGCGGGGTGTGGGGAGGGGAGCCACTTCGGGAAGCTGAGATGGGAGGATCGCTTAAGCTAAGAAGTTGGAGACCAGCCTGGGCAACATGGCAAAACCCCATTTCTACAAAAATATTTTATGAAATTAGCTGGGCATGGTGGCACGCACCTGTAGTCCCAGCTACTTGGGAGGCTAAGGTGGAAGGATCGCTTGAGCCTGTGGGAGGTCGAGGTGCAGTGAGCTGTGACTGCGTCACTGCACTCCAGCCTGAGTGACAGAGAGAGACCCTGTCTCAGAAAAAAAAAAAAAAAAAAAAAAAAAAAAATATATATATATATATAGAGAGCATAGCGTGGTTCTCCTAAGACTCAAGCTACATATTCATACTGGTTTTCAACTTTCATAAAAGATTCCGTGTGATTTCACTTCTTATCTACTAATACACCATATCCAATTAATACCAAATTATGTCTTATCTAATATTATTATTTTCCCTGGCCCCAAGTCTTTCTTACGTATTATTTAGTTACACTGGCAATCACCCAGAATTTAGTTGCGCTTCCTTTATTCTGTATCACTTTTATCAATCATGTACCCCAAACTCAATTTTAATCAATTAATAATGACACATACATCCATTTACATACAAAATATAGACAACGATTTTTATAAAAGAATCTATATATGTTCAATAGGTTTGGGGCTAAATATTATTCTCTTTTATACCTATCAGATTGCATTCATTGTAATTCTATGTACATAAAATACGTTCAATAGCTTCTTTTTCTTGTAAATTTTCATCTTTTTAAGACACAAAACAGTAGACTTATCTATCACTGTCCTATATATTATGGTCAAAGAGAGAAAAGGGCATATTATTCTGCTTAGAAAGGAGTTAACCATAGCAGTCATATATGGAGTTATCTGTCCAGGACCCTCATCTGGGAAGTGCCTGTGTTCCTCACTCCATTTGTGCGGTTATCACAGAAGGTGTCCTATGGCCACAGTTAATTGGCTCAACAGTAGACATTAGACCTAAGATGACCTCATCACAGTCCCTTCCCCAGACTTCATTTCCTAGCTAAAGCATATAAGTCCAGGCTGGGCACCTGATTCAAACGGAAAAAACTGGAATTCACCTTTGGGAATATTGCATCTAGAAGTGAGAAGTATACATTGGGTCTCTGAACTGTGATGTATGAAACTAAAAGGTCAACTATCAGTAACTGAATTTCCAGTCATGTAGAACAGAAAAGGGGAAAAAGTAAGAGAAAGAAAAAAAAGTGAGTGTGTGTGTGTATGTATGTGTGTGTGTGTGTGTGTGCAAGTAACAGAAGTGGGAGCCATGTAGATTCTTAATGGTGCTGGAGTCTGTGTTTCTAATGGTACCTCAAGTCCAGCTACATTTCTACCTTTGAGTCTTCTAAATCTTCCACCTTGCTCAAATTAGTTTGAATTGGATTCTGTTATATATAAGCCAGTGGGTTCTTATGAATAAAATTCCTACCATCTAAACTTATCAAATGCAAGGTTAAGCCTCAAAAAGGTCGGTGCACTTGTCAGAAACATGTAGAAAGTAACTTATGAAAGAAAAATGAACTTATGAAAAGAAAAAAATCACACATTAATTTCTTGTCAATGAATCTGACTGGCTAATTTTCCATTTCTAGGATGTTGTCTTCAGTGGCAGGAAGGTTTAAACCCATCGTTCCCATTAGAGTTTACACTAGGAGCAATAATGAACCTTAAATGATTCTTAAACATGGAATCTAAGTGGAGTCAAGAACAGAATTATATTGAATCTTCATTTTAAAAGCTACGTGAGCCATATTTATTCTTTTAAAATGGAGCAAATATGTTCTGAAACCCAAAAAGAGGTGAGTTACTTAAGCAAGCCCAACATTAGGCCGGTAGTATCATTTCAGATGCTCATAGCCATCATAGGGACATAGAAGATATTCCAAAGTGATTTCTATCAATCCTAGTTTCCATTTCTCACCTGAACTTTCTACTCTCTCTTTGTAGACTTTGACTTTGGGTTGTGGAGGCAGACTGCTGGGTTTCCAATCTCCAGTCTGCCACTTACTATCTGTGGGACCTTGAGTGAATTACTTAGCATCTCTGTGCCTCAGTTTCTTGGTCTGTAAAATAATATGAAAACAGGGCCCCCACAAGTGGTAGCTGAGAATAGTAAATGAGTTAATAGATGTAAAGGAATTGGAAGAAAACCTGGCAGATAATGAGCACTCGACAATGTTAGCTCTTATTATTTAGAGGCCATGAATCCCTTAATTTTGCAGCTTCAAATAAAGCACTCACACAGACACAAACTTGCTGGTGATTTAAATAAGGAAACATAAATCAAAGGTAAATTTTAATTAAATCAGTTAATGGCACATGGATCAGTTGGGAAATGAGTTTACTTCAGAAATTATTTCTAAGAGTGTTCCTCATAAAACAATATGACCACATTAGATATATAGTTAAGGGAAACATTAAAAATATATAATGTGTAACCTTTCAATTTTCACTTAACAGCTGCCTTTATATTATTATTATTCAAAGTGATTTTTAGATAAGGGGACTTATGAATGATTTTCTCAAAAAAAATCGATACCAGTTTGATCAGTCTTGAGGATACTGGGTCATAGCAACTACCAGTACTCAGACATTGGGGAATTGTTCAGGGAAAAGGCAGCAACTTTGAAGTATCCTCAAGAATAAGAAGGGCATGTTGAAACAATTAATCATAAACAAGTCATTCAAATTAAAAGTGTATTCTTAAATAGTTTCTTGATTAAGAACAAATGCCTCATTAATCTGGAACATATTGACTTGAGAACACAAGTAAAGTCAAAGAGAGTAATGACTGACATGACGTGGAACACAGCATGCTGTGTGTTCCCATCACAAAAGCTTTGGAGGAACAGATTCCACAGAAGGTCACTGGAGACAGTGAACTGAAGAGAAAACCCAGCATCACCCAATGACGCAAAGGTAAATTTTTAAAAATCTAGATTACAGAGAACATTGGGTACCAGTAGCACTGACACTATTTCCATCTATAGATTCTGAGTTCATTTCATTTATTTCAGGCATGCAAATAAGTCTAAACCCAAGATCTAAAAAATAAAAAATAAAGATATATCTAAAAGAAATAGGCATCTAATTTTAAAGAAACTTACTGTCCTCCCCCGACTCCCACTTCCCAAGTGTTAGTTAAGAATGTGACTAGAAGTTAAAAACCAACGAAAATAGCTTTGAAGAAAATTCTAGTATAATTATTAGATGATACTAGATTGGATATTCTTTGGATCACACTAAAGCTACATTTCTTAAAGGAGTATATATAGTACCTAGTAAATATAATAATAAATGTGAGATGTGCATAAAAATCACACACATAATTTTTAAAAACCGATCAGACATTAAATGCCCATAGGAGGATGACTCTGCAGTTTTTAAAGATTAAATCTGGTTTTGGAATAGTCGTCAAAATATGTGTCATATTCTGAAAGGCTTTATAATTTCATCTTCTAGAAGGTAAGCTTCATGAGGAAAGGAACTTTTTCCCATCTTGACCACTACTATATCCTCAGAACAGTGCTTAGGACATAATAGATACTCCATATGTATTTAATGAATAAGTAATTTCAACAGTGGCTGAAATTCTAACCTGGATATATCTGTTGTGATTCTAGTTTTAACAATTGGCCTCAGGACTTTTTCTTGCAGTTGGCCCCTTATCCATGCCCCCTCACACCTTCCCTGTACTCAGCCCCTGTACTCAGCATGACTTCCACACAGATGTCTGCTTATAATGAAGAGAAAGAAAATCTCCATGAAAGATTATAAATGGTTGGGATGAATATTATGTGCAAAGAATTTCCCAAATTCCATTATCTAAAGTATGGCACAAAAAATTACCATCATCTTTCCAATACTAGAATAAATTCTTCTGAAGACAAAATTTAACATAATTTATAGAGTCAGATTCTAGATATGACTATATTATTTTTACTTAAATAACATACTCATTTCAAACTTCAAGACAAGGAAAAGAGAATTTTTTTCTAGAAAGAAGAAAGCAGCGTAATGAGAAAGAAGGGAAAGTAGAGTTCTACCACTCTAAGTAGCTATAATCAGACTTTGTTTTCAGCAATGTTTAAACCTCATCACTCCCAAAGTTTTAATCTTGACAGCAGGATAGCAAAGGAAAATATTGGAACACAACCAGGACTAGAACATTTCTTATTTCTTAGATCTACACCCAGCTTGTGCTGGAATACAAATTACCATAGCCTCTGCTCATGAAAACAAATAATCCAGTTAGAGGTACAAGGCTAGCAAACAAGACACATAACTATATACTGCCTTATATTCACTCATGTACTAAATTGTGTGGAACAATTCCTAAATGTTACACAGCCTAGAGATGAGAGGTAATTCTAGCATCTAGCACAGTGTCCAGCACATATTAGACATGCAATAAATACTTGATAAGTAAATGAAAGCTTGAATGAGAGAATGAATAAATAAGTGCTTTTAGAAGAGGTGAATCTTGTTTAGAATCCTGGAGAATGATGCTAAGCACTCGATTTGTATCTTCCACAAATGACATTTCAATGTTTCCTACCTCTCTGTCTTCTCCCACATGATAGAAACTGTATCAACCTTGTGCAGAAAACAAAAGAGAAGCAAGAAAATCCAATTGTTTTCTTTTTTTTTTTTTTTTCTTTTTGAGACGGAGTCTCGCTCTGTAGCCCAGCCTGGAGTGCAGTGGCGCGATCTCAGCTCACTGCAAGCTCCGAGAAAACCCAACTGTTTTCTTAATAATATTGGTAGTCTTGGAGACTTGACCCGAAAAAATTATTCAATAGGGCTGATTGTCCATAGGTCTGTAGTTTATAATTAAATCTGTTTACAATGGGAATACTACATCATAATGCAACCAGTAACAAGCCCATCAGAGTTAAACACTTGCTAGAATTATCATTATAAATCCCTGGTTTCGATTATTCACAATTAGGTTGTAGAAGTTTTATTTTTTCTTTAAATATAATCATAAAGTTCTCATTTGGGATATATATATATCCTAGAAATTTTCTAACTATAATGTGTGCTGCTCTTAGGAATTTTCAAAGAAAACAATGAGAACAATTTTCAAGAAAAATGACTAAAACAAATTTTAAAAATTCTTAAAATCAATCCAAAGAAACTTTGCAAATCTCGGCCAGGCGCGGTGGCTCACTCCTGTAACCCCAGCACTGTGGGAGGCCGAGGCGGGCGGATCACGAGGTCAGGAGATTGAGACGATCCTGGCTAACACGATGAAACCCCGTCTCTACTAAAAATACAAAAAATAAGCTAGCCATAGTGGTTGGTGCCTGTAGTCCCAGCTACTCGGGAGGCTGAGGCAGGAGAATGGCGTGAACCCCGGAGGCGGAGCTTGCAGTGAGCCGAGATCGCGCCACTGCACTCCAGCCTGGGTGACAGAGCGAGAATCCGTCTAAAAAAAAAAAAAAGAAAGAAACTTTGCAAATCTCAATCTCTATATCAAGGTTTTCCCCCTAGAACTCATGTCTCTACAGTTCTTTTGAATTATTTCAGAATCTGTAAAACCCCATGAAATAAACTCATATAAGAGCAATTCACTGTGTCTAGGAAACTGTATCCAGTAAGGGTCCTTGGCATACCAGGGAATATATTGGGCTTGGAATTAAGAAACTTGGGTTTACTTCTACTCCTAATTAACTGGTTAAACTTCAACAGGACCCTTTCACTTTTCTGGGCCCCTTCCTTATTTATTGAATTAGGGTGTTGGAATGGATAATCCATAGGTTTTCCTAGCCTTAATTAAGGATGGGAGCCAGTTGTCAATACAGCATAGTTAGGTATTAGAAGCAATTATAATTAGAACTAAAATGCCTCTGCTCATATCTGAGTTCTCTTCTAGGTCTTGTCCCAGGCACATACTTTATTTCTCTACATAATGTTTTCCTCATCTATAAAAAGGGAGTGATAACAATACATATCCCATGAGAGTTCATCATGATTAAATGAAATATAGCACATGAAGCACTCATCGTAGAATATGGCACCTATCAGTACTCAATGTTAGTTGGCAGTATTATGTATCTATAACTTTTTTCAGTTTTCAGAAAGGACTGGGAGAATGAAGTCTTATCATTGGATGTCAAGAAATCCTTCAGCCAGTTATTAAATTTGTTTACAGCTGGCAGGCCTGCAACACCAATAATCAAAGTATCCTTGTATAGGATTATTCAATAGGGCTGATTGTCCATAGGTCTATAGTTTATAATTAAGTCTACTTACAATGGGAATACCACATCATAATGCAACCAGTAACAAGCCCATCAGAGTTAAATACTTGCTAGAATTCTCATTATAAATCCCTGGTGCAAACTCTTTTTTGCCTTTAATTCTTTTGAAGGGATCCCAGGTTTCAAAGTCTGTATCCCTTTATGGTTATAAATCCCCAACATTTTAGTTCCAAAACCCATAATGGGCTAAAAATTAAAACCTGTTTGGGCTGAGTGCGGTGGCTTATGCCTGTAATCTCAGCACTTTGGGAGGCCGAAGTGGGCAGATCACCTGAGGTCAGGAGTTCGAGACCAGCCTGGCCAACATGGTGAAACCCCATCTCCACTAAAAATACAAAAAAAAAAAAAAATTATCTAGGCATGTTGATGCACACCTGTAATCCTAACTACTCGGGAGGCTGAGGCACAAGATTTGCTTGAACCTGGGAGGTGGAGGTTGCAGTGAGCCGAAATCATGCCACTGCACTCCACCCTGGGCGACAGAGTGAGACTCTGTCTCAAAAACCAAAACAAAAAGAAACCTGTCTGAAGCGTTGGCAGAAAATTTAAATTGTTCTTCATACTTTTGAAAGTAGGGGAGAAAAAGAATTAGGTCTCAGCAACATCTATATCTTGAAAATAGCCTTAACATGTAACATCAGAAGCAAGCAAAAGAAGAATTTGATCTACAAAACCTGGTTTTGGTAATCCATTCAAGTCAGCATTTTAATGGGGCTATGTACATTTTCCGAAATGCTTGCCCACTTCTGGCCATGCTTCACTAATACCCAAGTCACCAAGCAGACAGCACTATCTAACCAACAACTGGGGCCCTCTGGTAACCAGTGTCCCTGTACCAGTAACACATGCTGCCAAAGTTCTAGGGCTTCAATCATGATAATAAAAATTAATAAAAAATTGAGCATCCCAGAGCAACACAGATAGTTTTATGAGGGAGACACAGGGCTAATTTAATAAGATGGAACTTATTAAATTCCAGGATGTAAAAACCCTGGATCCTATATTTCAAATTGTTTCTCAGTATTGAGTGTTATCCAGCATGCATCAAGCATTTAAAGGGTGAGATGTGATTACCTTCTTTCTCAAAATGCAGAAAAGCCTTTGTTAAGGAAATCATTTCTACAACCTTCTTGGTAATAGTAAGAAATTTAAGGTGTCTGTGCTTGTAGCCACTTCTGTCTAAAGAAGCATGTTGTGTGAAAGGTGATCCATCCCATTTCCTGGCCACAGCTGACTGGATGTGGGGAAAACAATGACCCACCAAATGGCTCATCCACAGATAAGACAGCAATCTGTGACTCCTGTGGCCTAGCCAATCAGATTCTCCCTCTTAGGAATCAGTTCTAAGAGATTCAAAGGGCTATGTCCAATGAACTGTTTTCCTTTCATGAAAGGAAAGTTTGAGGCTGAAGCCATGAAAAAATCAGGATAGGTGCAGCCATCTGGGCTCTGTGAATAATGAATGAATCAGCAGAAGCAGTCAGTTAGGATAGAGAGAGTACTAGAAAAAAAGCAGATTAAGAGGAAACATCCAAGACCAGACACAGTGGCTCACACCTGTAATCCCAAACCTTTGGGAGGCCAAAGCAGGCAGACCATTTGAGCCCAGGAGTTGGAGACCAGCCTGGGCAACATGGCAAAACCCAATCTCCACTAAAAATACCAAAAAATTAGCTGGGCATGGTAGCCAGTGCCTGTAGTCCCAGCTACTCAGGAGGCTAAAGTAGAAGGATCACCTGAGCCTGGGAAGTTGAGGCTGCAGTGAGCTGTGATCCCACAACTGTATTCCAGCCTGAGCAAAAGATCAAGAGCATGTCTTAAAACAAAACAAAACAAAGCAAAAATTAGAAAAACATAGCCCTTGAAAGAGACATCTTGAGAGATGAGTCAGTTTTGAGAGAAGGGCTGATTCAGTTCTGTAGGTTTGGTGTTCAGTTTGATCTGGATTCCTGTGAGACCTCGTTCTCTCACTTAAATTAAACTCCTTGAGCTGGCCTTCTTCCTTATGACTTAAAAAGCCCAATTCAAACACTTCTCTTTCAGTAATACATTCTTTTTTTCCACTGGAATTTGTTAGTATTGTCTTTCCAAAGCTTTGGATAACATAAACATTGGCTTAAAAGTCATTTTTTAAAATCATTTCAGCCATTTGGTGACCCTAAGAGAGTACACATACTTTTATAGGGTTTCACAGAAATTCCAAGACAAAGGATTAATGTATTGTTTCTGTGAGTTTCTATTCAATTCAAATTTTATAATTCAAAAATTTTAAGTTGTTATCAACCACAGTAAGAATTATAAGAATGCTATCTATAATTTTAAAGAGAATGTTTTGCACTAACAACTGAAACATTTATTGAAAAGAAATTTTTATCGGTCTTATAGGGCTTTTGTGTGAATTTAGCAAAGTTAGCATGTATATAAGGCACAAGTACCATCGGAAAAGTTCTAAAAAGAATTAGTTATGTAGTTATTTCATATCCACAGTGCAAGGGCAAGGTTGAACAGAACTTTTCTCCATATAGTTGCTCAAACTGCCCAGTGATTTTCTTTCTTTCTTTTTTTTATAGTGCTTTGTTGAAATGGTTTAAGGGCTCCACTGACTGAAAGTTAACCCCCAGTATGCATTGGCTGCTGAGTGTTTTTTGTTTTACTCACCGGCCCTTGAGTACCGTGTTTAATTTCCACACCACAGTAATGTGAATGATCTAGGTAATCTCACATAATGGTTTGCTATAGGACACCCAAACCTTCATCCCAGGAATACTTGGAACAAGATGAAACAAGATGAGTCACTTGTGGTGAAGCCACACTAACCATGCTGCCAGGGTCTTACTGTACTTTGCTTCTGGAAGGCCTCATTAAGCAAAGGTGCCAAGTTACATGCTTGATGAGGAGATTGATTCTTGAGTCCTTCCTTACAACCAGAGTATCTGGGTAAGAACCAAAGACCTCTGAGTGGAACCTATCAAAAGTCATGCATAAGAGAGCCACAGGGTAAGAAGAAGTGAAATTTGAAGGGGACTTCCGGTGACCTCATCACCTATAAGAAAGAAAAGTCTAGTAGTTCTGTTCTTGGAATACTTGTTCTGTTAAGATTTAGCAAAACAGTTTGACCAATAGATTTTTAAGGTTTCTTGCTGGTTCTTAAGCCATAAGACTGCAAACAAACTCTCCTAAGGTCAGACATGTTGAGGTATTTATGCTACAGTCAAAAGGGTTGCTTATGCCTTGCTTAATATACGCATAGAGAGATCGCAAATTACATCTATAATTTTCCATACAACAAATCAAATTTGGCCCATAAATAAAGAAGTCAACTTATGAAAGTTACAAAAGAAATTTGTAAAGTTTTAGAACTACTAAAATTATTGGATCCAGAAAACCGAATGTAATTCCACACTGAGAATACTCGATGTATCACGTGTTTCTGGCTTCAAATCATGTGTCACTGAAAACAAAGAAAGGAGGTTTTTAAAATTATGTTCCCGGTTGTAAATATTTGCAGATTGACATGATTTCTCTTTCTAGTTATTTTTTTCCATGTAATGGATGAAACACTATCTTTTTCCTTCTTTATTCATGAAACTCCAATGTCATCAAGCCTCAGTTTGTGACTGGAATGAAGGCACATTAATATATGCCCACAAAGTTACAGACTTCTTTCTGCTCCCTGCTTCTAGAAAACCTTAGGATTGGAAGAGTTTCTCCCACCACCCAAGAAATTCTGGCACGTTCCAGAGAATGACTTTGCTGGTGAAGAGACAGCTGGTTGTGCTGGTATGAATACGTCTGGTTTTTTGCCATGGTTCATGGGACATAAGGGGTCTAAGTCCACTGATCATGAAGAATATTACCGGCCGGGTGGGGTGGCTCACACTTGTAATCCCAGCACTTTCAGAGGCCGAGGTGGGGCGGATCACGAGTTCAGGAGATCGAGGCCATCCTGGCCAACGTGGTGAAACCCAGTCTCTACTAAAAATTAAAAAGTTAGCTGGGCGTGGTGGTGCATACCTGTAATCCCAGCTACTCAGGAGGCCGAGGCTGGAGAATCACTTGAGCTTGGGAGGCGGAGCTTGCAGTGAGCCGAGATCGTGCCACTGCACGCCAGCCTGGGGACAGAGCAAGACGCTGTTTCAAAAAAAAAAAATAATAATAATATTACCTTATCCAGGACAGCTCCTGGTGTCCCCAGTGCTACACAGCAATGTGGCACCATCATGGCACTGTCTTTCCTTCAATCTTCCTTGCTGTGCACATGCTGGATTCCATCCAGAAATCAGAAAAAATATGTCTAGCTCCTGAATTCACAGGACTCAGAACTATTCATTCACCCCTTCCAGGAAGTCAATACCATATTATCCTCTGCATTTCCTACATTCTCATCTCTCAGAGCCCTATCGGGCCTTCAGATATAAAATGTTCCCTTTCTCCTCTCTTCTTCCTTCTCCAAATGTAAATCAGGCATGCAAATATATGCCTGGGAGAATTGCCGAATCCATAAAGCTGTTCTCAGTTTAGGCTAAGCAGAGATCACAGTCTATATCTACATTTGCTCTGTTGGAACATGAGATTACAATAGTTAATAAAGATGAGATACAGAGTAACCTTTACACCTTAGGCTTTTGTATTTTTCAGTAAGAAGAATGTCACAGTTCTTCCTAGCTTGCCAAAGAAATTGAATAAAAATGTACTGAACTAGGAGTAAAACTTTGTGCTGGCTAGGTAAAATGACATGTGATATTGTTCACAGGAAATAATGGAAAACAGAAAGATTTTCCATCTTGTCAAGCAGATGGAATGGGCTTGGATAGAAAGAAGAGAGGAAAATGATAGAATAAACACCAGTTGTGAACTCTGCTAAGAGAACTGGTAGGTTTTATATATTAAAGAGATGGGCTAAAGTGGTTTATAAGAAAATGTAATGTATTTTACTAGTGTAATTTTACGTCATCTGGTATTATACATGGCATATAGAGTGCAAGAAATTTGCAAGTGGGAAAACTGAGGTTTTCAATAGAAATATTGAGTTGGCTCATGAGCCTGGATGCACTACAAAATAGTGAGATGACTCGGGAGCAACTCAGGCCGAGGAGTGACCCACTTGAAGACTGGCAAAGTGGGAGCTGAGACAGAAGACAGGAAAGTGGATGCTTGAATGAAGGTCACAACAGCCATAAAGAAAAGAAAAGGCAGAATATCTATTGAAAAATGACGACTCCATTGACAGAAAGAGAAAATTAATTTAGAAGACAATTTGTGTGCTCTGTAAATCTTCAGTTGTCACAGCAAAGAGGAAAGTTTTCTCTGTTCTTTTTTTTCTTATTTTTTTTGTGGGTACATAGTAGGTGTATATATTTATGGGGTACGTGAGATATTTTGATATAGGCATACAATGCATAATAATCACATCAGGGTAAATAGAGTATCCATCACCTAAGCATTTATCCTTTCTTTGTGTTACAGACAATCCAATTATACTCTTTTCGTTATTTTCAAATGTACAATGAATTATTGGTGACTACAGACACTTTGTTGTGCGATCAAACACTAGATCTTATTCATTCTATATAACTATATTTTTGTACCCATTAACCATCCCCGTTTCCTTCCCTCACCCCCACCCTGACCTCTCTACCCTACCACCCTTCCCAGCCTCTGATAGCCATCATTATACTCTGTTTCCATGATTTCAATTGTTTTCATTTTTATCTCCCACAAATAAGTGAGAACATGCACATTTTATCTTTGTGTGCCTGGCTTATTTCACTATACATAATGTCTCCCAGTTCTATCTATGGCATTGCAAATGGCAGGATCTCATATTTTATGGCTGAATATTACTCCACTGTGTATATGCACTACATTTTCTTTGTCCATTTGTCTGTTGATGGACACTTAGAATATTTCCAAATCTTGGCTATTGTGAATAGTGCTGCAAAAACATAGGAGTGCAGATAGCTCTTTGATACACTCATTTCCTTTCTTCAGGTATGTATAGAGCAGAGGGATTGCTGGATCCTATGGTAGCTCTATTATTAGTTTTTCTGAGGAAACTCCAAACCATTCTCCACAGTGGTTGTTCCAATTTACATTCCAACCAAAGGAGTACAAGAGATCCCTTTTCTAGCCATTCTCATCAGCATTCATTATTGCCTGTCTTCTGGATAAAAGTCATCACAACTGGAGTGAGATGGTATCTCATTGTAGTTTTGACTTTTATTTCTCTGATGATCAATGATGTTAATTAAGCATCTTTTCATATTCCTGTTTGTCATTTGTGTTTCTTCTTTAGAAAATGTCTATTCAGATCCTTTGCATATTTTAAAATCAGATTATTACATTTAATCCTATTGAGTTGTTTGAACTCTTTGTATGTTCTGGTCATTAAGCCCTTGTCAGATGGGTAGTTTGCAAATATTTTCTTCCCTTCTGTGGGTTATCTCTTCACTTTGTTGGTTGTTTCTTTTATTGTGCAGAAGCTTTTCAACTTGATGTGATCCCATTTGTCCATTTTTGCTTTTGTTGCCTGTGGTTGTGGGGTATTACTCAAGAAATCTTTGCCCATACCAATGTACCAGATAGTTTACCAAATGTTTTCTTTTAGTAGTTTTAGAGTTTGAGACCTTAGAATTAAGCCTTTGATCCATTTTGATTTGATTTTTCCATAGTGATAGGTAGGGATCTAGCTTCATTCTTCTGCATATGAATATTTTGTTTTCCCAATGCCATTTATTGAAGAGGCTGTCCTTTCCCCAATGTATGCTTTTGGCATCTTTGTCAAAAATGAATTCACTGTAGATATATGGATTTATTTCTGGGTTTTATCTTCTGTTCCATTGGTCTATATGTCTATTTTTATGCCAGTACCTTGCTGGTTTGGTTACTACAGTTCTGCAGTATAATTTGAAGTCAGGTAATGTGAGTCTTTTATTTTTGTTCTTTTTGCTTAGGATAGCTTTGGCTATTCTGGGTCTTTTGTGGTTCCATATAAATTTTAGAATTATTTTTTCTATTTCTGTAAAAAAATATCATTGGTATCTTGATAGAGATTACATTGAATCTATAGAGTGCTCTGGGTAGTATGGACATTTTAATAGTATTGTTTCTTCTATTCCATGAACATAGACAATCTTTCCATTTTAGTGTGTCCTCTTCAATGTTTTGCATCAATGTTTTATAGTTTACATTGTGGAGATGTTTCACTTCTTTGCTTAAGTTTATTCCTAGGTTTTTGTTGTTGTTTTGTTTTGTTTTGTTTTTGAGATGCAGTCACGCTCTGTCGCCCAGGCTGGAGTGCAGTGGTGCCATCTCGGCTCACTGCAAGCTCCGCCTCTGGGGTTCAGGCCATTCTCCTGCCTCAGCCTCCTGAGTAGCTGGGACTACAGGTGCCCGCCACCACATCTGGCTACTTTTTTGTATTTTTAGTACAGATGGGGTTTCACCATGTTAGCCAGGATGGTCTCCATCTCCTGACCTCGTGATCTGCCTGCCTGGGCCTCCCAAAGTGCTGGGATTATAGGCGTCAGCCACCGCACCCGGCCATTCCTAGTTTTCTTTTTATCTTATTTGTAGCTATTGTTAAAGGGATTACTTTCTTGATTTCTTTTTCAGATTATTCACTGCTGTCAAATAGAAATACTACTGATTTTTTATGTCGGTTTTGTATCCTGCAACTTTACTAAATTTGCTTATCAATTCTAATAGTTTTTATGGAGTCTTTAGGTTTTTCCCAAAATAAGATCATGTTATCTGCAAATAAGGATAACTTTACTTCTTCCTTTTCAATCCAGATGCCCTTTATTTCATTTGTCAAATTTCTCTAGCTAGTGCTTCCAATACAATGCTGAATAACAGTGGTGAAAGTGGGCATCCTTGTTTTGTTCCAGATCTTAGAGGAAAGCCTTTTGGTTGTTCCTCATTCGGGAGAAGACTAGCTTGGGTCAGTTGTATATGGCTTTTATTGTGTTGAGGTATGTTCCTCCTATATCCAGCTTTTTGAGAATTTATATCATGAAGAGATATTGAATTTGATCAGATGACTTTTCAGTAACAATTAAAATGATCAGATGGTTTTTGTTCTTTATTCTGCTGATATGATGTATCACATAGGTTGATTTGTGTATCAACATCCTTGTATCCCTGGGATAAATCCCACCTGGTCATGATAAATGATTTTTATTAATATGTTGTTGAATTCAATTTGCTAGTATTTTGTTGAGGATTTTTGCGTCAATGTTCATCAGGGATATTGGCCTATACATTTTTTTTGTTGTTGATGTATCTTTGTCTTGTATTGATTTTAGCATAACACTGTCCTTGTAGATTTAGTTTGGAAGTATTCCCTCCTCCTCTACTTTTTGAAATAGCTTGAATCAGATTGGTATTAGTTTTCCTTTAAATGATTGCTAAAATTCAGCAGTGAAGCCATTGGGTCTTGGGCATTTCTTTGCTGGGAGACTTTTTATTACAGCTTTGATCTTATTACTTGTTGCTGATCTGTTCAGATTTTGGATTTCCTCATGATTCAATCTTGGTAGGCTTTATGTGTCTAGGAATTTATCCATTTCTTCTAGACTTTCCAATTTATTGGCATATAGTTGCTCATAGTAGCCTCTAATGATCCTTTTAATTTCTGCAGTATTAGTTTTAATGTCTCCTTTTTCATCTTTGATTTTATTTATTTGACTCTTTTCTCTTTTTACTTAGTCTAGCTAATGGTTTGTTGATTTTGTTTATCTTTTCAAAAAGCAACTTTTAATTTCATTGAACTTTTGTATTTTTTGTTTCAATTTTATTTATATCTGAGCTTTATTATTTCTTTTTTCTAGCAATTTTGGGTTTGTTTTTTCTCTTATTTTTCTAGTTATTAAAGATGTATTATTAGGCTGTTTGAAGTTTTTCTACTTCTTTGATGTAGACACTTATAACCATATATTTCCTTCTCAGTACTGCTTCTGGTATGCTTTTTGATATGTTGTGTTTCCATTGTGATTTATTTCAAAAAAGTTTTTAATTTCCTTCTTTATTTCTTCATTGACCCATTGGTCATTCAGGAGCATATTTTTGAATTCCCATGTGTTTGTATAGTTTCCAAAACTCCTCTTGTTATTGATATCTAGTTTTATTCTATTATGGTCAGAGAAGGTGCTTGACATTATTTCCATTTTTAAAAAAATCTTTTAAGACTTGTTTTGTGGCCTAACACACAGTCCATTCTTAAGAATGATCCATGTGCTAAGAAACCAAATGTGTATTCTGCAGCTGGAAAAAAAATTGTTCCGTAAGTGTCTGTTAATATTAGGTCCATTTGGTCTAACTGCAGACTAAGTCCAATGTTTCTTACTTTATTTTCTGTCCACATGCTCATCTAATGCTGAAAGTGGGCTGTTGAAGTCTCCAGCTATTATTGTATTGGGGTCTATCTCTCTTTTTAGCTCTAATAATATTTGCTTTAAATATCTAATTGCTCCAGTGTTGGGTGCATATATATTTACAATTATTATATCTTCTTGCTGAATTGACCTCTTTATCATTACTTAATGAGCTTTTTTGTCTCTCTTCATAGATTTTTTTCTTGAAATCTATTTTATTTTATATAAGTGTAGCTAGTCCTGCTCTTGTTTTGTTTTCATTGGCATAGAATATCTTTTTCCAACCCTTTATTTTCAGTCTATATGTATCTTTGTAGTTAAAGTATCTTTTTTGTAGGCAACAGATTATTGGGTCTTGCTTTTTAATCCAGTTAGTCACTCTATGTCTTTTGAATGGAGAGTTTAGTACATTTGCATTCAATGTTACTCTTGATAAGTAAGGATTTACTCTTGCTGTTTTGTTGTTTTCTGATTGTTTTGTGGTCTTTTATTCCTTTATTCCTTCCTTCCTATCTTTCTTTAGTGAAGGTGCATTTCTCTGGTGGTATGTTTTAATGTCTTGCTTTTTATTTTTTGTGTGTTTGTTGTAGGTTTTTTTATTTGACATTATCATGAGGCTTGCAAGGAATATCTTATAACCTGTTATTTTAAACTGATGATAACTTACCACTGATTATATAAACAAACTAACAAGCAAAAAAAAAAAAAACCTTAATAAAAAGTCTACATTTTAACTTTATCCCTCCTTTTTAACTTTTTGTTGTTTCTATTTAGTTCTTATCATAATGTCTATGTCTTGAAAAGTTGTACATCTTATTTTTGACAGGTTCATCTTTTGGTCTTTCTACTCAACGTATGTGTAGTTTGCACTCCACAATTACAGTGTGATGATATTGATGATATTTTGTCTTACTGTGTCCTTGTCCTTCTTTTTTTTTTTTTTTTTTTTTTTTGAGATAGGGTCTCACTCTTCCAGGCTGGAGTGGAGTGGCTCAATTTTGGCTCACTACAACCTCCGCCTCCCAGGCACAAGCAATCCTCCCACCTCAGCATCCCAAGTAGCGTGAACCACCACACCTGGCTAATTTTTGTGTTTTTTTTTAGAGATGGGTTTTGTATTTTTAGTAAGATGGATTTTGTGTTTTATGTAGAGATATTTTTTGTAGAAATGGGTTTCCTCATGTCTCCCAGGCTTGTCTCAAACTCCTGAGCTCAAGTGATCCTCCTTTCTTGGCCTCCCACAATGCTGAGATTACACCATGCCTGGCCTGTACTTACTATTAACAGTGAGTTTTGTACCTTCAGATGATTTCTTACTGCTCATTAACATCCTTTTTATTTGAGATTGAAGAACTCCTTTTAGCATTCCTTTTAAGACAGGTCCAGTGTTGAAATCCCTCAGCTTTTGTTGGTCTAGGAAAGTATTTCTCCTTCATGTTTGAAGGATATTTTCACTGGATGTACTATTCTAGGATAAAAGTTTTTTCTTCATCACTGTGAATATGTCATGCCACTGTCTCCTAGCCTGTGAAGTTTCCAATGAGAAACTTCTCTGCCAGGCATATTGAAGCTCCTTTTTATGTTATTTTTTTCCCTTGCTGTTTTTAAGATCCATTCTTTATCCTAGACCTTTAGGAGTTTGATTATTAAATGTTTTGAGGTAGTCTTATTTTGATTAAGGTGTTCTATAGCCTTCTTGTACTTGATTATTAGTATCTTTTTCTAGATTTCAGAGGTTCTCTGTTCTTATACCTTTGAATAAACTTTCTATCCCTATCTCTCTTTCTATCTTCTCTTTAAGGCCAATAACTCTTAAATTTGCCCTTTTGAGGCAATCTTCTAGATCTTGTAGGCATACTTCATTCTTTTTTATTCTTTTTTCTTTTGTCTCTTCTGACTATGTATTTTAAATAACCTATCTTCAAGCTCACTAATACTTTCTTTGGCTTGATTAATTCTGCTGTTAAAAGTCTGATGTACTCTTCAGTATGTCGTACTCTTCAGTATGTCGATTGCATTTTCAGTTCTAGAATTTCTGCTTGATTCTTTTTAATTATTTTAATTAATTTGTTTAATTTATCTGATAGGATTCCAAATTCCTTCTCTGTGTCATCCTGAATTTTGTTGTGCTTCCTCAAAACAGCTATTTTGTTGTTTTTGTCTATTTTCTTTTTTTGAGACAGGGGCTCACTCAGTCCTCCAGGCTGAAGTGCAATGGTGTGATCATGGCTCAATGCAGCCTCTACCTCCCAGGCTCAAGCAATCCTCCTGCCTGATCCTCCGAAGTAATTGAGATCACAGACATATGATATCACCATACCCAGCTAATTAATAAAATTTTTTTTGTAGAGATGGGGTCCCACTATGTTGCCCAGACTGGTTTGAAACTCCTGGGCTCAAGTAGTCCTCGTCTCACCCTCGCAAAGTGCTGGAATTACAGACATGAGCCACTGCACCCAAACAAACAGCTATTTTGGATCATCTGTCTGAGAGTTCACATACTTCGGTCTCTCTGGACTGGGCACTGGTGTCTCATTTAGTTTGGTTAGGTCATGTTTTTCTGGGTGGTCTTGATGCTTGTGGATGTTCATTGGTATCTGGGCATTGAATATTTAGGTATTTATTGAAGTCTTTACAGTCTGTGCTTGTTTTTACCCATCCTTCTTGGAAAGCTTTCCGATAATTCAAAGGGACCTGAATGTTATGATCTAAGTCTTTGGTCACTGTAGCCATGTCTCCATTTAGAGGACATCCCAAGGCCAGTAGCACTGTGGCTCTTGCAGTCTCATAGATGTACCACTTTGGTGCTCTTGGGTAAGATCTGGAGGAATTCCTTGAATTACCAGGGAGAGACTCTTGTTCTCTTCCTTACTTTACCCCAAACAAATGGAGTCTCTCTCTCTTCCCTTACTTTCCCCCAGACAAACTGGGTCTCTCTCTCTTTCTCTGTGCTGACCTGCCTAGAGCTGGAGGAGGGGTGACACAAGCACCCCTGTGGCCACCACCACTGATACAGAACTGGGTCAGACTTGAAGCCAACACAGCACTCGGTCTCACTCAAGGCCCACAGTGACCACTGCCTGGCTACCGCCTATGTTCACTCAAGGCCCAAGGACTCTACAATCAGCAGGTGGCAAATTCAGCCAGGTTTGTGTCCTTCCCTTCAGGGCAAGGAGTTCCCTGGGGCCCTGGGCAGGTCCTGAAATGCTGTCTGGGAGCCAGGGCCTGGAGTCAGGAATCTTAGGAATCTACCTGGTACTGTATTCTACTGCAGCTGAGCTGGCACCCAAGCCACAAGACAAAGCTCTTACCACTCTTCTCCCCTTTCCTCATGCAGAGGAGTGTCTCCCAGTGGCCACCACTGCCCCAGGCTGGTGGTAAGTAATTCCTGGTTACCTCCTATGTTGACTCAAGGCCCAAGGACTCTGAAGTCAGCTTGTGGTAAATGCTGCCAGGCCTGGGTCTTTCTCTTCAGGGCAGTTGACTCCCCTCTGGCCCAGGACTTGTCCAGAAATGCCATCCAGAATCCAAGGCCTGGAATCAAGGACCCCAGGTGCCTGCTTGGTGCTCTATCCCACTGTGGCTGAGCTGGTAACCAAGCTGCAAGACATAGTCCCCTTTACTCATTCCTCTCCTTTTCTTAAACAGAAAAAAAGTCTCCTTGTGGCCAATACAGCTGTAAATGTGCTAGGTCACACCTGAAGCCAGCATAGCTGTGAGCCGAACCCAAGGCCTGCAGTGAGTACTGCCTGGCTTCCACTGTTGATTATTCAGGGCCCAAGTGCTCTTTAGTCAGCTGGTGATAAATCCTGCCCATTCTGAGTCCTTCCTGTCAAGGCAATGGGTTCCCTTCTGGCAAAAGGTGTGTCTACAAATGTCAACAGGGATAGGGCCTGGAACGAGGGGCCTCAGGACTCTGCCTGGTCCCCTGTTCTACTGTGGTTCAGCTAGTACCCAAGTTGCAAGACATAGTGCTATTTTCTCTCCCCTCTCCTCTCTTCAAGTGGAGTCTCTCCTGGAGCTGTGAGCTGCATTACCAGGGTCTGGGGGAGGGGTGGCTCAAGCACTCCCTCGGCCTCCCCAGCTGGTGTCTCACTAGATTGTATGCATCCCAAGTCCACTGCTCTGAACCCAGCACAACATCAGGACTTGCCCAGGAATTGCAGTCCTTGTGGCCTAGGCTACCTTTCAAGTTTATTTAGGACCCCATAGCACACAAAGTGGTGGGGTTTGCAGGAACTCAGGTTCTGACCACTGGAATGGATGATTTGCCTCTGGCTAGGGCTGGTCTAAATGCTCCGTTTCGTGGGTACTGGCTGATTTCTGCCCCCTTTTGCTTTCTGCTATAACAGGGTAGCACTGAGTTCCAGTGCAAAGTCCCACAATCAATGCATTCTCCCTCCCCAACGTGCACAGATTCTCTCTCCAAGCCACATGGCTGCTACCAGGCAATGTGGTAGGAGCGGCATTGGCAATTCAAGACTGCCTTTTCAAGACACAACAAAAAAAGAAAATTTCAGGCCAATATCCCTGATGAACATTAATGTGAAAATTCTCAATAAAATACTGGCAAACTGAATCCAGCGGCACATCAAAAAGCTTATCCATTACGATCAAGTCGGCTTCATACCGACTTGCCTCCAAAGCTTGCCTCCAGCTTTGTTCTTTTTGCTTAGGATTGTCTTGGCTATATGGGCTCTTTTTTGGTTCTATATGAAATTTAAAGTAGTTTTTTTTTCTAATTTTTTGAAGAAAGTCAATGGTAGCTTGATGGGGATAGCATTGAATCTATAAATGTCACATCCGTTGCACGGACATGAATGAAGCTGTAAACCATCATTCTCAGCAAACTAACACAAGAACAGAAAACCAAACACCGCATATTCTCACTCATACATGGGAGATGAACAATGAGAACACATGTACACAGGGAGGGGAATACCACACACTGGGGCCTGTCGGGGGTTGGGGTGCTAGGGGAGGGATAGCATTAGGAGAAATACCCAATGTAGATGACCGGTTGATGGGTGCAGCAAACCACCATGGCACGTGTATACCTATGTAACAAACCTGCACGTTCTGCACATGTACCCCAGAACTTAAAGTAAAATAATAATAATAATTTTAAAAAATACTGCCTTTTCTACCCTTTTCAGGGCCTCTTCCTTAGTAGGATGTGAAAACCAGGTACTATAATTGCTCACCTGATTTTTGGTTCTTATGAGGGTGGTTTTCTGTGTGGATAGTTGTTCAACTTGGAGCTCCTGCAGGGGGAACAAACAGTGGAAGCTTCTATTTGGCCATCTTGCTCCACCTCCCACTGAAAAGTATTTTTATGCTAAGCAATTTGAAAATATTTAGATGAATAATTTTTAAATAGAGGAAAATCTCTACTCTGAAATCCAAAGTCTTCTGAGTCCATTCTGTTTTTTGTCATGCTAAAAATATGAGGCTTACATATTTTTTACACAGGCCAAATTCTGCTCAGTTAAATACAGCAGATTGTTTAGATTGGTATCTTAAACACAAACTAGATAATCTGGTTCCGTTGCTTCCATGGCATCTGAATTGGTGTCATCCTCTTTTTCAGAACAAATATCTAAGGATGTTTCCAAGGCATCACAATATTATATTGGCCTAGTTAGAACAGAAGTGTCATCTCTAAATCTCACACGTGTGTGTGAATGCAAGCACCCTTACTGGTAGAGAACCAGGAAGTCCTTGGTCTGTAAATACCCCAAGAAAGAAAACCACTGCTAGCAATATTATAATGCATAAACTAAGCATGATATTTTTAAATATAATTCACACATCCAAGTGTGTGTTGCTGCCTTTACAGTATCCATTTGGGAAGTTGTGCATTTATTCTAATGAGATTGGCATTGTTCAAAACATGATCTGGAGTTTCTTTTCAACAATGATCTTAATTGTCTGTGGCACATATTTTTGACTGTCCATATGGTAAAGTATCTTTATCTTTTGTGTGTAAACTTGATTTCAAAATAACCAAAAGTAAGTCAGAAGTAAATTTTAAGAACAAGAAAGACAATTAAATTGGGAAATCCCATAAACAGGTAAGGTGGGTACTGAAGAAGATTTATCTGGATGTATTTACCTTTTGTGAGTTATTAATTTTGCTATACCTCATACAGTCAAGTCTTCTTTGAGACAGTTTTGTTGTCTTTACCTTCAGAAGTTATATTAGGTTGGTGCAAAAGTAATTGTGGTTTTTGCCATTAAAGGTAATGTTATTAATAATATCCTGAATTTTACTCTTGACAAAAAGCATAGGTTTTATATTATCTGTGTATATGAGAATGCATGAATGTGTGTATTTTCATAACAAAATGGAAGCAAAAATTCTATAGAATTCAATCTTTTATATTTAGCAAAAACAAATATTCCATATATTGTTTAATTCAGCATTGAATAATTAAGCAAAATACTTGCAATTAACTTGCACATAAACTTCTTAAAAGATATCACATCAAAATATGAGATTTCTTTAAGCTATGTCTTCAATATTTTATGCAAAGATCTGTTCTGAAAGATGCTTTGGCAAGAATTTTAATAATCTATAAATTTTTTTCTTTAATCTTTATAATAATCTTTATATAATAACCATATTATTTTTGTTAAATATTTTTCTCCTTTTCAAAATATTGTTTTATAAGTTCTCATGCTCTTTAATTACAATTAATATTTATAAATTTTTTCTATGATTATCTGTATGAGAAATCTTTGATAGCAAACACAGTAAAATAATGTTTTGCCTTAAGTTTTAGAAACTGAAGTTGTTATAAAACCATTCTATTAGGATTTAAATTATATCACGCCAGCCAGACTTATTTATGCAAATGTTTTCTCCCTACCACTGTGCTCATTGAGAAGGACTGCTGACCCAGGTGTTTTGTAGCTTTTAAAATAATTGTTCAATATGATATTAGGTTGTAGAATGTGGTCACAAATTTCTCAAGTCTAGAGAAGTCCATTCCAGAAGTCTAGCAGGTCTATTCCACTGACTCTCAACTTTATTATGCTTATGCTTGACTCTTATGTCTTTCCTATTTAACTTATTTTATAAAATGTAGAACATATGTTTTGAAAGTCAAACCATACCAAAGTCAAACCTGGTGGGAGTGCTACAACTGTAAAAAGGTGGAAACACTCAGTAAGCAGTCAAAGTTTGGCATGGAAATAGACACGGCTGCAATAAGGTAGTGGACTTATGGGCTAAGTTTCCTTGCTTTCATACTTGCATGTAGTGTAGCTAGTTTCCCAAAACACATAAAAGGAAGTCATTTCTCTGTGAAGTGGTCTTTAGAGGAGGGTTTTTCTACTTCAGCATTATTATTTGAGACTGGATAATTCTTTGCTGTGTGTGTGGATGGGGGTGGGAGGGTTGCTGTGCTGTGCGTTATGAGATGTTTAGCAGCATTGCATCCGTGGTCTTTGTCCATTAGATGCTGTTGACATCCTTCTTCCCAATTGTGGCCACCAAAAGTGTTTCTAGACATACCCAAATGTCCACTGGGGGAACAAAACCCTCGTTCCTCACCATTTTCCCTCCTCTGTGGTTGAGAATGACTTCTCTAGATTACCATTTCAAGATTTAGCTTAAGTTTCTGACAGTGGTGTTACAGAAGGCCATTTTCATCATTGTCATTTATTATTTCATGTTAGTTTAGTGGTTTACTACAAGTAGCCTAGGGTCAAGGAAATATATCCAGTTCATTTAATAGTATTCTTAATCAACTATGTTCCTAAGTTCTTATGTTTCTTTTAATCTATGAACCTATGTTCCTACTGTTGCCTGAAAGATTCACAAGAGGAAAAATGTACTGAGTATAGACAATAAAAAATTTAATGTGGCCAAATATAGCATATATTTAACATTGTAAAGCATATCTCAAATATTTGCAGCATTTCATGGCAACAAAAGCTGCTATAGAATAAGTGGGTCAGAATTACCATCAGGGAAGTAGTACCCAAAATATCTTCCGACTATTATAGGCCAGGCCAAAGCAAAAAACAGCTCAATTAGATTTGGGAGGCATTCCTTCCAGGCTGCTAAAGTATCACCAGTCAAACAGCATTCACAAGAAACACAGGTCTGAGATAACCAAGTTAGTGCTCTAATAAGACTTCAAATGCTCTGAGAACAAGCTTCACTGTATTTTTGCTCACAGAAGTTTCACATCTATCCTTGCTCAGGCCTAGGATTTTAGTCGGCTAGCAGCAAAAGAAGATGAACTTGAAATTTCACTTCAAGAAGTATTAGGCTTTATGGAATATAAAAGTAATTCAGAAGCATAGAAAACCATGAATAATAAACAAACTCTGATAGAAAATAAATAAAGGAACTCAAGGAATTGCCTTCCAATATCCTTGGCAACCAGAGAAGCAATCAATGAGTTTTAAAACTCCCATATACATATTTGGTGCTCACAAATACCTGAATAATAAAGACGATTATCATGCAGAGTGACAAAGTACAGATAAACACACTCCAGCTTTGCAAGTACAAAACCAGTTAAAACCAGTTATTCTACTCCTGACGTTTAACAAGTAGAGCTTTACACATATACTAAAAGCCACAGTGAACTGGGTGAAAGTTTGTTGGGCCTGGGGAGTGGGAAACTGGCTTAGTAACACCAGAGTCATCTCAGTGTGTGACCCCTGGCAAACCATGCTCCTGAGAAGACAGCAGAAGGAAAAGGTTGCTTTACCAAAGGTTAGAAATACAGGAATATAGAGTGCGTGAATGCAAGCTATGTGACTTATGTAGGCTTTTACATACCAAAGCTGCTTCCAAAGTCAGTAGGAGAGGCTGGTCCCATCAGCTGGATAAGCACAGCAAAAATTAAGATGGTTTGATATCCACATCTCCAGTTGCTTAAGTTGTTTACTCTGTTCCCTCTGAATCACATCACATCTTATTTTCAACTGAAACATGGAAACCTTTCTGGCCTAATACTTCTTTTCCAAATAATATTTATTTTCATGTGGCATTAATCTTTTTTTACTAATTATTCTTGGGTGCAGCATATTTTGTAACCACCTAAGCACACACTGATCCAAAGCTGAATATTATAAATAGTTATAATCACATTCATCAAAAAGTTCAAAGTGAGAGTGGGCTAAAAAATAAGTAGGAGTCAGAAAGAGAGAGTAGGAGATTGGGTAAAATGATAAAATAATGAGAAAAAGAAATAATTTCTATGTATCAGGTAGGAGAGAGAAGCTATTTCCTAGGGCTTTGGGGGAAATGAATTTCCCACACCAAAGGTGGAGTAGATTGAAAAACCGATAGATTGCTCTTCACTCCTTCACTGAGGTTCTGAAACTGTAGGCATTGAATGCTGCATTAAAGATACATGTGCATCTTATTCCTCATAAGTAAATTACATTGTTTTATTACTATGCTGTGTGGCCCAAAAGGCAAGCAATAATTTTTAGTGGCTGAGAAGAAACTAGTTTCACAAACAAGGGGCACTTTGAAAAAACAAATGTACTCAAAAAGACAATGTTGCTCTGGGCTTTATTTAGAATTAAATTCCAGAACTCACTCAAAACTGCAGAACCAGTACTCAAATTTGGTACCCCTTTTGCTCATCCTTCCTAAAGTCACCCTTCACACACAAATCTTTCCACCCTCCTCTCCAGGCATTTTAAATAGCTGCAGGATTAGAAATTGCAAAACAGATGCCTCCGGCCAAAAGCACCAAGTTTTGCTGATAAATTTTCCTGAAATCACACAAATGGAAAAAACGGAAGTCAGAAGTGTACATTTTATATTCAGCAGCTAAAGTCTGAAATCTCAGGTTATAAGTAAATTATTTTGTGATTAAATCCTAATCTCATCAATTTAAAGAACCAAAAACCCAGCTCAATAATCCACCACAATCTTACCTTGAAAATGTGGTTCTCTTATTTGAATGTCTTCTTCCAGTACTAATTCGATTTCTTTTCCTGAAAATTCTGCCACATGGTGCTACTTTCGGACATTTAATATATTTCATTTATAATTACTCTCACGTGTAAATGGTATCTTTAAATAATATGTGCAGGAGTTCTTAATAAGTTTTCACAACTCTCCTTATAAAGCAAAGCTATTCATTTTTAGAGAGTTTGAACGTTTTGGTGTTAATTTGATAAATAACAGCTATTGGACAACTGAAGAGAATAACCACTCACAGGCAATCTTCTCTTTGTACTTGATTTTAAAATATTAATATTTCATTCATGGTGTCTTCTCAAATTAAATTTCTCAGGGTTACTGGACCTCAGATACTAAAAGGACAAAGAAAAGGGACAGATGAGAACAGCTACGAAGCGATAGTGAAAACATATGGTGTCCATCTTGTAAGCATAAGGCTCCCTGGTATTGCTGCCACTCTCCCTGTGCTCGGGAAAGCTGGAAGAAGCCAGTAGGCAATCTGGTGTCTCGTCAGAAGAGTGCCAGAAACAGGTGTTGCTGACCTAACCCTTTCCTCCTACCACAGATTCTCTTGGTAAATCCTACACTCGTTACCATAGCATTGCTTTCAAACACACTTATCAGATGAAAACCAAGTGTTCCAAAATAACAGTTTATATGGAGTCAAAATGCTGAAAATTGCTGTGATTGGTTTTTTCTTTCTCTTTTTTTTTTTCAGTTTTTAGAATCGGGTAATTTTAAAATTACAATAAAATGCACACATTTTAAGTGTTCCCTGCGTGAGTGTTGATGGTTGTATACACCGATGTAGCACCACCCAAAACAAGATACAAAACGTTTCAATCACTCCAGAAGTTTTCCTCCTTCTCCTTTTCAGTCAAACCACACTGTACTGATTTCCATTGCCATAGACAATTTTGCCTGTCTTTGAACATAATATACTGTATATATTCTTTACATCTGGCTTTTTTTTGCCAATATATATTTTTAAGACTCATTCTTACTGTTGCATGTTATCACTAGCTCATTCCTTTTCATTACAGAGTAATATTTAACTGTATAAATATACCACAATTTGCTTACTCATTTTCTAGGAAATGGATATTTAAGTGTTTCCAGATGTTCTTGGAACAGTCTCATATAAGACTTTGTGTAGACGTATGTGATCATATCACCTGGATAAATACCTAGGAGTGGAATTCCTGAGACACAATATGTTTAACTTTTAAGAATGTGGCAAACCTTTCCCCACAATCGTTGTAATATTTTACTCTACTGACTTGTTAGTATTTATCTTTCTCCATATCCTCATCAATATTTGGTGCTGTCAGTCTTAGCCATTCCAGTGAGTGTGAAATGCTAACTCATTATGATTCTAAATTGCATCTCTCTGACGACTTATGATGTTGAATAGCTTTTCAGGTGTTCATTAGCCTCATCCTATGTAGGACATCTTATTCCCAAATTTTCTTTTGCTAAGTGTCTTTCCAGACTTTGGCCCATTTTTTACTGAGCTGTTTATCTTTTTATTGTTGACTCGTAAAAGTTATTTATATATTCTGGATATGACCTATTCATGAAAAATAAGTGATGAGAATTTTCAAAGTCTGTCGATTGCCTGTTCACTTTCTTTTAATGAGCAGAAATTAAATTTTATTGAAAATCAAATATTCTTTGACAGGTGAAATGTTTTTAATTCTAATACATTTTTGCATACCCCAGGGTTACAAAGATATTATTTATTTTCTTCAAAAAGCTTTTTGATTATAATGTTTATATTTAAGTTTATGATCTATTTCTACGTAATTTTTGTGTTTTGGGTGAGGTAAGATCAGAGATCATTTTTTGTTTTCTAATGGATAGCCAATCTTTCTTGCATCATTTGTTTTTTTTTTGTTTGATTGTTTATTTTGGTTTTTTTGAGACGGAAGCTCACTCTGTCGCCCAGGCTGGAGTGCAGTGGCGAGATCTCTGCTCACTGCAAAATCCCTGCCTCCCAGGTTCCAGCGATTCTCCTGCCTCAGCCTCCGAGGTAGCTGGGACTACAGGAGTCCGCCACAGTGTCCGGCTAACTTTTGTATTTTTAGTAGAGATGGGGTTTCACCATGTTGGCCAGGCTGGCCTTGAATTCCTGACCTCAGGTGATCTGCCTGCCTCAGGCTCCCAAAGTGCTGGGATTATAGGCATGAGCCACCGTGCCCGGCCACATCATTTGTTTTAAGAAAATATTTTCTTTATTAATCTAATTTGCCACTCTGGTCAGATATCAATGTATGTTTGTATGTATGTATCATATACGTGTGTATATATCACATATATCTGTATGTGCCAATTTCTGGATTTTGTATTCTGCTTCATCAATCTATTATTTCGCCAACATCATATTCACTTGATTACAGTGACATTGTATTAAGTCCTGAAATCAAATAGTGTAAATCCATCAACTTTGTTCTTCTTTATCAATATTATTTTGGTTAGTCTAGATTCTTTGCACTTTCTAACTCACTTCAAAAGAGCCTGTTTCTAGGTATTTTGGGTTTTTGATGCTATTGTGGACAATATTTTAAATAGCATTTTATAGTTGTTTATTGTTAGTAATTAGAAATGCAATTGATATTTGAATATTAGCCCTGTGTCCAGAGACTGCTAAATTCACTTATTAGTTCTAGTAGTTATTTGTTTGTGTGTGGATTACATGAAGTTTTCTTTTTTTTTCTTTTTTTGAGACGGAGTCTGGCTCTGTTGCCCAGGCTGGAGTGCAGTGGTGCGATCTCAGCTCACTGCAAGCTCCGCCTCCCGGGTTCATGCCATTCTCCTGCCTCAGCCTCCCGAGTAGCTGGGACTACAGGTGCCTGCCACCACACCCGGCTAATTTTTTTTGTATTTTTAGTAGAGACGGGGTTTCACCGTGTTAACCAGGATGGTCTCGATCTCCTGACCTCATGATCTGCGCACCTCGGCCTCCCAAAGTGCTGGGATTACAGGCGTGAGCCACCATGCAGGGCCCACATGGAGTTTTCTACACACAAGCACGTCATTTGTGAATAATGATAGTTTCACTTCTTTTTAATTTTAGTGTGTCATTTCTTTTTCTGGCCTCACTGCACTAACTAGAAGTCACAGTACAATGTTGAATACAAGCAATGACAGCTATTCAAATATTTATCCTTATCCATATATTTCCCTTTCTGGTGCTTTATTCCCTTTCCTGTAGATCCTGGCTTCCACATGGTATAACTCCTTCTTAGTCCAAAGAGCTTCTTTTAGTATTTGCTGTAGTATAAATCTGCCACAGACAAATTTAATCATTTTTCTTTTAGAAATAATTTTATCTTCATATTTGTAGGATGTCTTTATAGGAAATAGAATTGTGGGCTGACAATATTTTCTTTTAGCATTTTAAAGATATTGTTCTATTATTTTCTAGCCTTCACTGTTTCTGATACTGAGACAGCCATTATTCTTGTCATTGTTCCCTTACATATAGTTATCGCTTTTATTTGTCTATTATAAGATACTGCTTTTTATTTTGGGTTTACAGTAATTTGACCACGATGTACATAGGTGAAGATATTTTTTATATACTCCACTTAGGGTTGATTACACTTCTTTGCTGTCTTTCACTTATTTTGAAAATTCTCTTCTATTATCTCTTCAAATATTTCTTCTACCTCATTCTTTCTCTCCTCTCACAGGACTCCAACAACACATATGGTAGATCATTTGATTTGGGCCCACAGGTCTTGGAAATGCTCTTCCATTATTTTCATTGTTTTAAAACATCTCTCTCTGTGTTTCATTTTGGATATTTTCCACTGATCAGTCTTTAAGTTTACCAGTTTCTTTCTCACTCAGTTCAGTTGTCAATAAGCCCATTGAACAAATTCTTCTTTTCCCATGTTATGTATTTCATTTCTAGCATTTCCAACTAACTTTTAAAACATGTGCATTTCATTGATAAAGTTGCCAATCTACTTACATACATTATCTACCCTTTCCACAAGCTGATCATAATTATTTTAAAATTCCTGTCTGCTAATTCCAACACCTGGAACATCTCTGCATTTGTTTCTATTGACTATGTGCTCTCTTTAACATGGATTATATTTTCTTCTTTCATTACTTGTCAAACTTTTTATTTATATTATTTTATATTATTTATAAAATATAAAATATTTTATATTATTTATAAATATAAAATATTTTATTTATTTTATATTATTTATAAATATAAAATATTTTATTTATTTTATATTATTTATTTTATGTATTTATTTATTTTATATTATTTATTTTATTTATGTATTTTATATTATTTATTTATTGTATAGTGCATAAAGGAATAGTAATGACCAAAGAAAAACAGTATTTTCCCACAGAAAAGTTATGTCCTTTCTTCTGTCTGGTTGTAAGTTTGTTGAACCGAATCAATCTAACCTAGAGTAAAGCTGTGTTTGGACATTTTCACAGGTTTAGTTACATTCAGTTTACTACTGGCTTTACATTATGTGAGAATGAGATCAGGAATTTCTCTTCAGTAGTGTGTTGGAATCCTAGCACCAGTGGTACTCTGGAGATTTATTTGTTCTTTTCATCCAGCCTCCAGTTTTCTGAACCATGGGGCATCTCTTTATTTTTTATTTATAGTCTCGCTACTAGATTTTTGGTCACTGGGGAGTTTTCTTTGCCTTCATGCCAGATTTTCTGAATTTTAACCTTGGACCTATTAATGACCGATTGTCTAACTTGAATGAACTCACTGAACTTTTTCATCTCATTACTAAAATAGAATAAGAATCACTACTTCCATGTGTGTTAAGGAGTGACCTAACATCAAACAGCTAACATGCATATAGGAGAAGCATATGTGTTCTAGTTGAACTGCACGTGAAAGTCAAATTTGTTAAGAAAATAAAATACTCTTTCCAGCTCAATCTGTCTCTATCATTAACATTTTGAATTCAGTACTGTTGAACCAAATGCCAAGTCAGCAACTAATTATATTTTTCTTCTATAGGTCTATCTTTTTAAAAATAAGACAGTATTAAATCAGCCTGAGTTATTAGAAAGGATAGTGGGAGCACATGATCAAATTAAAAATTACATAGATTCCTGAAATAATTTTATTATTTGCAATTTTCTAGTGACCTCCAGAACTTCATGACATGTGATATTTTAATGCAGAAACATACTGAAAGACAGACAGCATGTAAATTCACAACCTCTGTGTTATAGACTGCATGAAAGGTAGATGAGAAAAGAAAGAAAAAGAAGAGAGAATACCAGGGAGTTAATATTCAGCATCACTTTATCAGCCATGCAATGGATTAACATTCATTAATCCAGTATTGTAGCTGAACAGAGTAGCACAGAGAGTTTCTGTACTCTCTCTGTAACTGTGGTTTAAAAAAAGAAGTTTGCATTGTTGAAATTAACCCATATCCACTGCCAAAAGTACATGATCCAGTGGCTAACATGTAATGATGCTATTTCTAAAAAATGTGTTGTAATTAAATGTCACAGTCTTGCATATATTTCAGACAACTCAGCACTGAAGTCAAGTCAGGTCACTGATAGAAAGTTATTGGTCAATGATCCCATTAAGCATGTGAAGTGATGCTCTATATTCAAAACGACTTCATCTTCTCTAAGGATAAAACCACCACCTGATCCCAAAGGGTGTATCCTTGTCCTCATGAGAACTCCATTAAAAATTAATATCTCCACCAATTACAGTAAGCTGGAAGGAGATTCTACTTTTATTGTGGTGAAACTTTTTATAATGAGAACATTGCTAGGAAAAAATATCTCAACTAAGAAGAGTATAAGGTCAAAAAAAGAATTGAAAGCACTTTCCCTTTACCTTATTGTCTCACAATAAGACCTAAGAAAATATGTGTGGTCCAAGATTGCTTGTGATATATACCTTACTCTGACCATATTTGTAAATTCTTGTACTGAAGGCTAAATAAATTCATGAATTGAAATGTTCCTCCTGAGCTTGGAACAAATATATTTCACGTTTGTAAGTTCTTCTCATAAGGATGATTTTTGAAATTTCATAGACTAAACATACATTTATATCTTCCCTCTCACTCCAAATCACACAGAGTAAAATATTTTATGCCTATTAAAAGTACAAGCAATGAACCACAAATTTTGTGAATTTCAGAGAGACAGACAGCATATACAATCATGCCTTTAGCAAAATAAAACTGAATGAAACTATAGGCTAGAATACACCTAGAAGAAGCCTGTTGTTGAAGGGGGAGGTTTGAAAGTCCCCAAGTCCAGTATTAGAAGTTTTAAAAATTAAGACAGAACCCTCAAACATTTAAAGAGTAATTAGTTGGAAGGCTCCTTTTGGAATAGCAGACGAGTTGATTTCTTTCTTTCCTGTCTTTTGCACTATGTGGGCTTTAACAACTGGCTAGAGAAGAATATTGAAGTTGGAGAAGACTTACAGTGCTAGGTAGCTACTCACTTCCAGGAGTGATGAGAACTTCCACATTTGAAAGATAAGCTTCCATTCCAAATGTTTCCCCCATTTGTTGGGGATAGATTCTGGTAATGCAAAGAACAAGTAAGCGGTGACTCTCAAATACAAAGCTATAGGCAGCCAAGATGTGCTAAACATTTTACAAAAGTCAGTAATAGAGAAACTAGGCATTAACAAAAAGAAGAATGACCACCCCCTTCTTAGAAAGAGTTAATAAAGTTAACAAAAAGACTTAGAATAAATATGAATAGTTGAAAGACTTGAAAGAACATTTCCTTTATGTAGAAGTATCTGCTACAAAATTTAATTTTAAAAATTCTATCTTCTCAGAATTAAAAAAATAAGAAAATTTCAATAGGTAGGCAATAATAGCAGCAATACATACTTTATGGTGAATTAGTGAGTTGAAAGATTGAGCTGAAACATTTTCACATGGAATAGAACAGATGGACAAAAGAAAGGAAATTATAAGTGCAGAGTTAAATGACATGAAGAGTATTATCTTGATATTCCCAAATCTAGATTATAGGAATTCCAGACTGAAAGAAATGAGAAAATGCAAGGATGTATATAATCAAATAAATATCAACCCAAAAAAATCCTCAGGTCTGGAGAAAGCATAAATCTTCAAATTAAAAGTGCTAAGCCAGATTTTATAAGAGCCAAAGCTACATGCATCATTGTGAAATTTCAGAATTTCAAGGATAAACTCAGAGAAAAACAACTTGAAAAAAAAATCAAACTCTGAAAAGTCAGCCTGCCATCAGCATAACTCCTCATAAAGACAACTCAGTACTAGAAGTCATTAACATCTTCCAAATTAAAGGGGGTGATGATTTTCAACCTACAATCCCATACCTAGCCAAACTAGCATTTGAGTGAAAGAGATTCTAAATACATATTCAGACAAGAAAAGCCTCCAGCTAAGCAATCTCTGAAAGAATTACTTGAGGATACACAGCAAAAAATAAGTAACGAATCCAGAAAAGGACATCACGTGGTCCTAAATATACAAAAGTGTAATAAGCAAATTCATACTAAAACCTAAATAATTGTTGATGTGCAACACTAAACCAAAACATAATAAACACTTGGAACAAAAATTCCACATAAACTCAGTATGAAATATGGTAGAATTAATGAAGAGGAAAAAATCAAAGGTGAGAGAAGATTTTTACTTTTTGGGAAATGGAAGCAGATAATCATTAATCTTAAATATCAATAGAACAATACAAATTTTTAAAAATGTGTTAAAAATGTAAGAGTAAGTATTAGAAGTGTAAGATCTATATCTTCTAAATCATAGTATTAAAAAATGGATCTTAGAAAAACATCCAAATTTGAAAGGATCATGCTTCCAGGCTTTCTCTTGTGCCTTTGTGGTGGTTGCCAAATACATTTATTTTCTGCCAAGAATGCACTACCTCTGCTAAAGTGTTTTCTAGCTATTTGTCTATTAGTATATTATTTTGCAATATATGCTATATCTTGCCACAATGCCAAGAATTCTCCGACAATCTACAATTCTCTGAAGTTAAAGAAGATTATTAGATCTATCCATTACAGGCTGTCACATGTCTTCAACTTCTTCAAGCTAAGTTCAATCGCTGGCTCCACTGCAGTGCACAAAAAGCTCTAAAAAGCTCCAATTCAAGCCATAATTGGAGGTTTGGGCTCCAGCACAGTTGTCCAGATTTTCCAAATGTCCAGCTTGTGCATTCTGGTATAAATTCCAGAATGAAAAACATTCCACTGGATGAGGAATGTATCATAATGTGCAGAAACTAGTTTCTAGTCCATTTAGACACAAAAACAAGCTCGGAAGAGGAAAATCACAAGCAGTTTCATTAGCATCAAATCATAAAACACAGCCATTTACAAAACTAGCTTCTCTCTCTTCCATTGGTCCAAAGAAGTATCCTGGGACAAGAGTGGTCTTGAAAAAAAAACCTAACCCTTCGGGATACCCAGAGATATTATTCATTTAAGTACATTGTATCTGGAGTTTTTTTTTTAAACTCATTGACATAATTCAAATTAATTTTTAAAAGTTCTCGGCTACTTCACACATACGCTATTGAAGCTATCGTCACACCATTATTGATATTTTAATACATTTAACTGTTAGCTAACTGAATATTCACAGATATTATTAATACATACAACATGGGTGGCAAAACTTGTTTTTCCAGTCTCTTTATAACTTGCCTCATTTGTCATCAAATCCATGTGGAGTGAAAAATAAAAGCTCCCCAATCGATTTAATTTAATAAAGCTAAGAAATAGGTGGTGTCTTCCCGGGACTGTGTTGATGAAATTGACCCAACACTCAGTTCTAGCATTTCCTCTCCGAGAAGAGCTTAACTTTACTTAATAAGACAGAGAGGGGGAGGAGCCAAGATGGCCGAATAGGAACAGCTCCGGTCTACAGCTCCCAGAGTGAGCGACGCAGAAGACGGGTGATTTCTGCATTTCCATCTGAGGTACCGGGTTCATCTCACTAGGGAGTGCCAGACAGTGGGCGCAGGCCAGTGGGTGTGCGCACCGTGCGCGAGCCGAAGCAGGGCGAGGCATTGCCTCACCTGGGAAGCGCAAGGGGTCAGGGAGTTCCCTTTCCGAGTCAAAGAAAGGGGTGATGGACGCACCTGGAAAATCGGGTCACTCCCACCCGAATACTGCGCTTTTCAGACCGGCTTAAAAAACGGGGCACCATGAGACTATATCCCACACCTGGCTCGGAGGGTCCTACGCCCACGGAATCTCGCTGATTGCTAGCACAGCAGTCTGAGATCAAACTGCAAGGCAGCAGCTAGGCTGGGGGAGGGGAGCCCGCCATTGCCCAGGCTTGCTTAGGTAAACAAAGCAGCCGGGAAGCTCGAACTGGGTGGAGCCCACCACAGCTCAAGGAGGCCTGCCTGCCTCTGTAGGCTCCACCTCTGGGGGCAGGGCACAGACAAACAAAAAGACAGCAGTAACCTCTGCAGACTTAAATGTCCCTGTCTGACAGCTTTGAAGAGAGCAGTGGTTCTCCCAGCACGCAGCTGGAGATCTGAGAATGGGCAGACTACCTCCTCAAGTGGGTCCCTGACCCCTGACCCCCGAGCAGCCTAACTGGGAGGCACCCCCCAGCAGGGGCACACTGACACCTCACACGGCAGGGTATTCCAACAGACCTGCAGCTGAGGGTCCTGTCTGTTAGAAGGAAAACTAACAAACAGAAAGGACATCCACACCAAAAACCCATCTGTACATCACCATCATCAAAGACCAAAAGTAGATAAAACCACAAAGATGGGGAAAAAACAGAACAGAAAAACTGGAAACTCTAAAATGCAGAGCGCCTCTCCTCCTCCAAAGGAACGCAGTTCCTCACCAGCAACGGATCAAAGCTGGATGGAGAATGACTTTGACGAGCTGAGAGAAGAAGGTTTCAGACGATCAAATTACTCTGAGCTACGGGAGGACATTCAAACCAAAGGCAAAGAAGTTGAAAACTTTGAAAAAAATTTAGAAGAATGTATAACTAGAATAACCAATACAGAGAAGTGCTTAAAGGAGCTGATGGAGCTGAAAACCAAGGCTCGAGAACTACGTGAAGAATGCAGAAGCCTCAGGAGCCGATGCGATCAACTGGAAGAAAGGGTATCAGCAATGGAAGATGAAATGAATGAAATGAAGCAAGAAGGGAAGGTTAGAGAAAAAAGAATACAAAGAAATGAGCAAAGCCTCTAAGAAATATGGGACTATGTGAAAAGACCAAATCTACGTCTGATTGGTGTACCTGAAAATGATGCAGAGAATGGAACCAAGTTGGAAAACACTCTACAGGATATTATCCAGGAGAACTTCCCCAATCTAGCAAGGCAGGCCAACGTTCAGATTCAGGAAATACAGAGAACGCCACAAAGATACTCCTCGAGAAGAGCAACTCCAAGACACATAATTGTCAGATTCACCAAAGTTGAAATGAAGGAAAAAATGTTAAGGGCAGCCAGAGAGAAAGGTCGGTTTACCCTCAAAGGGAAGCCCATCAGACTAACAGCGGATCTCTCGGCAGAAACCCTACAAGCCAGAAGAGAGTGGGGGCCAATATTCAACATTCTTAAAGAAAAGAATTTTCAACCCAGAATTTCATTTCCAGCCAAACTAAGCTTCATAAGTGAAGGAGAAATAAAATACTTTACAGACAAGCAAATGCTGAGAGATTTTGTCACCACCAGGCCTGCCCTAAAAGAGCTCCTGAAGGAAGCGCTAAACATGGAAAGGAACAACCGGTACCAGCCACTGCAAAATCATGCCAAAATGTAAAGACCATTGAGACTAGGAAGAAACTGCATCAACTAACGAGCAAAATCACCAGCTAACATCATAATGACAGGATCAAATTCACACATAACAATATTAACTTTAAATGTAAATGGACTAAATTCTCCAATTAAAAGACACAGACTGGCAAGTTGGATAAAGAGTCAAGACCCATCAGTGTGCTGTATTCAGGAAACCCATCTCACGTGCAGAGACACACATAGGCTGAAAATAAAAGGATGGAGGAAGATCTACCAAGCAAATGGAAAACAAAAAAAGGCAGGGGTTGCAATCCTAGTCTCTGATAAAACAGACTTTAAACCAACAAAGATCAAAAGAGACAAAGAAGGCCATTACATAATGGTAAAGGGATCAATTCAACAAGAAGAGCTAACTATCCTAAATATATATGCACCCAATACAGGAGCACCCAGATTCATAAAGCAAGTTCTGAGTGACCTACAAAGAGACTTAGACTCCCACACATTAATAATGGGAGACTTTAACACCTCACTGTTAACATTAGACAGATCAATGAGACAGAAAGTCAACAAGGATACCCAGGAATTGAACTCATCTCTGCACCAAGCGGACCTAATAGACATCTACAGAACTCTCCACCCCAAATCAATAGAATATACATTTTTTTCAGCACCACACCACACCTATTCCAAAATTGACCACATAGTTGGAAGTAAAGCTCTCCTCAGCAAATGTAAAAGAACAGAAATTATAACAAACTATCTCTCAGACCACAGTGCAATCAAACTAGAACTCAGGATTAAGAATCTCACTCAAAGCCGCTCAACTACATGGAAACTGAACAACCTGCTCCTGAATGACTACTGGGTACATAACGAAATGAAGGCAGAAATAAAGATGTTCTTTGAAACCAACGAGAACAAAGACACAACATACCAGAATCTCTGGGACGCATTCAAAGCAGTGTGTAGAGGGAAATTTATAGCACTAAATGCCCACAAGAGAAAGCAGGAAAGATCCAAAATTGACACCCTAACATCACAATTAAAAGAACTAGAAAAGCAAGAGCAAACACATTCAAAAGCTAGCAGAAGGCAAGAAATAACTAAAATCAGAGCAGAACTGAAGGAAATAGAGACACAAAAAACCCTTCAAAAAATCAATGAATCCAGGAGCTGGTTTTTTGAAAGGATCAACAAAATTGATAGACCGCTAGCAAGACTAATAAAGAAAAAAAGAGAGGAGAATCAAATAGACACAATAAAAAATGATAAAGGGGATATCACCACCGATCCCACAGAAATACAAACTACCATCAGAGAATACTATAAACACCTCTACGCAAATAAACCAGAAAATCTAGAAGAAATGGATAAATTCCTCGACACATACACTCTCCCAAGACTAAAGCAGGAAGAAGTTGAATCTCTGAATAGACCAATAACAGGAGCTGAAATTGTGGCAATAATCAATAGTTTACCAACCAAAAAGAGTCCAGGACCAGATGGATTCACAGCCGAATTCTACCAGAGGTACAAGGAGGAACTGGTACCATTCCTTCTGAAACTATTCCAATCAATAGAAAAAGAGGGAATCCTCCCTAACTCATTTTATGAGGCCAGCATCATTCTGATACCAAAGCCGGGCAGAGACACAACCAAAAAAGAGAATTTTAGACCAATATCCTTGATGAACATTGATGCAAAAATCCTCAATAAAATACTGGCAAACCGAATCCAGCAGCACATCAAAAAGCTTATCCACCATGATCAAGTGGGCTTCATCCCTGGGATGCAAGGCTGGTTCAATATACGCAAATCAATAAATGTAATCCAGCATAGAAACAGAACCAAAGACAAAAACCACATGATTATCTCAATAGATGCAGAATAGGCCTTTGACAAAATTCAACAACCCTTCATGCTAAAAACTCTCAGTAAATTAGGTATTGATGGGACGTATTTCAAAATAATAAGAGCTATCTATGACAAACCCACAGCCAATATCATACTGAATGGGCAAAAACTGGAAGCATTCCTTTGAAAACTGGCACAAGACAGGGATGCCCTCTCTCACCACTCCTATTCAACACAGTGTTGGAAGTTCTGGCCAGGGCAATCAGGCAGGAGAAGGAAATAAAGGGTATTCAATTAGGAAAAGAGGAAGTCAAATTGTCCCTTTTTGCAGACGACATGATTGTTTATCTAGAAAACCCCATCGTCTCAGCCCAAAATCTCCTTAAGCTGATAAGCAACTTCAGCAAAGTCTCAGGATACAAAATCAATGTACAAAAATCACAAGCATTCTTATACACCAACAACAGACAAACAGAGAGCCAAATCATGAGTGAACTCCCATTCACAATTGCTTCAAAGAGAATAAAATACCTAGGAATCCAATTTACAAGGGATGTGAAGGACCTCTTCAAGGAGAACTACAAACCACTGCTCAAGGAAATAAAAGAGGATACAAACAAATGGAAGAACATTCCATGCTCATGGGTAGGAAGAATCAATATCGTGAAAATGGCCATACTGCCCAAGGTAATTTACAGATTCAATGCCATCCCCATCAAGCTACCAATGACTTTCTTCACAGAATTGGAAAAAACTACTTTAAATTTCATATGGAACCAAAAAAGAGCCCGCATCGCCAAGTCAATCCTAAGCCAAAAGAACAAAGCTGGAGGCATCACACTACCTGACTTCAAACTATACTACAAGGCTACAGTAACTAAAACAGCATGGTACTGGTACCAAAACAGAGATATAGATCAATGGAACAGAACAGAGCCCTCAGAAATAACGCCGCATACCTACAATTATCTGATCTTTGACAAACCTGAGAAAAACAAGCAACGGGGAAAGGATTCCCTATTTAATAAATGGTGCTGGGAAAACTGGCTAGCCATATGTAGAAAGCTGAAACTGGATCCCTTCCTTACACCTTATACAAAAATCAATTCAAGATGGATTAAAGATTTAAACGTTAGACCTAAAACCATAAAAATCCTAGAAGAAAACCTAGGCATTACCATTCAGGACATAGGCGTGGGCAAGGACTTCATGTCCAAAACACCAAAAGCAATGGCAACAAAAGCCAAAATTGACAAATGGGATCTAATTAAACTAAAGAGCTTCTGCACAGCAAAAGAAACTACCATCAGAGTGAACAGGCAACCTACAACATGGGAGAAAATTTTCGCAACCTACTCATCTGACAAAGGGCTAATATCCAGAATCTACAATGAACTCAAACAAATTTACAAGAAAAAAACAAACAACCCCATCAAAAAGTGGGCGAAGGACATGAACAGACACTTCTCAAAAGAAGACATTTATGCAGCCAAAAAATACATGAAAAAATGCTCATCATCACTGGCCATCAGAGAAATGCAAATCAAAACCACAATGAGATACCATCTCACACCAGTTAGAATGGCAATCATTAAAAAGTCAGGAAACAACAGGTGCTGGAGAGGATGTGGAGAAATAGGAACACTTTTACACTGTTGGTGGGACTGTAAACTAGTTCAACCATTGTGGAAGTCAGTGTGGCAATTCCTCAGGGATCTAGAACTAGAAATACCATTTGACCCAGCCATCCCATTACTGGGTATATACCCAAATGACTATAAATCATGCTGCTATAAAGACACATGCACACGTATGTTTATTGCGGCATTATTCACAATAGCAAACACTTGGAACCAACCCAAATGTCCAACAACGATAGACTGGATTAAGAAAATGTGGCACATATACACCATGGAATACTATGCAGCCATAAAAAAGGATGAGTTCATGTCCTTTGTAGGGACATGGATGAAATTGGAAACCATCATTCTCAGTAAACTATCGCAAGAACAAAAAACCAAACACCGCATATTCTCACTCATAGGTGGGAATTGAACAATGAGATCACATGGTCACAGGAAGGGGAATATCACACTCTGGGGACTGTGGTGGGGTGGGGGGAGGGGGGAGGGGTAGCATTGGGAGATATACCTAATGCTAGATGACGAGTTAGTGGGTGCAGCGCACCAGCATGGCACATGTATACATATGTAACTAACCTGCACAATGTGCACATGTACCCTAAAACTTAAAGTATAATAATAAAAAAAAAAAAGACAGAGAAACACAACTTGCATGAACAAGCAAATACTCAGTTTGATTCAACAGTAAGAGAAACCTCCTGTAATAGAAGGTTCTTTATATGTGGAATCCAGGCCTTGAGAAAAAGGAGGTAAGGTTGGAAACTGAGTTGCTGATACTTCTAGCAAGACCCTTTTAATGTGCCCGAATATTTACTCTACTAACAATAGCAAACGAGAGAACAAGAGCGTATAGGTAGTAGTGCTGCCTAATATAATGGGGTGACATGAGGACTTGGGTGTGTGCTTTCTGTCAGAGAAGCCCAGGGAATAGGAGTTTCAGCATTATATCTCAGACAACAGCAAACTTTGAGATCCCTTGCTGTACAGAGAAGGAAAGCAGAAACTCTATAGTAAGGCCTAATAATTTGTGGTGTAAGCCAATAGTACATAATAAATGTATCCTTTATCAGAGCTCTATGATGGAAAGATGAGAATGTTTGAGAAAAAATAAATGAATACATTTGGGAATTTATATTTTCTTTTGTCTCAGACACTGGATCTATCATGTGCACAGGGACACACGCATGCATACTCACACACATACAAACACAAGAATGCCTCATTAATATCTACCTGCATGCAAATCTATATTGTACAAATCCTGGTGATTACTTAAAAATAGCAATTACTCAGATTTCACTATGTGCCAGATACCATTCTAAGTGATTTAGGTATATTAACTCAATCTTTACAACAACCTTATCATGATCCTCAATTATTTTTTATTTATTTTATTTTATTTTTATTATACTTTAAGTTCTAGGGTACCTGTGCACAACATGCAGATTTGTTACATATGTATACATGTGCCATGTTGGTGTGCTGCACCCATTCACTCGTCATTTACATTAGGTATATCTCCTAATGCTATCCCTCCCCACTTCCCCCACCCCACGACAGGCCCCGGTGTGTGATGTTCGCCTTCCTGTATCCAAGTGTTCTCATTGTTCAGTTCCCACCTATGAGTGAGAACATGTGGTGTTTGGTTTTTTGCCCTTGCGATAGTTTGCTCAGAATGATGGTTTCCAGCTTCATCCATGTTCCTACAAAGGACATGAACTCATCCTTTTTTATGGCTGCATAGTATTCCATGGTGTATATGTGCCATATTTTCTTAATCCAGTCTATCATTGATGGACATTTGGGCTGGTTCCAAGTCTTTGCTATTGTGAATAGTGCTGCAATAAACATACATGTACATGTGTCTTTATACTAGCATGATTTATAATCCTTTGGGTATATACCCAGTAATGGGATGGCTGGGTCAAATGGTATTTCCAGTTCTAGATCCTTGAGGAATCACCACACTGTCTTCCACAATGGTTGAACTAGTTTACAGTCCCACCAACAGTGTAAAAGTGTTCCTATTTCTCCACATCCTCTCCAGCACCTGTTGTTTCCTGACTTTTTAATGATCACCCTTCTAACTGGTGTGAGATGGTATCTTGTTGAGGTTTTGATTTGCATTTCTCTGATGGCCAGTGATGGTGAGCATTTTTTCATGTGTCTGTTGGCTGCATAAACGTCTTCTTTTGAGAAGTGTTTATTCATATCCTTCGCCCACTTTTTGATGGGGTTGCTTTTTCCTCGTAAATTTGTTTGAGTTCTTTGTAGATTCTAGATACTAGCCCTTTGTCAGATGAGTAGATTGCAAAAATTTTCTCCCATTCTGTAGGTTGCCTGTTCACTCTGATTGTAGTTTCTTTTGCTGTGCAGAAGCTCTTTAGTTTAATTAGATCCCATTTGTCAATTTTGGCTTTTGTTGCCATTGCTTTTGGTGTTTTAGACATGAAGTCCTTGCCCATGCCTATGTCCTGAGTGGTATTGCCTAGGTTTTCTTCTAGGGTTTTTATGGTTTTAGGTCTAATATTTAAGTGTTTAATCCATCTTGAATTAATTTTTGTATAAGGTGTAAGGAAGTGATCCAGTTTCAGCTGTCTACATATGGCTAGCCAGTTTTCCCAGCACCATTTATTAAATAGGGAATCCTTTCCCCATTTCTTCGTTTTGTCAGATTTGTCAAAGATCAGATGGTTATAGATGTGTCGTATTATTTCTGAGGACTCTGTTCTTTTCCGTGGTCTTTACATGCTGTTTTGGTTACTGTGGCCTTGTAGTATAGTTTGAAGTCAGGTAGTGTGATGCCTCCAGCTTTGTTCTTTTGGCTTAGGATTGACTTGGCAATGTGGGCTCTTTTTTGGTTCCATATGAACTTTAAAGTGGTTTTTTTCCAATTCTGTGAAGAAAGTCATTGGTAGCTTGATGGGGATGGCATTGAATCTATAAATTACCTTGGGCAGTATGGCCATTTTCACGATATTGATTCTTCCTACCCATGAGCATGGAATGTTCTTCCATTTCTTTGTGTCCTCTTTTATTTTCTTGAGCAATGGTTTGTAGTTCTCCTTGAAGAAGTCCTTCACATCCCTTGTAAGTTGGATTCCTAAGTATTTTACTCTCTTTGAAGCAATTGTGAATAGGAGTTCACTCATGATTTGGCTGTTTGTCTGCTATTGGTGTATAGGAATGCTTGTGATTTTTTCACACTGATTTTCTATCTGAGATTTTGCTGAAGTTGCTTATCAGCTTAAGGAGATTTTGGGCTGAGACGATGGGGCTTTCTAATTATACAATAATGTCATCTGGAAACAGGGACAATTTGACTTCCTCTTTTCCTAATTGAATACCCTTTACTTCTTTCTGTTCCCTGATTGCCCTGGCCAGAACTTTCAACACTATGTTGAATAGGAGTGGTGAGAGAGGGCATCCCTGTCTTGTGCCAGTTTTCAAAGGGAATGCTTCCAGTTTTTGCCCATTCAGTATGATATTGGCTGTAGTTTGTCATAAATAGCTATTATTATTTTGAGACATGTCCCATCAGTACCTAATTTATTGAGAGTTTTTAGCATGAAGGGTTGTTGAATTTTGTCAAAGGCCTTTTCTGCATCTATTGAGATAATCATGTGGTTTTTGTCTTTGGTTCTGTTTATATGCTGGATTACATTAATGATTTGCGTATGTTGAACCAGCCTTGCATCCCAGGGATGAAGCCCACTAGATCATGGCAGATAAGCTTTTTGATGTGCTGCTGGATTCGGTTTGCCAGTATTTTATTGAGGACTTTTGCATCAATGTTCATCAGGGATATTGGTCTAAAATTCTCTTTTTTTGTTGTGTCTCTTCCAGGCTTTGGTATCACGATGATGCTAGCCTCATAAAATGAGTTAGGGAGGGTTCCCTCTTTCTCTATTGATTGGAATAGTTTCAGAAGGAATGGTACCAGTTCCTCCTTGTACCTCTGGTAGAATTCGGCTATGAATCCATCCGGTCCTGGACTTTTTTTGGTTGGTAGGCTATTAATTATTGCCTCAATTTCAGAGCCTGTTATTGGTCTATTCGGGGATTCAACTTCTTCCTGGTTTAGTATTTGGAGGGTGTATGTGTCCAGGAACTTATCCATTTCTTCTAGATTTTCTAGTTTATTTGCGTAGAGGTGTTTATAGTATTCTCTGATGGTAGTTTGTATTTCTGTGGGATCAGTGGTGATATCCCCTTTATCATTTTTTATTGTGTCTATTTGATTCTTCTCTCTTTTCTTCTTTATTAGTCTTGCTAGCAGTCTAACAATTTTGTTGATCTTTTCAAAAAACCAGCTCCTGGGTTCATTGATTTTTTGAAGGGTTTTTTGTGTCTCTATTTCCTTCAGTTCTGCTCTGATCTTACTTATTTCTTGCCTTCTGCTAGCTTTTGAATGTGTTTGCTCTTGCTTCTCTAGTTCTTTTAATTGTGATGTTAGGGTGTCAATTTTAGATCTTTCCTGCTTTCTCTTGTGGGCATTTAGTGCTATAAATTTCCCTCTACACACTGCTTTAAATGTGTCCCAGAGATTCTGGTATGTTGTGTCTTTGTTCTCATTGGTTTCCAAGGACATATTTATTTCTGCCTTCATTCCGTTATGTACCCAGTATTCATTCAGGAGCAGTTTGTTCAGTTTCCATGTAGTTGATTGGTTTTGAGTGAGTTTCTCAATCCTGAGTTCTAGTTTGATTGCACTGTGGTCTGAGAGACAGTTTGTTATAATTCCTCTTCTTTTACATTCGCTGAAGAGTGTTTTACTTCCAACTATATGGTCAGTTTTGGAATAAGTGTGATGTGGTGCTGACAAGAATGTATATTCTGTTGATTTGGGGTGGAGAGTTCCGTAGATGTCTATTAGGTCCGCGTTGTGCAGAGCTGATTTCAATTCCTGGACATCCTTGTTAACTTTCTGTCTCATTGATCTGTATAATGTTGACAGTGGGGTGTTAAAGTCTCCAATTATTATTGTGTGGGAGTCTAAGTCTCTTTGTAGGTCTCTAAGGACTTGCTTTATGAATCTGGGTGCTCCTGTATTGGGTGCATACATATTTAGGATAGTTAGCTCTTCTTGTTGAATTGATCCCTTTACCATTATGTAATGGCCTTCTTTGTCTCCTTTGATCTTTGTTGGTTTATAGTCTGTTTTATCAGAGACTAGGATTGCAACCCCTGCCTTTTTTGTTTTCCATTTGCTTGGTAGATCTTCCTCCATCCCTTTATTTTGAGCCTATGTGTGTCTCTGCACGTGAGATGGGTCTCCTGAATACAGCACACTGATGGGTCTTGACTCTTTATCCAATTTGCCAGTCTGTGTCTTTTAATTGGAGCATTTAGCCCATTTACATTTAAGGTTAATATTGTTACATGTGAATTTGATCATGTCATTATGATGTTAGCTGGTTATTTTGCTCGTTAGTTGATGCAGTTTCTTCCTAGCATCGATGGTCTTTACAATTTGGCATGTTTTTGCAGTGGATGGTACCGGTTGTTCCTTTCCATGTTTAGTGCTTCCTTCAGGAGCTCTTGTAGGGCAGGCCTGGTGGTGACAAAATCTGTCAGCATTTGCTTGTCTGTAAAGGATTTTATTTCTCCTTCACTTATGAAGCTTAGTTTGGCTGGATATGAAATTCTGGGTTGAAAATTCTTTTCTTTAAGAATGTTGAATATTGGCCCCCACTCTCTTCTGGCTTATAGAGTTTCTGCCGAGATCCACGGTTCGTCTGATGGGCTTCCCTTTGTGGGTAACCCGACCTTTCTCTCTGGCTGCCTTAAAATTTTTTCCTTCATTTCAACTTTGGTGAATCTGACAATTATGTGTTTTGGAGTTGCTCTTCTCGAGGAGTATCTTTGTGGTGTTCTCTGTATTTCCTGAATTTGAATGTTGGCCTGCCTTGCTAGGTTGGGGATGTTCTCCTGGATAATGTCCTGCAGAGTGTTTTCCAACTTGGTTCCATTCTCCCCGTCACTTTCAGGTACACCAATCAGACATAGATTTGGTCTTTTCACATAGTCCCATATTTCTTGGAGGCTTTATTCGTTTCTTTTTACTCTGTTTTCTCTAAACTTCTCTTCTCACTTCATTTCATTCATTTGATCTTCCATCACTGATACCCTTTCTTCCAGTTGATCAAATCGGCTACTGAAGCTTGTGCATGTTTCATGTAGTTCTCGTGCCATGGTTTTCAGCTCCATCAGGTCCTTTAAGGACTTCTCTACACTGGTTATTCCAGTTAGTCATTCATCTAATCTTTTTTCAAGGTTTTAAGCTTCTTTGCGATGGGTTCGAACTTCCTCCTTTAGCTCGGAGAAGTTTAATCATCTGAAGCCTTCTTCTCTCAACTCGTCAGTCATTCCCCATCCAGCTTTGTTCTGCTGCTGGCAAGGAGGTGTGTTCGTTTGGAGGGGGAGAGGTGCTCTGATTCTTGGAATTTTCAGCTTTTCTGCTCTGTTTTTTCCCCATCTTTGTGGTTTTATCTACCTTTGCTCTTTGATGATGATGACATACAGATGAAGTTTTGGTGTGGATGTCCTTTCTGTTTGTCAGTTTTCCTTCTAACAGTCAGGACCCTCAGCTGCAGGTCTGTTGGAGTTTGCTTGGAGGTCCACTCCAGACCCTGTTTGCCTGGGTATCAGTAGCAGAGGCTGCAGAACAGCGAATATTTTTGAACAGCAAATGTTGCTGTCTGATCGTTCCTCTGGAAGTTTTGTCTCAAAGGGGTACCCGGTCATGTGAGGTGTCAGTCTGCCCCTACTGGGGGGTGCCTCCCAGTTAGACTACTCGGGGGTCAGAGACCCATTTGAGGAGGCAGTCTGTCTGTTCTCAGATCTCAGACTCCATGCTGGGAGAACCACTACTCTCTTCAAAGCTGTCAGACAGGGATATTTAAGTCTGCAGAAGTTTCTGCTGCCTTTTGTTTGGTTATGCCCTGCCCCCAAAGGTGGAGTCTACAGAGGCAGGCAGGCCTCCTTGAGCTGCGATGGGCTCCACCCAGTTCGAACTTCCCAGACACTTTGTTTATCTACTCAAGCCTCAGCAATGGCGGGCACCACTCCCCCAGCCTCGCTGCTGCCTTGCAGTTTGATCTCAGACTACTATGCAAGCAATGAAGCAGTCTCCGTGGGCGTGGGACACTCCGAACCACGTGCGGGATATAATCTCCTGGTGTGCCGTTTGCTAAGACCGTTGGAAAAGCACAGTATTAGGGTGGGAGTGACCCGATTTTCCAGGTGCCATCTGTCACAGCTTCCCTTGGCTAGGAAAGAGAATTCCCTGACCCCTTGCGCTGCTCGGTGGGCTGCACCCACTGTCCTGCCTCCAGTGTCTGACAAGCCCCAGTGAGATGAACCCGGTACCTCAGTTGGAAATGCAGAAATCACACATCTTCTGTGCGCTCACACTGGGAGCTGTAGACTGGATCTGTTCCTATTCCGCCATCTTGGAACTGCCCCCTCAATTTTTTTTTTTTTTTTTTTTTTGGAGACGGAGTGTCACTCTGTTGCCCAGGGTGGAGTGCAGTGGCGGGGTGTTGGCTCACTGCAACCTCTGTCTCCCAGATTGAAGCAATTCTCCTGCTTCAGCCTCCCAAGTAGCTGGAACTACAGGTGCACGCTGCCACACCCAGCTAATTTTTTTTGTATTTTAGTAAAGACAGGGTTTCACCATGTTGCCCAGGCTGATCTTGAACTCCTGAGCTCAGGTAATCCACCTGCCTCTAGCACCAAAGTACTAGAATTACAGGCTTGAGCCACCACTCCTGGCCCATGATTCCCATTTTTTAGGCAACAAAACTAAGGCTCAAAGTGGTTAAGTCACTTATTCAAGTTCATACAACCAATAAGTAGAAAGTCAAGCTTTCTACTCAGAAGGCAGCCTCCAGGGTCTATACTCATGCCCACTATAATCTAAAAATCTCTCAGTATGAGAAACTTCTTCTAACCAAGATTGTGAAGTGACAGAAACATACTTCATACTTTTTTCCTCTTGGTAGTGGACCAGAATTAAGACTGGGCTTTTCCTGTAATGGGCACCATTTCAGTGCCACAGTAACAGCCAGGATGTGGATTTCTACCTTCCTTCTTAGAGAGGGTGAGGACACTTCTGCAATAATGGGACATGTCTGCATGAGATGCGTATTATTTTTGCTAGGTTGCACCATTGAAACAGGTTCTGAAAACAAGGAAGATCAGTGCCAAGATCCGTTTAAATTTCTATATATTCATCTGATTTAATCCTTAAAACTGTATCTGTCCTGCTGGAAAATTAGCTAATCAACTTAAGAGACTCCTCCCATCCCCTCTTCTCTTCTCAACCAACTCTAACTCTGTGGTTAAGTATGAAGCACAGAAGGTTAAAAATCCTGGATTCTTTCCCTAGGTCTGCTACTGCATGACCTAGGTCAAATCATTTAACCATCCCGTGCCTCAGCTTCATCATCTGTACATTATAGACTTCTTCCAGATCGAAAACTCTGATATTCTAGCTCACTGCATTCTGTGTGGACATTTCTATAAATTCCATGAATATTCTAACAGAATAAGAAAAACTTCATGAGAATAGGGACCATAATCATCTTAAACACCATTGCACATGCAAAACTTAGCATTTAATATGTGACCTTTAAATATTTGTTGAAATTCAGAAATGTAAAAATATTCCACAAATGTAAACACACAAAAACAAAAACTAAATGTCTCAGAAAGAAGCCCTACATTTGGATCAGTAAATGGGGGAATAGCCAGACATATTTAATGTATAATTTAGACATTTTTGGAGAAAGACCTGCTAATGAGCCCCTTCTTTCAGAGATTTAACTTTTCAAAGCTTGCAAAAACATTTTCTCCTCCTGCAGTTTTAAATGTAATTCATTATAAGCTGAAAGTTGTCAATAAATGTATCTAATGCACATAAGAAAAGTGCTATTACAGCATCATTGTCCTTACTCCTATAGCCCAGCCTCACCTAATATAATGGAAAACTAAAATGCTATCTAGACTTATGCATTATCTTGTCAGGAAGCACCTTTGTCTCACTGGTACCTGTACTTCGTAGCACGTCACCCAATTTGATATGCCAACATTAAACTTGGGCACACATACATATTCACATTTAATAGTATCTTTATCTTGGGAATTCAAAATAACCAATTATGGAATGCTATGGAATCTTGAAAGTTGTTCTGCAAAATTTCTAGATCAAATCTAAACAACTACAACCTACTTTTTGGCAATTTTTTTTTTTTTTTTTTTTTTTTTTTTTTTTTTTTAAAAACGGAGTCTTGCTCTGTCGCCCAGGCTGGAGTGCAGTGGCATGATCTCGGCTCACTGCAAGCTCCGCCTCCAGGGTTCACGCCATTCTCCTGCCTCAGCCTCCCGAGTAGCTGGGACTACAGGCGCCCGCCACTGCGCCCAGCTAATTTTTTTTTGTATTTTTAGTAGAGACGGGGTTTCACCGTGGTCTCGATCTCCTGACCTCGTGATCCACCCGCCTCGGCCTCCCAAAGTGCTGGGATTACAGGTGTGAGCCACCATGCCCGGCCAGCAAATTTTTAATTTTCTATTTCATTTTATTTTTTAGTTTGGAAAGGAGAGCTTTATTTCCTATAAAGGGTTGCAGCCTGCAGGGTGGCCATCCTTGGCAGATATTTTGAAACTGAAATTATTAACTTGAGTTTATTAATAACTTGGTGATAATGGCCAGGGGCTCCATTAAGTTGTACCTAAGGGGAAAAGATAGTGAAGAGGCAAAATTAAGAGGCTGCTATAGTCATGCTCTCATGAAACTTGCAATCTACTCTTTGAGCCAGAAATAATACAGAGAGAGGTAGAACAGGATAAACGTGGTTATGCAGTGCTCATTTCATTGAAGCACAGGGAAAATAAATAATTTAAATGAGCTGGGTAGGTTTAAAAAAAAAAGGTATAAAGAAGTGGTTCTTGAGTTTTTCCTTGGATAGGAGAAGCCAAATAAGAAAGACATAAGGTTGACAGTGGGAGTGGTATTGGGGTAGGTGAAAGGCAGAACCTCAATTCCACCATAAATGGTGATAAAATGTAAGTCCATCAGTTACATAGTAAAGAAAAATTATGGCAAAGTTTTATACCAGCCCTTAAGGAAGCTAAGCTGCAGAAAAGATACAGAGAAGACAAATCATATTTCACCTAATATGTCCTAAAACACTTTACAGCTTTTAGGGGCACAGTTGAAGACCATTGATCTAATCCAATGTTTTCATTTTAATCATGAGAAAACTGAGTCCCAAAGATGTTAACTGATTCCTCTAAGGTCACGTGGTAGCTTTAATGGCCAAGACAGGACTGGAATCTAGATCATTCTATTACATCACTGCATTTCCTGAGTTTCATTTTAGCATGAATATTCTCCCTTGCCACATACTTATCATAAAATAACAAGATCCCATTATTCTCATCCTGACCTTACTGTGTCCATGTCTGCCTGAGTTGCTAATAAATAACAAAAGTTGTTTCCAGATTTGAATAGGCCCTAGTAGAGAATAGTGCTTAGAGATGTATCAGCAAACTCACAGGGGGTAGGGGTAGGGATTGGACAAGAAGAAGTCAGTGTTTACACAATTGAGCATAGCTTTTACTGTTGACTGGACAGCTGTTCCGTCTAGAGCTTCTTAACCCAGAAAATTACTCAATTATCAAAAGGGCACATTGATTCACCAGCTGTACATTGCTAAGACTTTCTAATATTTAAAAGTCATAAAGGTTACCACACTTCAAAAGATGTTATTGAATGTTACTATTGCTTCACAGAAATTGATCTGTCACTATTTATTCAACTATTCATTCAGTTGAACTCAGTGAAGAGAACCTCACTGCACTGTAAATATTTAAATGGCTCTTGTTGGAGACAAAGTGAATAAGCCTAAGTAGGCTGGGAGCAGCACTGGCTCAATCTGAGAACAAATATTCCGAATAAAGAGCCCAACTTTGCATCCAGGATGCCAGCCTCAAGCAGCTCTATTATCAAGAACACCTTCCAAGTTCACGTTGTCTGTGCTTGAGACATACGGATGTCCCATTTTAAACTTAACAAATAAAAGTACTAAGAAAGTGGTGAGAGGAGTGTAGAGGAAAATAATAAACTCCTAATTCTTCCTAAATCTGAAGCATTAGGAAATAAAGTAACAAACCAGTTTTCCTTTCTGACCTCAAGCAAATGATTGACTTTAGAGCCCACAATGACCTGCTTAGAGCTATTTAGAGTGTCAAGGGCCACCTAGTTTCATGTCGTTGAACAGGTAACAAAGCGCAGGAAAGGAGAGGCTTGGGTACTGGGGGATAAAGTTTGTATCAAATTGCATCCTGAAATCTCAGCCTTTTCCAAACAAATGTAAATACTTAGCTGCATCTGAATCATTCATTTTGAAAACCCAACAGACCTTTTCCTGCGCAAGCAGGAGAGATTAAAGCAACAATACCAGATGCTTTGCTCAACTGATTTCCTAGATTGAGCTGACAAAACTATTCTTGTAGAAATCTAGTCTTGCCTCCTTTCACTTACAGAACTGAAATGCCTCTGTAGGTTATGGAGCAAAAGAAACCCAGTGGAAGGGCTAGAGAAATCCTACTAGAGGTGACATACCTAGAGCTGAAAGGTCTGAGTTAGGACCACATATTGATTGGCTTTATTGATGGTATGATAATTTTCAGGTTTAGTTTAGCTCTTCATCTGCCCATGACCAACTTTACCTGTGACTGTGGCTCTTCACCACACTGCCACCAACCCACTTGGCCTTCATGTGGTTACACAAATGGAATGGAAGGTCCTAGGTTTTCTTTAACTGTATTCACTTACTCATTTATTAAATCACTGAATCTCTTACTCTTGCATCCCCATTTATTCAGCCAACAAGCCTTAATGAGTAGAAAAGGCAGGCATGATGCTATAATGGAGATGAGAAAGATAAAACGCTTTGCACAGCTAGGTGGTACTTGCCTTGCCAGAGATGGAGAAGGAGACTGGGGGCAGACTGGACTATCTGTAACTTTGGTTAGGAGAGCTGGAAGCCTCCACTGGATCACTGGCCTTGAGAAGTGGTAGAGGAACAAGACAGGAATTAATCAGGAGGAAGGGGCATTCCACATAGAGGGAATGGTAGCTATGAAGGCAAATAAGCACTGAAGGTCTTGCTATGCTTGGGGAAGGGTGGAAAGTTCCATATGCCTGGAGAGTAGGCAGAGATGAAAGGAAAGGCACAAGGAGTGGCCAGGGGGTTGAAAGAATTAAGACTGGTGAAATAAGTCACCGTCTAAGGGTGATATGTTTTCACCTCCATCACTCCTCTGAAACTGCTTTTGCCAAAATTACCAATAAACCTTATTACAACGGAATACATGGGTAATTTTCAGGCCTCATTTTACTTATCATCTAGGCTAGTATTGTACCAAAGGGTGGGAGATGAGAGTTCATGTCAGGTGCAGGCAACAGGGAGTACATTGTCCCCAAACGATTTAAAGACAGTAATAAAAACTGACAAAAATTGATCGGCTTTCTATTATCACAATGCACCAGCAATTCCAAACAATGTTAGTATAAAAAACTCCTCTCGAAACCCTTTGGTTGATCTTAGTTCTAATCAATTGCTATGCTTACTGTTACATTTTAGTAATATAATTATATGCATATATTATGTCATGTTGTATGGGTATGTATGCCAACTTCAAATAAGAACACTTGTATTACTTATCCTTTAATAAACATCATATATACCTGAAAGCTATTCTCAGGAGTTTGCAGTTACATAGTCTACTCCAGACACACATGGACTTAGCACGCGTGTTCATTTCAAAAGTAAATTCATAATGATTCAGAGTCAGTCAAGCTTGCTTTGAGCAGTTAACGTTTCCATCTCTGTACTACACACCCTGTTGTAAACATGCTATGTTTAATCAGGAGATTCAAAATAAACAATGACAGCACAGAGACTGTAAAGACAAAGAAACAAAAATTGAGTTATTTTAATTCTGTCATTGTGTTACCACTAGGAGTTTTTATTTGTATTTAAAATTGAAAACAGTGAAAGAGTGCAAACTGTGAGATGTTCATTATTGAGTTGGTTGTTAAGCACAGATTTTAATTCATACGTGAAATAATGTACTGAATCTGAATAATATCCTTAAAATTGAAATTCATTCTTTTTAAATTGTACTCATTTTAAAATTAAATAACAAATCAAGAAAACAAAGATGGTTGCATGATGATAATTGAAAACAGTTTCACCATAAGGTGGAGAGAGTTGCTCTGGGTGTCAACCACACCAGGTGCACCACAGATTAAGGCTGCATACAAGCCTTGTGCTCACTCCATCCTTCTCTGAACACTCTTTTCCTTTGGTTTTCATGAAACATGCTCTCCCAACTTTTTCCTAGCTAGTGGTCTCTCCAGCAGTGTTCACACCTCCTCATCCCTGAAAACATCATATTTCTCAGTGTTCTGTGCTAGCTAGGTCGTCATCTGTTCTTAACCTACAAGGCTTCTGAACGATCTGGCTTCAATAACCAACTGTATGCTGACGACTCTCAAATCTATTCCTTAGCTCAAATCTCTCTCCCGAAATAAGCTGTTTACCTAACTCTCTACTGAGCATCTTCTTTTGAACATAACTTAGACATCTCCAATCCAATTGTCTGAAACTGAGTTCATTAACTTCACCTCCTCCTTGATCGGTCTGGTAAACTAGGAACCATCCTTGATTCACCCTTTTCCTTCCTCACCCCTTGGCCTCTCAATCACCCAGGCTGACAAATATCTCTCCTAAATATCCCTTATCTGCTTCTTTGTTGTCACAACCATTACGCTGGCTACACCACCACTCTCCTGCATAGCTCCAATAGTCATTTTCTACATTGTAGACAGAGCTCTTTCTGAAGAGTAAATTGGATCACATCACCAACCTGCTTAGCACTGTTTAATAACTTCCATAGTCTTTATTTACAAGACAGAGGTAAAGAGGTCTCCTTTTACCTTTACAGCCTTATCTCTGAGCCACTGTAATCTTACTTCAGTTCTTTTAATATGTTTCAGGTGGCCAGGCGCAGTGGCTCACGCTTGTAATCCCAGCACTTTGGAAGATGGAGACGGGCAGATTACCTGAGGTCAGGAGTTCAAGACCAGCCTGGTCAACATGGCAAAACCCCGTCTCTACTAAAAATGCAAAAATTAGCCAGATGTGGTGGTGCTCACCTGTAGTCCAAGCTACTCAGGAGGCTGACACAGAAGAATTGCTTGAACCCGGGAGGCGGAAGTTTCAGTGAGCCGAGATCGCGCCACTGCATGCACTCCAGCCTGGGCAACAGAGCAAGACTCCGTCTCAAAAATAAATAAATAAATAAATAAATAAATAAATAAAATGTTTCAGGTTCTCTCTTGTCTCCAAACCATTGCTAATGCTATTTCCATGTCTGATGTTCCAAGGAAAATATTATTTCCTCTAGAAAGCCCGACTGCCTCTCAGATTTGTTAGGTGCTTTCCTACTGCACCCTGTCAGAGCACAAAATGGTAATCGCAGTTTGTCTGTCCCCCTTATTAGTCTTTAAGCGAATTAGACTTTAAATTCTAAAAGCAGCTATCAGATCTGTCTTGGTCCTCATTGTATTCCTAGGACCTTGCTGTAGAGTGGGTGCTAATAAATATTTTTGTTAAGTGAATGAATGTATGTATGAATTGCTTTGGCTCTAACTGGAATTTGTCTATACCATGGATCGTGGATGCTTTGTCTATGGCTTATAATATCAATTGTTCCATTTTGACTTATTTCATTCCTAGAAAATTTGTCCTATGCTTTGTTATTTATAATCACATTAATGATTTATTTCAGAATATACTGTAATATAAAAAATGATGCATGCTAAATAAAATCTGGCAGGTTTTTTTTTTTCCCCACCATTAGGAAGGAAATGGAGGTGTAAATACATTTAAAATTCACCATGGGGTGATGGAATGCACGACTTTTGGGCAACCTTAAAACTGTCCTTTCAATTTTAAATCCACACACCAACAGAGGGGATAATTTTAAGTCTCTCTTTGTTGAGAGCTTCAGGGGAGAGTGTGTAGAGTGGATTTTTTCTGATTCAAAATGAAGAGATACATGAAAACTACCAAAGTCAAGGCACTTCATAGAGAAAAGTATGATGCTTTCATTGCTGAAGAGACCCAACTAAAGTCTAATGCAGAGGATGAGAAAGAAAGAGGGCTTGTCATATTCTTCAGCCAGCACAACCTTCCCTTCATGTTTACATCAACAGCAGTGGTGCCTCCCGGTCTGATGTTTACATAAAGCTGAGAGTCAACTGGATACCCTGGCTCCATGCTGGCCCAAGGCAGAGCTGACCACAGCAGGTAACAGGCACCTGGACGGGGCTCCCCATGGGCCATCAGGGGTTCTCATCAGCTTCTCTTAGCCGGCAGATTTTGAACAGTGGGTATGTTCCAAATGTGTCAGGGCATATTTTTCAAACATCACTGCAGATTCATTCGTTATGTCTTGCCTTTTTTTAGACCTTGACAATAAAGGGACAGTTTTAACCAAGGAAGGGAAAGAGAAGCTCGTGCACACTGATATTTTATGACATGCTAGGATCCACAGTGAGATTAACCTATTTCTTTGAGATCTTTGGGGTCCTATTTTCTCTGACTCCTCATTATTTTCCTTTCCAAGACAGCAATTACATCTTCAAAGGAGGAAGATTCACACCACACTTTCATGTTTATGTGCTCTGAATTCCTATGTATTTCAAAGTGTATACCTTAAGGTAAACTTTGAAAAAACACAGGCCACTGTATTCTGCTCCAGTTGTGTGTGTGTGTGTGTGTGTGTGTGTGTGTGTGTGTGTGTCTCAACTTAGAATATGCACACCTCAAGCACAAGAATCTTCTCTTTGCTTTATTATTCTCCACAGGAAATACTTGATACTAAAATTTTCACATGCACATAAAAAAGACAAAGATCTGTAACATATTTTGTGCATGTTTAGTGAAGCCTGCACTTACCCTAGGAAGACATTTAGAGGAACAGAATTTAGAGAATTAAAATGGACTTTTTCGTATTTCATTATTTCCCATGTAGTAGCAAGTAATGTATTACATTCTTAGGGCTTCTGTAAAAAATCACCATAAACTTGGTGGCTTAAAACAATAGAAATTTATTCTCTCACTGTTCTGGAGACCAGAAGTCCAAAATCAGTTACACGGGGCCAAAATCAAGATGTCTGCAGGGACACATTCCTTCCAGATGCTCTCAGAGAGAACCTGTTCCCAGCTTCTCCCAGCTTCTGGTGGCTGCCAACGTGTCTTGGCTTGTGGCCCCATCACTCCAATGTCTGCCTCTGTGGTCACATTGCTTTTTTCTCTGCTGTCTGTGTCAAGTCTCCCTGCTGCCTCTCTCTCATAAAGACTTGTAATTGCATTTGGTACCTGTCTGAATAATCCATGGTAATCTTCCCATCTGAAACTCTTAACCTTAATCATATCTACAAACAATATTTTACCATCTAAGGTAACAGTCACAGGTTCCAGGTATTAAGAGATGGACATCCATTTAAGGACTATATTCAGCCTACCACAGGTGGTGAAGGCATTGTCTTAATAAAAACAAATTTCCTCTGGGGTGCAAGCAAGCCAAGGGAAACAGAAGATAAGAAGTACAAGCTGTGATAGAAAGAACTGCCCTCAATAAAAATTTCATGCTGACCCTGTAATTCAGAAATCAATGCAAAAATAAGCTCCTGACTCTGGAAGAGGATTGTGTTTCAAAATTTTGTGAGTCGGTTGTTTAAAGTTGGGATCTTACATCACTTTTCTATAGAAATAATAATACTTAAGACAATTTTGATTCTAGTGAGCCACTAAAGCTAATTAGACATAACTGAGGTATAGAAATAGTTTACTTTTGTCTTCTAAGAATCTATTCTATGGAAATAATCAGAATGCAAAAACTCAAAATGTGTTGTGAAGATGTTTTTAGCCACATTATGTACCATAGCATAAAAAAAGATAGAAGGGAGAACTTAAATATGCAACAACATGGAAAGGTTTATGCAAATTATAGAATATCCACATGATGGAATGTTATGCAACCATATTAAGTTGAGGTAAAATTGTTAAAGACATGAGAAAATGTGCATACAACACTGAAGTGAAATATTGACAATATTTTTTGCTCGTGAATCTGTGATTTGGACAGAGCTCAGTAGGGACAGCTTTTCTCTTCTCCACTTGGCATCAACTACAGCAGCTCAGAGGCTGGAATCATCTGAAGGCTCACTCACTCATATGTCCAGCAATGGATACCGCTGTCAGAACACCTACACCTAGGCTTTCAATGTGACCTTGCCTTCCTCACAACACAGTGGCTGGGTTCCAAGAATCGTGTCCCAAGAATGAAAGCCAGACAGAACCGTATCACCTTTCATGACCTGACCATTAAAGCCAGGTAATGCCACTTTTGTCACCTTGCATTCACCAAGGCAGTCCCAAGGCCTGGCCAGTTCTAGATGGAGGTAAAATATGACCCCACCCCTTATACAGAGGCAAGGTTCTGACACTAGAAATATTGTCTGGTCATTTTTGGAAAATAGAGCCTCTCACACAACGACACAAGCTATATACAAAGCATAATTCTGATAATGTTAAACACAAAATCGTAATTACTAAACACATAACTAAACACATAAACACATTAGAAGGAAGTAGTAATATTTTATATAAATATAAATAACTAATTTTCTTTCTATCTTGGTGGTAGAACTATGGGTCATTTTTATTCTCCATGTGCTTTTTGGAATTCATTATAAATTTTAGCATCAAATATATTTGCTGTGAGTGAAAATACAAACTGACTTATTAGAACAGAGAGCATGTGAACAGCACTTAATACATCACCCTTATATGTAATATATTATGTAATCCTGGCAATAATCTGGTGGGCAAAGGAGACAAAACTCATTTTCAGGCCAAGAATCTGAGACTCAGACAAGCTTACTGCTAGTTTGTGGTGGATCTGGACCTCGAATACCAGGCTTTTGACTCCAAAGTCTTGTTTCCTAGTGTATTCTCGTTCCATGGTTTCTCCTTTAAATGGATTGGAAATTGCAGCTAATGTGTGTCATCCTCCAGGCGAGAATCTCTCTGCCATCTTCATGCTCTTCATTGCCATAGTCATAAATGATCCCTCTTCCCTCTCCATAGCATCTTTTTTGTCCTAGAGGTAGGTCTTGGGAAAGGGAGAATGAAAACCTTGGAGAAGCTTCTGAAAAGGTTCAGGAAAAAGAGAATGGGGAAAGGCAGAAGTTTGAGATGAGGGCTTGGGAGAATTCTCTTGCAGTGAGAAACATAAGCAGGAGTATAGGGGCAATTTTGGCTTCTGTTGAAAGAGGGCTGAAATAGCACAGGGAGGGATTGAAGCATGCCTTGATCCTTGACTACACTGATGCTGAGATAAGATAGATGAGAAAAAAGAGAGCAGGGACAACTTTCAGAAGGATGGTCGTTTCTATAAGGAAGAGGAGAAGTTTCATAGGATAGAGCAGTAAAGGAGTGATTTTCCAGTTCTAGGAGCTGTTCATAAAGAAATGAAGGATTTTCATAATGTGAGTGCTGGTAAATCAGAAATTGCCACTAAATCTGGGGGGAAAAAAGGCTATTTAGCTTAAGAATTCAATGGAAATTAAATGAATTGAAACAACCCCAAATTTTTTTTTGAGTTGAACTTTGCTTTAGAATATATTTAGGTTTAAGTGGAATATCTCATTTTTTTAAAAGGAAGAACTTAGTCATATAAACAAACTGAAATAATAAAATCAGTAAATGTGTATGGGTATACAGTTATCTGATACTATAAGCAAGCATCCTTCTGTTGCTATACAGATCCTAGATGAAAGAACTCATCCTCATTCATTTTGAGTCCTACGGAGTCAGCAGTACCAAACTCCATCAATCCCTTATTAGACCTCATCATCTTCCTTCCAGTATGCAGATAGAGCTTATTTTACAAACTAAGCCTTTTTCTTGAGATTGGTAAATATTGTTTGAGCCCTTAAGCCCTTAATTTTCGCATCTAGCCTATTGTCCATAGTCTGAAGAGGGAAAGCAAACATTAAGATATAATCAAATTTAATTTTGTGATCAAAAGATCAGTGTTCTATGCTCCAGAAAATCAAGTATAAAAGGAAGACATTTAATGAATGCTCACCAACGTTTCTGATTCTTCTTCTCCTAGGCCTATTATGTAATTACATTTCCATCCCCTTTAGGTTGAGGAGACCAGTACTTTGATTAGTGCAATGCAAGGAGAAGTGTTTGGTCCTTTAACAGTTAGGGCTCCATTCACCACATTCTTTCCCCTCTGCCATGATAACCAGTGACATTTACAGATAGTGGAGGCTTCATCACCCTCGGCACCAGAGAGAGGATGAGGTGGAACAGTGTCCCCTGCCAACCCAGGATGGGCAGGTATCAAAAAAATTAAATAAACTTTTTTGGTTCTCCGTCACGGAGAGTTTAGACTTGTGTGATACTGCCACACAGTCTTTCACTGGATTCATACATTCGGTGAAACTGGTGGGCTTAGAAATGATGGTTAAACATTTCTTGAGCATCAGAGGGGCAGGAAATTTAAATTACTAGAAGGTAAGCTTCCAGCCTCTGAACATGTATCAAAAACAAGTGAAGGAAAACTTATCTCCACACAAAACCCTGAACACTAGTAGCAGCTTCATAAATAATTGTAAAATTTTGGAAGCAACCGAGGCATCTTTTAATAAGCTAATGGATAATCAAACTGTGTTACATCCCATACAATGGAATATTATTCGGTAATAAAAAGAAGTGAGATATTAAGCCACAAAAAGACAGGAAGAAACCTTAAATGCACATTACTAAGTGGATGCGTCACTCTGAAAAGGCGACACACTGTATGATTTCAACTACGTGACAGTATTGTAAAGGGCAAAACTGGTGGCAGTAATCAGCCATTGTCAAGGGCTTATCGTAGAGATGAAGGTAGGGATGGGTGAATCACAGGGGAGTTTTAGGGCAGTGAAACTATTCTATTGCCAAAACCCATAGAACGTATAACACAAAGAGTGAAGCCCAATGTAAACTATGGACATTAGTTAATAACAAGGTATCAATACTGGTTCATCAGTTGTAATAGGTATATCATATTAATCAAGATGTTAATTTAAGGGAAACCAGGGGAGTTGGAAGAGGGGGTATCTGGAAAAATCTTTGCACTTTCTGTTTAGCTTTTCTGTAAACCTAAAACTGCTCAAAAATTCAGCTAGAAAAGCAAATAAAGGATATTTTAACTTAACAAAATACCAAAGATCCATTTACGTGATTACAAAGTGAAGAGGTAAGTGGTGGCAGGTTGTTGAATTGAGGGTTGGTCTGGTGGGCTTAATTGTGGAATACTTCGACGCACACAAAGGGTCATACATTTGGATATTATCCAGAAGAGGACATAAAAAAAATGAATGAGCTTCTTGGAGAGAAGAGCATAAAAGACTAAGGTAAACTGTGGTAAGAAAGAATAGTCTTGAGAAGTAATTGTAAGTGATTTTGTCCTCATGACCAGAAATATGCCATCCTATGGACAGAAATAATACTGCATCAAAACACTGCTTAAGCAAGTTACCCTGCAGGAATGTTAATTCCAGTATACATTTATTTGGTAATCAGAGATAAGTAGGAGAGATTCACTTTTGTAATGGCAAAGCCGATCTTTCCAAAATGCCTCACAGTGGAAAGGAGGTTTGCAGTGTGTGAGGAACCCTGCTAACGCCCACTCAAGTGCAACAATATAACTGGTAAAAATTATTTAAAAAGACAAAAACAAAAAAACAGGCCAGGCACGGTGGCTCATGCCTGTAATCCCAGCACTTTGGGAGGCCAAAACCGGCAGATCACTTGAGGCCAGGAGTTCAAGACCAGCCTGGCCAACATAGGGAAACCCCACCTCTATTAAAATTCAAAAATTAGCCAGGTGTGGTGGCGCACGCCTGTAATCCCAGCTACTTGGGAGGCTGAAGCATGAGAATCACTTAAACCTGGGAGGCAGAGGCTGCAGTGAGCTAAGATCTTGCTACTACACTCCAGCCTGGGCGACAGAGTTAGACTCTGTCTGAAAAAAATTAAACGAAACAAAACAAAACCAAACCGTCTGTTTTGCTAACGTGATATGGCATACGAAGAAACAGTAATAAAGAAAATTTCTTAAATCTAGATAAGAAAAATGAGAGTCCATGGCACTAGAGCCATGGCCTGCTCCTACTCTCCCTCACAGTTTAATGTGATGAAGCTCCACTCAAGTTGGGTGTGGCCAGGAAGATGAGGTTCTCCCTCCTCAGCCTCTAGTTAAGGATGACGGTATCTCTTTGGGATTGGCAGGAATTTCTCATCCCTGTGAAGCTCCATGTTACAGGGGCTAAATTCCAGGCAAATTTCTTTGGAAATCAGGGGCTGTCTTCCTCTACCCACCCCCGCCTTCTCTTGCCTCCACTCTAGGTGTGCCAGGCCAAGAATACTTGAGTGTCATTGCCTTCACCTCTGCTCACTCATAGGATAGAGGTTCCCCACTGGAAAAACAAGCTGAAAAGACCAGAGGCAACTGTCTCTACCCAGCTCCCTGCTTCCAAAGCAGGGGTGTCACTCTGCGAGAAGTAGGCCACTATCTCTGTCCCCAGATCTCAAGCAGTGGCTGAGAAATTTTGCCTAGGGGATGTGGCAGGCCATAAGAACAAAAGGGCATATTCTTTTTTCTAATTGCTAAGGCAATTTGGGTACCTAGGCATGATGTTTGATGGTATATTTCTTAGGTTGCTATTTGGTTTGGTTTAGAGGGGGGAGAACGTGGTTGATAAGGCCTCTTATCTCTCTGTAGTCCACAGTTTCAAATCCCAATTCTACCAGTTTACAACCTTACCCAAGGGGGAAAGATGCTGAGAAAAACAAATTTTATTTTAAATATGCAGACTCACAAGAAACTTCCTGTCTTCCATGAGAGTAAAAAAGTACGACTATCCTCTATATAGTTAGGTTAGAAGTCTTCTTGGTTTCCTCAAGCTAGAAAGGAGCTTATAGGAAGAGAACAGCATAGGGAAGATCCCCCTTTCCTTAGCAAAGCTAGGGACATTGTAATTCGAACTTCTCTGTCCTCCTGCTAAATACATCTAGCTGTCTCCATGGTCCTTGTAAGTCCATAGATACCCACCTGAAAATGCCCCCTTTATTTGAGAAATACAGTCTTGAAGCATGGCCTCATATTGGACAGAGATCATAATGAGTCCTCTTTCTCAGTATTTCTTGGTGAGGGAAGAGGGACTATTCCATCCCCACTGTAAACAGATCTCCTCATCCTGGATATGCTCTATATTTACATTGTTCAGAGCCATCTGGAATGATCTAGAATATAACAAGAGTGATATCAACCCAGACCTTACTTTCTCTCTTTGGGGTGGGGTGGGGATAGGAAATGAGGTTTTTGAGGAGGGCAAATAAAATGCAATAGTTAAAAAATAAAATGTTGATTACATTAATTTCTGGCATCAGAATAAAAGGAAATCATAACTATCAGCACAGCTCCCCAGCTACTCGGGAGGCTGAGGTAGGAGAAGTGCTTGAACCCAGGAGGCGGAGGTTGCAGGGAGCTGAGATGGCACCACTGCACTCCAGACTGGGGGACAAAGCAAGACTCTGTCTAAAAAACAAAAACAAAAACAAAAACAAAAAATGTATGTACTAGGCACTCACTGAATGTAAGATTAAGAAGATGCACTTTCTTGCCTTCAGAAGGAATACAAAGTTACAAAGTATGTTGTTAACCATTGTAATAAGTGCAATAAGCATTTGGTATTTCAAAGGGCTGAGAAACACACTCTGTCCGACAATAGTGAATTAGGGAGGGAGGGCTTCTTTGAGGAAGTAAATGTGTTAGGTTTGAAAGATGAACAGGAGTTTACCAGGTTCCCAATGAGCAAAGGAAGGAAGTATTTTAGGCAGAGAATGTTACATGACTGAAGTCACTGATGCCAAGAAAGCAGGAGCACTCAGGAAATAGTGATACAAAGTTGATATAAGAGATAAGCTTTTGTTTTCACATCAATTTAATACACTTTTATTAAGCACCCACCGAATCACCAAAAACCTGGTGGTTTGGTCTTCATAGATAAGTTGCCACCCTCAAAGCCCTCTACTGAAGGCGCACTCATGCTACGTGCCAAGTTCATAAGTGACACTGGTTTCTTGCATTTCCATACCGCCACGGACCCGGATTTCCTTGGGGATCTGAAATAGCCTAATGCTAATTCCAGCTTCTATGCTGGTGAGGGTATTATCAGCAAGGAATTAGTTGAACCATACTCAGCAGGAGAGTATATTCTCTGCTATGATTGATTCTGGATAGTTCAGAAGAATGCAATCCTATGAAACATGATATATTCATTGGCTAATTTTCAGGACAGACCATGAATTCTGATCCCAGGCTCACCGCAGTACTATCGTCAGCTTCCCTGATAAAAGCAAAGCTTCTGAGATGCTCTTGCTATTGTTTGGAGGAAGGTATGGTTCAGCAGGTAATTAGGTTTTTATTGGCAAAATCTGCAAAGTTCCCATTCTCGTTTTAAGAACCAGTTTCTCTTATCAGGACTTTCCTAGTAGAGATCATATTTCTGCAGGAGATTTGAGAAGGCAGAAGGGAGAATGTCTGACCTGGCCCAGATAGATCATGAGCCCTAGGCTAGAGGTGACTAGGGAGGCTGGGACTTGCCTCAGGGACGTGGTTGCGCCCCTACATTATACATTACTTAGTTTCCTTCCAGACAGGGAGGGGAGCCTTTCATTTTTTTGTTTGAGATCACCTTTCATTCATTCTCTCATTTGGCATACATTTGTTGAGTAACTGCTATGTATCAAGATATGAACCAGGTGGCTCATGCCTGTAATTCTAGCACTTTGGGAGGCTGAGGTGGGCAGATCACTTGAGGTCAGAGACGGGCATGGTGGTGCACGCCTGTAATCCCAGCTACTGGAGGGGCTGAGGCAGGAGACGGGCTTGAACCCGGGAGGCGGAAGTTGCAGTGAGCCAAGATCGCACCACTGCACTCCAGCCTAGGGGACAGAGCAAGTCTCTTTCTCAAAAAGAAAAAAAAAAAAAAAGAGATATATACTGGGCACTCACTGAATGTAAGATTAAGAAGATACACTTTATTGTCTTTAAAAGGAATGCAAAGTTACAAAGTATGTTGTTAACCATTGTAATAAGTGCAATAAGCATTTGGTATTGCAAAGGGCTGAGAAACACACTCCGTCCTACAATAGTGAATTAGGGAGGGAGGGCTTCTTTGAGGAAGTAAATGTGTTAAAGTTTTAAAGATGAATAGTTTACTAGGTTCAGAATGAGCAAAGGAAGGAGGTATTTTAGGCAGAGAATGTTACGTGACTGAAGGCACTGATGCCAAGAAAGCAGGAGCACTCAGGAAATAGTGAGTTCTTATTTGGGAATGTTTGAATATGGAATGATTGGTGATGATGCACAGAATGCTGTTAGAGGGTAGGAGAACGAGTTGAAAAGGTGAAAATGCAGGCAGAGCCAGAAGTCTAAGGAGCTTGGAGGACACAGAATTAACCCCATGGGCTCACACTGGACACTAGTAGTTGTATCACTTTTGTTCGGCTAACACATGGATTTTTCTTGTTTTAAAAATATTTGAACTAGAATAACTTTACCTCCTCCATTTAAGGTAGAGCCACCCCTTCCTACAGTATTCCACCAGAAGCCTTACATTCTTTACTACTCCCCCAGGCCCCTAAAGACAAGTGAGTGTGCAATTTCATGAGCAATAAAAAGTCACCAGAGGATTTTAGGCAGATTTAACAGATTTGTATTTTAGAATGATTGCTCTAGCAATAGTGGCTATTATCACAACTGGGAAGGGGAAGCAGGCCCAAGTAGATGCTAGAGCAATAACTGAGGTGAGACATGATAACGCTCTGGGTTAAGGCAAAAGATATGGGTTGTAAGCTACAGATTAGGAAAGTCTTCAAAAAGTGGCTAGCGTAAGAAGAATCTGCTGAGGACCAACATTTTTAGAAATAAGCAAATTCCCAACAAAGGGATAGAAGAACAAACTGGGGAGAATGGCTGTATACTGAATTCAAGATTGGGGCATGTTGAAATTTAGCTAATAGGTTGACAAGCTGGATATTCATGAGTGGTAGGAAACAGAAGACAACTAGACAATTAGAAGGAACTTGGAATACAGTATGAGGTGCTTGAAGACATAGGGATGGCTGTTTCTGCTCAAGATGTAATGAAGGAAGAGACAGCTGTAAGGCAGAATATCGGCAGTTATGGGAAAATAAATCTGTTATGAGACCAGATGAAATTAGCATTAAGAAGAGAACTAGGAGACACTGGGTTGTGAAAACCAAAGAGAAAAATGGGTCAATGGCTTGCCCAGGCCAGAAATGCAAGTAGAAGGAGTTGCTGCTTCTGACTCAGGCCTGCCTGTTTTCTGAGTGATTTTTGATTGCTACACTCTTGGTATATATCATCTATAATAGTCAAAGTAGGCCAGAACTTCACCCTTAAGCATCTCAGTCTCCCCAGAACAGGCCTTTCCAGAGTGAACTACAAGCAGGAAATCTCCCCTTCAGAGGGCTGTCTATTCTTTGGCAGGTAGACCTGACTTTAGTAGTAAAGGCACAAAATTCTCTGGGATGCAAGCAATTCCAAAGGGATCTAAAAGACCATCCCTGCTGCTTACTTTGGAAAGATTATCATGATTATCTTTATTAGCACAGAACTATGTAAAGTGAGGTAGATTTTATTATGGAGGTGAAAGTGTGGGTAGGAGCAGGTAATCATGCTTGAGCCCACTAAGCCCTAAATTCATCTACCCTCTCTCTGGTCAGACTATCCCCAGAGTTTAGCCATGTGTAAGTCCCCATTCTTGACTCCACTTAGGAGATAAAAATCTCTTTGTGGATGTTGTTGGGGGTGGGGAATGGAAGCTTCCCCCCTGCCCCGACATTGTTGTCAACTGTCCTTAGAAAAGCAGAAAAGAGCAAAGAGCTCTATGGACAAAAGCCCAGATTTTTATGGACACAGGGAAAGGCCACTGCAGCTTTAAAGAAACACTTTCTCTGTTGAAGTGGGGTCGGAAATGTAATGGAAGTAGGTAGCAAACTCAAAGGTATGGTCTTGTGAGAAAAAGTATTTATTTGTTATAGGAAAGCAATCAGGGAAAAGGGAGAGAAAGGCCTTCGCTAGAGATCTAAAGCTTATTGATCAGTGTGTGTTACAGCATTGAACCCACTGGTATTATTCCCATACTTTAGTCTCTCCCACAGACTGGATTGAGCCCGTTTTTATCCACATTAGGCTATCAGCACTCTAAGTGCTTTTCTAATGGACATTTCCCCCCCAAAAGTAAGGTAATTGAAAGGAGAAAGCCATGATTTAGAAGTTGCGGAAGTGGCGAAGGTTTGTATTACAACTTTGGTTTTTGAAAGTGACTACAAAATTATGAAGGGGAGAGAAACAGGATCTCTCCCAGTTTACCTAAGCATTTCTATATACTCAAAGACACCACTGTGAATCAAACAAGAACATAAGAAAACTCAGAAGACATGGGCAGAGAAGCAAAATGGCCAGGTACGATGTAAAATGTAATGAGGCTAGCTAGCACATCCAACCTGGTGCTAAAAGTCTTTTAAGGACTTGAAGCTAGCTTGTGGAAAGATCAGCTATTAATGTTTGCCAGAGGCAACCCTTAGGCCTTTAGAGAAAATTGTAGTTTTCCAATGATAAGAAAATTACCCCATGGTTCTATTCTTGAATTATTTTATCAATTAGCTAAGGGAAAATACAATCTCAGACAATGCACTGTACCTGCACTGCGGCTCTATTGTGTGGCATCGTTCACATAGCTTTCCAAAAATGTGGGCTATGACAACTATAAAACGTTAGGTCATTTTCTTTTCCAGATGTGATCTCAGAGGTGAATGTTTCTCAGCTGAAGTGAGGAAAATGAATATTCCAAAAGGATTGCAGCTTTTCTTAAGGTTTGGAACACATACCAATGAAGTTTGGTAAAGGCAACAGAGGGAAAGCAGGTGGTTGTCTAGGACTTTGTGTCAACATAAAGGCTGTAAGAAGACTTTTGAATGTCTCAAAAATTCTCTTCTGACTGCAAAGGTATACTATTTCAAAATTTGGTTTACTGATTAAAAGGTTTATATGCGTACTTTTAGACACTCATAAGAGGACATCAAAAGTGCAACAGCACCTCCCCAGGACTGGAATTTATGGGACTCTATTTCCTATTATTCGGCCTCCAACTCAAGTACATAAATTTTGGCTTTTAGAGTGAGAGTCTTTAACTTATTTATGAAGATGGAATCTGAAAAATGTTGTAGATATTGTTGTGCCAGCCACTTATAGAGAATTGGAGTATTAAATGATGCTAAATGATGCCAAAAGCTTCCTCTACCAACCCTTATAAGGTGAGGTAGTATTAGATACAAGTTTTATGGAATAAACAAAAAAATTACCAGTATGCTTAATAATGAACATTTAAAACCTGTTTCCTACAGCCAAACAGGTCATAGTTGAGTGATACCAGTGGTAGGAAAATAAATTTCAAAATTACTTTTGTTGATGATTTTCCACACTAACAAGCTTGAAATAGAACCTTATATAGTATGTGATTTTAATCTGAATTGATTTTTAAAGACCCTCCATATTAAAGTCACAGGCACTATTTTATAATCAAGAATAGCTAACTGGTGCTTCTCTTCATAAAAATCCCTCCTGGGCAATTCACTACTTGATGCACTTGTCAGGGTTTTTCACCATGTAAATAAAAGAAGACATGGTTGTGCATCTCTCATTCTGTTATTATACAAATAGCAAGATGCAATTTTTCAACATTTTAATAATGTAGAACAGCAGGAAGTATTTTTATTACTTGAACATTTTTAGACATTTATAAACCTATTAAGAGAGAAGCTGCATGGATTACAATAGACCTATCTGGGTCCCAGGAAACAGAATTCCTCTTTGGGAAAATGTCTTTCTCATAAATTATCATTATTTGTAAAAATAAAAATTCCTAAGCTGTTAAGTTTACCTGGGTACAAAGTTTTTTTTTTTTTCTTGGAATCCACTGGTCTCTAATACTTATTGAGTATGTATGTTGCTTATCAATTACTCATTACCTATACACATACAGCATATATTTAAACATGTAAACACGTGTATATACATACACATTCATTTTTGGAAAATTATTAAACTCCTTTTTCTTTTATTTAAAATAAACCACACCCATTAAAAACTGGATAAAAGCCTTCTGATAAAGTCTTATCCTAAAATGAAGTGTGTATGTATATACATATAGTCAACATTAATTTTGAATACTGCACAAACTATTTTCTAGTTTAAAAATTTACAGTGATCAACTAGTTACACACTGAATCATGGGAGAAAGGCCATAGGCTGATTGTCACTTTGAGTTATGCCTTAATTACCCTGTTTCTAGTGCACTAACTTGCCAGCCACCTTCTTTTTTGTCCCCTTTATTTTTCTAAGAAGGGCAAAACATCCTTGAAGATCACTGTTATATTCATAGCAATGTGTTTTACGTTTATGGAAAACCTAAAAACCAGAGAAAGCCCACAAAATAACAGTCATTTCAAACCAGAGACAATGCATTTTTTCTCATTTATTCAAATTCACTGCAGGAAGTAAACACTAAAAGATTAAAAAACAAAACAAAAAAATTCACACTGCAGTATGTACAGTTTCATGACATCACATGAAGAAATTAAATTTCTAATAAAAATGGCAAATTATATTACTGAGCAGATCGCATCAAATTTGGTTGTGTAAACACCAGAATTCTTACTATGAATGGTAATGTGCCTATATTCCAGTATTGCTAATACTGGGATACTCTTGGAATAATGTTTGCAATGGGATTAAAAAATTCATGAAAGTAGTTGTGTGAATTCTTTATGTTTAAAAGTGGTTGACGATTAAAAAAATTCTTTAAGACCCTTCGAATCAAAGCACATTCTTTCACAAAGCTTAAACCACAGACGTCATGTCCAGAAATGGAATACTGTCATGTTAGGATGAACATCTGATCTGATTTGTTAAGACATTTTGCCAAATGCACAGATGCACAGGGTCCCCCATGCACTTTTCATGCAGCAGGTAATCACAACTTAAATAAAAGGTTTATTCTATACATTTGTCCAGACTTGCAACTGTATACATACATGCACAACTTTTAAACCTGTCTGATTATATTTACACTTATACATGGAATATACAGGAACCAAAGAGATTAAAAGGCTTTTCTGTTGCATTAGAACAATACAAAATATGTATTTTTCATTAAGGAAATCACTATTTACATCACCTTTAAAAACCGATTTTAACATCTTCATGTAACAAGTCAATATATATATATATACATATTATATATATATATATATATATATATATAAAATATATACTCTCACCAGTTTACTCTTCTGTAAGATGCAGCAGAGAATAAACAGGTAATGAATGCTACCTTACTGATGTCAATAAGCTGTAGTACCCTTTCACAAATGACTTTATTAGAAGAAATTGTCTAGATATCTAAAATAGTCCTTGAAAATGTGTATATGTGCATCCTTGTATCTACATATGCATAAACAAAGTGAATCTGTGGATGTATGCCCTTTCTCACTGTTCTTTAAAATCACCCTAAATTCAAATTGGGAACATTCTCTAGTAAATCAGAACAGCATTCTTCGTGGTCATGTTTATTTAAGTATTACATATTCTCATTCCTTTGTTAACAACAACGAAAACAACCAGCCAACCAAAAAAACAAAACAAAACCCACACACACACACACAAAAGTAGCAATGCTGGCCCTTGGTCTTTTCCCTGACCTAAATTTCACTCTCTTGTAAAAAGGTCATTTCCCCCTACCCAAGGGAGAATACCAACATATTTTTTCTGACATACCTCTAAGGCTCCAAACCTTCCACAACGATCAAGAAAAATGACTTGTTTAAAAGCTTATTTATATAGTGTTGACAATAAGATTGTCATAGTATGGACATGGAATAGAATATATTCAACTGGCCAGTGGAATTTTATGTCAGAATAAGCCTATGCCTTCACTTCTCCATGATGTTGCATAATACCCACTCCTATTACTGTATAATATTTCCAGTAGCTATTTACAAATCATTCTGAGGAAAAATAACCATTTAGGGTTTTAGATCATATTAGGAAATCACACCTATTTTTAATATAAAAATCTTAGAAACCACTTCAAGTAGAACAATTTTAAATCAATATCCTAACTAGTAGTGATTATAGAATAATTTTTGATAGGTCATTTGCTAACCTGGTTCACAATTAAGAACAAAATATCTGGTGAATGAATTGTGGATTGTACAAACTGAACATAAAAACAGACCTGTTTCGCAACTGAAACCCCATGTGGCTTCACTAATATATTAATTTCTTCTAAGACAGTATCAACATGTACTTTTCATCACTACTTTAAAGTAAAAGATCCAATGGAGTGATTGTGTACAATTCTGTCACGTATATGTGCCCTTTGTACTTTTTATTTAGTCAATCTGAGTTTAGTGCCCTTCTTGGGTTTAAACTAAATGTTGTAAGCTTTGTTGGCATTGTTCTTAGGACAATGGTTTTAATAAAGGTTAAGGATGCATTCAGGAGAAGTTTCCAAACCATCCTGGAATCACCTGAGTTTGGTAAGTGGCCCTGTTTTTCCATCCCTAAGGCTAACTAAGTAGATGTTACTCATTAGAACACACAAATAATCACAGATTTTCCTGAGATGTTGAGCCAGATATGAAAGTTATCCCCTCCACCCAATTTTTGTCATAAAAAGTGTTCTGAACCCGATTTCCAAAGACATAACGGTAATATATGAACTACAATATTGCAAATTTTGAGCTGATGTGTGACTGTATTGGGGAAAATAGAGGCATCACATAGTTTTTTGTTTTTGTTTTACAGTCTCATGTTCTGAGGAAAGTCATAAGTCATGGTTCTCAAACACAAGAAACACCTAGAGAGCATGTTAAGATGCAGATGGAAGATTCCAGGTCCACTTAGCAGAGATTCTTGTTCTGTAGATCTGAGATGCTGCCTATGAATCTGCATTTTAAAACAAGTGCTCCAGATGGTTCTAATGCAAGTGGTCTGAGTTCAGGTTTAAGGAATCCTGGTCATAACACTCGCAGGTACCACAGGAATGGTGAGAATTAACTTTTACAAGAGATGGTGAAAACTGTCCAAAGAAAAGCCATTTTGCTTCTGTTAAAAACAATTTCTTAAATATTCAACTTTTCAGGAAACCACCTAAAGATAAATGTTAACTTTTCTAATTCTGTAAAAGGAGGAGTATTAATTTAGTAAAGTAGTTAAAATACAAAAAATGGAAATCTGCCTTTTTTTTAAAGGATCTATCAAACTTCCCTCAATTGTAATCAATTTTTACTAAGTAGCACAAGGTTTAAAGAAATATATATTGAAAAGGATCAGGGTGGGACAGACACATTGGGAACCACAAAACCTCTTCCAAGAGTTAAAAATAAACACCTTTTTTTTTTCTTTTTAGCAAAAGTGAAAAATGTAAGCATATATTTTTCTAATTTATTTTTGAATTGGATAATAAGCTGTGAATCAGCACTAGGTTTTTTTTTATTGGATAATTATCCTTTAAAGAGTTGTTTAACAGTTTAGACTTTAAAAATGTGTTATGTAGGCTGACTTCTGAAAAGCAAAATAAAGTACCCTAATAAAGGCAGCAAAATGCATTAATCCACTATGAATGGAGTTTTACATTTTAATTTATGCCTAATATTTATAAAAGAATTTCATTCATAGGCTACTCACAGTTGTTATCTGATGCATACAGAAGTGTTAAACAACCAATTGCTAGTTCAGTAGTTTCCTCATGACATCTAATGTTAAGCAAAAATTAGTATGCATATTTCAACATCACCAGTAACCAATACTTTTCAAAATGAAAAAAGTTTCAATTATACCATGCTTTTTTTCAAATCATGCTCTTATTTATACAGATCTCAAGTTCATACTCATTAGTTTTAAAAAGATCCAAAACTGGATGGCAGGTACATTTTATTCTGATTCTTTCTTTATCGTTAGCACGCTTCCCAGAAGTCCATAAACTTCTCCATTTGCGCTGTGTGGGCGAGAAGCATTATTTCCCATATGGCTATTGTAAGGGCTTCTTAAATTAAAGAAAGAAGCTTTCGTTTCTGCAGTAGGAAGTAACTCTTCTTTGGCTGTGACCTGTGAGACACTTTCAGCAGATGAAGCCTCCCTCCAAATGTCCTTGTCTTGTGTTTCTCGACTGGTAACAGAATTGCCTCCTTTTTGAAGCATGTAATATAGTATTGGGTTGGTTTTGGTCAATCTTGGAGAGTCTTTTTCATACTCATTCTTCTCCGCATCAGTGATAACCCACTTAATGGGTCCTTTCTCACTGGGCATGGAACACCCATTCAAAAGCCCAGATTCTGGTCTAGACCCTGCACAGCCCAAGTGCTCAGGGAAAGTAGGACTCACAGGAGTTTTTACTACACCTGGGTATGAAAATGTCCTGTTATCCATGCAACTGCTGGGCTGAGTGGAACTGTACATCAGTCCATTTAAAGAAGAAATGCTAAATTCAGGTTTGCTGTTGGTCACATTATTTTTGTGTCCTTTCTTTTTACTGTCAGCCACAGAGTTACTTCTGTGCGGGGACAAATCTCGCACACAGTTTTCTGAGAGAAGCAGCTGTTTCAGAACATTAAAGCTTTTGCTCTCTCTGGCCCAACTCCTGTGTTCACTTTCGCTGGCTGAGCCATGACCAGCAGGATATTTAAATTCAAGATCATTTCTGCTAAATTTCAGCTCTTCCTGGTTAAGCAAGGACCCATACAGTACTTCTGGGGCACTGTGATTGTTTGCAGCATCAACAATGTTGTTTTTCATCTTTTTAAATGGATTTTCTAATGGCTCAGTATAAAGCTTCCTTTTCTTAGGGACCATGCAAAGATTCTTTGATTCTAGAAGTGCCATTTCATTATTTCTGTGACTCCTGTCTGAATCATCTGCCAGGTAACTATCTTGATTTTGTCTTAGCAATCGACTTAGCAGACCATTCTTGGAGAAAGAAAAATCCTGAGGTGAAACAGGCTCCGATTTAAAGTCTTCGGACACTGGTAAGGCAGGTGCGCTTCTCTGCACAGCAGGAGCCATACCCAAGAATGGGGCACTCTTAGCATCATGGCTCAAGTGCACATTTGTGTTAGGAATTTGTAAGTCATCACAAGGCTCAGATTTTATTTTCACCATCAGTATTTGTTCACTTAAAGCTCTCTCTGAGTGTTCCTGAGTACTTTCATCTCTTAAGGGAGTTTTCTCTTTTTTTTCACTCTTCCCTTTGTTGGGGTTCCCCAGGAGCAACTGGAGGACAGTACGTCTTTCAAGCAGATTTTCTATTTCAGAACCAGAAAGCCCTGGTTCAGGACCTGTTGGTTGACTACTAAATGCTTTATTTTCTTCAACTGCATTTGTTTTATTTGAGAGCAAAGGGCTATTTAATCTATCAATCATACCTATCGGTTTATCTGTGTTTCCAGTTAACAGCTGTTTGCTGGGTCTCTGCTCTTCCACTGACATGGATGACTGCATTCCACATTGTGCTAAATTTTGTAACAGCTTACTGGCACTAAACGTTGCAGAGTTCTGTGCACCTTCATTTTGGGCTGGTTTCTCTCCTGGTGGGTCTTTGCTTTTTGTAAGGTCCATTGAGTGGTTAGATGCAGTATTTGTTAGCTTTTCAGACTGAGTACTGCAGACATATGGTGGGGAATTCCATTTGATGACCAGAGAGTGTTGAGAGAGATTGATGGGAGACCCTGCTTTGCTTGATGTAAGTAAAGGTGGAGTGCTCACTGGAGTAGTCCGATTTGTACTGGGGCTTTCTATCACAGAAGTCCTTGCATAATTTTGTGTATTGAACTTGCTCACATCATTGTGTACTCCCTGAGGGCTGGTGTTTTTTTCTACATTTTCTTCATTCTTATGGCCAAGTAGCAATTGAAGAAGTGTTACTTTCTGGTGTGAGTTTAGCTTAGAATTCTTTGAGGTATCTTGATCTTCTTTGATATCTACATCTGGGACTTTTGGATCCCAAGTGTTTAGCAAGGATTGAGTGAAGTTATCCAGGGAAACAGGTTGGTCAGATTCTGATTTTTCAGTTCGGTGTTTGCAAGACAAGTCTATGGGAACACAGTTGGAATAAGAACTTTCATCACCACTGCTGTCATCTGTAAAACTAGGATTGTTATCTGAATATTCATCAATAGTTGTAGGTGTACTACTTTCCTCAAAAATGCTTCCTCTCTCACTGTGACTGTGTCCATTCATTGGCTTAGGTATAGTCTGGCTTTTAAGAAGATGTAAAAGCAAACTATTGTTAGCAGCTTGTTTTATATTGTTTCTTTCCAGTGAGTTCTTATAACCTGCATTTTTAGGGGAAGAAGGAATGATACCCATTGGATTTTGAAACACTGTAGCACTACTTTTGCTAGCCATCAGTTTGCTTGATGATGTTCTTGCCTGACCATTAAGATGGCTTGACATTCCTTTTGGGAGCTGGTAACTGCCAACATCCTTCTGGCCATTTTCTTGCAATCTGGCCATAGCAGCAAGTCTTTCACTTGCTGCTTGATTTGCATTTTGCGTTTTTAAAGCGTGTTCTCGAGAATACTGCTGCAAATGGGCTTCGCTTGACAGAAGTAATGCTAACTGGCTACAAGCAACACTAGGTTTAGGTGAGGTGGCAGGACTAGCCCTTTTTTCCACCATGCTTGCAACAGCCTGTAATCTTGCAGCACATGACAACGGTTCACTCATGACCTTTGTTCCACTTTGTCCAACATGATGAGGAGACTCTGCAAACCTATCTCTGATGAGGTTTTTAGTCACATCAGGAAGATTCGTATCAGGCTTTTGATCTTTAACTTTACTTTTCTTCAACAAAGTTTTTAAGTGACTTGATGCAACACCATAGCACCTTAAATCCTTCTCCACTTTTAAAGAATCATGACTGAGGGCATATCCTTGCTCCTTGAGGCTCTGCCTGATTTGTTGTGACAGAGCAACAGTCTGCAGCCTAGAGCTGAATGACTGAAGCAAAGAGGCCAGTAATGTGCTATCCTGTTTGCCTTTAGGCACACTGTCAACCATGCCAGCTAGCAAAGCTTCCTTCTTTACGTTTAAATTCATGATAGAATCAGACAGCCTCTTCCGCTTTGCTGCATTCCAGTCCTCAGAAGACTGCAACAGTCTGGCTTTTTTGAGGTGCAGCATGCCAGACCCCTGATATGTATGTGTATTGAGAACTGGACCATTACTTTGACAGGTGGGAAATGCACTGCCAGAAATGTTAAAGTTCTGATCCTCTTCATTATGCCCAGCAGACTTTTTGTCAACGGCAGTACCTGATCCCCCTGCTGCCTGATGCATTAGTAATCCTTCTAGGTAAGTTAAAACAATAGAATCCTGGTGCACATCAGAGCCAAGCTCTTCTCCATGAGTCATGTTCAATAGAAGTGTTCACAAGGGCTTGGTTTCTATTCACTTTAAAGAATGGTTTTCTGTGGTGAGTGCGATGTAACTTTAATAAAGGAGTATCAGTTTATCACCTTCCATCGCAATCAGAGAGAGACGTACTGTTACATTCTGTCCAAGATTTCTTCTGGCAATGACAAGATAAATGCAGTCTGACCACAGTGCTGATCAACTTCTACGCAAGGAGGAGGAGAAGAATTCCTTAACACATAGGTCTGTAGCAGTAAGCAGATAGAATCCTTAGTGAATATATTCCTTTTCCTTCTTCATCTTTTGTTCCCCATTAAATGCAAATATCAGTGTTCTAAAAAAAATAAAAATAAGAATAGTTAAGGAGGCAGAACTAGAATCACGTTATGATACCTACAAGCAAAATAATATAGCATCTGTAAATGTATATATATATTACATATAAATAATAGACATATAAATGGATTATAGTCACTTTAGTAATTTGTTTTATTGCCGTTCCTATTCAATTGAAAATGTCTACTGGAAATCCTGTGGGTTAATGCATACTGTTAAAATGATCAAATCATTAGAGAAGAGAACATACTTTAATGTTACATAGCCATCTTCCAAAGCCGCCAAGTCTCTGAATTTTCATAAGCACCTTTCTGCAAAGTAATGTGAATGTTCAGTCTCCTTTATAGCTTTATAGCTCTACAGGGGAACTAGAACTTGCTTCCTTACATTACTGGGCACTTAGGAAGAAACAAAAGTAGATGTGCAGAAAAAGGAAAAGAGATGCAGACTCTGATGAGTCTGATGTGGGGTTGAGGCCAACAGAACAGATTCATTTCTGACATCATCCCCCAAACACCAGACATTCCATAAGTAATTTTTAGAATTTCCGTTTTCAAAAAAATGAAACCACTAACAAGTTGAAGATTATTTTGTGAGTCTGTTCAAAGTGTGACCATCTTAATCATATTCATAAACATTAAAATACAGTCATAAACTTACCTACCCATACTTTTTACCATGACTTATTAAAGACAGAGAGGAGTGATTCTTTAGATGCTTGTTCAGGGCTATCAAGGGTTTAATGTAGTTCGTTAGTAAATCCTTACTCATGTGCTCTATGGAGAAGTCTTAATGTCAGGTCCATTCCTTACAGATACAGAAGACAGGGAGGGCATAAACATATATAAAAAGTACAATGGAGAATGCCAAAGACATTTTAGTCACAGTTTGAAAAATATTCCAATGATATTTATTATCTAAGAAGAGACCAAAAAATTTCCTATCACTAACACATACACAACAGAAGAAGCAAGAACTCATTGCATTTCTGAAAACTTGATAGGTAAGTGTCAAAATTGACCTAAGGAAGGGGGGCCATGACACCTTTGGAAGAGAAGCTGGAATAAATTCCATGCAGTTTGTTTTTCAAGATGCCAGAACATTTTGTTTAAGTTATCAGACCTGAAGCTATCAACAAATACCTTGGTCCCTATGGAATTTAAAAGATAAATTTTAATTGAAAGACTACCCTGTAGCTTTTTAAGTACAATGCTTAACTCTAAGTCAAACTTTAGGAAATAATTATCTGATTGTATCAAATTGTTGAATTTATTGATTAAAAGGATAAGAAATGATAGCCAAAGAAAAAGATACAGAAAGGAGGCAGCAACAATTAATTTCAACTGTGTAAGGAGTAGGATGAGAAGAGACTTTCTTGAGATTCCAATGCCACCATTTTAAGAAGCTTTGCCATAATGTACTTAAGATGGATATTTTAAGAGGTTAATAATGATATAGAAATGAAATGGTTATCATGACTGCCACCAAATATCCATTCTCCCATTTTCATTTACTAATAAAACCCTGACTTGTTTTTCAGGGAGTAGGGAGGTATCCCAGCTAAACACTACTTTTCTCCCCCCTCTGGTTATATTTTACAATTGATGGCATGTTGCTTAATTGGAGGCTTATTTTTCTTTCTTAGTGGTATAAAACATACGGGTACATTTTACAACTGATAACATCTTGGAGTTGAGGAAACCCAGTTTTCTAATTCTCTCAAAAAACTTAATATGGCCAGGTACGGTGGCTCACACCTGTAATCCCAGCAATTTAGGAGGCCGAGGTGGGTGGATCGCCTGAGGTCAGGAGTTTGAGACCAACCTGACCAAAATGGTGAAACCCCATCTCTAGTAAAAATACAAAAATTAGCCGGGTATGGTGGCATGCGCCTGTAGTCCCAGCTACTCAGGAGGCTGAGGCAGAAGAATTGCTTGAACCTGGTAGGCAGAGGTTGCAGTGAGCCGAGATCGTGCCACTGCACTCCAGCCTGGGTGACAGAATGACACTCTATCTCAAAACAAACAAAACAAAAATAACAACTGCTAATATACAATTAATTCTCAACTAGTTAAGACATTTAACAACCATTTAATGGGATATGCAAGTCCACTGTATTTCTCTCCACACCACTGCCAACCTTTTTGCTCTTGGGTAGACTCAAGAAAGTCAAAATCATACCAGTCATTTGAAAACTGGTTTGTAAACAGCCATAAAACATACTTTATTTAAGAATAAGAATGAAATAAGGAGCATCTTTGAGTTCATATTACTCCTGTTATTGCTTTCTACTTTTTACTGTGCATGATATAATTTGCAAAGTATTATTCATTGCTTTAAAAAGACTGAATTTACACATTTCTGAATTTACAAAGCAGATTTGGAAGTTGATTTAAAAAGGAATTATCACAGTTTCCTTGTAAAGGAGCTCTAACACTGTATTTTACCATTTATTTACCTCTCTACCATTTATTTCCTATCTTCACAGAGAAAGTAGATGACAGATATTAAGAATAATCATCTCTTAATAATCCATTTTTTGGCAATCAGCTTTCTCAGGTTGAAAATCATTTCTTACATATGAAAACAATTTTTAACTTCAAGAACGAAAATGACATATACAAATAATTTTATTAAGCTCCTTGGGTCTGAGGACTGTGCTAATTATAATTACTACAGTGCAACACAGTCAACAGATAACTGAACCTTGGGATACATTAAGTTATTCAATGACCAAATTCCCAGTAGGAAGGAAGGGAATTTGACATTCAAACACACACATTCTCTCACTCTCAAAAAATATATAGATGAGATACTAAAATAATTCGAATCACAAATTTGAAACCACACACTGTAGTTCATCACTTGAAGGAATCACGAGGAGAAGGTCATTCTAAATATTCAATTGTTTATTTCATTTAAATCAATACAACATATTCTTACTGAACTCCCAATCTGCTTCAAGATCTGTCTTAGGATTGGTGAATTATGTTCATTTTTAAAAAGGGATGTGATAGACAACATCTAGAGAAACAGGCAAGGTGAACATCCACCTTTAAGTTTCTAGAACATCTCTAATAATAAAAATATCTTCTCCTCATGCTACTTCTTTTCACATTTTCACATGACTCTTATATCACCAAGCACAAAAAAATTAAAAAATGTGATATGAAAAATCTTCCAAAGATTGTTTTAAGATTTTTAAATGAAAACTATAAAACAAACATTTTTAGTTCAGAAAATGTGGTTACCATAGTATGGATAAAAGTCACTATGTGTATGCACTAAGCTTTCACACTTTCTTCTAGAGAAGTGGACCAGTAACACATTTAGAATAGATTTAAAAGGAAGATGAATAATTGCTTCCAAAATATTCTAAGTCAAGGCAGTTATTTTTCATTAATTTCTTTGAAAAAAATCCTATAAAACGTACCAATTACATGAAGTAGTGGAGAAAAAGGATTTTCTTATGGAGACCTGTTTTTTAAATGAGATAAATCTGTAAATCAAAGATTGTGGTCACGTGGAGAGGCTGCCTCAGGTGACACAGCAGCAACACCTACCACTGTTCTAGCAGAAAATGAAGTGTCTATCCTAGGAAAGCAGGAATTCTTACACCCCTTAAGGCCTGAACGCACTTAGCTCCTTCTATTGAAAGCTCTTCAGGGAGCAGAGTGAGCCAAATTTCTTTAGATATCTTCCTTTTCTATCTCTTAAACTAGAGAGGGAGAAATCACTAACAATCCTTCTCACCTTTCCCAATCCTTGCCTTTTCATTTCTATAGTATAGAATATAATTGAGAAATATAGCAAAAAAAGAAAATGAGGCACGATACTAAATAGTACAGCTTGTTGGGACCTATGGATTTAGGGTATTAAGGTAAAATATGACCACTACCTAATAAATAGACGTTTTAAGGTTAAAATGTTATTTTAAGTTATTCAATATTAGCTTAACTCATTTTCTTTTAGTGAAAGACAACCACATTATTCATGAAATTCCAACATATAGTTCTCTTGCCTGGTTTTATATAAATATAACTTAAGAATGTTGCCAGGTGTATTCTTGAGTATATTTAGTTACCAATACCTAAAAGTCAACACACATTTAATAATTAGGTTTCTTTAGAGCAGCAGTCCCCAACCTTTTTGGCACCAGAGACTGGTTTCATGGAAGATAATTTTTGCATGGAGTAGCGGGGTGGAGATGGTTTCAAGATGAAACTGTTCCACCTCAGATCATCAGGCATTAGATTCTTATAAACAGTGGGGAACCTAGATCCCTCACATGTGCAGTTTACACTAGGGTTCGCACTTCTATGAGAATCTAATGCTGCCACCGATGTGACAGGAGGCGGAGCTCAGGCGGTAATGCTTGCTGGCCCACTGCTCACCGCCTGCTGTGTGGCCCAGTTCCTAACAGGCTTGGCCTGGGGGTTGGGAACCCCTGCTTCAGAGAATTGCAATTAATGTATATTTTGAAACTGGAATTGTTTATAAAATATTGAATCCTCTGGTTTGTTATTTTCTTAATTTTGATGGTGATTTCATTAGAGCTTGTGCATGTGTCTATTTAAAGTTATTAAACATTTGCATCACAGTAAGGGAGAGACTTTACTTGTATGGTATATACTTGTTAAATAACTTCTAAGTAAAGAAAACAGAACTTTTCTAGAATTTGGCTTATGGCGGATGAGAAGAACCAAAGGAAGTAAAAATACTAAAGGGACAGAAAAAGAAAAAAAAAAGGGAAAAATACTAAGAACAAATAAAGGCATCATGAATTCTGCAACTCTCATGAGGTGCCAGAAGGAAAAACTTAGTTTACAAACTAAGTAGATTATATTACTAGCCTGCCTTTAAACATTAGGTTGGTAGATATGACATGCAAAGTGAAGAAACATCTTTTATGAACACTAAAAATGCATATATACAACGAGAAAAAAGTAAAACCTACACAATAATAGAATAAAAGCTAACTCAGTGATGTTTGTTTCAACTTGGCTGTCATTTTTATAGAGTGGTTCCATAAAATTTTGAGGAAAAAATGGTTAATTTTAACAAAAAATTTAGTATAACATTCAGGATACCAAGAAGTACTAAATTTTGATTTCAGTATTATCGTCTTAAGTGAAAATCAGCTCGCATAATTTTTTTTTTTTTTTTGAGACAAGTTCTCATTCTGTTGCCCAGGCTGGACTGCAGTGGTGAGATCACAGCTCACTGCAGCCTCAGCCTCCTGGACTCAAGGGATTCTCCCACCTCAGTCTCCCAAGCAGCCGGGAATACAGGTGTGTGCCACCATGCAGAGCTGATTTTTTTTTTTTTTTTTTCCTGTGGAGATGGGGATCTCACAATGTTGCCAAGGCTCATCTTGAACTCTTAGCCTCAAGTGGTCCTCCTGCCTTAGCCTCTCAAAGTGCTGGGATTACAGGCGTGAACCACCACACCTGGCTCTTTTACAATTTTAGTTCATTTTAACCCTCAGTACACCAAGAAAAACAGTCATCATCATTTATCATCTGGGTCCAAAAGACATTTTATTAATATTTAAGTTAATTCATGAATAATTTACACAATAAGAATAAAGAAATGACACAAAACAACTTCACTGATTTTTTTTCATAAGAATTTAAACATAACATTGTAATTCAATTCTTCATTCCCTGTTTTCCTGGTTTTGAAGGAGTATATATCTGAAAAGGACAAGGCGCTTTGAAACTGACAGCTCATCAACAGGTTCATGGATGAACCTGGAAATATTTATAAATATTGATTCCAGATTTCAGGTATGTGTTTAAAAGGACTCTTGGGTCTTCTTCTTGTACTTGAAGAATTCAAAATGTGTTACTTTTGATAATTTTAATAGCTCATAATGATGTTGAAAAGATGACAGAAATTTCTGCTTCGTAATTGCCCAATATATTTCATTTTTAGACTAACAGCAATTACAATGATCAATCCAATGAATTACTTCATTTCTGTATCATCTCTTTCTTTACAATCTCCTCTATCAAACACCTGCCTTAAGTATCTGTCCACTTACGAACAGTGTCAAATAAATTTGGTGTTCCAAAAATCATAAAAGATGAAAGAATACTGTCACACACCCTTTGAAGAAAACAGAGCCATTGAAGTTTTTGCCACAAAACACTTGAGTGTTGAATACCGAGCAATGCAGTCTTTCCTAATGAATAACTAACTGTATGAAAATACTATACTTACTTTTTGTCCTGAGAACTGTATTTTTGAACTATATTGTTACTCATTGCTCCCTGTGTTTGAGAAAATTCACCTGGCTGGGCGCAGTGGCTCATGCCTGTAACTTCAGCACTTTCAGAGGCTGAGGCAGGATGAATGCTTGAGCCCAGGAGTTCGAGACCAGCCTGGGCAACATGGCGAGACCCCATCTTTACAAAAACATTAAAAAAAAAATAGCTGGGTGTGATGTTATCAGCCTGCAGTTTCAGCTACTTGGGAGGCTGAGGTGGGAGGATCACCTGAGTCTGGGGAAGTCAAGGCTGCAGTAAGCCATGATAGCACCTGTGCACTTTAGCCTGGGTGACAGAGCAAGACCCTGTGGAAAGAAAGAACAGGAAGGACGAATGGATGGAAGGAAGGAAACATTCATCTAGGATGTATCTGAAGACAACAGTCAGTGGTATTGCTTATATAATCAATAGCACCATAATCATTCACATGTAAAGTATTAGCATCAGTTTTTTTCCATTCATCTTCTGGTTTATCTAAGTGAAATATCTTCGTTTGTCAACTTTCCTCTTTGACATTACAGACAGAAAAATACTGAATCATCAATTTTTAATAAAAACTTAAAACAAAAGGGAAAGACTATAAAGACAGTGTCTCCAGATGTTTTATTTTTATTTTTTTACATTCTTGAAAGATAATGTAGTATAATGGGCTCTAAGAAAACTGAAGATGGGGCTGGGTACGGTGGCTAGCCTGTAATCCTAGCACTTTGGAAGGCTGAGGTGGGAGGATCACTGGAGCCCAGGAGTTTGAGGTTACAGTGAGCTATGACTGAGTTACTGTACACCGCATTCTAGCCTGCGTGACAGAATAAGACACTATTTCTTTAAAAAAAAAAAAAAAAAAGGAAGGAAGGAAGGGAGAGAGAGAGAGAAAGAAAGAAAGGGAGGGGAGGGGAGGAATAGAATGACGGTAAAACAGTGATGATTTCAGTATTGCCTCATCCTTCTAGACACTTCCGTTATTTTTACTTTTTATTATTTTAGCCTTTTTTTTAAAGGACAGTTGGGAATAAATAATAAATTCATTGCCAAAATGGTAAAATGCCAAAATACTTAAAGATACAGAAAAAATAAGATCACTAAGATTCCATATGTACTTTTGACTTCTAAAAGGTTCCAATGGACATATATAGTAACAGCAAGGTACTATGTTTGAGTCTATTAAGGACACATTCATTAAAACTTCAAAAATGTGGTATTATCCTTCCTACCACTTACAAATATATTTTTTAAAAAAGCATTTGAAAACTAAAACTGAGTCCAAAGAACCCTGATAGTATACCAAAGGTTAATGTATTTCATGATAATAAAATTCATGTCCAACTACTTAACAATGTTAAAATTATAAACAGAATCTTCCTTTTATTAATTTAAAATTGTTTATAAGCATAAAAATCCTTTAAAGTTTATAAAGTTAAGATTTTACTGATCTACATCATGTGGTGGAAAAAATCATTGTGGTGAAAAAGAATTATTTTAGAAAGTAATAAAATCAAACTAAACCATGAAAAAATTCCATGGAATCTTCACCATATGCGTAGATTGATTTGGGGAAAGATCTAAGTTTCAACACAAACTAGTTTAATGAAATATCTAATAAAATGCTTGAATTACACAGTATATTTTAAAAAGAGCTACATTTACTTTTTTTTATAAGTATCTGAAAAGTACAGAACTAAGTGATAGGTAATTTTTTTAGAGCTTTTTAAATAAAAGACAGTAGTAAATACTGTGCATACTAACAGTTCACAAATGGGTGCTATATTGATTCTCTAAAATAGCTAAACTATTTTCATTGCAATATGTTTTACATTTTCTGTTTGGAAATGGTTTATTAAACAAAGGGAAACTTTGTGGAACTTCTACACACTTTAAAATGATAAAATCCAAGTGATAAAATTTTACTTAGTTAAATGAAGAATGCATCTGGCAGAATTCTTACATGTAGGACTATTTTTGGTTGAGAATAGAGAAATAATGACAACGGTCTTTCTCCAGCTGTTTTTAAGGATTCAGTATCTTACTTGCAATTAAATACTCCATTAAAAACACATTTAAATGATTAAACATCTACGAGTTCACTTGGTATGCCATTTAAATTATATCTAAGGACTACCTCATGACTTCCAATTGTGTCCATGAGATCTCCCCCAATTTGTTCTGCAATATCAAGTAATACCTATTTGAGTACTGAATTTAAAGGGATTTCTACAATGCAGCTTTGACCATTAGGACACTTGGCTTTGCCTGGTTCCTCAAAATGCGTAAGTAATCAAAGGGCTACTTAATTATGTCATTCAAGAATAACTCCTAATGGACAATATTATTATCTATATTCCACTGTGGATAATTTCAGGGGTATTTTTATACAAATGGTAAGAAAAACATTAATATGTTTCATTAAACATTAGAAGAAAAATATCTAAGTACATACTAAGAAGATTCCAAAGTCCTAATTATTGACTCTTTTATTTAAAAAAAATACAGATCCAGGTATTCGGAGAACTCTCGTTGTTCTCCAAAGCAGGGCTTTGAAAGGAAGTTTTAAAAGCTGAATGAGAAACACTAAGCCAAAAACAATTTACCAACAGGATGTAACTCCAAACATTTTATCCGAAGGGATGAAAGTAGCTTTCCAAACCAAGGGCCAATGAAAAGTTAAAATACGTAAAACCCAACACTTAATTTCACATAAAAAGAAAGGAAAAGTAACATTTTAGGTATGGGTCCCGAAGTTTCATTTAAGAAGACAACAGTGAATCCTCTATTATCAATTAAAAAGTCACTGGAAAAAACATTTAAAAAGGAATAAAAGAAACATTCAAGTGTTGACATTTCACAGCAGGGAATAATAAGACAATAAAAGAATATGCCTGAAGTTTCATTTCTTAAAATATATTTCTAATTACTTGAAAAAAATGAATCAAAATTAATATATGTCTTTTAAGGGAATCTGAATTCCAAGATAATAACTTTCTTTGAAGTATTATCTTTATGAAAAGGTAGATGTGTGGTCATACAATTTAACAGATGCCAAAAATAATTATCTAAATACATTTTGCTCAACTGAGGGCCTCAACATTTGAAATGAGAACTGAGGAGTTTCTTGCTCTCTCCCAGGGGTTCTCATTTTAGGTGCAGATACTCCTCAGAGACAGGTGGCATGGACACCAGAGACACCGGTGACGAAAACAGCTGCCCAGGCTGCTCTCCACTGCAACCTGAAGGACTTAATTTTTTGGCCCAAGGCCAAATTTGCTCCTAACTTCTAGGTCCATTGGCTTTAACTTGCTCGTCAGCTGCTTCCATAGGAGTAAAATAGTGTCATTCACATTCCCAACTAAAAAAGACTCATTAGAGACACTCCTGCGGGAGTAACTCAAGCATTCAACGCAAGGACACATGTATATGAGGACCCCTCTAAATCTAAAATTTTATTCCTATGATTCCAAGTAATTTGTCAAATTATAGCTGATGAAAATGACAAGCATTTTAACGAGAAAGATGATATGCTGTCATAAAGTTGTGGAAATAGCCCTGACCAATATGTTTTACTGTCTTTTCAATAAATTCCGGGGGAAGGAAATGGTTTTGAAATAGCCACACACTCAACCCACCTAATGCCCCAAAAGGTATCTATGTTCACAACTTTCTTCTGTAGGGTCACAGAATTGCAAACAGATGTTTATTTAAAAGCTAAATATGAGCTTATATTCAAATTGGAACTTTTGCTTATCTCATAACAGCTATATACTGAATAAAATGGAGGATAATCACAAAGATTTAAGATCTTTGATGACACAAATAAAAGAGACAGATGAAATAACCGTTCTGGTGACAGAAAGAAACACCCCATAATTGATACGGCAAAATAAAGAAGGGCTTCTTTGTTTTGAATTCTCCTCAGAAGGCCTAGGTATATGAATCGGATTCAATAAATTTGCTATTCATTTTACACTGCCTCTATAGTTAATCTTAAAAACATTTAATTTTTAAACAAAATTAAGATGAAAAAGTTGGAGATTTTAAGTTAAAAATCAAAGATCTAGACAAAGGAGCTAGAGAAAGAGCTAAACTGCCAAACAATTTCTATTTCAAAAACACAATACATTTCTGGATGCTGTACTTCACTCTGTCTTGAAAATACTGACACTGGAAAATTGTTAAATAAAGTTAATTTTACCTACAATTTTTAAAGCTCCAGAAAACTATTACATGACAGACAGTACATACCTATTTATGATTAGTACTAATGTCTATTCACTACCTTCTACTGTTATCAAAGAAACAATAGTTTTTCTTAATGAACACAAAATAATCATTAACAAATTATTTTGGCAGCACATAAGTATAAGAAAAGAGTGTAAATACAAAATTAACAGAGAGTGTTTGCTTCTCACCTTTCTCAACAGCTCTTTGGAGTAACTGGTGCTTTCTATCAGTTTTCAAGAGCATAATATTTTCCAATCTCTATCAAAATAAGAAATGTAATGGAAAATGGATCTTTCTTCTTCTGGAATTGCTTGAGTGTTTATAGTATATATGCAGGGATATCCTTTGAGATGGGAGCATCAATCCTACTAAACTCAACTATGGTTTCCCCATCCCTAAAATAGATTTGACATACAGACACAAGCACAAGGTCAAGGTCACAGATCAGCAAGAAAGATTACCAACAGAACTGATGTAACCAGCTGGCTTTTGATCAAAGCTCCTAGGGTTTTTAGTACACTTAGACACTCTGCACTTACCCACATAGTATATACTCTGTTTTAAAAATGTTCCCCATCTTTGAAGTCAAGATCTTCATGCACTTCTTATTATAAAGTATGTTTTGTTAAATATATTGCATTGGATCAAGAATAAGAGGAGAAACCAGTATGTTTGTTTTTTTTAATAGCGACGGGGTTTTACCTTCTTGGCCAGGCTTGTCTTGAACTCCTGACCTCGTGATCCACCTGCCTTGGCCTCCCAAAGTGCTGGGATTACAGGTGTGAGCCACTGCACCCGGCCAGAATTGTGAATTTTTATGTGTTTGTGTGCCTGTATATATATATGCTTGCACTTTTATTTGTTTGCTTGTTATAACTGATCATTGCCATGTGACAATTTTAAAATTAACTTAACTTGCAGTTCCCTGAATAGATAATGCTCTCTCATAATTCCAAGCTTTTGACCCATCTGAAACTGAAATTAGTAGTATGCTCTGCAATGCCTTGGGTCACTTGTTCCCAAAAACACAGACTTAACTTGTAAGTCACTGCTTCAACAAAAGAAGTTTTATAATTTATCCATAGTCTTCCACAACAATTTTCAAATCACAGGGATCAAAAGAAACTTTAGTTATCAACAATGACAAAAACAAAAAGTGATTCTTAAAGGAATATATTATTAAATATATTAGTGCAGGCTAGATGTGGTGGCTCAACCTGTAATCCCAGCACTCTGGGAGGCTGAGGCGGGAGGAGTTCAAGACCAGCCTGGCCAACATGGTGAAATCCTGTCTCTACTAAAAATACAAAAATTAGGTGGACACAGTGGCATGAGCCTGTAATCCCAGCTACTCAGGAGGCTGAGGCACGAGAATCGCTTAAACCTGGAAGGCGGAGGTTGCAGTGAGCCAAGATCGCACTATTGCACTCCAGCTGGGTGACAGAGCGAGACTCCGTATCAAAATAAAATAAAATAAAATAAAAATAAAATAAATACATACATATATGCAATTATCTAACAAAATCATGCCTTTTGTTTTAGCTGTTTAAACAAGATGTTAAATTTATTTTAAGTTACATTTATGAAACCAAGAGTTATGTGATCAATGTTCTTACTGAAGCATTCTGGTCAAGAAATCATTTTGAAGGATGCATAAAGCTGTTGGGGTAAATTTACACTATAAAAGCTTTCCTTGCTAAATCAAGTACCACCTGCTGTAGCTTTATACAATTTGCAAACTACTTATGCTATATGTACATGTAAATGTTCTCAATTAGTGGTTTTTCATATTTTTGATAAATTAAATACCTTTGCATGAAAATAACCCAAAATTTACTATCCTAGAAAGATTGCTAGTTTTTCAAAAATAAAGTAAAAAAGAAAAATTATGTCAAATTATCAAATTAAATACTATTGAAATGACTTATATGACATCACTCTAGTCATTACAGGCTCCAAACACAAAGATATCTAGATAGAAGTTTCCAGTCAAGCTGTGGAAGAGAAATATCACTACAGACACAATTCATGAGCACCCAGACATGGTGGTGATACCTGTGAAGAGTCAATAAATCTGACTAGGTCCCATCCTACAGGATTAAGGAATCAAAACCAAAAATACTACATGCACAATGTACCTGCAGAAATTCTATGTCTTTAAATTTTCACAGGTAACATTAAAGTATGTCTGTCAACTTGGAAAATGAAGCTACCAGCACACCATCAGCAGGCCACTTACTTACTTTAAATGGTTTTATTTATTTTTATTGAAGAAACTGCGGTGCGTGCTTTACCCTGATCTCTTATTTGCCCATCTATCCATACAACCAAGTGTTTGAAGTACTAATCTCAGGAACAATAGCCAGTAAATGCTAATCTGAGAACCAGTTCTGCTGTTGTCCAGGTTTAGGGCACGTTCTGCCTGTGCAGCAGGGACAGTGACACATGCTCCTTGGCATGGCACCTGCCACTCATAGTCAGATACAGACCCAGGTTGGGGAGACTCAGGAGGCTTTAGAGGATGACTCCGGTGTGCTGAGGAGACAGAGGCAGATTAGCGGTCTAGGGAATGTGGGTCAGGGCTTTTGTGATTTCAATTGTTGGACCAAAAATGTTTCAGAACAACTTTTCTCTTAACAATAAAGAACATTAAAAACAACTACTTACTTCCTACTATTAGCATCATTTAATAAAATTAAATCACTTTAACACTGAAAACTAAAATCTTTAATGAAAATCTCTCATCATTTTTCTGTTGCTTTTTGTCTTGAGATAGAATGATGTGTGGAATAGTACATATATACTATATTGATCTCTTCACTATTTAGTAGTTCATTTGATTTTTTTTTTTTTTTTTGAGACAGAGTCTTGCTCTGTCACCCAGGTTGGAATGCAGCAGCGCCATCTCAGCTCAGCACAACCTCCGACTCCCCAGGATCAAGCGATCCTCCTACCTCAGCATCCTGAGCAGCTGGGACCACAGGCACACACCACCATGCCTGACTAACTTTTGATTTTTGTAGGGACGGGTTTTACCATATTGCCCAGGGTGGTCTCAAGCTCCTGGGCTCAAGAGATCCTCCTGCCTTGGCCTCCCAAAGTGTTGAGATTACAGGCATGAGCCACGATGCTCGGTCCTAGTTCATTCAACTCTTAAGTTACTTAAATCTTTACATCAGAATTTCCCACTGTTTATATTTTGCTTTGTGTTTTGGTCTTTCCCTTGATTTCAATTATCACATTTATATAAAATATATAATTTGTTCTATAGAAATTCTTGTCATTAAACAAGAGGTTATAAATAAGACAGCAGGGGAGAAACAGGGCAGTAAGAAGAATAAAGAACCTTCTGCTTAGTGCCCTTCCCCCCATATCATCCTTACCATCCTCATCTTTTGAGGAAAAATACATCAGACTTAAAAATGCATACAGAATCCTGTAATAAGCCCCATTTGTTTACAGTCAAGCTAAACAACTAGGACATTTCTTTCATTCTGTAAGTCTCAGCTGACAACTCATCCTCTCTTTAGGCAGCCTTCACTGAACTCCATAGCCTGAGGGTAGTTGTTCCTCTCTGTGACTCCACGGCACTCAGTAGATCTTTCAATCATCTTGCTTACAAAACTGTACGGTCACACGTCATTTTATTGTGCTTTGCTTCATTGTACTTTGCCATTATTGTGGGGTTTTTTTTTGTTTTTTTTTTGTTTTTTTTTTTTACAATCTAAGGATTTGTGGCAATTCTGTTGAGGAAGTCTATTGGTACCACTTTTCCAACAGCATGTGCCCACTTTGTAGCTCTATGTCTCATTTAGGTATTTCTCACAATATTTCAAGCTTTTTCATTATTATTCTATCTGCTACGGTGATGTGTGATCTTTGGTGTTACTATTATAATTGTTTTGGGGTGCCATGAACTGTGCCCATATCACAGCATACTTAATAAATATGTATGTTCTGATTGCTCCACCACTTAGCTGTTCCCATCTCTCTCCCTCTCCTCAGTCCTTTTTATTGCCTGAGACACAACAATATTGAAATTAGATCAATTAATAACCCTACAATGGCCTCTGTGTGTTTTGCATGTCTCACACTTTAAATCAAAAGCTAGAAATGATTAAGCTTAGTGAGGAAGGATGTTGAAAGCCAAGACAGGCCAAAAGCTCAGCCTCTTGCACCAGTTAACCAAATTGCAAATACAAAAAAAAAAAACAATTATTGTAGGAAATTAAAAATGTCACTCCAGTGAACACATGAATGATAAGAAAACAAAACAACCTTATTGCTGACATACAGAAAGCTTTTGTGGTCTGGATTTAAGATCAAACCAGCTATTACATTCCCTTAAACCAAAGCCTAATCCAGAGCAAGGCCCTAACTCTCTTCAATTCTATGAAGACTGAGAGAGGTGAGGAAGCGGCAGAGGTGGCTCATACGATTTAAGGGAGAAAACAATAAAACTGCAAAGGGAAGCAGCAAATGCTGACAGAAAAGCTCAGCAAGAAAAGCCAGAAGATCCAGCTGAGTGAGATAAATGATGAAGGTGGTTACACTAAACAACAGATTTTCAATAGAGACAAAACAGCCTTAAATTGGAAGAAGATTCCATCTAGAAATTTCATAGCTAGAGAGAGGTCAATATCTGGCTTCAAAGCTTCAAAGGAAAGACTGACTCTCTTGGTAAAGGCTGATGAAGCTGGAACTTGAGGTTGAAGCCAATGCTCATATACCATTCCAAAAATCCTAAACCCTTAAAAATGACGATAAATCTACTCTGCCTTTGCTACATAAATGGAACAACAAAGCCTGGAGGAAAGCACATCTGTTTACACCATGATTTGCTGAATATTTTAAGCCCGCTGTTGGGACCTACTGGACAAAAACAAAAATTCCTTTCAAAATATTACAGGCCATGTACCTGTACACTAAGAGCTCTGCTGCAGTTGTACAAGGAGATTAATGTTGTTTTTATGCCTGCTAACACAACATCCATTCTGCAGCTCATGGATCAAAGAGTAATTTTGACTTCATATCTTATTGGAAAAACACATTTTCTAAGGCTTTAGCTGTCATCAAAAGTGATTCCTCTGATTGGATCTGGGCAGAGTCAACTGAAAAGCTTCTGAAAAGGATTCACCATTCTAGATGTCATTAAGAACATTCATGATTCATGAGGGGAGGTCAAATATCAACATTTGCAACTTCATGGATGACTTTGAGGAATTCAAGACTTCAGTGGAAGAAGCAACTGCAGATGTGGTAGAAAAAGCAAAAGAACTAGAAGTGAGCCTAAAGATGTGGGTAAATTTCTGTAACCTCATAATAAAACATAAATGAATGAGGAGTTGTTGCGGGTTTTTTTTTTTTTTTCAACTCCTGAGCTCAAGTGATCCTCCCACATCGGCCTCCCAAAGTGCAGGGATTACAGGCATGAGCCACTACACCGAGCCTGAGGAGTTGCTTCTTACACATGTGTAAAGAAAGCAGTTTCTTGAGATGGAATCTACTCTGGTGAAGAGACTGTGAACACTGTTGAAAAAACAACAAAGGATTTAGAATATTCTGTAAATATAAACTTAGTAGATAAAGCAGTAGGAGGTTTGAGAGGATTGACTCTTTTTGAAAGAAGTTCTCCTGTGGGTAAAATGCTATCATCAAACAGCAACACATGCTACAGAGAAATATTCCATGAAAGGATGTCAGTCAACGTGGCGAATTTCATTGTTGTCTTATTTTAAGAAATCATTACAGAGACCCCAACCTTCAGCAACCTCCCCCTGATTCTTCGGCAGCCATCAACATGGAGGCAAGGCCTCTACCAGAAGAAAGATTATAGTTCTCTGAAGGTTCAGAGGATCATTAGTATTTTTTTAGCTATAAGGTATTTTTAAGTTAAGGTATGCACATTATTTTTAGACATAATGCTATGGCACACTTAACAGACTACAGTATAGTGTAAACGTAACTTTTATATGGACTGAAAAACCAAAAAATGTGCTTGCTTTACTGAGGTATTCATTTCACTGCAGTGTCTGGAATTGAACCTGCAATATCTCTGAGGTATGCTTGTGTTTTGGTTCGTTAAGGCCTGGTTCCCCATGAGAGTATAAACTCCTTATGGGCAAGAATTATGTCTTTTTCATCTTTACATCTTAGCACCTAGCAGAGGCAGCATTCCTAGTAGAACATGCTGTAAACAGCAAGTAAACCTTTTGGAGCCTTGGTCTGCAAAATAAGGAGTGGGCTGTCATAATTCTATGGAAATAGGAGAATTAAAATGATATGACAATGTTATTTAAAATGATGGTTTCAGATCCAATATATCTTTTTCCCTGGAATATAAATTAATAAAAAGGCACAAAATTAAAGAATAAAAAAGTATTTTATCCTACAGAGAGTTCTGTGGGTTTAGAAAACATGCGTGACTAATATTATGGTAGAAAACCCACAAGATTTAAGCCAGCTATCTATCATCTATCATCTGGTTTTAAACTCCTGACCTCAAGTGATCCACCCGCCTCGGCCCCCCAAAGTGCTGGAATTACCAGTGTGAGCCACCATGCCTGGCAAAGTATTTTAAAAATATACATATTTTTAGAGTATTTTAAAGTTTTTGTAAGATGATCTTTATTTTACCACTTGTTTATGAAGAACTGATCATACTAATTTGGTTTCTTTTAGTTGCTGTTTCCCATGTCAAGGTTAGTAAGATCTGGTATGGATTTAGGTTATATCAAGAATGAGTATATGCTTCAAAATACCAGTTCCATCAAGCTTTTCATCATTTTTCCTTTTCAAATTACCTCCCCTAGATAAAGATGAAAACCCAGTTAACATTAAAATACTACTTTGTTACATTTTCTTTTGATGGAGATATTAAGAAATGAAGTATCACATCAAAAGATTTAGTCTCTAAAACCAGACATTCATTCTAAAAAATAAGTTACAATGAAATAGGCAAAGTAAGCCTTTATGCAAGAAAGGCTTTTTATTTATTTATTTTTTTACAGTATCAACCACAATTAAACTATTTCTCTGTGCCCATTTTAAAAATCAATCATTGAAGCAGATAATAATTATATGCCAAAGAATTTGAGCCCTTTAAATGTGTGATAAAGATTAAATCAAATTGGTCAAAGCTATTCTTGGAATGATCTTTTTAATTTGAATCTGTATTTGTTGAAGAGCTTCAAGTATGAATGTTCAATGAATATGGCTAAATAAAAACAGTATCTTAACTAAAGTGATTAATTATGAAAAAAGTAGTGAAATTCCCTTTTAAATAACTGAAACCTGAAAAACTAAAAACCAATTCAACAACAACAACCATTACCCAAATAAGTCTTGAATACTGATGCAAGACGACTCACGTGTCATTGCCACGGCTTTCAACTTTTTACCATATTAGCATGTTACCATTAGTAGAAACATAAAATCAAGACAAATCACTCCTTTGACCTCTTTCAAAGAGTTTCAGATCCACTCTCGCCTTATGGCATAATATTAAACTTTAATAACATTTCTCAGGTCTGAGAAGGCTAAAAAGTCATGTGGGTCCAGAAAAGATCTCACTTTGCTGTGAATGGGTAAGATTTAGAAACCTAGTGTTCTAAAATGCATAGTTAAGACACTCTTTTATTTAGGCAATTGTTTAGGTATTTGTTTTAAATATATGACACATCAAATCAAATTTCCTTGTCTATAATTAGAAAACGGAGATTTTTGGCATATATTTTATTCATTTGAACTAACGACTTAAACTAAACTTACAAACATCTTATCCTTCATAATACCAGATTACACAAATTTAAAGAACTTGTATCCAATTGGAAGGGCAGCTAATTTTTATGAGGTGAAATCTATTTTCCTCTAATAATTTTGCCACTGGCTACTGTTTTCATAATAGCATGGCATGTAAAGTAATTCTCCAAACATGACAGAATCATAATTTAAAGGTTGGGAGGCAGTTGAAAAGTCATCTGCCTAATCAATCATCCTGTCTGATGCTTAATCCCCTTTATAACCCATTTGCTATCTCTGGATATCTAGCTTATTTCTAAAAACCTCTAGTGACCATGAACTATCTTCCAAGGTGGTCTTTTGGAGACGGATGGCTCTGGGTTCAATTTATTCCGGCTCTACCATTTACCAACTCTTTGATCATAGGAAAGTTGGCTACTCTTGAAAGTTTATCATTATTAAACGTGCAAAAGCACTAATACCTGTTTCATAGAGCCCCTGGGCTGAACAAATGTGGTAATGCTCACATAGCCTAGCCACAGAGTCGCTGCTCAGTAAGAGTTCCTTGCGTAACTCCAACAGTATGAAATTCTGCCTTGCACTGAGCTATAATCTGTTGAGTTTTAGTCTGACTATTGGTCTTTTTGGGGACACAAAAAACAAGGCTAATCCATCAGTTACCTTTCAAACATTAGAAACCTGCTGCCAGGTTCCACTGACCAGGTCTGTCACCTTGTTAAGGCCAAGATAAGATAGTGAAAACCCATTGTTGACAGGGGCTTAGCAAAGGGCAATCAAAGGAAGACAAATGTTCCTGGGGCCAGTCTGTGGTGGGTGCTGCAGAGATGCAATTCTTTACAAATTCTTGACTGGCCAAAACAGTGTATAAAACCTCCTGGGAGCTCTTGTCACTGACCGTTGATTCCTACAAAGTGTATTTTACATTTTAAAAGCCCTGCTTTATCACAGGTGCTTTAAGCCATACTCACCCTTCCTCGAATGAAATACTAGGATAGAGTTGTCTTTGATTCTCCTCACGGGGTTGGTTAATACATTATTTATCCTCATTCCCATGTTACCAGGGCACTAAAGCTCAGAACAACTGAGTGGTTGGTTAATTATCCAGTAAATGCCTGATCCAAAACCACGTCAAGGTCTTCTGGAACACAGTCTTTCCTATCATATTCAATTGCCACAGACTGTAACAAATGTGGATTTGAAAACTTTTCGTAAAGCAAAATTTATGCAGCACTCTGAGAATTCTGGATTACTTTTCCCACTCTAAAATCTTGTCTCTGCCAGTGTCAGTCTCTTGCTTTTATTAGGAAGGCCACAAAGCATTGTGGTGAAAAGAACAGTCTCTGGATTCCTGACTCTGCTATTCAGTAGTGGGTCACTTTGGTGGATTTACTTAACTGTTCCGAGGCTCAGTTTTTTCAGCTGTAAAAGGAATAATAATAGTATTTACCTTATAAAACTGTTGTATTAAATAAAAGGTACATGTAAAACAGTATAATATCTCACATTTTCTAAGCACTCAATGAATGTTAATTGTTTTACTATTCACAGACAAAGCTTCAGCCCAGAGAACTTTCTCAAACAAAATTTTTTTTGACTTACTAGTCACCCTATATAAAGCTCCTTGAGGCTTAGGATTGTCTTTTGTCTTTAGATAGATAGATAGATAGATAGATAGATAGATAGACAGACAGATAGATAGATAATATAGATAGATAGTATATATATATGTGTGTGTGTGTGTGTGTATATATATATATATATCCTGAAAAACTAAAGAAAAAGCATTTGGATCTGTAAAATAATTTAATAATCTAGGTAATTAATTCTTTCACTCATAATTTTGTGTGACAGGTTTACTTAAAGCAAAAAGTAATTTCATATACAAAAGATGCATATAATTTCTTCCTTACCTAAACCTTTTTCTTAAGAACCTATACCCAAACCACAGACCTCAGGAGAATGGAACAACACTGGGAACCTAACTAATGGACCAATCATTTCCTCTCTTGACATCTGGAATTCAGAGGGAGACAGAAAGCTTCATTTTGGAGTGGACTTCATGAGGCCACATTTCAGATTAGTGCCTAGAGGAGTCAGTATTCTGAGAGAAAAGATTGAAGTAAGCACACAGAGAGAAGCAGAGATGAGGGAGGCAAAACGAGGAGAGGAGAGGAGAGGAGAGGGAAGGGACAGCAGGGAGGTGCTGAATGAATGGCTTTCCAGCTTCAGGAGGGGCAAAGTACTCCGATCACCAGGTTCCTGAAGAGTTCGCTGCATGCCTCTAACAAGTCCTCCTGTACCTGAGCTTTGTTGAGGGGCTTCTGTTCCCTGTAATCACACCACCCCTAAGATACTGCAGTAACATTATGTAAGACAAACTGCACATTTTAATCCATGGTCCTGAAGAACTCTGCAAACGCTCTTTTTTCTCACTTTTCCTATGGTGCCTTTACCTCACGTATGGTCAAAGAGCAACATGTGGCTCTGAATTTCAAATGGGGAAAGCTAACAGCACAAAGAGGTAAATAAGATGTCCAAGGTCATACTTACAGTTTGTAGGGGCGGAACCAACAACAGAATTTCATATTTCTTATTCCGAGGGGCCTGCACTAACCAATAAACCAACTGCCTCCCTTGATGAAACTAAAGTATGCCAATTATCCAAACTGTGTAGGAAACGTTGACCAAAACAGGGGTTAATTGGACATTGGTTGTTTTAATTCCATAATCAGCTCCTTCCCTGAGCTACCCTGGGAGTGAATAACATATCTTTCACAGGAATGGGAAGGAAGCCAGCATAGGCCATCTGGCTGAACATGTCCTTTCCTCAAGTTATCCCTGCAGCTGTGTGAAACTTAACTGATGTTGAAGAACTTTACAGTTTAATTTGCTTTATCATGTTCCCTCTATTCCATTAAAATTAAAAGTAGACAAATCTTTATGTTCATATTAGCCAAGCAGTTTCCCTGACTCCAAAGTCATGGAATATACATGAACATATATAGTCTATGTGTGTGTGGAGGTGAGGAGGAGGGGAGCCTGAAATTTTTGGATATCAAGAAACACGTTTCATATTCAAAAAGAACAATTCATTTAGACTAGGGCCACTAGAAAATAAACAAAAACTTGTCATTTTCACATGAAAATGAAACTAAAATACTGGTCTTATTAATCATGAAAAAAAAAGAAACATGAAAGAGAATAGGTAGCTTATTTCCTTGCCCATTTTCCCCACTTCTCCTACTTTGTAAATTTGTAAATATGACAATAAATCTAGACTATTAAGTGGAAGAGTATTTCCTAATGAATACTCTAGAATCAGATGTGCATCCGTCAAGTGGGTTCAGTCACGATTCTAGCGCCACTAGCCTAAGAGCTGCTCCAGAAGGTGAGCATGTACTCTTTCCCTCTCAACAATTCTCTCTTCCTGCCTCCCTCCACCCCTCCTCTTACATGGTTTATTTTCTTCTTTTCTCCATCTTTTATTTCTCAAGTTTGAATGTATTTCTACCTGTCTTACTCATGAACATTGCTGGCATTCAGATACTGATATAATGCCACCATATTCCTTATGCTGGGAACTGTGTACTAGGGAGGGCCGGGGTGGGTTACTTTTAAGCAATGCAAATACTAATGCCCAAGTTTGGGTCAGACTAGGGCTGTCCAAGCCCTAGATGATGAGCCTTGAGCAAGGTTGAAGAGACTTGAGTAAGGATGAGAATTAATGAGGCAGTGTAGAGGGAATGTCTTTTCCCAATACAAAATTTAGGTACTATGACTATTAACTAGAAGAAGGTAAGAGCCAGAGGGCAACAGTAAGAAACAGCCAAGAGGTAATGAAATCTTAAAAGAGATGCTGGTGTTCAAGCTATATGTGTGAACAGACATGGAAAATGAATTCCTAAAGTGAAACTCTAATGCAAAGACTGGGTGGATGGTTATGTTGAAGTTGGCCAGCAAACAAAGACCAGATGGTTCTCCCTCAGAGGGCTAGATGGCAAAATATTAGATAAAGGGACCCTGATACAGCTAACTTCTATCATTTCTAGCATCATATGCCTGTATTTATAATAATAAATGGACATAGCATCTAATAATAAGTAGCCATCACACTGCCTGCAAAGTTCATTAGTGAAGTTGAGTGGGAAGAAGGGTTACCCTAGGTCAGGTAAGGCCAGTTGTACCTAAGGGCTCTACGTGCTTCTCGTTTCATTTGCTGCTGTCAACTATTAGGTTGCCGCATGTCTCTACTTCTTCTTAAATAAACTCTGATGGCTCCTGGTCCTAGATTACAGCCCTGGCCCAAAATGTCTTGACAACAATTGCCTAAAGGAAGGAGTCAGGAACAACAATTATTCCATGGTGTGATGGCTAAGAAAAAGAGGCAAAAGATTCCACTGCTGTAGTTCTAACTACTTCTCACTTACTTTCTTTGTGCGTATCATGTAACATGCCTCTTCTTATTAACAGGACCTGGGCTCTGTGGGACTGCTCTGAATCTGTCCATGCAAACCAACTTTTGGAACTCTGGGGCTACGAGATAAAGGAGAAGAAAAAATGTTCTAGGTGTTATTTTCTCTTTGTGCCTCACTCTATTCATTTAAAAAAAGAAAGCTCAACAAGATCCTCTTTGAGATTCTACTGCATTTTCCTGGGCTTCAGTTATTTTACCTCCTTATTTTAAAGGCCTTTTTGAGAATGTTGTTAGTTCAGCTAAACATGATGACTCTGCCTTTCTTCCTCTGCTCTATCTTGTAGGACTGATGTTCCTTTCAGGCAGAAGCATGCATTTCCACTCCTGACAGAATAAGATGCCTTATTTCACCTCCCCTATTACCCACAAAAAGGGAGACTTGTAAGTGTCACTCCAGAATTTTTGCCATTGAGTTTTAGAGAATATCATGGCCATAAAAAGGAAATAAAATTATTTGCATAAATAATGTCAAATTTTCAAAAAGTAAATGGAATAAAATACTCTTGTATAGAAAGGAAGAAATAAAAGGAAGCAAGGTCACTGTTCCATTCATTTTCCCCACAATATTATTAACACCCAGGCATATGATAAAGATTTGTCAAAAGACTTCCTAATATTAAATTGGAAGATGACTAAAAATGTTGTCTATTTACATCTGAGATAGCAAGAAACCTCATCCAGAATTAAAAAGCTGCGTTCCTTTCATCTTTTTTTTCCTTTTCCCCTTTCTCTGACCAACATTTTCTCCTCTATTCTAAATATTGTACACAGCCCAAAGGAAGTCAGTCTTGTTTTGTTTTGTATGCTTTCAGACAGGTCTCACTCTGTTGCCCAGGCCTGAGTGTGGTGGTGTGACCATGACTCACTGCAGCCTGAAACTCCTGGGCTCAAGCAATCCTCCCACCTCAGCCTCCGGAATAGACGGGGACTATAGTTGCGTGCCACCATGCTTGGCTAATTTTACATGTTTGTTTGTTTGTTTATAGAGACGGGGTTTCGAAATGTTGCCCAGGTTGGTCTAGAACTCCCGGACTCAAGTGATCCCCCGACCAGGCCTCCCAAAGTGCTGGGATTATCGGTGTGAGCCACCAACCCCTGCAGAGTCTACATCTGAAATAAACCACAGAAGCAAGGATATCACTTAAACAATGTAACTTACCAATTCAGTCTGAGTGAGTTTTGTAGTTTATAACATATTGATGAAAACAGTTAAGTGTCCACATTCCGTTTACATAAGAGAATGCTATTCAAGCTTTTAAAATAAAAAACTTAAACTATTCCCCTCACCCCCCAAAAAGTCTAACTATAAAGATGGGTTTGCTACAAAATAATTAGCAAAACTGATTTACCAAGTAAGATGTCCTCCCGCTCACTGCCCCCCAGAAATACGTATACTGTAGGAATACTCCTAGGAAGTGACACAAGTGAAAGAAAGAATATTCTTTCAATATGCTAAAAACATCTACAGTGCACTAAAAAAAAGTCCCTAAATTTGGCAATACATTTCTTCCAAAAATGTTATTCAATAACATAAACATTATGAAGTAGAACTGGCTGTCCCATATGTTCAGAATAAAAGGGTTAAGTGGAGTCCTGCATAACTAGCAAAGTGGAAGAATAAATGGTAAGATTAAGACATACACATACAAACATTAAAATCTAAATATCAGAACAACTAAATAAAAATTTACCTTGCATCTCTACTTTTAACTATATAATAAAAAATGGTCATTGGATAGCTGATACTTGTCAAATCTCAGCAAACTTATGAGAGAGAAGGGATAAAAATGGTTAAACCTTAAAATACCTGTTCAATAATCAGTTTTTAATTATCAAAAAAATGTTGACATGAAAGGCACTTCTACAATTGCAAAGGGAAACCTTGTATTTTGCATGGCTATGTAGTTATACCTTTGTGTTATCAGTGGTGAGTCTGGAGATAAAAGATGATCACACATAACCAACTAAAATCGAGACCAGTAATGACCAAAAAAAAAAAAAAATCAGGGCTGAGAAGCTTCCTATACTTGACTTCATAAACTATTTTACTGTATTGGTTACTCAGAGGACTAGATACCACTCCAATCCACAAATTGTCAACCTCAACAATTTAAATGTACGAGTCAGATTTTCCACAGTTCACTTCTGAAAGATCTTCATTTATACAAATATCCCTTCTATATTCATATCTAAAAGATACCATGAGCCTTAAAAACAGTAACACTGAGGGTCAACCATTTGCTCTGTAACCCCAGCTTAAATGTGTCTGAGCCTCAGTTTAACATGTATAACAATGTATTTAATGGAGCAGTTATGAAAATTAAAGATGACAACGTCAGCCTGGGCAACACAGCGAGACCCCATCTCTAAAAAAATAAAAATAAAAAAATAGCTGGGTGTGGTGGCACGTGCCTGTTGTCCCAGCTTCTTGGGAGGCTGACACGGAAGGATCGCTTGATCCCAGGAAGTTGAGGCTGCAGTGAGGTGAGATCATGCCACTGTGCTCCAGCCTGGGCAACAGAGAGAGATATGTCTCAAAAAAAAAAATGACAGTGTATATACAACGTCCAATCCAACACAGGAGGTCCTCAAGAAATGTTAATTCACCTTTTTCCTTCTTTGTATTACTTACTACTTTGAAAATGTTTTTATACTCAAGTATCTTGAACAATTTTCGGTATAATACTCATACCAAGTATCTGGTATTTCCAATTCCTGACAGATTCTGACATCTACAGTTGGATCATGTATTTATATATTTTACTATGCCTTGGTACTTTCAATCATATGACACTGCTTAGTCACAATAAGCGTATTGATTCCTCTATCCTATTGTTTATAAAACCATCCATTAAAGGCAAATTGCAAGATTTTTTTGGGGGTGGGGTGGGGGCGCAGACTGAGTCTTGCTCTATCGCCCAGGCTGGAGTGCAGTGGTACGATCTCAGCTCACTGCAACCTCCGCCTCCCGAGTTCAAGTGATTCTCATGCCTCAGACTCTTGAGTAGCTGGGATTACAGGGGTGCACCACCATGCCTGGCTAATTTTTGTATTTTTAGTAGAGACGAGGTTTCGCCATGTTGGCCAGGCTGGTCTCGAACGCCTGACCTCAAGTGATCCGCCTACCTCAGCCTCCCAGAATGCTGGGATTACATGCAAATTGCAAGATTTTTATGCTATACAGAGAGTTTTCTTGAGTGCTATCTAACTTTTTTATTATTTTCATTTGACTAGAGAAAATAAAACTATTAGCTTACTGAAAAGGATCAGCCTTCTGAGTGATATGACATGGATCAACTTTAATTTCACTCAAGAAACAATTTTTTAAAAATAGAAATTTTCATTGGAATTTCAAATGAACTTTGCTTTTTACAGTGAAAAACATTGTTGTCAACTGCAAACGATATACAACAGGCATTTTGTGAAGACATTTCATTTCAAAGATACCTTAAAAAAGTAGACAGCACACTGAAGCTAAGAGAACCAGCCTTAAAGTCAGGTGGCCAGGCTTTGAATCTTAGGTTCAGGCAGTAACTTTTCTGAGATTCTAGGGATAATATTAACTATTTAACAGGGCTGTAAAAAAAATGAAAGCACTTAACATTGTGTCTGCTATCCTCTAAGTACTCAACAAGTTCAAGTATTCTAGAGCAAACAAATTTTATTTTTCCCTCTGAAGTAAAAGCAAAAACCTACACTCACCTGCCTTGTATTTTATCAGTACTACAAAATAAATCCAAAACCTTTTGCCATCACTCAGTAGTATAAGTAACAATAAAAACCCAAAGGGTAATAATTATTCCAATTTCATACACATTAAATGATGGTATTGCAAATACAGCTTCTGATCCAAATAAAACAAATGGAAAATGTAACTCACATTCATGCAGACAGACAACCACATACATACTAAATAAAAGGAGTAACTAGATAAGCAGAAATCACAAGACATATGTCAAAGATCTGAGTTTTAGCCTAGAGACTGTCATTTGCTTACCAGTATTAACCTTGGCAGCTTGCATTTAATTAAGTCTCAGTTTCTTCATTTACAAAAGAGGGAGAAGGAGTCCTACTGCAGAGAATAGTTGGGAAGATTACAGGCTGGACTGTATGAGGAGGTTTCTTAAACCTGGGATACAAGGCCTTCTGAGAAATGCACATGTAGGCCTATGGGATCTGAGATTGTCAGTAGCTTCCAATAAATCATCAGTTACTTGAACCACAAAATATTATGAAATGTAGGTTTGTCAAAACGCTTCAGAATCTTTAAAGCTATAAATGATTTTAAAGTCGTGTTAAACTTGCATGAATTACAGTGTTCTGGGAGAGTGAGAGATTTAATTTTGTAAGAATTTTAATATTTCATAAATATGAAAGAAAGAGAATTCTTATATATGTAAAACTATAGCCTAGGAAATTCTGTCAAATAAGACTGAGAAACTCACTGGTGATTAGAGAGACTATTTTTAATGTAAATTTGTCTGACAACTGTTGTGATAACTGGTTTAGCTGTGTGTGCGTGTGTGTGTGTGTGTGTGTGTATTACTGTACTCACTTCCTAACTGGCCCTCCTCCAACACATTTTCCACACTACAGCCAATGCTCTTTGTAAAAGGTAAATCTCTTGGCTAAAAACTCATAATAGTTTCTATTTCACTTAAGAATAAAGTCTGAATTCCTTTCTATGGTTTGGAAGGCTCTGCATCAACTGGCTCCAGTGCATCTGACCAACCTTATCTCGCATCATTTAGTCCTTTGCTCATTCATTACGCTCCAGCCAGGCGATGTCCAACAGAAATGTAATGGGAGCCACCAATACAACTTTAAATTTTGTAGTAGCCACACTTTTTCAAAGTTGAAAAAAAGTAAAATTAATTTGAGTATATTTTATTTAACAAAACATACCATGGTATCAATATGAAATCACTATAAAATTCTTAAGATACTTCACATTCTTTTTGTAGTACTAAGTCCTTCCTCCAAGTTGGTGTGTATTTTACACCTACAGACTACCTCCATTCCGGAAAGCTGCATGTGGCTTGTGGCTCGTAGCTTCTTCATTGGACAGTACAGCTCTCCAGCTACACAGACTTCTCTGGATCCCAGAACACCAACAGTGCTCTCCGGTCTTTGGGCGTCTGTGTGAGTGGTTCTCTCTTTTGAGAAAGTTCTTTCTGGCTTTCTTATGGCTGCCTCCTTTGCCTCCTTCCCCAAACTCAGCTTAAATATCACCCGCTAAGATACGTCTTTCCCAATGACTTTAGGCAAACAGTCTCCCCATTTTATTCCCTAGCAGAGCACCTCGGAGATCACAGTTGTCTTAGGACTTCTCTCATTCTGTCATTTTTTGTGCTTGCTTTCCTTGCTTTTCAAATATTTGTTTATGTCCTGTTTTCCACCACTAGACTATAACTATTGCTCCATGAGAACAAGGACCACTTTTATTCTGTTCACCATGGGCACATCTGAGATACCGAATTTTTGCTAAATATAATAAATGCACGTCATTACTCTTAGTTGCTCCCTGGCCACTTCTAACATAATATTCAGAAACAACTGGGAGCATAATATACGCACAAGAAAACAATAAATAAATATATATAATTATTTAAATTATAAACCAAATAAAGATGCTTACATGATATAATTTTTGAAAAATCCTTATTTTCAAGACACTTGTATAAAGATAAATAAATCACTTTATTAAAAATTATAAGTACTATCCAGTTAAAAAATAAAACTTCACTTAAACTCAAATCAAATCATAAGGCATTTCGGATATTTCTCCCTTTCCTGCCTTCCTGAGAAAAGCACTGTGTTAACTGCTCTTCATTCGGCATTCAGACTTTTAAAGTCAGATCACCCCAGTCTCCTACAGATCTACAAAAAATCTCTAAATGCCAATAAATTTTTACAATTAAAGGGAGAAAAAAGGAAACTATGAGTGATATTTGAAGAAAGATAAAGGTTTAGTTAAGATTTAAACAAACTAAATTTTACCTTTTCTGCTCTTAACTCTCATTTTCCAAATCATTTATTGTAATTCTAAACTGAGATTCACAGCTCCTTCAGACATATTATACTTTTAAGTGGAAAGGTGATCACTGACAAGTATGCAGTTTTTGATACATATTTTAATAAATTCGGTACAAATAAAAATCACATAACTGATCATGACAAAGAATATATACTTTGGGAGAGGAAAAAATATGACTAAAGTGACAGACCATTATCTAGGTTAAAAACTGAGAATAAATTAATAGGTAAAAAATAGACATAAATGGTTGGATACAGCTCCCATATTATGGTTACCTAGTCAAGTCGTCTGTTATTAACAGCAGGATAAAAAAATACGTCAGTAGAAGACATGGTAATCTTACACGTAGACACACAAACCCACAAAAATAATCATTATATATATCATTTATATTATCCTTGAATATATATGAAAAAATATATTTTTATATTTATATATATACACATAAATATATTTATATATACAATTTATATATAATTTGTATATACTCCAGGTATTATACATTTGTCTTCTCATTTAATCCTCATAACCTAAAGAGGAAGACACTAAAATAATCCCCATTTTGCAGATGGGGAAACTGTGGTGTAAAGAGGTGAAATAATTTGCTTGCACACTTTGCCCAACTGTTGAACTAAAGAACCAGGCCTGGAGATTTATTTTCCAGTAATTGGAAGGAAAGGGTTAGAAACACTTTACCACCATCCCTATGACTTGTAAGCTTATAAACTTAATTTTGAGCATGAGACAGCCACGTCTCCAAACCACACTGCTACTGTCTAGCAGCTTCTCCAGTATCTCTGTGTTTGGTCAATTTGGCTTTCTGATCATTTCTCTAGTTCCTTGTTCATTTCTCTACTGGAAATAAAACCAAGTCATGAGTAGCCCATGTGGTTGAAGGCCTGACCCACCTACAGCTAAGTCTGTCAGCACCCTGAACTAGGCATGTGAATTTTGGATGGACCTTCTCAGTCTTTAACCTGAATATTTATCTGACATGTACCGCTGGGACCTATCTGCAAACCACAGCTCCAATCCCAGGAGTCTAATCTCTCCATGAACAATCTGAATTAGAATATTTCTTGAATTTCTTGAAAAGTCAGCATTTAATTATCACTGAAGGAGGCAAGCATTGCCCCTTGGTGGTCCCCACATGGCAAGAGACTCAATTGGCTGCCTTCCTCTGCAAAGCCATGACTATATTATTAAAGAAAACACTGCCACAGATACCAAATGTCAACAGACTATATAACGTGTTTGTGATGTGCTACAGTTGACCCTTGAACAACGCTGGCTTGCACCGTGTGGGTCCACTTATAAGCAAATTTTCTTCCATTTCTGCCAATCCTGAGACAGCAACACCAACTCCTTAGCCTACTTAATGTGAAGATGATGAGGATAAAACCTTTATTATGATCTACTTCCACTTAGCAAAGAGTGAATATATTTTCTCTTCCTTATAGTTTTCTTCAGACATCTTTCCTCTAGCTAACTTTATCATAAGAATACAGTATATAATACCTATAACATATAAAATACATGTCAATCAACTGTTTTAATGTTATTGGTGAGGCTTCTGGTCAACAGTAGGCTATCAGTAGTTAAGTTTTGAGGGAGTCAAAAGTTATATGCAAATGTTTTAACTGCACAGTGGCTGGGACTCCTAATCCCCACATTGTCCAAGGGTCAACTGTATTCACAAGTTTATTCCAGTGTGAACTCTCGTAGAAAGAGAGAGAGAGAGGCAGGCTCGTGCTCTGTTGTCCAGGCTGGAGTGCAGTAATTCAATCACAGCTCCCCATAACCTTGAACTCTTGGGCTCAAGCAATCCTCTCGCCTCAACCTCCCAAGTAGCTAGTTAATTTTTTAATTTTTAGTAGCGATAGGGTCTTACTATGGTGCCCAGACTGATCTTGAACTCCTGGGCTCAAGCAATCCTCCTACCTCGGCCTCCCAAACTGCTGGGCTTACAGGGGTGAACCACTATGCCTGGCCACTGTAATTTTATGTAAAGTTTTCTTCTCAAATTTTAATACCTTTCTTCATAATACTAAATATGTTGTCACCCATTCTTGGCATGGAAGTCTACTGAGTCCACATCCATAGGGAGCAATTGAAAATTCTGTGTGTATGAGTTTGCTTTGATTTATGTTCTATTTGGTTATAAACTTTACTGCAGCTACAGGAATAAAATTTGGCTAATATAAACGTAACAATTATTATTTCAGAAGCATAAAATTGAACAAAGAGTTGATACCAGGTTAAAAAAAAAATCACTTTTTTAAAAGCTAGATGATTTGTGTTTTAGCCCTGGCTCAGGTCCTAAGCAGTTTTATAACAGTGGCTAAGTAGGAACTTGCCTAAAGCCCAGTGTTCTCATCAGTTAAACGAACTCTTTATAATAATTCCTAAGGTTCCTACTGCTCAAGAACTCCAGTCCAAGCCTAGCTAACACTGGATACCAAGTAACACTGCATGCTCATTTACTGAACTTAGGGAAGTATCACCCACATAAAGTTGTTCTCATGAATGTCTTCCATTTCATGGCTTAAATTAATAGCCATAATAACATGTCAAATGTTTGTTTTCTCTATAGTTTAATGTACCTAGATATATCTGACTAAAATTAACTGGTGATTTTCTTGGATGTTTAAAATAATTTGTTGATATTGGTTAATAAGCATAATGTACCTAAACTGACAAGATGAAACTCTAAGAATTAGATTTCACAGCTTAACAAAATTCAACAACACAGTAGATCTGCATATGAGGGGAAAGAATAGAGGCAATTTGAAGGGAAGAAGAACTCAAAGCACACATTTGGAAGAAGTACACTTTAAGACTCAGTCATTTGAACTACTCTGACTGGAAAACAATTCCATAAACACCATTCAGAGAGATTCCTGTTTCTTCAATACCTAGAGTACTTTCAAAAGAGCAACTCATGTAAAAACTCACTACCATGAACACTGCACAGATTGAAACCACAAATAGCCAAGAGAGAAGAAAGGAATGTATCGGGGTGGGTGAGAGGGGAAGGTGGTTGAGGATTCCTTATTCATGTGTTCAACAAATGTTTATTAAGCAGTTATTATATGCCAGGTACAGTGTTAAGCACTGTGGATACTTTGGTAAACAAAATATAGTCCTTTCCTGTTAAAACAATCTTCCACTCCATCAAAAAATAAATAAATAAGAAAAAAAAAGGAAAATATCAATTTTCTCTACTTGGTAACCTATTTTAACTTCCCCATCTTACTTGGCTAATTATTAACCATGTGCATGCCATGTATTTCTTTTGAGAAAGTGAAAGATTCTAAAATCTTCAAAATTTGTAAAGTAATTACAAAATCAAAAACTGTAAGTAAAAAGAGTTTAAAGAACATGTTTAATTCTGAAAAATAAAATATTCTGATTTTTAGTTCCATAGTTTACTTTTCCTCTACAATTTCTGATATGTTTTTTCAATAGAGAAAAACCCACAAAACTAGGTGTACAAAAATACAGTACAAATAATTTTGATGCCTATATCCAATTGAAACAAAATTTAATAGTCTGAATTTTGTAAGGGAGTTCCAAAGTTCTTTGAAAACATCCCCTTTATAGACAATATGACCTCAAATAGTTCATTTTAATCAATGTTTTTATGTCACAGAGTGATATATTTATTATTAACAGGTGCTTAAAAATGCTTCTTCACTTGGTCATTTTCTATAAAAGTATCTGCAAGCCAGTCTAGACCAATGTCTATAGCTTGTGATTATACAGATCTCCGGAATGTCTTCAGGATGTATAATTACTACATACAGAACACTTATTCACACATTTAAATGGAAGTGAAATGTAATCTAAAAAATGTAAAGCTATATACTAGTTTCAAGAATACAAAAGTAAACAATAGGAAACAACTTTCATTTCATCAGTGTATTAGTATGAGGTATTTTGCTTCCTCTCTCTCCTAAATCAAGTGTTCTGATTGTAATCGAAGGATCAGGATGGGGACAGAAGAGGGAAAAGGGCACCTGCAGTTCACATGTGGCAAGAGGCTTGGACAAGAGGAATTTCTTTTCTCCCCTTGCAGTACAGATTTATACACAACCGAAAAAGTGCAGCTATGACCACATTTTAAGAATGCCTAAAAATGCCCAGGAGTCTAATCCCTATCACAGATATTTTAATCACTTTATAAAATCTTAAAGCATTTATTCCTTTCATATTAAGTAACCTCAAATAACCCAAATTGTACACTACAAGTCTCTATTTGAGTAACAATCACAGAATTAAAAAAAATTATAAGAAATATGCAATTTCCTTTTCTACAACCGAATAAAACAGTATAATGTTTATGCAAATCAAGCTAGCAGAAGAATAAAGTAAACAACACATTTCTTAATTTCTTAATATAGTTCAAGGTGGTGTAGTGGCCACCTCTTTTCTTTTTTTCATGAAAATCTCTTTCCTTTGCACCATGTTATATAGGATCTTTAAGAATATAATGTACTGAAGATAATTTAAAATAATTTTCTAAACTATGTCCATAACCACCTCCATGACTGCTCCCATCTGATGGTTAAAATCTTACAGTACTAGCTTGAATTTCATCTCTGCCTCACATGTTTCAAGCAGGGAAGCAGATTTAGTGCCTCAGAACACTTTACAGGGTTTCATTATCAATCAGGTTATGTTCCCGGTGACGCTTTCAGTAAAATTATCTTATTCAAATGAACTCTCTTGGACTGAAGTAAACAAAGCTGTAGCCCATTGCTCTCACATACTCTCCATTCATTTATTTCCTTTTTCTTTACTTAGACTTACAGCACGTGCCCTAGAAAGAGCGCATGTTGAATATTCCTGGAGTGTCACAATATGCAATACAATAAAACAGATTACGGCCCTACCTTTCTCTCACAGCAGTGGTGCCAAGCACAGGTACACCGGAGTAATCAATTTGTTCTGCAGACCGTAAGGCTTTCATAGAATACTAATGTAAAATCTCTTTTCTTTCTCCTTTGCCTTGACTCCCTAATGCCCAGGTCCCGACCAATACAAGGAGGAGGGCGGTATGTCTTCTGCTGAGATAACCACAACTACTAATCAAGTATACGTGTACAAGGGCACAGGATTAAACCTCCACCAAGCTTGAGTCAGGGTTTGAGAGCAGCTAAACACATGCACAGCATGGTCAAAATTAAACACACACACACACACGCACCCACGCACACACACGTGCCATGAAAATACAGATGTGTCTACTTCGGTGAACTAATTCATCACACTTTACCATGCCTCGTTTTTTTAATCTCAGGGGCATAAAATTACCTCCTGTTGAACTGAGGACTTAGATTCAACAGTGCCCAACAATTGTTTTTCCAGAAACGAGAATCATGATCAGTCTTCTTTGTACTCAACTGTTAACCATTTTTAAAACTAGGCATTTTTCTTAATTGTACTATCCAGCGCAGTTTTACATGAATTTATCATTTCAGGTATTAACATAGGGTTAATAGACTCTGCATGGATTCTTCAGATTTTACACTTAAAAATATATTGTAATAGCTCAAGTCTACTTTACCAAGAAAAGTATGTGCATTACCAGTAATAAGACATACAAAAGATTTTCATGTATCTTGAAGTATTTACATTATGAATAATCCCAAGCTATTTGAAAAATATTTTCAGGTCTCAACAATTATTTAAAAAGCACCTTTAACACTTCATAATTATGGCATCACGGTGGTATGGTTAATCTTATAAATCTAGAGTTCTGGTGTTCTTTTCAATTAGACATTTTCACTTGGCTTATTTTTCTTTTATTCAAAATATGAAAAGGTATGCCAGTCATTGAGTAGGCGAATGACAGAAGTTGTTAAATATTTTTTAACAACATACATTGCCACATTTTAATTTGCCTGCCTTAATTTTCAAATAACTCTTGAAAAGTATTGATAGTTAAGGGGCTGCAAACTAGGCAAAAATTAAGAACAAAATACTCAAAATAACTGAAGAAACTTATTAGGAGGCATCCTAAGCCGTTCTGTTTTCATGTAAACAACTGCTTTAACACTGCTAAAATACATGTGTCTCATTTTGCACTTTTTCTATTTCTTAAAAAAAATCAGTAGGAACAATTAAGAAATACTAGGGACTCAATGAAGTATTGCAATAATGTTTAATCGATACTGATGCATTTGTCCTTGACACACTGACCATGTCATCAGGCTACTGTCATCTTATATCATGTCATTTCTCCACCTGGCTCATGACCTTGTCCTCTAAATGACCTAAAGCTTCCCTCAAGTAGCAGGAGGCCCCTCCCCGCTGTCTCAGCAAGGTCGAACGGGTCAGCGTGTCCTCATCTATAATCCACCACCATTTGTCAGCAGGGAGGCTGGAGGAGGCAGGCTTGCTACAAGGGGAGAATGCCCAATTAGGCAGCTGTCACACAAAGCATAGGCTGCAAAATTATCCCCTGTCAAAAGAAAGAGCAGCTGCGGGTGCCAATTACAGCAACCTTTCAACCCTTTAGGTACTGGAAACTACACAGAAGTAAATGAAGAACAATTAGTGATAACAAATCGATGAATTAGGACAGTAAATTAGAAATTACTAGCAGGTGAGCTTGGGTCATACATGACATTTAGGGCACACCAGACTCCAGGCAAGGGCAGGATGCAATGAATCACACTAACCATTTCCTCACATATAGATTTCCCCTCCAATATTTTCTTTTTGCAAACCTGAGATCTTTAAAATACCCATACCTAAAAATATGTATCTTAATATACACACCTTTTCATTTCATGGACCCCCAAAATTGTTTCTCAATAGGAGAAAAATCCTTCAGAATAATAAGTCTAGTTCATTCTAACTTGTTTTCACACAGTCCAACATGTTATCCCCTCAAACAAATTTCTTAAGTGTCGCCCACAAAATCCAAAATATCAGTTTAAATCATCACACTTAAAATATTGTACTTGTCCTGATTCTACTTCAGTCAAAAAGCAACTGGGTATAAATTCTGAGAAAACTGCTTTGCTAATATCATAATGTTGAAGGTAACTTTCTCTACACAATGTCATTTTGTGGATAAAAAAATAACTGCCATGTGTGCTTCTATACATAATACACATAAAGAAAATATCAACCACAAAATTACTCTCTTAGATTGTTCTGCTCCAATCCTGCAGAGGTGATATACATTAAGTCTCAAGCACAGAAAGCCAATGCACTTGGACTTTGTCCAACTAATTTATTTGGTAGTTAACATTCGCAGGCAGTGAAGGAGGAACATGGGGAAACAAGCCCCACCAAGGGGAGCAGATCCAATATGGCTACCGAGTGTTCATGGACATGGTTTCATTGTGCCTTAAAATGTCATGCATGTTCAGAAACAACTTTCTTAAAGTCCATTTTTAACTAAGATTAATTTTTTTTCCATAGAAAAAAGATGGTCTTCCTACATCAGTTCTTTGAAAGTTGAGAAACCTGAATGATACGTGCTGTTATTTCTAAAGAGGCAGGAGAAAATTGCTTAACTAGACTTCTAAATCACAAATGGATAAAAGTGAGGAAGAGAGAAGGTGAGGCAATAAAGAAGCACTTTACTCACCCACCTCCAACACATTATAAATAAATCACAGTTGCCAGAGGGAAAAGTGTGTAACTCCTAGTTCCTAAGTCCAGCCATGTGATAATGTTTCTAGGAGATAGATGTCATGGGGAGAAAACTTCTCCATGAAAAGTTTATCTGAGAATTTGATTTATAAATTATATTTCATCATTTAAAAACTGGGCATTTATAAATTCTCTTAAGTTTAGAATGCAACCCTCTAAAGTCAGACATAAGGAATTCAAAGCAATGACAAATAGATAGGAATGAAGGAGTTAATGCCTTTAGAATTCAGCTTCCATCATACATGGGTGACTATCTCTTTAAATAATTTAAATCCTCTCCATCAACTACAAAGCTGTTTTGAAGCCATTTAGCTTTGTTCTTTACATGTGTTCTAATTAAGAGATGACCTTGTCATCACACACACCAGAAATCCGGGATTATTTCCTACAGCAAAAATTCACAGAGCCCCCCAAAGAAGAAAAAGGGGGGTAAAAAAGTCTTCTTCCTCAGTTCCTCACTAAAGGAAGTTGTTGGTTGGTTGAACGCTGAGGCAGTTTCACCGCATAATTTTTTTGTTGTTGTTGAATGTCACAGGGCGGGTTAGTGTGACCTTGAGCTGCATCAGCAGCACAGCAAGGGTCGAGATGCCTGCAGGCGCCCTTGTACTGGATTTGCAAGACAAAAACCTTCAAACTGGCTGAAGGACATCTTAAATCTCTTCAAAGGTTTTCCGAACTAATCTGGGCTGCTCTTAGCAGGATCTGTGCCAGTGTGAGAAGCAAAATTAAAAACAAGGTCTTTGACAGGATGTTGTCTCCTCTTAACCCTTCCCAAGCAGAATAGAACAAACCACCAGCATTCTGGAGAGAGGGTTTACCTAGAAGCATTCTTTTATAACAAATTATGTAAGCAGACAATCACAAAGAATGGGGCAGTTATTAGTTCTCAAAAGTAAACAACCCTTCCATTGTGCTTATTAAAGAATTCAGGTCGAATTCTTTCTTGACTATATTTCAGTGTAGTGAATGTAAAACTTAAAGCTCTATTTGTATCTTTCAGATTTGTAGCACAGTCACAGGTTAAGACTAAAAAATATTTCCATCAATATTTATCTCTAGAATTTTCATTTTTAAAAAAAAATACATGGTTTTAGTTGGTTAAGTCACAAACTTCACGCATACTGCATATAGCTTACTAAAATTACAGGTAAGGAAAATTACATTATAGCATGTTTACTAAATTTCTTATTCCCAACATGATGAATACATTCTTAAGACGGAAAAAAAAAATCATTAGAATAGTGAGTAACACAAGTAAAACAAGGTAAAGCAATCTCGGTCTTGTTATAAAAACATCAGCATGACATTTGATGTTTTAGCATTACCAGTGCATGGGCCAAAAGAGAAAGTATTAATGCCAGTAGAGGGTGTTTGATTCTTCCCTGGCAATGCTCTCAAAATTTAATTTAGTAGCTAAAGTAGGCAAATGTTTAAATCATTACTCTAGAACAACAAAAGGAAAAAGGTGAATAAAATAGTCCTGGCTTTCAAGAAATAAATAGTCTGGTGGAACAAACAGCTGTAATGCTTAAATCACAATATATGCTAAAATCAGTGTGTCTCCATCTATAACATGCTGGTTTGTCATCATCAGATATAAGGTATGTCATGATTAGTTCTAAAGAGTATTTAGTGTAAGTATTTAGTGTTAAGTACAGAATTTAATAAGGTCTAAGAGGTTGCAAATTATTCCCTTTTAAAAAAACAGACTAAATAAATTCAAGATAACTTGGGTGATAACCACACTTTCACTCACTTGGATTCAGGTATGTTTTCCTGAACAGGACAGGAAAAGGACAGAGTAATAACACCTAGTGAGTAAATAAGACCCGAGAGTGCACAGTGCCGGTGATTTTCTTCCTTAGTCTCTGTGCCAAAGGAGAGAGAGTATATACTGTGCTAAATGCAATGACTGAAATATGTAAAAAGTGCTCTAGGAACACAGATAGGCTGTAACCAGGTTTTTAGTTCATATGTACACATGCAGGTGGTAGTCAGTGATGGTTAAAAAATGAGTAAGGGCTAGCCAGGCAGAAGAGAATGGCAGCCATTCTAGGGTCCAGAAATAGCACTCAAAGGCAAGGAAGAGCTGAGTGTGACACAGGAAGTGTGGTAGTCCAATGGGAGTGGAGATTAGGCTGGAAATGCAACTGGGACCAAGGACTTTGAATCAAGGCCATGCCAAGAAGCTGGCCTTTATCTGGTGGGTTTCCTTACAAGCAATGGTATTATTAAAAGCATATTAGAAAAACAAAACCAGAAGCTATGGGAGTTGTTGATAGCTTGGAGGGAAGAAGAAACTGTAGATCAGTTAGTGCACTGCCATGGTCAAAATAAGGCAAAGGCAGGAGAGTTGAAGAAAAAGACAGCTCTGGAAACAATGAAGGCTGCTTTGAATATTTAAAAACCAATTTGTTTAACATAAACAGTGCTATAAGATAGGGTGTTATTTCATAGCAACTTTATTGAATCAAAGATAAAAACGATAAAAATAATTACTATATCTCAAGCCTAGGTTTGATAAACACTGTGCTAAAAAAATGATTTCTACAAAGTTTCAAAAAAGTAGTAATTCTTACAGGGGTGCTTTAAAGAGGCAGAATCAGATCCTGTTTGAAGTCTGAATTTTGTACTTTGAACTATCAACCTTCATTAAGTATTAGGTAAGGGTTTTGCTAAGACAGTGACATGTACCTTTTCAGAACAGTGTGAGAGCGTATTTCCCTTGGCTATAAGACAGAGATGTCCGACTTAAATTATAATGTGGTTCTTGGAGCTAAGAGTTCTATCCAACGCTAATGAGAAAAAAAATTAACTCAGCAAACATTTCTTGAGTCCCGACTACGTTTAGGACACAGAATTAAAAAATAAAAACTACCCAACATTCTATCAGCTTCATGTTTTTAGATGATCACTCATAATGATATCAAGTCCTCAAATTCCAGCTTGCATGACATCATCACACAATAAAAACACTACGAGTAAAAACAGTATGAAGCTGTCAGTAAATCAAGTGTCGGAACTAGCAGCCATCTTGGTATTCCGATCCAGCTGAAAGGTACACAACGCATTCCCAGAACCCTCAGGGAAGACCCAGCACCAATGTAATTTGAAGAGCGTCGTCAGATACTCTAGAGACTGACTGTCCCGCTGAGACCTCAGAAAGAATTTAACAGAGTATCAGCCAAGGTAAGAGAGTAGGGAGTAAAACAGAACAGGAGTCACCAGGGCCAAGTAAATATCTGCCAGAGAGCAGACTGTACTCTCAGAAAAGGACCGCCAGCATCAGGGATCAGGTTGAGGCAAGTGGAGGGGAAGGTCACACAAAGGAGAGAAGGAAAGACTTGAGGGGAAGCCTACTCAATCCTGCAAAATAACACATCAACTTCATTTTGTGAAACTTTTTTAAACGACCAAACCTCTAGAGTTGGGCGAATCACCGTAGAAGAAGTATTAGAAGGTACACAAATCATAAAGAGGACTTGAAAGCCGGGGTAGGGGGAAAATTGACAGGGCAAAACTAGGAATGACCTTACTGAGTATCCACAAATAAAATGACTTCTCCTTGAGTAAGCATCTCTGTCTTACAGCTGCCAAGCCAACGCTGGCAGTAAGTTTCAGCACATTCTAGGTCTAGACATTAATAGAAAAGTGGGTAATATGATACACCGTGCAGTTATTAAAAAAAAACTTATTAGTCTACAAACACAAAAGCAAGGTTAACATTATTGGAATAAAAATATAGAAGATTCTGTTCGCAATTAGACAAGTGAATTGCCATAATACAGCAGTCCTCAAAGGGTGGTCCAAGGATGCCAGGGGTGGCCATGACCCATTCAGGAGGCACATGAAGAAAAGACTACTTTCATACTACTAAATGTTATCTGGCTTTTGGTATCATTCCTTCATAAGTGTACAGTAGAGTTGTCTAGAGGCTATATACATGGAATGCATCCTTGTGTAACTCTTGTTTTAAATTTTTTCTCAGTTTAAATTTCTAATATGATAAACATCAGTTGATATGAATCTCATAAATAAAAGCTCTCTTGGGTCCTTGATAATTTAAGAATATAAAGTTGTCTTGAAAGCAAAAAGTTTGAAAGCTGCTGCTATTAATAGTTGAAAAGTACAATGTTGGTTTTCTTCAAACATAATCTCTTCTAATTTCAAGAATTTCCACTATAATTATGGCAGATAAATATTGTTCTCTGTGCAGAATGTCCCTAAGACCAAGACGAGGAAAGAAAAGAAAGAACTTTCTAAAAAGATGAGTAAACTAAGGAGGATATGAAAAATCTCCCATCTCTAGAGTCGTTATTATTCTGAATTTACCATACAAGGAGTAACAAATGTACAAATATTTATAAAGAAGCTGCTATGTTGTTAAGAGCTGAAGTTATAAGGATAACTAAGTGATAAACCAGCCCTTAGTGGGCTCACAATCTCATCGGGAAAAAACAGATCAACAACATAGTGAGATGCTACTAAAAAGATGGCATGGACAAAGTGGAGAAAGCACTGAAAGACACAATTTTTGGAAGAAGACTGAGTGGTAAGGCAGGGAACACCATTTTTAGTGAAGGTTCTCTACAGAGGCTGCATGTGAACTGACTCTAGGGACAAACAAGGCTTTCTCAATTAGAAAAGAAGCTTCAGTATTCTTCAGAAAGTAGGAGGACCATAAGCCCAGTCCAGGAAGCACAATGGCATAGAGTATGTTCTAGAAACTTTAAGTAATCACCTCCAAGAATAAAAATTGCCAGTAATGACAAACTTTTATAGAACATGACAAAATAATTTGATGGCATGTTCTATAAAAGTTATAATTAAATTTAATGATGAAAGATGTGGACTTAGATTTTGTAGTCTTGCTAAAAACTTCTGTCATATAGCTTTTTAAAAAGACAATAAAAGTGAGTTACTAAAAAAAATAAAATAGAAACAGACAAACAAATTATTGGCCTTTACTGCAGATATTTTGAGAAGCACTAGCTTGGAGGACAGGCTAGAAGATGGCAGGTGGGGAGGAGGTGCAGAGAGGGGCGGCAACAGCAGGAGACAAAGCTTCAAGCTAGAAGCTTACATAGACTGTACTATGAACATTTTTTTAAATAAATAAATGCAAAAAGGAAGCAAGCGAGGTTTGAAAATTACTCATATACCTCTAATCCAGAATGAAGAAATTCTAGTTATCTAAATAAAATGCATAAGCTCTGACGTTAGAATCAGAAAATTTTCAGATATGCAAACCACAGGCCACATGGTTGAAGGGCAAATGTAGCAGAGAATCAAGGAGACTATCAGGTTCACAACAGTTAATTTCAGTGAAAAAAGACCAGGGTCTGTGTAAGAAGAGAAAGTGTATTGACAGTTTGATCAACACTTTTAAAATTATTTTGATTCCTTCATTTGAAACCTTTCATGGAAAAGGAAAAAAAAAAAAACCTGAGTTGATATGGAGGCTTCGCATATAGCGACTTTATAAAATCTGAGTTGATATGGAGGCTTAGTCTAGTAGGGATCTTCCTCCCCAAACAACGTAAGTTATATCAATTAAGATACTAAGTAAAAGACTTAAGGAAAAGTCAATTATTTAAAGATACCAAATTAAAAAAATGTTAATTGTATTAATGTTTCCCATAGTAACAGTAAGTTAGGATTAAGGAAGGTCTATTACTTTTCTATGTTCATTATGCTATTGCAATTGCTACATTATTTTTGATCAGACAAGTAACACAAGCAAGCTGGAGTTTTAGGAAGATCTGGTGGTTGTAAAAGACTCGAACAAGGATGTCAGTAAACAGGCCTGCCAGCACAAGAGCTCCAGATGAGAAATGATAAGACTCTGAACGAAGATGGCTGGCTGTGAGAAAGGGAATTAAGAGTGGATGGAAGCAATGCTGGAAACTAACAATGATTCATTTGAGCCAAGCATACAGATTTTCTTACCAGGGTTATCCACAAGGCCAGGAAAACACTAGTGAGAAGGCCAAATTGGTTTACGGCAATTAATTCCAACTAGGACAACTCACCCAGATTATAAATTGATCTTTCTTTCACCAGCATCACGTTTCTACTAAAAATCTGGTGTGAAAGTTTAAACACATTTTACAAAGAGTTATTTCTTAAACAAATAAAAAAAAATATGACTTTGAGGAGTGTTTTATGAAGTTGGACAGGCATTCCATGTATACAATTAGCCTACTTTACCAACCTCGTAACCCAGCTCATCAGTACTGGCACTTTTTTTTTGAGATGGAGTCTTGCTCTGTCGCCCAGGCTGGAGTGCAGTGGCGCGATCTCAGCTCACTGCAAGCTCCACCTCCCGGGTTCACGCCATTCTCCTGCCTCAGCCTCCCGAGTAGCTGGGACTACAGGCGCCCGCCATGGCGCCCGGCTAATTTTTTGTATTTTTAGTACAGACAGGGTTTCACCGTGTCAGCCAGGATGGTCTCGATCTCCTGACCTCGTGATCCGCCCGCCTCGGCCTCTCAAAGTGCTGGGATTGCAAGCGTGAGCCACCACGCCCAGAGTACTGGCCCTTTTTTAAAAAAAAATTTATATAGATATTTTATGTCTGACAGGAAAGTTTTAAACTCAAGACATCTATTCTACCATAGTTGTCAAAAATTTAATCAAACTAGAAAAAAGTACAATAGAGAACTCGTCCTAGTGGAAAACCATGACATATAACAATAAAAATTCCATTAGAGAAAATTAGTATATTCAAGTGTTTAAGCTAAATTGATTTATGGTCATTTAGTTAACACTACCGAAAATATTCTCTGTTTTTGTATCAGCAATTTTATCAAAATTAGCTAATAAATATTATACACTGAGATAAACAGCACAGAAAGTATATAAAGTCCTATAAAATATAAAAAAGGGTGAATTAATTTTGTTAGTTACTCAATATGATGATTGTATCTCTTTCAAAAGAAGGAGCTAACAAAATAGCAAGGGAAACATGGCCTAAGACACTGAAAGGCTTTTTAAACACTTCATTCTTTATTTAGTTTGCAATATTCAATTAATTACATCCTTTTTCCTCCCAATCATTATCTTTGAGCTTTCAGTCAAAAAAAATTACTATACTTAAAAATATAACATGAGTGTTTTGCAGGGTAAGACAAACTATAGTAAAAACCTCATAAAACATTAGTTTAGAATCCTCAACTTGTCAAATACTCATCTCCTGAGATATACCAGATCCTCCTTTTGGAGACACAGTCCACTGGTTAATGAAAGGCATATTGAAAAGACATTCTATACTTTGACCCAACATCTCCCAAGCTTATTTGACCATGGACTGTTCATTTAAAAGGAAAACATATTTAACACAACACGTTTTAGAAAAAACACATTTGACATAATCATCTTTAAAATCTAAAAACGTTTAAAAATATGTGAAAGGAATATAGAAAATCACTATCAGTAATTTGTTTTTATAAATTTTTAGTTTTCAAAGTTGTTCACTATACATTATAATGTCTTTTTTTTTTTTTTTTTTTTTTTTTGAGACGGAGTCTTTCTCTGTCACCCAGGCTGGAGTGCAGTGGCACAATCTTGGCTCACTGCAACCCCGACTGCCGACTTAAGTGATTCTCCTGCCTCAGCCTCCCAAATAACTGGGACTACAGGCACGCGCTACCACACCTGGCTAATATTTGTATTTTTAGTAGAGACAGGGTTTCACCATACTGGTCAGGCTGGTCTTGAACTCCTGACCTCATGATCTGCCCACCTTGGCCTCCCAAAGTGCTGGGATTACAGGTGTGAGACACCATGCCTGGCTGTCTTTTTTTTTAATCTGGAAGAAAAATCTAAATTTGACAATTTTCTAAGAACAACTCATTGGCTGTGTATATTTACCAGATGGCTACCTATAATTTACTTATCCAACTCCTAGTTGGATCCAGTGAGCATTGCTTATCATTCTGGCTATGTGGTAAAACAAAGGTGTTGAAAATTAAGAACAACAACAAACCAATTATATCTTGTGGCGGGGCGGTCACAGGAATATGCATGATTATAATGTTAATTTTAATAGAATTAGAAGTTCAGAAATGGGGTTCAATATCAACTGTTTCATCAAATATAAAAGCAGATTTCAGACTGCCAACCAGTGATTAACACCTAATTATATCTGAATAAAAAAATTTTAGTATTTACAAATAATTGCGTCATTGATTTTAAATTCCAATTATAAGTAAAATATAAATGAATATACGAAAAGTGACTTGCAACCAAATAATTATTAGTAATTTTATGCAGTCTTTTAAAAAATAACATTTTAAAGATTTTCTTGATGAAATTACAAGAAAAGCTAAGCATTTAAGTGGGTGATTAAAATAACTTCATTACTAGGTTTTCTGAACATTATCAGAATAGTGAAGAAAAAGCAGTTAGGATTATCCATATGAGGCCTACAGGTAAAGAGCAAATTTGGCTCAAAGTTGCCATTCCCTTTTTGAAACACTGTGGTCAGGTAAAACATGGTGAATTTCAGCATGCTGTATCTGCTCTCTCTCTTTGACCAGAGTTTTTCAGTTAGCTAGATGAAACTGAACTATTCACAACGGATTATGAGCACAATAATCAATCATTATGCCTTTACCTAGTTCACTTGGATTTCTCCTTCCCAGAAATAAGCAGCATAAGGTCCAAGAGCTTAAGACATGACAAATTCATTTAGGTTGTAGCTATACTAGAAAACAGGAGTGTTAATCCAAGTAGAATTAACCACTTGCTCATCGTCTTTTTTGTTGCTCTGCCCACCTACTTGTGTTAATTTAATCCAATTACTTTATCATTTCTCAGAAATACTAATAATGCTCTTTCCTTTGTAAGAGGAATTTTAATAATTCCAAAAGTAATCACTGGCCTATACTATAATAAACACACAATAATCAAACATGCTTCTATTTTTCCTCAAAACGGTAATTAACTTTTTATCTGAAATCAGGGATTGCTATTGTAGGATTTGTATTAACTGTCCATTTTCTCTGGTTTTTGATAAATCGAATTAAGTGTTGTCAACAAAAATACTATTTCTTCTTTCAAGCTTTCCAATTCCTCTCTCCAGAAGTAATCTACACACTGAATTCTCAAGAATATTTTTCTCCATTTCTCTTACAGCATTTAACCTCTTTTACTGTTTGATTACATTATTTATCTACATTTATTCTTTCCATATAAGTTCCTTAAAGGAAGGATTGTAGCTCTTTCATTTTTTAAACCACATTGCCTGATGAAGTAACTTGCACAGATGAAGTACATAATACATATTTTGAATTATAAGCTAATTTATAACTGAGAAAGAATTGTCTGAAATATATTAAAGTCATAATGATTAAGCCTTAAGAACTCAGGAAAAAAATATTCTCACCGTCTGTCTCCAAGCTCTGAGCCTCTGCTTTCTGAGAAAGAAAATTGAGAAGGCTGTTGAAAAGTAGCTCTGATGTCATCCGGAGTCTTCAGATTCCCTGTCCTCCTTCAGTCAAGTGTGCATCTTAACAAGAGGGAAAAGATAGTTTGGCATCTATTCCAAACCAGATTCTGGAATACCTTTTGATCAAGTTCAACTTATCCCATTACCTTTTCTTGTTCAAGTTCAATGCAAAAGTAGTCATTTGACAGAAAAATATCAATTGTTTATGAATGCTGGTTCATTAACAGAAAGCAATAGATCTCTGCTTTCTAGGTAATAATCGATAAAAGTAGCTGCTTCAACAAAATAAGCTGTGAAAAAGGTTTATAGTTGCTAGGATGTGTTTATTAACCTTTGTTAATTTCAAATTTCTTAGCGTGCTGTGCTAAATTAATTAATTTACATACAAAAAATTATAAATCCTCCTAAACGTGTATTTCTTAAAAAAAAAAAAAAGAATAGCTATAGTTTTCTTATATGGAACTTTTTCAGTTTCAAAATACCAAGTATGTAATCTTTGCAGCAAAAAAATTGGTAATAAATATCAAATGCCCTATATATCCATGAAAAGATTTACACAACAATGCCCAAAGTAGATTTATTTTTAATAGTCAAAAACTGGAAACAACTGAAATGCCCATCAATAGGTGAATGAATCATATGGTATATCCATACAATATAATTTTACTACTCAGTATCAAAACAGAATACACACAACACATACGGAAAATAAATATGGATGAATCTCAAAATAATTACCCTGAGTGCAAGAAGCCAGACAAAAAGAAACATATTTTGTGTGATTCCATTTGGATAACATTCCAGAAAACGCAAATTCATCTATTGTGAAAGAAAATAGATCAGTGAGGTTGCCTGGGGATGAAGGATGCCCAAGGGAGGGATTACAAAGAAATATCATCTTAATGGTGATGATGGTTTCACAGGTGTACACACATGTCAAAACTTGTCAGATTGTTCCTTAAATATGTGCAGTTTATTCATCAATTATACCTCGATAAAACTGTAACAAAAATTAAATGCCTTAACATGTTATATGTCCGTTGATGCAGCAATTCCATGTCTAAGATTTATCCTAATTAAAAAAATCATGGAGGATAGGTGTAAATATTTAGCCATAAGGATGTTCAAAATACATATTATTATATTTGTGCAGTACATTGTATACAGCCATAAAACGTCAAAATGAAAAAATTAGAAATAGTTAAATAAACTACAGTATATTACATCATGGAATATTATGTAGTCATTAAAATATTATACAAGAAAATTAAATTATATGAAATTATATACTATATAAGTGATAAAAACAGGAAACAACATTATTTCAGCATAATTGAATTTTTGTTTTAAACAAAAGTAAATGCAGTAATTATTTCTGCATTTAGAGGTAATTGTTATTTTTTCTTTTTGCTGATTTGCATTTTCTAATTTCTCTACAGTAAATACATACATATTATTTTTCTAACAAACACCACAAATAAAATGATGCAAATAGGAAAAAATCTAAAATTTTCCACTCCCTAATACAAGTATAAAACTCCTAAGAGGCAGTGCACAATACAGATGTAGTTCTGAGCTATCACACGGCCACCAGCAGCACCCTACTAAATAGCTGTGGGAAAGAGACAGGTCTGACACATAAATGGGAGCATCATTAAGTGAGTAATGCTTTACCAGTTACAAAATGCTATCATGGACATGACTGTATTTGATTTTCACAACTCGGTGAAATGAGCAGAGATTCCATTTCATAGAGGAGCAACAGATACTGAGCAGGGCTGGTTAAGTCATATGCCCCAAATTATAGATCTTGGACTCAATTAAATCTTGACTATAAATTCAGATAGGAATTCTAAGAAGAGTAGGAAACAATCACTTGCCCTGATTATATATACCTAGAAGGATGTGATTCACACATCAACTTAACAATAACCATATGTGTAATTACATGAGTACTCCTATTAGAATGTGGTAGGGACCTCGGGAATTTCTGAAGTCTCCAATCCCCAGTCTCTGAAGTAATACTCAAGGCACGCCCATCTTCCCGTTATCAACATTATCTACCAACTCACTGAAATTCCAGTAGAATTTAACTGTTCAGTTTTCAATTACCTTTTTTCCTTCTTGAAAAAAGATTATAACCTTTTATTTTAAAGTTGGAACAAGAAAGTACCCATAACTATATTTGAGAATGCTGGCCGGGCGCAGTGGCTCACACCTGTAATCCCAGCACTTTGGGAAGCCGAAATGGGCAGATCATGAGGTCTGGAGATCGAGACCATCCTGGCTAACAAGGTAAAACCCCATTTCTACTAAAAATATAAAAAAATTAGCTGGGTGTGGTGGTGGGCACCTGTAGTCCCAGCTACTCGGGAGGCTGAGGCAGGAGAATGGTGTGAACCTGGGAGGCAGAGCTTGCAGTGAGCCAAGATCGCGCCACTGCACTCCAGCCTGGGCGACAGAGCGAGACTCCGTCAAAGAAAGAAAGAAGGAAAGAAGGAAGGAAAGAAAGAGAGAGAGAGAGAAAGAAAGAAAGAAAAGAAGAAAGACAAGAAAGAAAGAAAGAAAAGAGAAAGAAAGAAAAGAAAGAAAAAGAAAAGAATGAAGGAAGGAAGGAAGGAAGGAAAGAGAATGCTGCAACTAGTAATCTATAAATTGATTACTGGAACTTTAAAATGTGAACTTGTGGGCTAAATCTTTTTTTGGTCTGTGTATATAGATAAGAAACCCTACAAACTGGCATATTCTATAAAGAAAACCACCAACTCCTGAGAAGGGTAAAAGGAAATATCTCTAGAGGAACATTACTATTATCATTATTATTTTTATTTTTAGAGACGAGGATCTCGCTATGTTGCTCAGGCTGGTCTCAAACTCCTGGGTTCAAATGATCCTCCCGACTCAACCTCCCAAGTAGCTGGAACTGCAGGTGTGCACCACGGTGCCCAACTTAGAGGAACATTATTAATGAACTGGTCATTATCTGTTGATGACACCATGAGGAATCCTTACAGCTACTACTCTTACCAACACTCCTAGAACTAAGAGACTTAACAGGTAATGATAACTATAGTTTAATGAGCAATTACTATGTCTCAAACATAACAATAAGCCTTTTACAGATATAATCTTAAAAAAACCCTGTAAGGTGATTATTATTATCCCCAGTTTGTAGATGAGGAAACTGGGTTTAAGTTACCCCAAATCACAAAGTCAATAAGAGACTGAGGTGGAATTCAAATCCCAGTATTTTGGAAAAAGACAGGGCCTTGACAGTTCTCTGGAAAATAAATTCTGATTTTTCCCTACTACTGTTCATCTACAATGGTCTCAATTCAGGTAATGCAAAATACTTGGTACTAGCATATGAACTTAATGAGCCTACATTTTCCATGTAAAAAGTTAAAAGTATTCCGAGCCCACAATGTGTATTTGATATTTTGTCACATTCTAGAATTGTTTATGTTAATGGTTGGTCTCTACTAAGACACTCTCCTTCTGAGACAAATATATGACCACACAAAAGATAAATTAAAAGAATATTTAAATAAAACCAACAAAAGATAACACAAAATAAACTACTCTAACATTAATACTTAAAGTTTTCCTATATTAATAAGTGAGTAAATTAGCCTTCAGTTCAAGTCAGTGAAACTGAATATGCCAGATGTGTTCTGAATCATGACAAAAGAAGCATGTCTAATGAATAAGAAAATTTTAAATAACTTCATCATAATTATATTATGAAATATTATACAATCTTTAAAATGGATGTTTTCAAAGATCCATTTATTTAATAATGTGGTAAAATTATCACAATACAATGCTAAGAAAGCAAGATACTATTCATCTGAGTTGAACAAATTGCTAAACAAATTAGAAGGCTAGACACTATGCTAGGTGTTGGAATTACAACATGAATAAGACGAACACAGTTCCCATGGGAAAGAGACAGGAAAGAAGCAAACAGAAAATAAAATAATTGAAGATTTCAAACAAAGCAAGAGGTAGAGAGGAAGCTATTTTACATAAAGTGATAAGGAAAAGCAAAAGCTTCTCTGAGAAAATGACATTTAAGCTGAGAAGGCCCTAGTCATACAAAGAATAAAGTGAAGAGAATTTCCAATAAAAGAAATAGTGTATGCAAAGGACGTGCCTGCTTAAGGAACTGAGAGATGACCAAAGTAGGTAGTAATGAGCAAGGAAAAAAATGGTAACAAATTAGGTCAGAGATGTGAGCATAAAGGATGATCTCAAATTTGTTTTTTAATGTGTTACCCCACACACATATACACACACCATACTGAAGGGACGGAGAACACAATGATAACAGTGATATTCTAGATGGTAGGAAAAGGAGTTGGGGTTATTTTCCCTTAATATTTCCACATGCTCCAAAATAGGCTGCATAAACATTACAATGAGAAAAAATATGGCTAGAACTTCCAGTCTAGTGTTGAAAAGAAGTGGTGAGCGCAAACATTCATGCTTTGTCCCCATTTTACGGAGAAAAAATTCCACCTTCCACTATTAATTATTATACAGCTGTAGTATATAATACAGCTGCTATTCCCTCTTCCCTATGTGTAGTTTGTGAGTTTTGTTTGCTTTTATCACTGATGTGTTGGATTTTGTCAAATGATTTTTCCTGTATCTATCGAGATAATCATGTGAGTTTTTACTCTTTTATGTGGGTTTTTAGTCTTTTAGTCTATTAATAATATATTATTATATTTATAATATATATAATTACTATATTAATTGTTTCAGTGTTAAAACAATCTTTCCTTTCTAAGATAATTGCCTACAACTAATATCATACTAATGGTGAAAGACTGAATGCTTTCCCCACCTAAGATCTGAAGAAGACAAGGATATCTGATGTCTACTCAGTGCAACAAATATAAAGATAGATAGACTGAAAAAGAAGTCAAAATTATCCTTATATGCAGGTAACATGATCTTGCTTGCCAATAACTCTAAGGACTCTACAAGAAACCCAAAATAATTAATAAAAAAAAGTTCAGAAAGGTTTATGACAAGATCCACAAACAACTGCATTTCTTTTTTTTTTTTTTTTTTTTTTTTTTTTTTTTTTTTGAGACACAGTCTCACTCTGTCGCCCAAGCTGGAGTGCAATGATGCAGTCTTGGCTCACTGCAACCTCTGCCTCCCAGGTTCAAGCAACTCTCCTGCCTCAGCCTCCCAAGTAGCTGGGATTACAGGCATGCACCACCATGCCTGGCTAATTTTGTATTTTTAGTAGAGACGGGATTTCACTATGTTGGTCAGGCTGGTCTTGAACTCCTGACCTCAGGTGATCCACCCACCTAGACCTTCCAAAGTGCTGGGATGACAGGCATAAGCCACCACACCTGGCCATTAAATTTATTCTTAAGCTTTATTCTTTTTGTTACTCTTGTGGCTGAATGGAATTTATTTTTGGATGGTTTGTTGCCAGTATATAAGAAACGCAGCCAGGCACGGTGGCTCACGCCTGCAATTCCAGCACTTTGGGAAGCAGAGGCAGGAGTAAAACATGTGCACTCAAAACTACAAAACACTGTTGAGGGAAATTAAAGAAGACTTGTTTATTGGAACAAAGATTCAGTTGATTGAAAGATCCAATATTACTAAGACGTCAATTCTCCCTACACTGATCTACCTAAATGCCATCGTAATCTTTTTCTAGAAATTGGTCCTAAAATATATATGAAAGTATAAAATACCAAGAATAGTGAAACAACTCTGAAAAAGTATGAAGCTGCAGGACTTAAACTTATCTAATCTCAAAACATACTATAAATCTATATGGTAACCAACAGTGTTGGTCCTGCTATAAAGATACACATATAGACAATGGAACAGAATAGAGTCCAGAATAAACTCCCATTCATAGTCATTTGATTTTCGACAAATATGCCACTGCAATTAAAATAATAGTCTTTTTAATACATGGTGCGGTACAGTTAGATATCCATATGTGAAAATAAATAATTAAGTGTAAACCTGTATCTCTCAACATACAAAAATAACTAAAAATGGATTATAGTCTGAATTGTAAAAATTAAAACACAACTTCTAGAAGAAGGAATAGGATAAACTCTTATGACCTTAAGTTACAGAAATATTCCTTAAATAAGAAAACAAAAGCACAATCCATTTAAAAAAATTAAAAATGGAATGTCATCAAATTGAAAGATAATCCACAGAATGGAAGAAAATATATGCAAATCATATAACTGATGAAGATATACTATACAGCATATATTAAAACCCTTTGAAGTCAGCAATAAGATAAACTAACCAAATTGTTTTTAATGGACTAAAGATTTAAAGGTACTTCACCAAAGAAGACATGTGAATGTTTGGTAAACACATAAAAAGATGCTCATTGTCATCCACTAAAGACATGAAATACTAGTAAAATCACAATGAGATCACATTACACACTCACTAGAATAGCTATATTAAAAAAAAAAAAGACTGAAAAAACTCAAAGGTTGGGGAGGACAGGAAGAAACTGAAACTCTCCTCCATTGCTGGTGAGAATGTAAAAATGGCATAACCACTTGAAAAACAGTTTGGTGGTTTTTCAAAAAGTTAAACATACATGAATGTATAACCTTGCAATGACCCACTAATTGTACACTGGAGTACCTAAGAGAAATGAAAAATATATGTCCACAAAAAATCTGTCTACAAATGGTGATATCAGCATCAATCATAATAACCAAAAACTGTAAACAAAACAAATGCCCATCAACTATTAAAGGCAAGCATAAAGTGTAACCAACAAAAAAAGGGAATGAACTAATGATTCACGTCACCAAGGATGAACCTCAGAAACTTAATGCTTAGTGAAAGAAGCTAAATACGAAAGATATCTATATTGTATGATTCCAAAAAGATATCTATATTGTATGATTCCATTTATATATGAAATGTCTTAAAAAGCTGAACTGTATGTAGAGAAAGCAGATCACCTCCTGGGGCAGGAGAGGAGAACAGAGATTGGAAATGGGCATGAAAGACTCTGTGAAGACATGAAAATGTCCTAACGCCGGACTGTGGTGATGGCTGCAACATCTGAGTGCATTGACTCAAAACCTTCCAACTGAACACTTGCAGTGGATGAATTGCTGGATACATGTAAATTATACCTAAATAAAGCCATGAAAAACAAAAATAAAAATGATATATTACATACAAAATCATAAATTTATTTAAAATGAGTCCGATGTGCTGACAAAGGTCTCATATCCAGAGTTTACAAAGAGTTTAAATAAATTTACAAGAAAAAAAACATTAAAAGGTGAACAAAGACATGAACAGACAGTTCTAAAAAGAAGACATTCGTGCGGCCAGCAAATATAGATATAAAAGCTCAACATCACTGATCATTAGAGAAATGCAAATCAAAACCATAATGAGATAACCATCTCATGCCTGTCAGAATGGTGATTATTAAAGAGTCAGAAAACAACAGATGCTGGCAAGGTTGTGGAGAAAAAAGAATACTTTACATTGCTGGTGGGAGTGTAAATTAGTTCAACCATTGTGGAAGACAGCGTGGCAAGTCCTCAAAGACCTAGAGGCAGAAATAACATTTGACCCAGCAATCCCATTACTGGGTATACACCTGAAGGATTATAAATCACTCTATCATAAAGACACATGCACATGTATGTTCACTGCAGCACTATTCACAACAGCCACGACATGAAATCAACCCAAATGCCCATCAGTGATAGACTGGATAAAGAAAATGTGGTACATATATACCATGGAATACTATGCAGCCATAAAAAGGAATGAGATCATGTCCTTTGCAGGGACATGGATAGAAGCCATTATCCTCAGCAAACTAACGCGGAACAGAAAACCAAGCACTGTATGTTGTCACTTAAAAGTGGGAGCTGAATGATGAGAATACATGGACACATTTCTGGGGAACAATACACACTGGGCCTGTTGGGTGGGAGGTGTGGGGGGAGGGAGAGCATCAGGAAGAATAGCTAATTGATGCTGGGCTTAGTATCTAAGTGATGGGTTGATCTATGCAGTAAACCACATGGCATATGTTTACCTATGTAAAAAACTTGCGCATCCTGCACATGTACCCCAGAACTTAAAATAAAAGTTGAAGAAAAAAATGAGTCTGATGTAAAATACACTGCCACTTCTCTCATTATTTTAAATAACAATCATACTTTAAGATAAACCTAATGTATTACAATTACTCTTTGGAGAATGCAAAAGTAGAATTAAGATGACTATCCACCTTCTTCATACACTACTGGTGGGAATGTAAAATGCAGTGTAGCCACTAAGGGGAACAGACAGTTCCTTAAAAAGCAACATCAAGTTACGACGTGACCCAGGAATTCCATTCCTGTGTATATACAGAAGGGAAATAAAAACCTGATGTCCATCCACTGATAAGTAGATAAAATGTGATAAATCCATACAGTGAAGTATTATTTAGTCACAAAAAGGAATGAAGTGCTGACACATGCTACAACATAGTCAAACTTTATTACGCTCAGTGAAAGAAGCCAATCACTAAAAATCACGTGATCCCATTTCTATGGAATGTACAGAATAGGCAAATTAATCTAGACAGAAGGATCGGTGGTTGTCTAGGGCTGGGGTGGGAAGGGATGGAAATGGAGAGTGACAGCTAACAGGTGTGGAGCTCCTTTTAAGATCATGAAACTGTTAAAAAAAGACTGTGGTGTTGGTTACACACCTATGTGAACATAAAAACTACGGAACTGAACACTTTAAACAGGTGAATTTATAGTATGTAAATTATATCTCAGTAAAGCTATAAAAATGACTATTCACCTAATACTTATTAAAACATCAAAAGTAATTTCAGGGTAAAAACCTAGATCTCTAATCTTACTTGTGTGCTTTTGAAGTTATGTCACATTTATCAGAACAGTTTGTTAATATTCAATTAATTCTGGCTAAATATTAGAATACTTTTTTTAAATAAAATCAACTGTATTTTTGTACACCAGTAACAAACAGAAAACAACATTTAAAAAATATCCAACAGCAAAGCATACCTAGGAAGAAAAGTAACTTGTAAATACTGCATGCTCAATATAAATAAAATATATTGGAAGGCATTAACAACGAAACCTAAATAATCCAAATAAATGGAATGACACACCATGTTTATTATATAAATACTCAGTATCGTAAAATGACAATTCTTCCCAAATTAAACAAATGCCTTTAATGCAATGCCTATCAAAATGTAAAAGGTTTAATAAGTTGATTCTAAAATTTGCATGGAGCAGCAAAAGCCCATGAAAGAGAAAAAATCCTACCACCAAAAGAAAATAGTAGGAAACTTGCCTTGCCAGATACCAAAATGTATCATAAAGTTCTAATAATTAAGCTAGTGCGCTCCTGGAAAGGAGAAAAACAAATTGATTGCTGGAGAAGTAGATCATCACACAGAGAAAATATTTGACAAAAGTTACACTTTAGATCTCCAGAGAACGGAGACATCATTCAATAGTGTTGAAACAACTGGTTACCCATCGTGGAGGCAAAAGTGGATTCCTGATGTCTAACATATAAACAATAAATTCCAGAGGGATTAAAGGTTTAAATAGAGAAGGCATGTCTTTAATATTTTTAAAACAAAATATAAGAGGATATCTTTATGATCTCATAGTAGGAAACGTTTCCTTAAGACACAGAAAGGTTAACTATATGCAAAGCGTTAAGATTAATAAATTCAAATGCATTAAAATTGAAAACTTCATTCATCAAAAATACAACAGAAGATGAAAAATGAACAACACCATAAAATACACTGCCAAAAACATTGGGGGTTGGTGTGATGGCTCACGCCTATAATCCCAGCACTTTGGGAGGCTAAGGTGGGTGGATCATTTGAGGTCAGGAGTTCGAGACCAGCCTGGCCAACATGGTGAAACCCCGTCTCTACTAAAATACAAAAATTAGCTGGGTGTGGTGGCAGTCACCTGTAATCCCAGCTACTAGGGAGGCTGAAGCAGGAGAATTGCTTGAACCCAGGAGGCGGAGGTTGCAGTGAGCTGAGAACGCATCACTGCACTCCAGCCTGGGCGACACTCTGTCTCATATACACACACACACAAAACTTTGGTATCCAGAGTGTGTGTGTGTGTGTGTGTGTGTGTGTGTCTGTGTGTGTGTGTCCTATAACATTTTAATTAAAAATGGGCAAAATAGAGAGGGGGTAGCCCTAATAAGAGGAGTCAGAGAGCTCAAGCAGGATGAGGTTGGTGTCACTGTGGAGTGGAAGAAATGATGTGGTATGGGGAATTCGAGCCCAAGCTCTAGATCTGTATTGTTCTTGTTATTGTATGTGTTATTTTAAAATTTTAAAAAATTTAAGACATAAAAGTATTTAATGTAAAGTTTTAAGTATATAATGTACGAAAGGTATGAACTCGCATTTCACGAAAGAATACACTAATGGTGAATAATCACATGAAAAGATGTCTAACCTTATTGTCAATCACAGAAAAGCAAATCAAGACCAATAAGATGCCATTTTGCATCCAATAAATTAAGAAAAGGGTGGTTTGAGGTGAGCAGGATGACAGAGAAGTCCTTGCACAGGAGTGGTCCAGCACTGGGTATCAATGCCCAAGTTGGAGCAGAAGGGCATCCACAAAAAGATGCACTGTGGTGTGCAATGTAGAAATCGATGTGGGGTGAGAACGGCTTCCACATAAAGGGGCTTTGAGGCTCAAGTAAAACTAAGGGGCAGGGTGAGGGACAGGAGAAATGGCAGATTGACTACATACAGGGAGAATGATCAAATAAAGTAACACTAAGGATCATGGTAGTCAGGTTTCTCACTATAAGAGGAGGTACAAAAAGGGAAGGAAATATAATTGAAGCCTATAGGATTGGAATGAAATTAGAGATATCAGTATGATCAAGGGATGACATGTCAAAAAGATACTGAAGGGGGTACTGCTGGCAAAATCAGGGACAAGATGGGCACCAAAATAAGTTACAATAGTAACGGATTACAGCTCACTGAATAAAATACGGGCTCATAAGCACACACTGATACAAATAAATTAACTAAAACTGTGATCAGGAAAGGGATTTTACATAGTTTCAAAGCACCTGCATGCAAAATAATTATTAATTACAGAGGGAAAATGAGTAATTTCACAGTAGATGAAATTAGCAGACACCATCTTAATCAAGTAATCCCAGTGAAAAGTCAACAGTAATGGGTCAAAATGAAATTGTATGCCACCGCAGAGGATGCAAAGAGAAGACACAGTATCACTTCTGTGATATTCCTGCTCAATATTCATAACATGGATCTAATCATGAGGAAACAGAAGACAACCCTAAAGGAAAAGATATTCTACATAATTACGGGCCGACATGGTCTTCTAACATGCCAGTGTCTTTAAAGTCAAAGACTGAAGAACTGTTCCAGACTGTGGGAGACCAAAAAGATGAGACAATAAAATGCAAAGTGTGATTCTAAATGGAATCCTTTTGCTGAAAAGGACATTATCGGGACAACCTGGAAACTTGAATGAGCTCTGACGATTAGATAGTAGTGATGATCAATGATTTTGATGGTTTTGTTGTGGTTTCCAGGACAAGGTCTTGTTTCTTTCTGGGAAACACACACTTGTTTATTCATGGGAAATAAGTCAACAGAGGAAAAAAGTTCCACTGTATTGTACGTGTAACTTTTCTGTATGTGTTACTTTAAAATTAAAAATATGTAGAATACAAATGCATAAAAAAACAGTTTTGAGTACATAATGGGCATAGGACATAATAAGAATTTCATAAGATAGTACACCAATGATGAAAAAACACATGAAAAGATGTTCAGCCTCATTCGTTATCACACAGAAAAGTAAATCAAGATCATAATACGATGCCACTGTATCTACTAATTTGGAAAAAGTTAAAAAGTCTGACAATTCTTAGATCTGACAATGATGTAGCTCAACAGAAACTTCTGATATATTATTAATGAAATGTAAACTGGTCTGATAACATTGGAAACAACTTCATATTATTTCATATAATTGAGCATTCTTTACATATCTACTCTTGGGTATATACCCTAGAGTCTTGCACATCTTCTTCAGAACACATATAAAAGAACGTTGACATCAGCAATGCTTATAATAGTCATACATATGTGTGTAAATATAAGTACACCTATATATGTATGTAAGTATATCAACATAGGTATATCAAAAACAAAACAAAACAAAACAATAACAAACAAACGAAAGGACCCAGCAACCATCCAAATGTCCACACAGAGGGGAAGAAATAAATACACACAATGGAATATTGCCCAGGAGTGGAAATAAATGAACTATACCTACATACAGCAGTATAAATAAATTTCAAAAAACCAATATAAGTTGAAAAAACAAGTCTCATAACTGTACATATTAAATAACTTAAAGAGTGTAACTGGGTTGTTTGCAACTAAATGTATAAATGCTTGAGGGGATGGACACCTCATTCTTCATGATGTGCTTACTTCACATTGCATGCCTGTATCAAAACATCTCTGTACCCCATGAATATATACACTTGTACCCACAAAAACTAAATTAAAAAAAAATTTGAAACAGCAAGTATCCGAAGACTTCATACAGAATGCTACCATTTTCGCAAAACAAAAACATAAAGTAACATATTACTTAAAGATTAATGTAAAAACCAGTATTATTTAAAAGGCAGTAAATGATTAACACAAAATTGAAGAAAGCGGTTGCAAGACACCAGGGGCAAGGAGAGCAACATATCGACAGATTCAGCTGTGGTAGTTAAGTCTGATTCTATGCTCGATGGTAGGTTCTTGGCAGATCACTGTCATATTGTGCCTCATAATTCAAATACATTCCTGTTTATACCAAGGGTTACTTACATAACAGAAAACAAGTGGCTATATTGTGGCAAATCAGAGCTTTGACAAGTATCTTGTTTAGGTAAGCATCTTAATAATTTTCACACATGAACAAATGTTAACTGTTAGGTGACAGATTTTCTTTATTCTCCTTGTTAGAAACAAAACCAAAGGAGTATATAAAGAGATACACTCAAAAGAATTGAAAAACTGACTGGCAGATAAAAACTTATAGCTTGGTCAATCAAAGAATGAGGCTAATTCATATCTACCACCACTTTGGTCTCAAATAAAGCTAACATAAATGCTTGCTTACTTAATTACTGCGAACTTCAGAACTGTCTGATGAAAGATGATCATTTTGCAAAAATTACTTAACATGAGAAATAGGTAAACTGGAGTAATTCAATACACTTCAGGTTCTTAACAAAATGCATTTTCCCTCTAAATCTAAACGGGCTTTTTTCTCTCTACTTGGTCACACAGGCCAGCAATCATATATTCACCATGACAGCCAAAACTGTGATGAGAAATACTTAATCCATTTTAAAGAGCAAAGTTTACTTGCACAATAAATAACTCTTTATATTTATTATATGGTACTTCCATCTAAAAAAAATACAATTCAATTTTCTCAACAACCTTGCATTACAGGTAAAGCACACACTGTTAAGCAATAACCACTGCATGTAGTATAATACTTAAAAATATTTTAAATAAGTTAGAAATGTGAATGATACTCTAAATCAAATTTGCTATCCAAATACTTCTTGAGTATCTAGCATGTGAAAGGTACTTTATAAGGTGCTTTTTTGGCATTTTATGTGATGCACACGGATTGAAAATCTTAGCTACGTGCTGCATTCTTGTTAAATGCAAATGAGTACAATAATCTTGTTAAAAGACATCTCACACTAATTCCTCTTCAAAAGAAAGGGAGTGAGAAGCCATTCATCCTGATAAACTTGCATAAGATATACTGTACTGATTCTTTCTCTGGGCTTGGATTTCTTTTTAATGATGTGCTTGCACATTAACTACAGGCTACACAATACTGAGGAAGTTGGAGTGGGGTAAGATCGCCTATTTAATAACACATTTCCTTTAGAAGGATCATTGCTTCACGTTACAGAGGAAACAGTCATAAAACTACATCCACACCATTAGTCCTTGGGTTGTATTTCTTTTTGTATGTATATTTTTTACAAGGTTTGGGGCTGAAAAATCAGGCACTGATTCAAAGATTAAATAGATTTAATATGCAATTTTTAACACTAACGTAGGCACTAAATAAATGTACAGTGTACAAATGTTTATTTGAATACTCTTATTTTAAAATTACTTCCAGTGTTTCCCTGTGTTGTTCAATGGAACATAAAATATCCACTCCATATAACACTTAATTTTTCTATTTCCTATTCTTTATTGTTATTATTGAAATTACATACTTTTAAAAGTCATTTCCTATTATTAATGGTCAATATCGTTCTTTTAAAAAATATACATTGGTCCAAAAAGTATTTATATAAACAAGTGTTTATCTGACATCCCCATTTGGAGGTCTCCAAGCATTTCAAGTTTAATATGTCAATAACTGAGTCCCTGTTATTCCTAATCTCAGATCAGCTCCATTCTTCCAATTGTTCAGGCTGCCATCCGAGATGCCTCTCTTCCTCTCACACCCACATACAATCTTTTAGCAAATTCTGCAGGCTTTACCTTGGAATCCAGAATCCAGAATTCAGCTACTTCTTACTGTCCCCATTCAAGTCATCTCCTTCTCTCCTGAATTATCATAATGGCCGCCTCACTGGTTTCCTTGCTTCTGTTTTTGACACCTCTTTGGTCTACTTAACACAACTGCTGAAGCGATTCTGCTAAAACATGATATTGGGCCACTCTTCTGCTCAAAACTTTCTAGGGGCTTCCCCCTCTGACCTCATCTCCTGTGACCCTCCCTCACTCACCCCACTCCAGCCACAGGAACTTCGACTGGAATACTCTCCTTCCCAGAGGGCTGCATCACTAGCTCCCATGCTGACTCAGCCTCTACTCAAGTCACCCTCCGAGTAAGGCCTTCCCTGGGTGTCATCTAAAACTTCCTGGACATCTCCCCTGCCCCTGCCCTCAATACCCTCCATTCTCCTCTCTTTGCTTCAATTTTTATTTAGCACTTAATAAGATACCATAAATTGAATTGCTTTATCTTATTTGTCTATCTCACCAATAAAATGTAAGCTCCAGGAGGGTAGCAATTTTTTTTCTCTTTTGTTCACTGTTCTATCCCCAGGACTTAGAAGAATAACCGAAATACAGCAGGCACTCAATAAATATGACTGGGTAGGGTGCATAGTTCACACCCATAATCCCAGTGCTTTGAGAGGCTGAGGCAGGAGATTGCTTGAGCCCAGGAGTTTGAGGCTGTGGTGAGCTATGCTAACCCCACTGCACTCCAGCCTGGGCAACAGAGTCCCTGTCTCCAATAAAGGAAAACAAATAAATAAATAAATAAATAATAAACATGTCTGTACTTTGTGATCTCACCAGAGAGTCTGCAGAGATGAGCAAAACTCATATCCTCACCAGCTGTGACAAACACTGCAGTGACCTCCTCAAAAACACACTGTCCTCTTCCTTATCCACCTGTAGAAACTCACCCTCTTCCCCTCAGGAGGTGAATCCCAATTAAGTAAAGCCACTTGTGACAAATAATGTCTACTCTGATAGTAAGAGGCAGGGCTTAGGCATGGGTATATGATTTAATTATGACCAGTGAAGTTGACAAGGAAATGTGGGAAAATAGCCATCTTTCAACCATGAGGAGTGACATCACCAAGTCACTCAAGATGGCAGAGTAGAAAACAGAAAATACCATGTGGGACACTAATAAGATCATTATGACAATTCATTAACTGCCAATACTCCAAATTTTTTGTTGAGTGAGAAGATACACCCTTACTGTTTACTTTACTTGTAGTAAGGCCTTCTATTACTTATATTTTTATTAACACAGAAAAGTTTTTACGAATATTCACACAGTTTCCCACACTGGGTTAAGTCAAACTAACACGAAGTTGGATTGATTCCTCTGGTAGAAGTCAGGGGTTTTCCCTTTCTTCATGCTGCATGCCTAGACAACATGTCACATGACAATAAAACAAGATATTTCAATGGAAATCATATTTTCTCATAGGAATAATATGTTACAAACAGGGTTTCCTCTTAATTAAGAATTGAAAATAAACATATTACCAAAGCAAAGGCAGTACAAATATAGAGTTCTAATAAGTTAAATGGTAAAATTATGCTCCCAATGACTACATATTTAACAATGTTCTACAGAATAAGTGCTCACTCAGAGGGAGGAAAACATGGAAGGAGGGAGAGAGGAGGATAGGTGGTAAGGAGGGAAGAAGGGAGGTCCCAAGGCCAAATAAATTCAGGAAATGATGATTTAAGTTAAAATAGATCACGACATTCCCTTTCTATGTGTATACACTCTGGAAGGCGGTTGGAGGATCACTACCTTCCCCTTCTATGTGTGTACACTCTGGAAGGCGCTCGGAGGATCACCACATTCCCTTTCTATGTGTGTACACTCTGGAAGGCACTCAGAGGATCACCACATTCCCTTTCTATGTGTGTACACTCTGGAAGGTGTTCAGAGGTTCACCACATTCCCTTTCTATGTGTATACTCTGGAAGGCGGTTGGAGGTTCACTACATTCCCTTTCTATGTGTGTACACTCTGGAAGGCGCTCGGAGGATCACCACATTCCCTTTCTATGTGTATACACTCTGGAAGGCGCACGGAGGATCACCACATTCCCTTTCTATGTGTGTACACTCTGGAAGGCGTTCAGAGGTTCACCACATTCCCTTTCTATGTGTATACACTCTGGAAGGTGGTTGGAGGTTCACCACATTCCCTTTCTATGTGTATACACTCTGGAAGGCGGTTGGAGGTTCACCACATTCCCTTTCTATGTGTATACACTCTGGAAGGCGCTCGGAGGATCACCACATTCCCTTTCTGTGTGTATACACTCTGGAAGGCGCTCGGAGGATCACCACATTCCCTTTCTATGTGTATACACTCTGGAAGGCGCTCGGAGGATCACCACATTCCCTTTCTATGTGTGTACACTCTGGAAGGCGTTCAGAGGTTCACCACATTCCCTTTCTATGTATATACACTCTGGAAGGCGGTTGGAGGTTCACCACATTCCCTTTCTATGTGTATACACTCTGGAAGGCGCTCGGAGGATCACCACATTCCCTTTCTATGTGTATACACTCTGGAAGGCGCTCGGAGGATCACTACATTCCCTTTCTATGTGTATACACTCTGGAAGGCGCTCGGAGGATCACCACATTCCCTTTCTATGTGTATACACTCTGGAAGGCGCTCGGAGGATCACCACATTCCCTTTCTATGTGTATACACTCTGGAAGGCGCTCGGAGGATCACCACATTCCCTTTCTATGTGTGTACACTCTGGAAGGCGTTCAGAGGTTCACCACATTCCCTTTCTATGTGTATACACTCTGGAAGGTGGTTGGAGGTTCACCACATTCCCTTTCTATGTGTATACACTCTGAAAGGTGCTCAAAGGACACCACATTCCCTTTCTATGTGTGTACACTCTGGAAGGCGCTTGGAGGATCACCACATTCCCTTTCTATGTGTATACACTCTGGAAGGCGCTTGGAGGACACCATCATTCATCTGAGATGCTCCCACTCATCTCTGAAGTAATCCTAAGTTCAAAGTGGAGGAAGGAAGTAGGTCAGTGATAGTTTGACCCAAAGGGGTAATTTTGAGTCAAAGGGTTTTGATTTTTAGCTCAAAGCCAAGCCATTAATAACAAAGCCAGAACTATGACTATCCAAAACAAGAACTCTTCAAATTCTCACTACAACCACCTAACAAACCACACACTGCCTCATTATAAAAGTCTTAAAAACTTTGAAAATTCTAATAAACTCCTTGTACTATCAAGTAACTTACTGTAGACAAAATAGAAGATATTTTTTAAAACTTTCCTATAGGATAAACCTAACTCTATCCTTAACACAGTATCTGTAATATACAGTAATTGTTTAGTTATCAGTAGTTTTAGTAGCTGTCATTTTTGAAAAAATATTTGGATAAATGATGGCTCTAAAAAAAAAAACCGTTCGAAGTCACTGAAAAAAAGTAGGTATTTCCTTCAAAACCTTCTCACCATATTCTCTAATAGTAAACAAAGGCTTAAAGTTATTCTGTTGGTAAAACTTCAAAAAGCAGCAACTGAATCAATTTAACTAAGGACTTTAGTCCAGAGAGGATGTCTTGCTCATTGTAAGGTTGACTACAGAGGTCTACTGATTTCAGATCCAATCCCTGCTTCCTTCTGCTCTCCCCTGGTCACACTACATTCAGGAAATGAAGCAGGAGATGCAGCAGAAGGGTGAGTTAAGACTGGAATTAAAAGTCTGAAGCCACAGAAGGACCAAAAGATGTGTGTGATGTAAAAATGATTTTACAAAAATATAAAGTAGTCTGTTTGATTTCAAATATGGTTCTTTTAAATAATGGGCCACTGAGAAAGCTGAAAAATTAAAATGATCACCGGGCGCGGTGGCTCACGCCTGTAATCTCAGCACTTCGGGAGGCCGAGGTGGGTGGATCACGAGGTCAGGAGATCGAGACCATCCTGGCTAACATGGTGAAACCCTGTTTCTACTAAAAATACAAAAAATTAGCTGGGCATGGTGGTGGGCACCTGTAGTCCCAGCTACTCTGGAGGCTGAGGCAGGAGAATGGCGTGAACCTGGGAGGCAGAGCTTGCAGTGAGCCCAGATTGCTCCACTGCACCCCAGCTTGGGCGACAGAGCGAGACTCTGTCTCAAAAAAAAAAAAAAAAAAATACTGCATACTATGTGCCAGGACTACGTTAAATGCTTAACGTAGGCTTAATTCCTATATGGTAATTCTCAAATAACTCTATGAATTTATTTCCATTTTACAGATGAGAACACTGAGCCTTAGGGAGGTAAGGTGATTTGCCCACAGTCAACAATAGTAAGTAAGTGGCAGAGTTGGGGTTCATACCTAGATTATCTGGTCTTGTTCAAAACCACCACATCACAGCCTGTGTCAACTTCAATCCATTTACCCATAAACACTACTTTGGCTGAAATGCAGTTTCTTAAAGATTTTAAGTAGCCTCAAGTATACTTCTATACTGTAATGGTGACTTTCAACATGGAATGTAAGTTTTAAAACAATTATCGAGTGGGTTATTGTCAGTTATCATTATTAACTTTATTAATTAGACACTAGTAAATACCTGTTACAATACTGCTAAGACATACATTATTTCACTTAATCATTAATTGTAAAATAGATACTATCCAATTTTACAGATGAGGCTGAGAAGTTTGGTGACTTTCTCAGTTAAGGGGTAAATCTGGGATTCAAACTCAAGTCAGTGTGTTTCACAGTAAGGCATTCCACAATCACTCCCCAGTAAACCTCAACAGTGTGAGATCAATTGCCTTGGTCACCTGGTCTCCTGATCATTTCATGAAAAATTAACCATCTGTTTACAAATCATTCATCAAATTTCTTGTTCCTGGAGCTATGCTAAAGACACAAATATAATTACAAGTCCTTGCTGGACCCCACTAGACTCTTTAAATAAAAATATGTTCCTAGGGTCATCTAGATTCTGGCAATTTCTATTGCAAATTCACCAAATCCCTTGCTTTTGTTACTACCACAGGATAAACACCCTGAATTTCCCTTACTGGAATAAAGCCTGTTAAAACTTTTTGCAGGAAAATCTCTAGGACTTTTTAGGTATCAAAAAGCTGAGGAAATGTTGGTACTTTAAAATAAATCCTGACCCAGTAAGAACTGGCACTGAGCCTTTTATTTTCTTGCAGTCAGCAAAACTACAAACCTATAAAAATTCAAATAGTAGTTAAGGGGCATGCATTTTGAAGTAGTTCCATATGTGGTGAGTCACTTCCAAACTCATGCTTTATACTGAAAACTTTTTTTAACCTGGATATGTAGGCAGAAATCACTTTTAAAACCTATCACAGCCATACTATGAAACGAAAAGCAAGTCCATGTGGGAGTTTACTAATTGTTTCCCCTGAAAACTGTTTTCCTGGGGGGAAAAAATGAATATTATTATTGACTCCTATGTACCACCTTGCTTTATAGTTCAAACAAATTCAGAAACTGTTTTTCCTAACCCAGTATTGATCTAGATATTTGCAAAAATGAAATGAAAGACAGGTTAATCATCCAACAAACATAATACACAAGTGTGTATGAGGAGAGGAGAGCTGGAGGAAGTGGAAAGAACTAGGTCAGTAGGTGGCAGATGTTAAGTGGTTCAAACTTGAAAGGAATCCTAAAAGCATGGACCGAGGTTTGTGGAAACTCTTAAAAGTAAATGAACATAAAAAATAAAAAATAAAAATAAAAATGTGTGGAAGAAAGGTTCTAATTAGAAGGACATGGTGATTAAGTAAAACAGTGATCATCCAAAAACCTATTTTCTTTGTTTTGAAAAATACATTAGAATTAACAATATTGTCCATAACACATTATCTTTCTATAGCATTACACTGATGCACTTTATGTATTTCCTCATTTATTCTGCATAATATTCTTATGATGTAAGATGTATCCTCATCTTACAGATCAAAAAACTGAAGCTCAGGTTAACTGATTTACTAAGAGTATATGTGAAGATGCAGGGCTCAAATATAAATCTTAGGATTCTAAAGCCATCATTTTCCATACTATTCTATTTAACTGTGGCTGTGACAGTAGCTGCTCTTAATGCCTACTCAAGAGGTAAAAGAGAAATATACCCTTTGTTTTAAATTTTTTTAAAAAAATAACAATTACCTCTGCTTTTTCTGAAGAGAAAACAGGAATCCTTATATCTCAAATAAATGTTTTCTTTTAAAATACAAGTTTACAAGGTAATAAGTAGTATTCATGTGATAAGTTTATCAGAAACAAGTCTAAATGCCTGAGCCAATTTAAATAGTTCACATTTATTCATTTCATACAATGTTGCTATAAAAATAAAGTCTGTATAATTCTCATTTTACATTAAAGTAACCAAGATGAAGAGAGGTTATACTAATAAAAGGTTTAAAACTAAGAAAATAGCTTTCTGTGGTCACCAGACTAAGTTTAAATTGTATATGACTTTTTTTTTTTTTTTTTTGAGACAGAGTCTCGCTCTGTTGCCCAGGCTGGAGTGCAGTGGCGCGATCTCGGCTCACTGCAACTTCCGCCTCCTGGGTTCAAGCATTTCTCCTGCCTCAGCCTCCTGAGTAGCTGGGATTACAGTTGTGTGCCACCATGGCCGGTTGATTTTTTGTATTTTTAGTAGGGACGAGGTTTCACTGTGCTGGCCAGGCTGGTCTCAAACTCCTGACCTCGTGATCCACCCGCCTCGGCCTCCCAAAGTGCTGGGATTACAGGCATCGTGATGTATATGACTTTCTAACAAATACTGTAATGATGCTATTCATCCTTAATAGAAATCCATGGGAGTATTTAAATAATACAATAATGTTAACGATTTCTTATTTTCTGAAATTACTGCGAAAATGGCAAATTAGCAGTAACTCAGTAGAGGAGTATCACTATTAATACAAACTGCATGCCCATGTTTTTAAAACACTTACAAAAGTAACTTTAATAACACTCCTTGTGAGGTTATATCCATTTCTATGACAATAAACAGGCTGTCTTTCAGAATTTTTGTTTGTGATATGAATAAAGCCAGAAGATCAATATTTTTTTAACCTACACTGGAAAAAAATGCTGAATATTTTCTAAACTTTATGCCCTAGATAATAAAGGGCTGTGTATACTGCCCACATAATCTAGATGGCCAATAAAGTTAACTTCCCAAACCTATTCAGTTGCCAAAAGGGTATCCCAATTGCACATCATATTTTGTTACAGTAAAGAAGATTGAGAAACTATAATCATTTCCTCCTCCCAAATTCAGTTTCTGCTACTACTCCGTGTCACCAACATCTCAGCATTTAAATACATAAAACCACAGTCAGCCCAAATGTTCAGGGTCTATGTATGATTACAGAATTCATCTTTGCTTATGCTGCTGATTCTATGAAACTCATTTCCTCCTTTAACCTTTTACCATTTCTTTCTGTGAACTAAATTTACACCCACTACCCAGATATACATGATCTTCAGATTTTGGGGGTTTTTTTGGAGGGGGGGATATCTCTGAAAGTCAAACTTATTTCATTCTTAGATACTGTTCTTAGCACGAGAACCATGCCCTAATCAAATAAAAAAAAAAGTCACTATCCCCAATTCAGTCCCATTTAGAATCTCCACTAGCCAGGCAGGCTACTTAGCAATATTTAAAAAATACTCTTAAGAAATAGAATTGAAAAGGTTGGGTTTATCTTGAAGAAATTTAGGGAAATCTGTGAAATGATTCTTTTTTAAAAATATACTTTACCCCAATGTGAATTAAATATGAAAAACTAAGGATAAATTTTGGGAAGTTAACAAAACTTTTATCTTTGAAATTGTTACATTCTAAGCAGGTAATTTATTACTTTCACCAAAAGCGTTTGTACTTTCCCTCTTGATGAACAGCAAAGAATATTAAGTCTATAGTAACTTATAAGGAAATAATAAGCAAAATTTAAGCAAAATAATAAGCAAAATTTGTTTAGCTAACATATTAAATAAATTTTGCTTATTCAGGTAAGGAACATTAAAAGAGCATTCTACATATCACAGTAAGTTAAGTCAAAGAAATGTACATATTCAACAAAATAAAGTCTGAGTACTGTCATAATTACCCATATCACACTTTGCAACCTGTAAATTTCTAACACACATGATATCATTTCAAGTCTTCATACAAAGCACATGAAAAAACTGTTGCACAAATGTAAGTAACTTGCGTAATATAACAAAGATGAACTTTTATCTTTTTTGATCGTTTCTAAGCTTTAAAATTATATCAGGACACACTCTGGAGTTGTGTTTCACCAATACTTTGATTTATCACCCTATATGTGGGAGGCATCAAGTTGAGTGCTTTGTAAGTCACAAATTTATAAAAGATACAACCCCCTCCATCTAGAAGTTTATAATTTTGCTGCAGCGATGAATGAAACGCTATGAAAAATAAAGGCAGTGTGAATGGCATTCATCAACCACTAGGAGAAAGTAGATGGGAGCACATGTTCCCTTCTGTCCGAGTGATCATACAAATCACAGGATGGATGGCCTTTTGGTAAAAGAAAACTAGTAGGGTTCAAAAGACATCTGAGCTGAAGATAGCAAAAATAATGTGGCAGAATAAGAAATGTGCAATTAACATGCTTAAGGAAGGGGCAAACCAAATATTTGATCATGAGATATGCAAGGAACCAGGTAGAAATAGGACTTGTCTTATCTTGTGAGCAAAGGTCTTTGTTCAGGGTAATAATAATTTTCTGCAGAAAGTTTTACTTTGCTGTGTAGAATGTATTGGGTAATAAAAACTAAAAGGCAAAAGACCAAATAGAAAGTTACTGCAGTAACTATCTAATAACTATCTAATAATCAGAACGTAATAAAGCCTGAATTTGGAAAATGGCAGTGGAAAGACAAAGAAACCAAAACTCATAATTCTTCCTGTTCCAATGAAAATGATTATTGACATAGTCATAATTAGGGTTGACTGCAATCAAATGTTAAATATGTAAAGGTGTAATATAAAACCAAGAACCTGCCAACAGACTTTCAGGAAAGACTTTGATCACATTTATCATCTCATATTTATCCTACAATGTAACAAACATTATAATGTCCCCTTTGAATGTATTCTAGGGTACCATATACCATAACTTGGTATGTCTTTAATTAAATTTTTGTACTATTTTAAAAACATTTATTGTAGTTGACCTAAAAATAAAACTTTGAGAACTACAATTAGATACCACCTGTATAAAATGAAAGCCAAACTATACTTCTCTTTCCAAAGAGGAAATTTGGAAAAATTACTTTCCAAAACCTTTTGAGCTCTGCCTGATCTATACTAAGATACCAAAATATAATGTATGTCTCCTATATTTTACAGAAACAGAAGAAATCTTTTATAAATGTACTTCTCAGACTGATTACCAACATAATTTTATTATCCAAATGAAAAAAACACATATTTATACCTATAAGAAAAATTACCTGACCATAATAATAAACCCTATTTTTTGAAAACTTCATATTTACATATTACCTTTCAAAGGGATGTGTATGTCAGTTTGATGAAAAAAACTACTTTCAAATTATTCAAATCATCCAAATGTATTCTTATGCTTATAACTTACAATTTTTGTTTTCATTTCCTTTAAATATTCCCTGCCCCAGAAAACCTATAAAGGCAAATTTTCAGAAATAAAAAAAAATGTGTATCTTCTCCATGCATTCAATAAATAACTAGTCTATAAACAGGTATGTCCTCCTTCTAGATGCTCAGCCTCAGACTAGCTTCTTCAGATTTATTAGTAACGAACGCAACAGAAATTCTTGCCTTCAGGGAGTCCCAATTTTAGAAAGATTAAACAATAAATAAACTATACTTTAAAAAGAAACACAAATTTCATTGTATTTTTAAAGGTGTTAAGTGCTTGGAAAAAGAGAACAGCATAAAGGAGAGAGGAAAAAGAGGAGGCTTCCGTTTTGAATTGTGTGGTCACCAGGGTGGGCTTCACTGAGAAGACGCCTTTTCAGCTAATGCAAGGACTTTAGTTTTATACCAAGTGAGGTGAAGGCTTTTAAGCAGAGAAATGATTTTCTTTTCTTACTACCCAATAAGAATTGAGTGTCAACAAGAGTACCAATTTCATTTAAGAGTGTGGAGGTAGTATTATCAAAAATGTGTTGGGGGTAGGGCTATAAAACAACCACTGTATCCCAGATCTGGGAACCAAAACAAGCACTAAAGTGTGATTATGCCGTTTATTTCTCAAAGGGCTATTCCCTCCACAATAAGTTTCCATATTGACTGTTCTCACAGGTCAATAGTCCCTTATCCACATTCCCAATTTTGAATACCAAGAAGCTTTAAAACCCAATTTGGTGGCAAAATCAAACCCACATTAATGTGAGATGGTTTATAGTCTTGATTTATCCCATTTGGCAAAAATAAACATGAAGAAACATTAACCCTCAAAATTTAGGTAACCTTTAAATATCCTAAGTAATGAGAAGTCATAGGCACATCTATATGTACACATACAAACTATCTGTAAACTTCCCTATTTTATTAAATATGGTGGAGTTACAGCATACAGCAATTTATCACATTCAATTAAGCCAGCCATGCTTTTGAAAAAAGAAAAACACACTTCCCCTAAAAGTAAAATTCTACCTAGTATAATAGAAGCTGGAATAAGATGGAAGATATGAATCTACTGTTACAGATTTTGATTTTTTAGTTTAAAGATATGTATCTGTCATTCAACATGCCCCCTAAACACTGGCTAATTGATTTATCTGATGTTCAACCAAAGAAAATGCTACTTATTCCAAAATAGAAGGAAAAATAGGCTGTTTGAAACTTACTGAAAGATGGTACTTCAGCATTTGACATGGCACCTTTCTACTGGATTTTTAAGGGTAATTTTAACTAGTCATGAACTTGACTAAAGCACTGTCTTTTAAAAACCCAAAATGTAACTCTATAGCTGTGCTGTCTAATACAGCAATCACTAGACACATGTGGCTACTGTGCACTTGAAAGATGACTAGTCAGAATTCAGAGAGCTGTGCGTCAAAACACACACCAGCTTTCAAAAATTCAGTACAGATTTACATTATTTTTCAATGCAAAATATCTCATAATTTTATATTGATTATTCATTGAAAGGATAACATTTTGCAGATACTGGGTTAAATCAAATATATTATTAATTTCACCAGTTACTTTTAACCATAGCTACTAGAAACTTTAACATTTAAAATTTAAACTTACATAATGTAGCTCACATTATACTTCTAGTGAACAGCACTGCTCTATAGGAAAGACCTAGAAAAAGATTAATTTTTCAAATACTTATATGCTAGAATGAATAATATCAATTTTAATCACCAGAATAATAAAAACACAAAGGTCACAAGAAACGCTTGTCAGGAATGCTGAAATAAGTGTTTTGTGACTCAAAAGTATCTATTACTTTAAATATTCAAAGAGGTGTCCAAATATTCAACTAATAAAAAAAGCCTTCAATACATGTTATGCCTGATTTGCTTCAAAATCCACTTTCAGTATTTCAATCATACGATCATAAGTACATAGAGGAGGATATTGTGTCCTAGTTTCATTCACTAGGGTTAGAACAAACCCAGGTTTTGTGAGCCAAATACATATTATAATGGAATCAGAAAATAGGTAACTTATTTTTTAATAGATGGGAAAATTTAAATAACTCCTAAGAAACAACTTTAGAGTTTACATTAAGTCAAAGAAAAATAAGTCTCTCTAATTATAAAACCTACCATTAACAAAAGACACACTGATTGACATTTCCTAAATATTCTTAAAAGCACTGTAAGTACCTATTACTCTAAACACATGCACATCCCACCACCCAGCAGTTCCACTCCCATGCTTACACTGTACTCATGAGAAATGAAGGCTTATTTCTACCAAAAGACCCAAAAAAGTTCACAGCAGCCTTATTTGCAGACACAAACTCGAAAGAAAACTAAATGTCCACTTACAGTGGAATGGATAAATGGTGGTATAATCATAGAATAGAACATAGACAATTTAGGGGGAAAAAACAAATAACATACACAACATGGATGACTCTTACAGACATAATGTTGATAAAAAAAGACACTGATGAGTTCATACGACATGGTTCCAACTTTATATAGTTTAAAACAGGCAAAACTAATCTATAGTAAAAGACGCCAAAGACTATTCCTGTTAGGTAGAGGCAGGATCGATTAGAAAATACACAAATTACAATAAGCCTTCTGGAGTAGGGTGCTAGTTACTCAGACTATACTTACATAAACAACAATCAAGCTAGCAAATAAGGGTGTCTATTTGATTACATGAAGTTACACTTCAGGAGGTTTTGTATAAAAATAAGAAACTTCTTCTTAAAAGGACCTTATGCATTATGATTTCTTTTCAAAATAATTACTTAAAACTAATTCCTATCTTGAATATACATGGGAATTTGTCGATTTAATCCTTCAGCTAAACTTTCAATTTCTTTGCAGTTTCTTTTTAATAAGAATAACTATCAACTCTATTGAAACATACCTTTAATTTTGAGATATGATAACCTTTCATGAATTGATAATTCATATTAGCATTAAAATTATAACTTCCATCTTTATAGCTAAGTGTGAATGTTTATACGAAATATTTATAATAGTTCATTCTCATCTTTAATTTGAAAAGATAACTCTGAATTCCATAAAATCCAGTTTCTGATCATATAATTTATTTTACTGATAAAGTATATTTTAAATTTAATTTTTTGGGTTCATTTACAAGTTCTTTCACAGACCTAATTTGCTTATTTACATTTCTTATTTGCTTTTGCCTTTCCCCCGTAACCGACAAAAAGAGGAAGAATATGCTGGTTTGCCAATAAATAATAATCTTAAACACAGAGTTTCCATTTTAAAAGTTCAATGCAGCATGCTGGGGAGACTTATTAAAAGACTGTATTCAACCAACCCTAGAAATTCACACTGCTTGACAGTGATTAAGAAAATCGGTAAAAACCAATTTTTGTATTATTTCATATGAATAAAAATCATGAATATTCAGCTAATAAAGTTACATCTGTATTATAGTAAAAGAAGGTGGCCAATTCACTATAATCTTAACAAATACATTATTTTATTGCATGTATTTATGCATCCTTCCTTCATCTGTTTCTATCCCAAGCAAGACAGCTGGCAAAAGTTTTTGAGAAGGAAAACACAAGATACAGAGGAGGTATAAGGTCGAATATTAAGAAGGATGCCTTGGATATAGATCAAGAAGACTATGTTCACCACTGACATTAGTCAAATTGGCTGGCATATCCATATGTGATCTATGAGGTATGCTATGGCCTGAATGTTGTGTCTCCCCAAAATTCATAAATTGAAACCATATTTGCAATGTGAGGGTAATTTGGAGGTGGGGCCTTTGGTGAGTGATTAGATCATGAGGGCAATGCCCTCATGAACAGGATTAGTACCCTTATAAAAGAGGTCCCAATAATTCTCTGGCCACCTCCACCCATGTGAGGTTACAGTGAGAAGTCAGCCATCTATGAGGAACAGGCCCTTACTAAACATTAAATCTGCTGGCACCTTGGTCTTGGACTTCCCAGCCTCCAGAACTGTGAGAAATAAACCTCTATGGTGTATAAGCCTCCCATCTATGGTATTTGTTACAGCAGCTCAAATGGACTAAGATAAGGTACAAAAGACAAAGCACAAAGTGAGTAAGTTTCTCAACAGATGATTTTAACATAACCTTCCTTCCTAGTAATATGTCACATGTCCTGACACTCTGGGCCTACAAGCAGATAAATTATTATGCTATACCAATCTATCCACAAATGATAATGCAAAGAGAGAATTTCGCAAATGGATGTTCGGAGGCAAAACCAGGTGGCCTGGCTGAGTCTGTCCACGGACTCTGATGACAGACTGATCCAAATGCAGATGGCAGCTGATCCCTACACTAGAAGGTAGAGCTGTCACAGGCAGGAAGACTTTTAAGACTGCCTGAATGTTTCAGGTATACTTCACACTGTCTTAGATAAAAAGGAACTTTATGTATCTCATTTTCAAATCAAGACATTCTTTAAAATAGTTCTATAGTAGTAAAGTAAAATGTAAATACCTCAGTGTTTAAAATAGGTAAAACTGGTTTACTCTAAACCAGACGTTTTATTCGCTTACACAAAATTTTGATTTACCAAAATTGAAATATAACCTTCTTTGTGACAAATGGCAAGGTAGTTTATCCATATCTAAAAGTTAAAGAAAAATAACAAAATGTGGCATAACAGTCTTACTTTTCTACAATTGGAAAGGCTTGATAACATTTTTAAAAGTGGGGCAATGAGACAAAAGACAATACCTTCTGGCTGTGTTTCTCCCAAATGTTAAAATAATGAGTCCTGAGAACAGTTCTGAAATAGCTCACAATCCAAACACTTCCTGAAAATTAAGAGAAATAAGTGTTACTTCAAGTGCACCTTATCTCAAAGATTTGTTTTACAATGGAATTTTAACTACTAACTAAATCATCTCAAAAAACAACAAAAAAGATGTATTACAAGGTAAAAAAAAGTATTCATATTCTTCATGATACATGCTTTCTTTGGACATAGTTGTTGACCACATGTAACAAAACAGCTTTCATTACAGAATTATTTGCCAAAATACACTACCCAATTGTTTTTTTGTTTGTTTGTTTTTTGAGGTGGAGTCTCCCTCTGTCACCCAGGCTGGAGTGCAGTGGCGTGATCTCGGCTCACTGCAACCTCCGCCTTCCAGGTCCAAGCGATTCTCCCACCTCAGTCTCCCAAGTAGCTGGGATTACAGGTGCCCAGCACCACGCCCGGCTAGTTTTTGTATTTTTAGTAGAGACGAGTTTTCGCCATGTTGGCCAGGCCGATCTCAAACTCCTGACCTCAGGTGATCCACCTGCCTCGGCCTCCCAAAGTGCTGGGATTACAGGCGTGAGCCAGCACACCCGGCCCACTACTCATCTGTTTTTATTTTACTATAAAGATTGTCCCTATTGTCAATGATGTAAAAAGTTAATGTCAAAGATAAAGAGGAATTTCAGTCAAGGATTCTGGGAGAAAAAGTATTAGAATTATTTAACAGTCATTGCAGAGTTTGAAACACCTCATTTCTTTTCTGTACCACTAGGAACAGAAAATGTTAAACTCAGAATTAGAACCATACTAGATATAGAATGACACTGACGTGGAAAAGTTCATACTTTCAGGAACAAAAGAGTGGATCAAAGTTTTTGGCCAGCAAGAGATGTAGCAAACAATTTAACATTGTGGTGGCTGAGGAAACTTTATTTTGGTCAACAGGCCAATGGACAGTGAAGCTAGCGGTGATAAGGGAGGTACCATGCGAACTCCCTGATACCACCATAGCAGCATTCCATTTCTATCAGCCACGCCACTTAGATCTGACTTATACTTCTAGAACTCTCAATTCCTAGCCTATAACCTATGATCAGTTCTCACAGATTATAGCTTTGAATAAAAATACATCTGTAAACCTGAATTCTAACCTCCCAAAATAAAGTAGCTATTTTTCATTTTCATTTCATTTTACTGGGGGCCCTTCAGTCTCCTTAAAACCACTTAAAGATAACAAATTGCTTAAAGTAATACTTCCCCAAAATCCAGCTCTTCACCACTATACCTGTAGGTCACTTAGTCTGTATCTTGCTTATTGTTATTCTCCCTGTGTCTGTGAGCCTTCAATACCCAGCATGGTGCAAGGTATACAGCTGGTACTCAGTAAATGTCTGATAAATGACATCAATTAATCACAGAGCCTTAATCAATTAATATGCCAGGCTTAAGTAAAAATATAAAAGAGAAGACGGTAGTTTTATATGGACCAACTACAATGAAAAATATATGCCTTTAATTACTACACACACATGCACATTCTCTCTCTCATCCACTCATTCACTGTCAGTTCTTCATCAGTAAGACTCCTCCAGTATCTTATTTCAATGCTCTCCTAATCCCCCCGGCCCAGACAATCAGCCTGGTTGGGTGGTAGGTGTCCATTCTACCCAGATGAGTTGGGACTCTAGTGTCGCTGTCTGACGTCCTATACCAACCAGCATGGTACTCAGGCATTATTAATACAAGTCTCTAAGCACATAAAGGCATACCTCAGAGATATAGTGGGTTCCATTCCAGATCACTAAAATAAAGCAAATATCACAATAAAGCAAGTCACACAAGTTTTTTGGTTTCCTAGTGCACATAAAAGTTATGTTTACACTGTACTATAGTCTATTAAGTGTGCAAAAGCTTTATGTCGAAACAATGTACATACCTTAGTATAAAAATACTTTATTGCTAAAAATGCTAACAATCATGTGAATCTTTAGAGAGTTTTACTCTTCAGTGGTGGGCACCTTGCCTCCATATTGATGGCTGCCAAATGATCAGGCTTGTGGTTGCTGAAGGTTGGGGTCTCTGTAATGATTTCTTAAAACAAGACAACAATGAAGTTTGCCACATCGGCTGATTCTTCCTTTCACAGAATAATTCTCTGTAGCATGTAATGCTGTTTGATAGCATTTTACCCACAGTAGAATATCTTTCTAGATGGGAGTCAATCCTCTCAAACCCTGCCACTGTTTTATCAATTATGTTTACATGATATTCTAAATCCTTCGTTGTTATTTCAACAATGTTCACAGTATCTTCAATCAGGAGTAGATTCCATCTCTAGTAACTACTTTCTTTGCTCATCTATAAGGAGTAACTCCTCATCCGTCCATGTTTTCTCATGAGATTATACAAATTCAGTCACATCTTCAGGCTCCACTTCTAATTCTAGTTTTCTTGCAATTTCCACCACATCTGCAGTTACTTCCTCCACTGATGTCTTCAACCCGCCAAAGTTATCCATAAGGGGTGGAAGCAGCTTCTTTCAAACTCCTATTAATGTTAGTATTTTGACCTCCTCCCATTAATCACAAATGTTCTCAATGGCATCTAGAATGGTGAATCCTTTTCAGAAGGTTTACAATTGCCTTTGCCCAGATCCATCAGAGGAATCACTATCTATGGCAACTACAGCTTCACAAGATGTATTTCTTCAATAGTAAGACTTGAAAGTTGAAATTACTCCTTGATCCACAGGCTACAGAATAGATGTTGTATTAGCAGCCATGAAAATTAACATTAACTTCCTTGTACATCTCCATCAGAGCTCTTGAGTGACCAGGTGCGTGGTCAATAAACAGTAATATTTCGATAGGAATCTTTTTTTTCTGAGCAGTTGGTCTCAAGAGGGGGCCTAAAATATTCAGCAAACCATGCTGTAAACAGATGTTCTGTCATCCAGGCTTCTTCTTCCATTTATACAGCATAGGTAGAAGAGATTTAGTATAATTCTTAAGGGGCTTAGGATTTTTGGAATGGCCAAACATTGGTTTCCACTTCAAGTCACCAGCTGTATTATCCACTAACAAGAAAGTCAGTTTGTCCTTTGAGGTTCTGAGGCCAGGCATTGGTTTCTCCTCTCTAGCTATTAAAGTCCTAGATGGCATATTCATCCAACAGAAGGCTGTTTCATTTACACTGAAAATCTGCTGTTTAATGTAGCCATCTTCATCAATGATCTTACCTAGATCTTCTGGAAGCTTGCTGTAGCTTCTACATCAGCATTACCTGCTTCATCGTGCACTTTTATGTTATCCAGGCAGCTTCTATCCTTAAACTTCATGAACAAACCTCTGCTAGCTTCCAACTTTTCTTCTGCAGTTTCTTCATCTCCTCTCGGCCTTTGTGGAATTAGAGTGAGGCGCTGCTCTGGATTAGGTTTTGGCTTAAGGGAATGTTATGGCTGCTTTGATTTTCTAGGCAGACTACTAAAATATTCTCCATATTAGCAATAAGGCTGTCTATTAGTCCGTTCTCACACAGCTATGAAAAAATGCCCGAGACTGGGTAATTTATAAAGGAAAGAGGTTTCATTGACTCAGAGTTCCGCATTGTTGGGGAGGTCTCAGGAAACTTAAAATCATGGCAGAAGGTGAGGGGAAAGCAAGGCACCTTCTTCACAAGGCAGCAGGAAGAAGTGCCAAGCAAAGTGGGAAAAGCCTCTTATAAAACCATCAGATCTCGGCCGGGCGCGGTGGCTCACGCCTGTAATTCCAGCACTTTGGGAGGCCGAGGCAGGCAGATCACGAGGTCAGGAGACAGAGACCATCCTGGCTAACATGGTGAAACCCCATCTCTACTAAAAATCAAAAAATTAGCCAGGCGTGGTGGCGGGCGCCTGTGGTCCCAGCTACTTGGGAGGCTGAGGCGGGAGAATGGCGTGAACCCAGGAGGCGGAGCTTGCAGTGAGCTGAGACCGCGCCACTGCACTCCAGCCTGGGCGGCAGAGCGAGACTTCTTCTCAGAAATAAATAAATCATTAAAATTAAATTAAAAAACCATCAGATCTCATGAGAACTCACTATCACGAGAACAGCATGGGGGTAACTGCCTCCATGATTCAATTACCTCCCACTGGGTCCCTCCCAGGACACATGGGGAGTATAGGAACTACAATTCAAGATGAGATTTGGGTGGAGACACAGCCAAACCATATCAGGCTGCTTTGTGTTCTTATCATTCATGTGTTCACTGGAGTAGCACTTTTAATGTCCTTTAAGAACTTTTCCTTTTACATTCACAACTTGGTGAACTGGCACAAGAGGCCTAGCTTTCAGAAGAGCTTGGCTTTTGACATGCCTTCCTCACTGAGCTTAACCTTTTCTAGCTCTTGATTTAAAGTAAGAGACCTACAACTTTTCCTTGCATTTAAATACTTAGCCATTATAGGGTTATTAATTGGCCTAATTTCAATATTGTTGTGTCTCAAGGAACAGGGAATCCCAAGGAAAGGGAGATGAGATGGGGGAACAGCCAGTCTGTAAAGCAGTCAGACCACACTGAACAAGTTCGCCGGCTGATATGGGCACAGTTCATGGTACCTCAAAACAATCACAATAGTAACATCAAAGATCACTGATTACAGATCACCATGACACATATAATAATATGAAAAAGTTTTATATATTGTGAGAATTATCAAAACATGACCACAAAGACACAAACTGAAAACATGCTGTTGAAAAAATGGTACTTGCTCAATGCAGGGCTGCCACAAACCTTCAGTTTGTAAAAAACAAAATTATCTTCAAAGAGCAGTAAAGTGAAGCACAATAAAATGAAGTATGCCTACACATCAGCAACACCAAAGCTACCCTACATCATTAACAGGGTATGTCACCTAAGTGTATAAGTCAAAGATATCTAGAATCTTAACTACAGGCAGGATGTTCCCAAAATCTTAGTCGACAGAAGGCATCTCCTCAAAATAGAGTTTATAATCAGACAAAAACAAACAGAACCTGAAGAGACCTCCAGGTGATAAAGGAAAAACAAAAAGCATTATCATTTCCTATTAGGACATTACTTTTTTAGGAGCTAAATAAAAACATTACCAAATCATTTTATGTAATAAAATTTAACCTTATTTTGACCTTTCTCATAAAGCAAATAAACCTCTCTATCCAATAAGGTTCCATCTGAACTATGTAAGATGATAGGCAATACCTTAATTGCATTCATTTACATGACTCTGAAACTATTCTGGGCTGAAGTCACTGACCGCAAGGTCACAGAATACAAAAAAGTAGAATGTGTGTAATTTACCAAGGAGAAATGATCCACTTAGACAGTGTGGCAGCACCTTTTCCATCCTTCATTAGGGGATACTAAATGCTTAATGCAATCAACAGGTGTAGACATCTCCATTTAAAATATATCATACAAATACATACACACACACACGTATTCATTTTACAAATATATAAATAACACTAAAATATATATTTGAATAAGTCCATCATATATTATGGCTTTCTTCTTAAAATTAATCTGCCTAAATAAAGAACAATTCTATACCCTAATAGCATTTAGAAGCAAAATACAATATAGGGCCATTATTTTCCCATTGTCTTATAAAATTTCTAACACCTAATATTCAGGTTACAAAGCTATAGTTTTAGGAAAAGAATTTAAAACACAGGATGCCAAGTATGTTAAGAGTTCTTGCTTTCATTTTTTATAACCTAAACACGAATATATTCAACTAATTTGCTTAGAGAAGCATAGTTTACATGTCTCAAATCCAATAATACTATATTAATAAAAGAAAAGAGGTACAATAGATTGACAGATTAACAATCATAGATTACAGGGGATAATGTGTATTCTCCAAAACCTCAAGAGTATATCAAAACACACACACACAAAAGTTAACCCTACAAATTATTTCCCTTTAGCTTTGTAAAATGCAATTGTAACACAAACAAGGTATTATTGGCACTTGAAGTTACTGGAGAAAAGAGAAGGAACTCAAAAGAATAGGATTTAGGGTACTTTTTAAATGTTTATAATATTAGTACATATGCAGACTGTGAAGTATTTGTTTCAGGTTTAATACAACATCACCAAAAGATTCATTTAAACAGTTTCCACACATTAAATTAGGTAAATCTCTCACATTTAATTTACTATCCAAGCACTTTTACACTACTCAAGCCAATCTTTTGCAACTTACAAATGATTTAATGAAAAAAAAGCTATGATATTATAAAATTCATGCTTCTTCATTTTCTCTCCCTATAGAGAAGGGCAAAACTTTTCTTACGTAAATCTATATTAGATCCAAATCATTTCAAGAGATGCTACTCCACAAAGAACACACAGATGGACATATATTTAATTAATATATTCCTAAAAAACTTCAATACATGATGTCACTTTGTCCTTTGTAAATGAGAAATAAAATTTCTCAATGTCTTCTTATAAGTTAAGCCAATTCACTTTGGATTAGCTTAGTTTTAAAATAAATGCATACATATACATAATAAAATACTAATTCCTATTGTTATCTACATATAACTTTCAGTGACCACATCTTGGTATTTTAATTTTCTTTCTATAAGAAACAATTCAGAGTCAGACATGAAATATATGTGTGTAACTAGGTAACAGGCAATATTTGGTTCCTATTCTTTGACAAGGATAAGCTATTGAGACCAATCAGAACCTTCCAATGTGTTTCCAATGTTCTTGGCTACATTTCTACTTAAACTCAAACCTCAGGAAGAATATAATCTGTTAAGATAACTTTTGTTTTTCTCAAACATTCTCTCTCTGCCTATCCCAAAAGAATCAATCAATGCTTTATGTTACTAAGTTCACTGATTATGAGGACAATGTCTGAAGATTTCATACACATAATATTGGGATCTTCCCTTTCCTTGAATTTCAGAATATGTTGGAGCCAATTTCTATAACCAAAACGTAGTATTTGTGTATCTTTAAATGAGCTACAATCCAGAACTGAAAATGAACTATACTAATGGCATCGCACTTAACAACTTTCAATGAAGAAAGAAATAGGTTAGAGTCTAAGTTCAAACACACTTCAAACTCACGTGACCACAGTAAATCCTACCCTTAAAGCAAGTACATATGTGTGTATTGTTTATGTTTCTTATTTTCTGTATATTATGATGGTTTTGACTCCTTTCTGGCTGGGAAGAGATTGCCCCTCTAGGGGCCAGCCAACGCTTAGAGAAGGCAAAGGACTCAGCGTGCCTTTCACATGCAAACTAAACAATCCACAGCGATACCTCCTCTACCTGACCCATACACCCAGGAGGCAATATTCCCCTGCCTGGTATCTACCAGGCAAACTAGGGATCACTCTTACAGTTTAGAGCCTGTATACCTATAACTTATTCAAAGCTACTATTATTACACACCTATAGCTTATTAGTAGTAGTAGCAGTAGCATTTACCTACAGCTAATGCAAACTAGCGAATCCTAAACTTGGTTACCCGCCCTGCCTTGCCTTTCCCACAGATACTCCAGAAACGGCTGCAGCCCGGTCTCTCTTCTAGCTCCTGCCCCTTTGGCCCCTAGACCAACACTGGGGCTTTCTCATGTGGCCCTGAATGGCATGCTGTGCCTCCGAGAACTCATGAGTATAATAAACTTTGTTTTCCTGAGCCCCTCCTGGGTCTCCTTTTCACATGCACCTGACTGACCACATAAAAGAACACAGAACTCTGTGTGTGTGTGCGCGTGTGTGTGTCATTTTCATTTTATTTTCCCTTGTTCAGGTGGTCAATAAAAAATTATTACACCTTTAAAAAGAGGTACCTAAATAAACAAACCTACCAATTCTGTATGCAAAATTAAATCCTGGACTGGCAGTGTTGCTCAGATAACACTCAGAAAAGAACAATGTGACTGAAACTGTAAGGAACAGGTCAAAAACACTCCATTTAAAATGTGAACACCTGCTACAGAATATTTTGATTCACAAGTCCATCTAGGAAATATTTTTCTTCCTCCCTCACCTGTTCCCCCACCTATCTTGCATTCAACACCATAAACAGCACTTATCCCCCATTATAAAACAGTTGACGGTTAAAACAATGAGCCAACCAAGAAAGTATAATACTCTATAACTGACATTTACTGCATTGGCCTTGGACTTCTAATCTTTACCAGACGGGCACACAAATCAATCCATCAGCTCATAAAGGTGTGCTTTTTTAACCTCTAAAACAGATGGGATTGGCCAGAAGTGTCTGGCATGTCAAACTGCTAATCACTGCTGCCCTTTGCACAAAATAACCCACTTAAGTTGAGGCATGGTTGCACTGTAACCGACATTAGTCTGTGGGAAACCCATTTAACTGTCACACACTCCTGCCACTCCTGCTCTCCCTTAATTAAGCCTAATGCCTTATGCTTTGACCTTTTGTTCTAGCCTATTAACCCTATCTAGTACAAGTTCAATTATGTTAAGCTAAAAACTTTGCTGTAAAATATTAAATGCCAAGCTCAAAAAATCATAAGGGACATCCTCTCAGCCCTAAGTTCTATTCACCCTGATACTCAATACATTTGAAAGTAAAACCTCACTTTCGAAGTAACGCTGATACTGAAGCAAGGAGATGTTGAATGACTCACCCATTTCATAGCTTTTCCGTGGCAAAGCCTCACTAAAACCTATCTAATCCCTAGCTCCAATTCTTTAATCTCCATGGTGCTTCTGATTAATAGTTAAACCACCCGGAAGTATGTTAAGGATACTAACATTTTCACCCCGAAGTATTATCCTTCGCCATCCTCTAGAATATGCTATGCAAAGAGGCCTAAAACAAAATAAACTGCGACTTCAGCAGCTGAGAAGTAATGATTCCTTTCCCCTCCCACACATCAAAACTTCCTATCCTATCCCCTCACTACTTTTTTTCCTTTTTAAAAGTAACAATGGTCATTGAGAACTACTAAATCCTGCAACACTCACAAGGTAGTATGTACAACCACAGTTTTCCCCCGCGATACTTCACTGAAGTATTCAATACAGCCAATGACTTAAACTACAGAAGGTAATTACAACTTGCTACTTATCCTCACTGGACAAATTCACGCAGCATATCTTTTCAAATACGTCTTTTTTACACCTATATGCATATGAATTGCTGCTCACATTTACCAGAATTCCAAAAAACACAATGAAAAACACTTCCTAATTCACTGTAAAATAAAACAAAACGTAGTCCAAAGTAACATGCTATCATTAAAGATAGTTTTACCACAGTGATGTATACTGTTATTTTTCCTTCCATTTACTTCATACAATTAAAAAAAAGGTTCCTACCACTCTCACTGTGACACATAAACAACTTAAAGATCAGTAACATAAAACAAAATTTGAATTTCTGATTGGTATAAAGAAATCCATATTAATTTTAGATTTTCAAAAGATTTAAAGTCAGATTTTAATTTTACTTTTGTTGACTGCCCAAAGGCCCATTTTTACCTATTCTCAATATTAACAAATATTGTCAGCTTTTGCCTTTAGCAACCCTAAACTTTACAGTTTTAAAGTAACATGCCATTAAACAGAATATACAATGATTTTGCAAAAGCAAGATCGTTTAGAGTACTGCCAAAACAATGAATAATCTCAATGAGATAATTTATTAAAGGAGGAAAAAAGAGAACGAGAGTTTAAAATTCACAGTGAATGTGTTTGTGTTGTTAGAATGATGCCTGCAAAGGAAAGCATTCCTTGGCATTATCGGGAGGAATACCCATGGATGTGTAAAATGTAAAATAAATAGATAGATGTATGGTCAAAGCTAAGCAAACACTTGTATCAGGGGCAACTACCAGGAACTTTAGTTTTATTCACCCTTTTCATTGCAAAGGATAATAGTGTTAATTTTGATCAGATGTCATGCCTTAGCTACAACTTTTAGTTCATGAAATAAAAATTAAGTTTGGGTGTCTGCTGAGGAATCCAACAGTGGGAAATTCACACTCACAACTAATTTATAGAAATTCACACATTTCTATAACATACCGACTGACACTAATGAACAATGAGGGAAAAAATTGTTCAGGAATTCAGGATAAGTAAGCACTGGAGGAAAGCACACAGTAGAACACAGTGCATAAATAGTAAATGTGCTCATTTTTCTGCCCTTTTACTTCATATATTAGTCCATTAGCTTGTTCCTTTTTGCTATGATTTACAAGCAGGTGAATACACAGAAATATGAGCCAAAAGAAATATACTGTCAAATACTCATGAAGTTACCTTTGTTAAACAAAAAAGAAACAACAAACAACTTTGTCTTCACAAAGCAAGAAACTAGGTTAAAGTTATTTTAAGAGCATCTGTTAAAAATCAGTGTTATAAATATATATCCATATAATTTATTTTCTATTAGCATTTTAAAATAAATTTCTCGTCTAGAAATCTCTGAGCTCCATTTCAAAATAATTTTATTTTCTGTCTCTTACCAGCAGTTATTAATGTAGTTGAATATGACTCTTAGAAAAGAGTCAGGAAATTCACCTTCAGTGAAGAGCAAATCCTAATTTTTAAAACATAGATGGGCTTCATATACTACTTAATCCCATAACTTACCAAGTTCTGAATCATCAACTGTTCTTGATACCCTCTTAACTTTTAAGGTTACTGCACACCAAAATGAACTCTGGATGTGAAATGTTAAGATTTCCACCTTACCAAGCCGTCAAATCCAAGGCAGTTAAGTGTGCCCAGCTGGCGGGTCCCTTTGACTACAGGAAGTGATGCTAAGGAAACTGCCTAGTAGGCTCCAGAAATATTTGTATTCATTTCCTTACAAAAAAAATGTTGCCCCCAAAGATTTTGCTAAACGTTTTCTAATATAATTTGCGTATTACTGAAGAAATGTAATATTACAAAACAAATTATTTCAAGTACCAATTAATTATAATGTCAATAACAGTCAGTTTCACTTTTTCCCTCATAATTAGTATGCCTGGAAAGAAGAAGATACATTTTAAGGAAAAAATATTGTTCCTTTTAAAAGTCCTAATTTAAACAGACTAAAGAAAAAACGTGGAAGAGCTTCCATTATTCATAAGTTACACATAATAATTAACAACTGCTATGCATAAATACATAAAGGTTCTACTGCTGTGCCAAATTTTGCCAGTGGTTGGGACTGGTACAGTTCAATTTAACAAATGCTTATAGACATCCTTCTGTGTGCCAGACACTTACAGGACCAACAGTACACTGATGAATAAGCTCCTATTCATGGAGTTCTACCAAGGAAAACAGCTATAACACAAGTTTAACTTTTACAATCAGGGCGTACACAAAACTGTGAAAGAAAATCTGATCTTGTTAGAGGCTTGGGGACAGAAGTAAGCCTACAAACTCCCTTGCCCACTGTCCCATGAGGGAGAATATTCCTTTCCAATTTGTTTCACCAACATCAGGAACGTGGCCAGTGTGTGGTCCATGAAAAGGTCTACACATAGGTTTCTTCTCTCTTGCTCTCTTTTCTAGGGGTGTAGACCAACGTGCACTTGGTTCATGGCACATTATCACCACTGGTCCACACAGTGCCCCCTCATCTTATTTGTTACCTTTCTCAAGAGAATAGAGGAATGGGGTCCATAAACTTTGAGATATGTTTCCAGTTGAACCAACAGACCCAACCACCTACATTAATGGTGTTGGAATACTACTCATCAGTAAAAAGTAGAGCTGGCCTGTGAGTGTTCTGGTCAACTAAAGGTATCTGGCTCTCTTTGTCTGCAAATAAATAGCAAGTCTCCCTACTTCTTTTTAAATAAAATTCCAAATGTACGTAACATGTAAAACAATGCCACTGCATGAACATGTACATAACTGTACTATTCTTTTTTTAAATTCTCAGCCTGGAAATTACATTTCAAGTACTAGAATATTCAACAAATCCTAAGACTTTTATGAAGACCATGAGAAGAAAATAAGGTACTAGAACAAAAGTGATGCAGCCAGCCAATTCTCGTTTCATGTCTCAAGACCCAGTTCTTATTATTATAGATCCCTTTGTGGGGTTAGCTTGGATTTTACTGCGGGATCCATCACCAAAGGTTATTAACTATTCCTTAACACCTGGTACACAAACCCCTCTTTCTGAGACTGCTTTGACAAAAATAAACAAAAAAGTGTGAAATAAATCAAGATTTGACTGACCATCCTAGGTCTACCCAACTGCTAGCTGAATGACTTTCAAAACGTCTTTAAATTCTTAAGGACTCAATTTCTTCCTCCGTAAAATGCAGATAGTAACTGTTTTGGGCATTTTAACTTAACAGCAATAACAAAAACTACAGGAAGATAAGTAATTATTGACCCCATTGTATCACATGGATCCCCTGGCAATTAAAAAAAAAGATGAATGAGATATTAAGAAATAAAAAGGAAAACAGAGTAAAGACAAAACAGAAATAAAGAAGGAAACCCAAAAGGAAAGAAAATGGCACATAAGCACTAAATGGTAGCATTTTATCATTATTTTATTTATAGTCTACACTAACTGTGTGCTCTTCCATACAAAAGATGCATCTAAAAACTAACTTGTTTGATAAATGGGGGGAGGACAAGGTGCCTCTAAGATAGGTGTGCTTAAATCCAGAGCAGCCGTAGCTTTTATCAAATTCTCTTCCAACCTGAAAAATCTAACGATTCTATGAAATAACTTCAATTTGTGAAAGCCCAAGCAAAAGAAATTCAAAGTTAAAAAAAAAAAAAAAAGAAAATGTGACTTTGACTCAGGTCAGTCAAGTATTACCAGGATAGATAAAAGTAGATTTTTAGCAATACAGTTAACAATGGGTCTTGCCACAATAATAGCAAACATCCAGATATTGGAAAGGAATCAGATGGTAAATTTAAAAAAGACTGTTTTCAATCCTTATATTTGGCTTCACATAGATTCAGTGTATTTTAATTCATTTTTTTTTAAAAAGCATGGATCAGTTAAGGAAATAATATAAGTTCATTCTGATCTTTAGGAAGACATTCTTCCCCCCATATTGTTCACTTTGACAATTTCTCTTTTTTCTTATTTGGCCAAAATATAACGTATTCTCTAAACAAAACACAGATGTTTCCTTTGCAGCTTTTATACAAATCTCTTGCTTTTCCAACATGATTTGGCAACTCAAAATCCAAAGCACCCTAGAAAATATTATGTTTACACGTCTTATTATTCATCTTTGTGTCTCCAATATAGTTTCAATTTGACTATACCTTTCAGTGTATAGGGAACCACTCAGCTTGAATCTTTTAGGTTCAAAAATTCCATAAATTTTAAATGAGGCAAGTAAAAGGAGGTGGAGAAGCTCATAACTCCATTTCTTATGGCTTTAACAATAAAAGAACGTACCTGGTATGTACTTAAAAATGTACTATGTGCCACAAAGCTCCCCCACTCAACAATCTCCCTCCTGACACAGTCTACCCTCAAAATAAAGTCAACTACTCCTCATCTCTCTGCTTCCACTTCCTTCCAATTCACAAATACATTGTTAATTTCCTCTTTGCATTTCAGAGAGCAGTTTATCAGCACAGGATAGTCTTTAACAAAATTGTTGTGAGTGAAGATAGGGTAATTAAAAAAAAAATCATGTTAAGAACTGTTAATAGTCAAGAGTTGTAACTTTTCAACCAGGAAGAGCTATGGTTCTGAATTTGCTACAACTGCTCCTTGAAGTGGACAAACATAACTAGCCTTGGGAACACTCAGTTTAAGACCATGACAAGCTATTTCAATGAATTATATAAAGAAACATAGTTGCTTTCACTGCCTCAAATAACACCGCAGTAATTCTGTGATACACTTCAGAAGAGTTAGCACTGGAGGGAAAAGAGCCTGTGCGGCAGCCCTTGGTGACTACATTTCCCTCCAGCGCAATGCAGGTAGCAGGACATCAGCGCTTTGAGAACTAGCATAAGCTGCTGCAGAATCATCGACTGGCAACAATGTGCCTTCCCAGAGAGCCTGGTCTTGGAGAATCCAGGCTATGAGGCTTGCAAATGCTGCATGAGTTTTATGGCTACCAGGTTGGGAGCAAGGTTTTTTAACGGCTTCCTGAATGTCAGATGGCAACTGGTTTTTTCTTCAAACAATGGCATATTCTTTAAGAAAATCAAATTATCAATGAAATTTGCCATGTGACCACAGGCAAGTTAACTATTCTTGCATTTTTCAGACTAGGTTTCCTTATCTCTAAACTAGAGAAAATGATACCTACATGTCACAGGGGAACTGGAAGGATTAAAAGACAAAATGTGTGTAAAGCTTCCAGCACAATGTCTGGCACAAAACGGTTGCCCCAAAAAGTTCAATACTCTTCCTTTCCCTGCTCCCCCTCCCAACAAAACAGGAAAAGGCAACAGCCAAGTAACTAAACAACTTCTTAATATTCCAAGTTTCTACCCAATCATCTCTTCTTCTTTTAAAACCACAGGCTTGAAATCTTTACTGTTTACTGTCAACAACGGCATATACTGCTGTACAGTCAGAATTTTAGAATTTAGAAATCAAATATAACCCCCTTATTCAACAGATGCTGCCGGGGGAGATAAAAGGGCTTTCCTTTTATCTGTATCATCTTGATTTAGTAGCAGAACCTAAACTCGAAAAATAAACGTGGAATAACAGGAATACTATTTTTTAACATGTTTTTCAAAAATCAAACCTGAGCCTACATAACCCATTGTGCAAACAGTCCCTTTAGGAGAAAAACTGCAACTGTGATTAATTTCTCTCAAGAATATTTATTTCCCATTTGGAGAGTTTCACATGTTTCCAAACATATTTTCTTGATGTCCTCCATGTCATTGTGTATTCTCTCCTTCCCTTAATTTGTTTCTTTTCCAGTGTATAAATCTATTGCTCTATTATAGATTATTATAATATAAACTCATAAATTCAGGAATTTAAAAAAAATCTTTAAAAGCATGCTTCTCAGAAATCATTACACTCTGTTAAACACTTGCTATCTCTCAACTTCTAGATAGATTCCTCAAGAGAGAAGTCCTTTTTTCATTCTGAACTTCTAATTCTCAAATTTTGATTGTGTCCTGTTAGTTACCAAACACACCATTATACTACTACTCTCATTTCAATATTGTACATAAACGATTCCCCATCTTACTAATGAAATGCTTTTTTAAAGCAGTAACATATTTAACATGTGCACATGTTATGAAGAGTATAGGCAAACTCAACTATTAAAAACATGTAACTATAAGGAAAGCCATCTTAGACACTATATGTGACTACAGCTAAGCTTTTCTCTTAAGTATCTAAAGCAAATCACCAGACTTTTACATAGTACCCTCACATAGCTAGATAAGAAAGTAAAAGTAAAATAATGAAAGCAGACTCTAAACAGCAGAAGCTCCAAACTCCTTAGTTTCTCTGTTGTGCTCAATCCTTTAGCAAATTACAGGCCTGAAAACAAGGAGTAGCTCTATCACTTAACAAGTGACTAAGGAATGACTTTGTTAATTAGAAGTCCAAGGGTGAGAGGCTCCTTTCCACCAAAGCTCTGAATAAACATCAACATCAGGTCAACCAGAGTTGTCTTGGTCCCAGGAGTAGCTTAAGCGGATGACTCAAATTCCCAGCAGAATTCTAGTTTAATATTTATTGGAACTCCGAGCTTAGTCACACAGTGACTTGGAATTTAAGACACATGGGGTCTCTTCTTTCCATCCTTAAAGATATTTTTGCTAAGTGACACAAAGTTAAAGAGGCAAGATGGGTTTTAATTTAGAGTTTTTATTCCCTGAGGTGTAAGAAATTAAAATTTTATTTTCTGGGGAGAGTGAACCATACTAGCTCTGAATTTCAAACACAACTATTAACCCTGTCAGATAATTCTATTATCAAGTTTTACAAAACTGTTTACTATTATTATTTTTTTTTGCTACCCCAGCCCTATGTATTGAAAGTGGAAAGAAGGAAGGGAGGGAAGGAGGGAAGGAGAGAGGGAGAATGGATGAATGGATGTATGTCACAATCACCTTTCTAGCCAAAACTGCAACATATGCTGGAGTTCTTGAAATTATTTCAACCAAAAAAAGAATCACAGGACTCATAATTTGTTTAGCAGGTAATTATTTGCCCCATTATCTTCAAGAACAATCTATCTTAAAACTGTGTATAGCTTTTTAAGAAATCTTAATACTAAGAGGATCCTTTTTTTCATAACCCCAAAGAGTGTTTTCTTCCTCTATTTTTGAATTGCCAGCCTTCTCAATTCTTTAAATCTGATTCACATTATACTACTTTTAGAGTTCTAGGCTAAATGTTTATCCATAGCATGATTCAAGGTATTAATTTCAACAAAATACTAATATAATGATAAAATGTATCACATTTATTTTCAACTCTTTCCTATTCTTCTGATTTAAGAACTTAAAGAAAAATATTTTATGTTTCGGGTGCATTTTGATAAGCTAAAATACCACAACTTTTGTAATTCTTCATTTGTAATATTTGCAAGATAGTGTAGGGATCAATTTGAATTTCAAGGTTCATGATATAGAGTATGTACCATAACAGTGAGAAAAGTTAGTATAAATTCCTACTCATCTCAGTTTCTATATTTATTGCAACAAATTAAAACTGCATTTCATAACTCGTAGTAAAACAAAAGGAAAGTTCTGTTTTAAATAAACTCCAACCTTCAGAATCCTATACATTCAGTATCCATCAACCTGAACACTAAATTTCAAGAAAAAACAACAGATGGGCATCCATATAATAGTTTGCAAAGAAACCCTGATAAGACTTCAGGAGTTTCTGTGGTCTCTATTTTCCCCCTACCATGAATCATAGGTAATGTGCTTAAATAAAGCATTATTTCTGCAGTTATTTACATGTTTATCTTTATCAGAGATCCTATAAAAGAATTATCCAGTTCACCACCCAAACTTTAGCACTCAGAACACGGTTTTCCCTGTTGATGAAGACCCTTGTAAAATTCCAGATCTTAAAAGATTAAAGAAAATGTGATCTAATATTAATTCATTTTCCTCCAAAGTATAACTCCTGATTCCATGCTGGTACCCAATTTTGATCCTCTACTTTAAAGATATCTCAGAGACATTCAAAACAAAGTGTGAACATGCACAAAAGGGGAACTTGTCGTTTCTCTCCCTCAAACAACCACTATTTATATAATATTGCTGGCCTCCTAAAAGAGAATAGAATCCATTACCATCAGCAATTCATGTCTCTGCTTCAGCATCAGATGCAAACAGGATACAGAAACTAGATCTCTCTCCTCCATTTACTTTTTGTTCATTCCAACCTCTCGACATAATCTTCAGTTCCATTCCAATGGCCTGTTTCACCATCTGACACTCCTGGTTTTTACCTTCTCAAGTCTTAGTGGCCATAGTGGTGTTACATTTCTCTAATTGTTGTGTTATCTAAATACTACAGGATGAGCCTGCTCATTCCCCCTCCCCCAAAAGTCCCTGAAAAAACTACAACTTAAGGAAATGCAACTTGAACCTTTTTAGTTCACAGATTCAAACTCATATCCTGCAAGACCCTAGCATATCTTGTTGAAAATTTTCTTTGACTTTTCAACAGTAGTCAAGATTATTTTAATGAAAATATTTCTCCAGTTGGAAGACATGGGTATACAGGACTTTGCTAGAACGGCAAATGCTTTTTCCCAGTCTTCATCCGTGTAACAGTAAATCGTTATTAAACAAACACACAGAACAAAACCCACTCTGATTGTGTATCAATCACCTGAAGGGGCAGAAGGGAAAAGTACAAGAGTGAAGAAACTTCTCCCCACCCACAGCCAAGAAGGAACGCTGCAACTAAGGCAGTTTTTCATGGAAGAAAATATCCAAAGATCTAGACAGTGTTTATTTTAGAAAAGGGGAAGAGAGCAAGGGAGGGAGGGAAATGGTAGGGAAGGGACTACCATTTCCTCTTACTAACCTACATTAAAAACTAATTGTATCAAGCAATCTCAAATGCGAAAAGCAAAACTGACCCTAGCACAATTTAAAGTGAATAATGTTTTCCTTGACAAAAATTCGGTATTTTAAACTCATTCTGAGCAAAATTATCTTTTAACCTGATACACCAAACTATTACTGCTTTTCCCAAACAACAGTTAGAACATGAGCTTTTGAGTTTCTTACATTCTTTACGTTTTAAAATTAAAAGCCAAATTCCTTTAACCTCATATATCCTAAGCCACTCTGATTTAAAATTACTTCTATGTCATTGTCTTCTAGCATTGGTCTGCAATAGAATCTGTGCAATTAACAATAATCTTCTTCCCTCTGATCTTTCTAGAGTCAAGGATGGCATATCTCCTTATCTTATTTGTTCCATTAGATTGGCATATTTTGCCTCATCTGTCACCTTCTATCAAACTCTGCTTTCAGATATGCGTTAATTCATTTTTAGTTGTCCTCAATGTTCTAAAATAGTGATGTTTGACAGAATTAATACAGTGCTCTAGTTCTTTCTGTTCAACTGGTATTTAATTAAAGATCTTGGAGGCCATCTTTCTCTCAGGCTACACCACTTAAAGGAGGAACATTACTTCCTCCATGGACAATGTGATAAGCCACATGGCAACAAAGCTGCCTCCCTAAGGTCTCTCATTTAATAGACTGCTTTACCACATATAAACTACCAGCAAAACAGATTATCACTTTAATTCACATTGATTTTACTCTTCATATCTCTGAATCACAACTCTGTCATGGGCTGCGTTCTCTCTTAACTTCTGAATTTCCAGAATTTCTGTAGTTGTAATGCTCTCCTGTATTTTTGCTTTTGTTTCATCTGGACTTCAAAAAGTTCTAATGGCATCTGATTGGGAAGATTTCTTGAATCTCTGATAACAACGCAGAAGTCTTTAAGCAATCAGAACTGCCTTGGCGCACAAACTGAAAACTCCGTTTTAAAATCTTCTGAATTAACATCTTTTGGAGAATAGCCCACTCAACTTGATATGTCATAATTTTCAATTCTAAAGGTGGCACGGATAATTTAAAGTGGCACTTGCTATTTATTACTTAAATAATTGTTCTCTTGGACGGGCTTTTGAAAGCTAGTACTTCTTAATCATTTTCGACTATATCAGAACTGTAACAGACATGTCAATTTAAGCAAACTTCATGAGCAATAAACTAACAAACAGACTCTAGGTGGTGGTATAGGTTATTTTTTATCATGATGTTTTGCACTTATAACTGCAAGAGTCAGAAAAGCCTTTAGTCTCTTCACACACTTCTTTAGTGCAAAGTTAACAATATTTTAGGGTGTTAAAATTAGCAAAATCCAAGTTCTGCAGAGTTTAGAAATGCATGTAAAAGAGGCATTAAACCTGGTTTTCAACTAACTTCCCACAGGCATTAAACCTGGTTTTTCAACTAACTCATTTGAATAAAATCAACAACGAACAGTCCTTTTTTTTTTCTGTTATGTTCTGATGTATATTTTACTCACACTCCTAGGGCACTTTTAAAGGTAAGTTTGGAAAGAGGTCTTTCTCCACCAGAGTATGAAACAGACTAGAACAACCAATCCTACAACCTGCAGGGCAGTAGCCGCTCCACTAATTGATTCTCCTTCTTTGTCTCTAGGAACTATGCCCAGGCAGAAAAAAAGTTACTGTAGGTGATGAAGCCAGTGCTCCCTGAACCAAATAAACCCTATCGACGTTACCGAACTGCCGGGCAAAACCAGAGCAACTCACTTACTTGGAAGGTGAAAAACACTTCAACATACTCCAGGCGGCAACCGACACTTAGGGGCCAGGCAGATGAAACACCATTTGTTTAAAAAGTCTATTATTTCACTGTCTCTTCAACAAAGGTGGAAAACTGATGATTAAACACTGAATAATGCCACCCACTTACTAAACCTATGATTCACTAATAAGCAGGTTCAATGCAATTCATAACTTTAAAGAATGAATTACCGAAGCCCCTTGCTTCACAAATTCCCCCAAGAAACAGAAAGAGCATTCATCACATATAACCCGACAACCATTTTTACTATGGACACCTACAGATGGCTTCTCTTCCTCTAAGGACACAATTTCCTTCACAATCCCACATGTAATCATTTACAATACCAGAAACAAACTCCAACTCAGTTCCACCAACTGGGTTTTTAAAAATCCTTGTGCCTAAGAACGTCTTTTTTCCCCAAAGTAAAATGTGCCATTAAAAAATATTTTTAAAACGCAAAAGTGCTTATCATTCCGTACTTCTTTTACTACCTTCAGCAGCCAATTATTGACGTGATAAAAGGTAGAAACTCCTGGAATGCTTCAGAGATCAACATGTGTCACAGACTCCCAGCCTGTCCGCCTCTAAGACACAGTTGGTTCCTTTGTTCCTTCTGACTGAACACCAACTCCTGATCAAAATTGGGAAACTACTTTGGAAGGGATGGGAGGGTCTGCAGAATACATCCACGGAAACCTTCATAAAACAATATTCAATCGTAATAAGGTGGACACAGAAGAAGGGAGAAAAGGCAGCCTCCCGGACTTCCACCGGGCTCACCCTAAATGGGGGCCGGCCCCTGGCTCCTGGTAAAATGATGGCTGAGGCCTCGGGTCCGTGAGCCTCGCCATCGGGAGGGGACCGCGAGTGCGGGCAGAGCGGCCCGGGGTCGGGTGGGGGCCGGGCGAGCTGTCCCTTTTCCTATTCACTTTCCCAGCCGGGTATCCAGCGAGCAAGGAGCAGGGAGGCACCCAGGCGAAAGGCGCCGCCCAGGATCCGGCTGGACAGCAGGACGGAGAGCGGCGAGGCGAGCGGTGCCCGGGGTTCGGGACCGAGAGGGCAAGCGAGCGGGGGCAACCCCGACCCGGCCCCCCGAGTCCGGCCCCGCTCAGGGGCCACGCGACGGCCGCCCCCTTGCCCAGAACTGGCACGGACGGGCGGGCCGACCCGGGGCCACTCCACAACTTGCCGGCCCGCCGCCCCGGCCCCCCGCGAGAACCCGGAGACTCGAACCAGGCAGCAGAGGCAGGATTTCCCCGGAAACGCGCCCTCCCCGCCGCCCCGACGCCCCCGCGGCCCTGCCAGCCAAGCGAGAGCCGACGCGGGCCGCGCTCCCGGGCCGTTTCCGGCGGCGCCGGCGGCCGCTACTCCTGGCGCCCTGGCCGCGGCCGTCACTCACCCCAGGCCGCCGCGGCTCCCAGCCTCCGGCTCCGTCAGGCTCGGTCCGCGAAGGCGCCTGCCGCCCCGTCCTGGCCCGGCGCCCCGGCGAGCTCTTCCCTCCGACCAGCGGCGCTCACGGCGCAGCGGCGGACGCGAGGCCACGGGCGGACGGGCGCGCGCGGGTGGCGGGCGGGCGTGGGGCCGGGTCGTCCCTGCGCCTCGCCGCCGCCTCCTCCGCCGCCGCCTCCCGAGTTCGGGGCTCTGCTGCAATGTCTGCGAGGCTGACTTTGAGCGCCTCGCTCACCGCCCGCCCGCAGCCGCGCTCCTCCCTCCGCCGCCGAGTCCGCCGCGGCCCAGTCCCTCCCCTCGCCGCCCCACGCCATTCAGCTCTTCAGCCAAGTTTCTTAACCCTTTTCTCCCCCTCCCTCCCATTGTCACCCGGTCAGGAGGAAGCCGCGCGGATCCGGGCGGCTCACAGGAGCTGCGGAACCCCCTCTGTTTCGTGGATTTCCTTCTCGCCTGCTCTCCGGGTGTCCCAGACGGGGCTGCAAGACCCGGAGGCAGCGAGAGGACCGCGTCCCCGAGAGAGGGGCTGCACGGCGCGCCCGGGCCGTCCCCCGGGCTCCCAGCTCTGTCCAGCCGCCCGCGACCGCTGCAGGCGCCTGGACAGCTCCTCCTGGGGACCGGGGAAAGCGCTCTTGGGACCCAGGCCGAATGCTCCCGTTTGGGCACAGCCTGGGGGCCGGGGCGCCCCAGACGCTCCAGGGTCCCCGCCTGCCTTAAGCGTCTACCTCCTCCCCTTCACCCCACAACACGCGCTCTCTGGGCCCCCTTTCACCCACCCACCCCCAATTTCTATCTCCTTGTAATCTGTGTGTCCTGCTTTAATGTTGGGGGGCACGGGCGCGAACTCTGGGTCACTTTGACCCCACGCCCAGCACGTAGTAGGCGCCCAGCACTCGTGTGGAGCGACTCTGGGAGGAAAACTAGGAAGGAGACCTGAGGAGCGCCCCGCTCAGCTCCCTGGACAGACGTAGGACCCAGGAGCAGGGTTAATCCTCGGCTGCTTTGTCACTGCGAAGTCTCCAGCGGAGTCTGTCAGCCAATCTGCATCATCCCCGGGAAGGATCTGACCCAACAAGACAAGGGAAAAGGAGCAGGGCTGCTACTTCTTCAGCAGCTCTCCTCGGTTCGGTCTCCGAATAAGAAATAACAATTACATCACGAGGCCGGGGCGGCAGCGCGGTGGAGCCTCTCGGTTTCCTGCAGCCTAATCTCACTGAACCCGCCTCTAAATTGGGGGGGCCACAGATTGGTGAAACGAGAAAGTGGAAGGAGGAGAGAGTCATACGAAACCATAATTTCCCCTTATCCTTGTATTTGCTGTTTGAAAAATCGTATCCTCAACGCTCCCCAGACATCTCACTAGAACTATTAACACCCCCTCAACACCTCCCCAGATGTCAGGTTTCTTTTTGACTTGAGCATCTAGCATTTAGTAATTCGCCATGAAAAAAATTACCAGGGGAAGCGAGTGTTGTTGCTGAAATTGTTTTTGCTTGACACAAAAAAGCTAAAGTACAGCTTAGTCTCACCCGAAATTCTGAAACGGCATGCCCGTGTTAAAACACTTATTACATAAGACAAATGAGCCGATGAGGCACTCCATTCTTATATGTAGGTTTTCATATCCTGAAGAATTTGATAGCATTTGGAAATGAAGTTGCTAATGCGCTTAAAAAACAAAAACTATCCAAGTCATGAAACTGTATTCTGTGCCTGTTATGTAATGGCTGTATTGTGTATTGCAAATTTCACTTAACCTTTAAACAATATGAATGAGAGTTTTAGAATACTGTCACAGTCTTGAAAGTGAAAGCAATTTTTCAAATTAATGCTTAATAAATTCAGCACCCAGCACAGTGCCGGGCACATAGTGCCAATGTTTTCCTTAGTGGCAATGGCACATTTTAAAACAATTATTTTTCATCACCCTAGTGATTGAACTATGCAATCTGTTGCCATTTTATATAGTTAAACCTCATATAATATAATACCATATTATTTGCATATACCACAATTCAAAATCTGCTCTAGGCAAAATAAAGTCTGCTGTTTTTTAGTGCATCATTTATTCAGAATTGATACAAAGCAAACCGTTTCAATTCAATGATGACCAGCATAATTGGAGCTTGGCCCTTAGTGGGGGGTCAAACTTTTTTTATGAAAATTATTTTTAACCATTATACAGATTTTTCTACAATGTATTGCAAATGTTTCTCTTAAGCAGTTTGTTGAACGTCATTTAGCATTTTCTTGATAATTCAATGTTAATTTTATTAAAAGTAATTATTGTAGTAGGTTGTAGCGGATTCAGTAAATATATCCAGTTCCTATTCTATATTCTTTCTAGGTGTTAGGAATGCTCCCAGGAGGTACAAAAGCTATCAGTCGCTGCACCGAAGGACTCTAGGATGCTATGACTTAGTGATTATCTCTGCCTTTTGTAATTTCTCTCTCTCCCCCTTCACTAACTGACAATCTATTGTCCTTACTGTTACTAGCATAGCTGCCACTAACATTCTCCTCATCTTCTGATGGGTAACTTCCAGTCTAGTGCGGACTGGGAATCCAGATAGCCTCACTTGTCACAATTCTGTCTAAAGTAAACTTAATAGGTTCTGGGTAAGGGACTAATGGGCTCACCAAGGAGTAGGGCGCACACACACCTTAGTGCATAGACTTTGGGAAAGATATTTGGACTACTCAAGTCTATCTTTTAAATACATTCCTCTTACTTCTTAACCAGGTTTTGGACCATGGAGATTGCCCAGCAAGCCGAGAATATTCCAGCCCTCCAACATTGTTGTTAAAAAGTCCACTGCTGTATGTTAGGTGACTTCCCAAAGCTGCTCACTACTTCTTCTTATTCTGTTTTCTCAACCCCACAAAAATCCAATCACTGAAATCCTGAACTCTTTTGATAGTGGCATGAGTGTTAAGTAAATTGCACACCTCTTGTGGAATTCATTTTCACTTAATCATGCTAATTATGTGGAGACTTGTTTGTTGTTGTTCTTTGTTTTTTTAAGTAAATCAATACCTAAATTTCCTGGCTAACAGAGTCATTGCAAGGATACTAGGGCATTATATGTAATATAAGAATGCCTATTTGGTAATTTGTACTTTGAAGTCAAGTCTCATTTGAATCATTTGTGATGTGAAAACAATGCTGTTGGGTTTATATACTTAAACACCTAATTATTGTTTTACGTCCAGGGTTCCTGTGGGATCACATGCCTTTAGTTCAGTCTCAGTATACCTCTCCGCCACAAAGATGTAGTCTGGGTGTGTTCTCTAGCCTTTGGTTCTGTAGCCTTTGGTGTGTTCTCTAAATCTCTCCTCTATAGCATTTTCAAAAACCGTTTTGTTAGTGGGTATTTGCTTGTCCGTATCCCACTGTAGAATGCAAGCAGTACAGGCACAGGGTCCATATCCCTCTCATTCACATTTGGGGACTTCCAGCTACCCATCCCTGTGCCCAGCAGACAATAGACATTCAGTAGATATTGGCCAACATACTGTCATACCCCAGAGGACAGAATGTATCTTTCTCTTGGGGTCCTGGCTGTGATGTAAGGGAGTTCAGAGAACATTTTGCAGAGAAAATAATGCTTCCGCTGGCCATTAAAAGGTTAAAAGAATTAGCCATGTAGGCAAAGTGGGAAAAGAGGTTCTCAGGAGAGGACATAGACTGTTCAACAGTAGAGAGGTATGAGAAGACAAAAATATGCACTGAGAAGTATTGAGCCCATATTTACACTATGGAGTGAACTATGACACCTGAGTAGGGAGAAATATGTGTAATATAATAGATCACAGACAAATGGAACCCCACTGCAGTTACCTTATTAGCCACAGTCCCTTAGCCTCTGGAGCAGCACTGACCAATAAAAACATAAAGTGAACCACAAATGTGAGCCACATAAGGAATGTTAAATTTTCTGGTAGTTATATTCAAAAGTACAGAGGAACAGGTAAAATTAATTATAATAATGCACTTTAACCCAATACATCAAAAATTACCATTTCATGTCTATACAACATACAGAATTATTAATTAGATATTTTACAATCTTTTACAGTCTTCAAAATCCAGTGTGTCTTTTACATTTATAGCACATCTTCATTTGGACTAGTCTTATTCCAGGGCTCAACAGCCACATGTGGCTAACAACTACCATATCAGGTAGTGCAGCTCCAGAGAATGTAGGAAATATTTAATAATATAGTTTAAGAAAAGTTTCTTAAGAGGAAAATCTAAATCTTGTTAACTCTAAAAGCTTATGCCGATTATTAGTGTTGAATTATGCTAGGTTATAAAGACCACCTTCTTGTGTTTAGACTTTTACGCCAATTTAGAGAATCAGCAAAGTTTGCATTTTATGTACTGTGTCTTCATTAACGATGCTGTAGTTACAACTACTTCTATCTCTATTAACTATGGTGGTGGACTGTAAATGTAAACTGTCTTTATGGCAGAAATAAAACGCTATAGATTTGGGGTTGACTAAGCTTTAAAAAAAATTCTCTCTACAGTATGAAGCTATCTCTTCTATGCAGTTACTGCCAAGCATCTTCCTAGCTGTAGAAGTCCAGGATTTTGCTCTCTAATTCTTTTATGCCCAGTTACTTGTAGATGACAAAAACCACCCTGACCTTTGTTTGAGGCAGTCGCCTACCTGAAGCTGCAGTAAGGATTTGCTGCAGCTCCCTGAGTACCAAGAAAGGTCTAAAGAGCTGACTTGAAGATGCTTAGACACCCTCTCTGCAGGTTACTGTGCAGCTTTCCCTAATGAGATTGGAGCCCTTTTGGTTTCATTGGGATTTGAGTGTGGAAGACTGGCAAATCCAGGGCACTCATTTTCTACACTAAAATGAATCTTGAAAACTGTATCTTTTTAAAAAAAGTCTGAGAATGATTGTGTACAAGTAGCCAAACCTGTGCAAGGAAAAGGCAGATACTTTAATGAAATGCATATGTGGTTGATGCCGTCTCATTCCTTCTCAAAACAAGAAAATGTCTAGTATAGTTACAGGGTTAGAAAAACCAAGAAGTCCCAACGAAGCAAGGAAAACCTGTCAGTTTTAATAATGTGTCAGTTTGATATGTCTAAATGATTGAGAGTAAATATCACATGAAATCTTTCCTTTTATGTAGAAATGGCGTATGCAGCTCTCATTAGGCAGTCCTGTCGTAAATGCATATGAAAGTTTCCTTTAAGGGATTTCACAAACATAGGACCATGTTATGAATCAATTCAGTAAAAACATGATCCTATTATTTTTAGAGATATATTTAGATAGACTTCAACTAAAGAAAAGTGAAGAACACATCTGTTTTTCCAAATAATTCAGGGTTCTAAAGGGAAGAAAGATACAAAGAAAGCATGATGTATGCTTACTATTTGTATAATTGTTTGGCTCTCAAAAGAAGACATAGACACTGACCTATCTGTTTTAGATTAGTTTAAGAAACATGAAAATCTCGTGTAATTTTTCTTTTCACAAAGAATTTGAACACACACACACACACACACACACACACAATTGCATGCAATTCAATGGTGGAAAGAATCATCTTTTCAACACATGGTGCTATGATATCTACATGCAGAAGAATGAAATTGGACTCCTTCACATCATATACAAAAATTTACTCAAAATGAAATGTAGACCTAAATGTAAGAACTAAACTATTAAACTCTTAGAAGAATATATTGCAGTAAATCCTTGTGACCTCTGTTAGGCAAAACCTTCTTAGCTATGACACTGAAAGCATGAATAACAAAAAATAGATAAATTGTACTGAAGTCAAATTTAAAATCTTGTGTGTTTCAATGGATACCATCAAGAAAATGAAAAGATAACCCATAGAATAGGAGAAAATATTTGCAAATCATATATCAGGTAAGGGACCCATATCTAGACTATATAAAAAACTCTTACAACTCAATAATAAAAAGGCAAATACCCAGTTTTTAAAATGAGCAAAGTGTCTGCATAGACATTTCTCCGAAGAAGATGTACATCAAGCACATGAAAAGTTACTCCATAGGATTAGCCATTAGGGAAGTGCAAATCAAAATCACAGTGTGATGCTACTTCACACTCAAGGCAAATGACTATAATAGAAAAAAAAAAGATGAAAACAAGTGTTGGTGAGCATGTAGAGTCATTGGAACACTCAATTGTTATTCCTTATTGATGCATAGCAAATCGCTTCAAAATTTAGTGGCTTAAAACAAGAAACACTTATTATCTCATAGTTTCTGGGGGCAAAGAATGCAGGAACAGCCTAGCTGGATGGTTCTGACACAAGGTCTCTCATGTGGCTGCAGTCAGGGTGTTGGCAGGGCCTGTGGTCATGCGAGGCTTGCCTAGGTCTGGAGGATCGAATTGCAAGAAGGCACCCTCACATGGTTGTTGACAGGAGGCCTCAGATTCCTGCCACATGGGCCTCTCCTCAGGCTGCTTGAGTATCCTCATGATGTGGCAGCTAACTTCCACTAGAGCAAGCCGTCCAAGAAAGGGCGAGAGCGAAGCCACAGTGTCCTTTCTGACCCGGTCTCCTAATTCACACATGGTTACTTCCATTTTATTCTATTAATTAGAAGTGAGTCCCTAAGTTCATTCCACACTCAAAATGGAAAGTCATCTTGAAGGGAGGAGTAGCAAATAATTTGTGAACAGATTTTAAAACCACCACAGCACGCAATTCACATTTTTGCCTGTGGTCTGCCTCTTTGGTTTCCTAAACCAACTTGCATGTCCTTGTTTCCATACACTGAACAGGCTCACTGCCTCCCTCAAGGGAACAAGACTTAAGCGTCTTCTGGTTACTGCATCAAATCTATTGCTTAAGAATTCTGGGTGATATGCAGCACTCCCAGGATGCCCCGATGAGGCCCCTTGAAGGCTGGTAAACGGGCGTGCTTTCAGCCATAGCACATTTACATTTTCAACCATGAAGAAGGAACAAGATCATTGCAATAAATCTGTCCATTTGGAAAAGGAAGAATGAGGAACACACATTGGTCACCGTTCCATAGTAATTATCAAAACCTACTAAGCAGGAGTAGCCAGGACTCCTTTCCTTGGCAATACAGGAAGTTCCTTGATTGACCAACCTGGTAGCCTCTGATTCTTTCTCCTGAATGTTCTCCCTCGTGCCTTGCCCTCTGCTGTTCCTGGATCTGCCTTTGAAGTTTCACATTTGACAGTTTTCCTCAACAAATGTATCTGAGACAGACACGGGGGAGGTTGTCCTTCTTGGAGACCTCTTGGATTTTGAAATATTTCAGCACAGGGATTATTTTAAAGTTTTAACAATGAGATTATTGCAAACCAAGTTGGGGATTTCTTTGGGATGTTAATTTCTTCAGACACTTAGCAGGCTTGATTTGTTTCCATTCCATTCCATGTACAGGTTACCATAGCCAAAAGTCTTGCCCAGACATGGTTTTCAAGGCTGCAGATTCTCAGTTTTTATTTACTGGGCTCTGTACTCTGCCCATCCCTCTGGCCCTTAAATTAATGGTGTCTACCTTGAGATCATCTGAAATAATAGCTTTAGGTGGGGAGGCAATACAATTTATCACCTCTTGCTAACAATATCACTGCTGCATTATGACAAAGCACAAGTCTTACCTCCTGCTAAGCCAGCAGTTACATGGCCACAGCTTAAAACTTCTTCAATTTCAAGTACAGAGTAGATGACTTTTTCAACACTGCAAGGCCCATATCACTGGACTCTTCATCAGTTGTTAGCAAGTATCGGCAGAGAATGTCTCCCTTAGAAAATCTTTGCTTCCTTCCACCTCTGTTTTCAGAATGTTTGATTCTAGTCTGAGTTCACCTAACTCAAAAGACTTTACTGAAAATAGCAAAACTATACCACCACCTACAAACACTATGAATTTATCTTTTATTTCCCTTAACATTATGGCCTCAGTCAGCAAAAAGTCTGCTTTTCAAGGTAAGCAGTTGGCAGCTTAACCAAATAGTTTGCTACCACATTAAAAACAGAGCCCTATCACACACTGCCCAAATCTTTCTGCTAAATCAGTGGTACTTGTACCATGCAGCATACCATTACTGGTACCTACTGGCCATGGTTCCTGGTTACAGAAACAAAATTTACTCTTGCTAGTTTAGGCAGAATGTGTGTGTGTGTGTGTGTGTGTGTGTTTTTATATAACAAAATAATTAACAACATTTCTTCTAGGACCCAGAAACCAGGCTTGGATAATACATGAGAGAAACTTCCAGTTGCACAAAGGGACTGCCGTGTGGAAATTCCACTCACCTACCATCTGCCACATGGAACCAATAAGGATACAGACTAAATACTAGAACCTTCATTAGAACTCTACAGAATAACCATACACTTCAACCAACCACTTTATTTGCCAAGCAGCCCTATAGATTCTGCCTTACAATGTTCATATCCGGCTTCCATGTCTTATGTAGGTGCATTTTGTTGGTGGAGACCAGGTCACATGTGAAACCTTAGCTTCATCTGAGTCTGAGAAATGCCACATTCAGCCTTCCAGTAACCTGGAAAATATACTAGGAAGAGATTAGAGTAGTATTTAGTGTGTGTCATTCTACAGTATCTGGCACAGTGGCCAAAGGTTTATTTTTGAGTTTTCATTATATTTTAACTGACATACTAAAATTTGAGGAAAGTCATGATGAAATATATAGTAAAATTAATAAATAGCATGAATTACATTGACTTACTATGTTTCCTTTTCTCTGTAGGATTCTTCTTGGTTTGAGCGTTTGTATTAGTCAGTTTTGGGTCGCTATAACAGAATACCTGAGGCTGGGTAATTTATAAAGAAAAGGTGTTTATTTAGCTCACAATTCTGTAGGCTGGGAAGTTTAAGGGCATGGCCCTGGCTTACGGAGAGGGCTTTCATGCTGCATTATAACATGGCAGAGGTCAAAGGAAAAGCAAAAACGTGTGAAGAGACAAAACCCGAGGAGCTTCTCACCTTTATAACAAAGCACTCTCTTGGGGACTAATTCATTCCCAGGAGGACTAATCCAGTCCTACCAGAGGGAAAACTCACTACCAAAAGAATGGCACCAAGCTATTCAAGAGGGACTTGCTGCCATGAGCCATACATCTCCTATTAGGCCCTGCTTCCCAGCACCACTACACTGGGGATCAAATTTCTCTTCTCTTCTCTTCTCTTCTCTTCTCTTCTCTTCTCTTCTCTTCTCTTCTCTTCTCTTCTCTTCTCTTCTTTCTCTTTCTTTCTTTCTCTCTTTCTTTCTGTCCCCTTCCTTCCTTTTTTTTTTTTTTGATACAGGGTCTCACTTTGTCACCCAGGATGGAGTGCAATGGCACACGGTTCACTGAAGCCTCAGCCTCTGGGGCTCAGGCAATCCTCTCACTTCAGCCCCACAAGTAGCTAAGATACAGGCGCATGCCACCACACCCCGCTAACTTTTTTGTATTTTTTGTAGAGACGAGGTTTTGCTACATTGCCCAAGCTGGTCTTGAACTCCTGGGTTCAAGCGATCTGCCCACCTTAGCCTCCCAAAGTGCTGGGATTATAAGCATGAACCACCTTGCCTGGCCTAGAGATCAAATTTCAACATGAATTTTGATAGGGACAAACTTAAACCATATCTAAGCCATAGCAGCATTCTTGCTGTTGTAGTTTGTTTGGCCTACCTGTCTATTTTAAAGCCACTAATAGGATTCCAGAAATGTTTGATATATATCTCCATATGCAGATAAATCAATAACTGCTCAGTTCATCTCCACAATTTTTCATAGTCAGGTGCATGTCTTTGTTCCAGGCCCTTCCCTGGTGAAGACACAGAAGTGGAACATGGTTGTGGGGCAATAGTGAACAGTGAAGTATGGCAATAATTATGCCTGAGGATCAGAGCTCTTCAGTGGTGAGAGAAAAATATCAGCTGGAGCTAAAAGTGGCATGAAATTAAGGGAGCAGGAAAGGTCAAATATCCAGTAAGAGAGCAAAACCCAAGTTTCTGAAGCACGGGAAGTATTGTAGATTGTAAAATGAACAATAACTCACCCAATGATCATTAAATTTGGGTAAATTTTGCATTAATTGTATTTCACTGTATTCTAGTTCTTGGAAAGCAGGCTAACACTGTTAACTGGTATATCATATATTGATTTTGTTGGGATACAAAAAATGTGCTTACTCTTGGATAAGTAGATAAAACACTTTTGGTTGTAAGGAAGAGCGACTTATGCCAATTAACTTGAGAGAAAAGGAACTTCTAATTCATAAAATCCAAGGAAGTGCTGTCCCATCAATCCTCAGGAGACCATAGCTCTTCATCCTGGTGCTCCACCAATAATGTGCCTTTTTTCTCCCCTTATTCAGTCCCTATTGGTCCAATTCTCCAAAGAGAAAATTTGATTGACTTTTGGCCAGCCAGTGGACTACTTCTTTTATGGTCAGGTGTCCAGCCCTTGTCTAACCAGTGATACTGAATGGAGGTGAGGGCAAGTTCACTTAATTCAAAGGATTGACATTCCCAAGCCTGTGAATAGGGCTGGTAAAACTAGCAGGGTAAGACGAGTGTGGTAGATCAATAAACTAATGACTCCAGTACAGTTATTATCTTTTACACCACATAAATTAAGACTTGTAATATTGTAACAGCATCATTAATCTTATTTACAAACCGCTTGCAAATTAATGCTTGTGATTCTTATATACAAAATACATTAAACATATTCATTCTTTCACTAATTATTTACTGGTGCCTACAAGTACCCTGTGGCACAGTGTATCAAGTTCTCTTGATGCCAAATGAACAAACCATGGATACATTCTTTGAGGCACCACAGGAGGAGACAGCTAATATTTACTGTGATGTATTTTTTAATACAGGCATAAAGATGAATATTATGGGGAAATGAGGCATTGGTTCATATATGGGGGATTGAAGGGAAGGTTCCTTCCTTCAAGGAAATGATTTTTGAACTAGATCATGAATGATGAATTTACCAGTGTGCTTTTTTCTTATGGTCATTGCTGATTAGTGTTTATATACTTACTATAACATCTTATTATCAAGTCATATTTTACAGGTGGTATTTCCCTTTCGGGAAGTTTTGTTGATTCTCAATGTGTCAATATATAGAGCTAGAACTGTATTTTGTCAATTGAAAGTAAATTCAGATTCCCTCACATGGGGTAAAATTGTTTTATTTTTCTTTCTTCTTGTAATTTTCTTTCCCTTTTCATAGGCATTGAAAAATCGTTTTCTAATAACATAGCTTTCATGAACGTGAGAATTTTTCAGGTGTCTAGTAGTGGTGGTGATTGTCATTTCCATAGTCTCTTCCTTGGTATCAAGGCCAGCCTTAAATAATGTTGTGAAATGTGCCAACCATACCTTTGGTACCAATACATGCCCTTTCTCTAACACACTTTTAGTGCAATGCCCAGTAACTGCATAATAACATTGTATATTTAGGGACCAAATCTTTTTCCTCTAATGCACCATCAATTGTTTCATGTACTGTTAAGAAAGAAGATTGGAACCAACCAAATAATGGCACAATGCTTTCTTATGACATAGAATTCTAATTTTATAACTATTGAAAGGGCCCTTTTAAACTTATTTATACATAGATTTTTAATCCTCTATCACTCATATATATAAATAAAAGGACAATATAAGTGAATCACATTCTTTAAGATATTCCTAAACATGTTCACATTGAGCTTGTCCCACAAGAATCACTTTTTGACTTCATCATCAAGGTTTATTTTTAACAAAACGCAATTTACTCTTTTGTGCCATCAAGCAGTGTTGTTGATGCAGCATGCCTTAAAAGAGTGCTCCGCTACTATGTCTGTAAATTTTTTTCCAAGCTGCTGATCTCCACTGTACAGGCTTTGATGTAAATGCACTAGCAAATGACACCCACAGACAGTGACACGAAGACACCTTCCCATTTCCGAGATGTTAAAATATCAAATGATGAATCAATGGCATATGACATACAATTAAAGAGATATGACACTACTTGATAACTTCCAAAGTATTAGTGCAGACCTTATGTTTCTTTATCATTATCATAATGTAAGCCAAGTTAGGTAGTCATTGGTTCTTATTTCACAGACAAAGTACTGGATGTCCTCCAAATTAAGTAATCTGCTCCCAATGACACAAAGAAAACAAATAGTAGATTTGGTACTATGCTTGATAGTACTGGCATATTTTATTTATAATCCAAGGCTTTTTCCACCAATTCATGCTATTTCTGCCATAAAAGTAATGCACACTAACCAATTGCACCCTTGGGGCACCCCAATTTATACTATTTCCCATCATATTTCTTAGATATTCATAAACCTACACTGCAACTCTCAATCTCTCTACCTGTCACTTATCCTTGCTGATTGAAAAATTTAATCCAACAGTTCACAAACTATGTCCCCCAAAATACTGTTGTTTCAAGATTTTCTGTTTTTAAATCAAGTAACAGTCATCTTTTCTCAATTTGCAGGAAAAATTCAACTATCAAATGGTCTTCTAAATCAAAATTTTTCCATATTTTTTGTTTAGTCCTAGTTTCTGCTATCATTTGATGATAATAGAATCTTGTTTCATATGATATTGAATTTACACAAAACATGATCATTTTTCATTTACCACAGCAACATTTCAAGGTATTATAAAAAATTTTCCACAAATGTTACATTTCTTGAACAAATATGAAAACCTTTGATTTTATTCATTCTTCTGGAAGCCTGCTGTCTTCCAGATACACAGATACACTAATGGTTCAAATACACGGATCTGTGCTATTTAATTGGCAAGTTACTTTGTCAGACTCCTCAGAAGAGTCCTTAGAAAATTCATACAGAGTGAATTGAAGATTGGGAATTTGAGACACTTCATAAGACAAAGGAGTCATTTTTTGCCAGTCAGCCTTTTTCAAATTTCTTTAATTACATAATGTGAACAAGATATTCTAATTTCAGGACAGCCTTACCTGTGACCAACACTTTTTCCAGCTAATTTTTGGGGGAGTAGGTCAATCCTGCATCAAAGAATCAAATTTACAGCTTCTTTCTACCCAGGAAAGAGCTGATGCACTTAATTAATCTTTCCAGGAAGCCAGGCTGACGCTCATTATTTCAACGCGTTGTATGCTTAAAGCATGTATAATTTAATCCTGTTTGAAAGATAAGTGAAAGAGAATTGACATAAAATAGCAAGAAAGCTCTGAAGTGAACTGAGCTATATAATTTGGGCATAAGCATTCTTAATATCACCTTTAAAAGAACTTGAAATATATTTGATGGTGGGAGAAATTTTAGTATAGATTTGAAAACTATCAAACAGCATCTGTTGCCTTCTCCATTTTGATTAAAACATGCTCACAGGGAAAATAGTGGTTTGTCTGTTAAGTCAAACACTAATGAAACATTTGCTAAAATAATCTCTTTAATTTGGACAACATTTGGCAATAAAGTGCACTCATTGGATCATTTGCCTGTATTCTGAGGCTTCCGAGTTAACTGAGCACAGCTAAGTCTAATATGGTAATGGGCTCTTTGTTAAAACCTGGACATATGCATTTCTCATGCTTGGTTGTGTTCTCCTCTGGTGAAGAGAGATAAGAAACGTTATTTTGATGGCATTAAAGGTTTCTCATTGACATATCTAAATACCATGAGCCTGAACTGTCTCATTTCATCATGTCTCATTTCTGTATATCTTTTGAATCAAAGGCACTATGGCCATAAGGCTCAGGTGAGGAATGAGGATTAGTGGTATTAGTCAAGTCACCAGAAACAGAGTTAGTAATTAATCTATAAAAACTGTAGAAATGCTTTTTGATTAGCCTATGGGAGTTCATGTGAAACATAATATTGCTGGCATGTGAAACAAAATAAATCCAGCAGGTAATATCAGTAGAAAATAGAAATAACTTATCACGACATACTATTGTTTTATAGAAATTAGACTAAGTGTTTTCAAATTCAAATTGGTTCTTGTTTCTAAATTACTGTTTTAAATTTTATGTACGTGTATGTTTGCAAATATATGTATACAATACACACACACACACACACACACAGCACTCTTGCACTCCACACACATAATGTGCTTCGTGTTAACATTTTCTACTCATAGTCAATTAGGCAAGTAACTAGTGGACATACACACACACAAACACAAAGTATACCTACAGCTTTGTCTTGCATCCTGCAAAACCAAAGCCTTAGTTGTCCATGTATACTTGGAAGAACTGACCTGAAATGCCCTTCCAGAAGACATATGTGTCTAGATCATTATGTTGCAACCCTTCGTTAGTTTTGAGTTTTTGCACTATTAAAAGAAGAGCAAAGTGATCACCTTTTTAGTCTCTTATTCCATTACCATAGCTCAAGATGGGCTTCCTTTTATTCTTTGTCTATAAAAATATTCTTATCCACCTGGAGAGTCAGGCCAAATACCACTCTCTACATAAAACTTTTCTTCCGGTATAATATTTCTCTTATACTTCTTTGTTAGTATTTCATCCAGGCTTGAATATGGTCACATTTCCAGATGCCCTTTTCTCGGTTGGACTGTCAGGTCCTGGAAGGCAGGGACTTTTGACAAATCTGGGAGCAGCTAAAGAGGCAGTGTCAGTAGAGGCGGCATTTGAGGCGCTGACCCATGACAGGAGGAGCACGGGCTACAGCCGAGGACACACTGCTAGCAGCCATAACGGTGGCAAGTGTTGAACAAGCAGAAAAGATGTAATAGTTGTGAAGTCAGAGGAGTAGTCAGCGACATTGGCCTGGGTCCTTCCGTGAGGAGCAGACTCGAATGCTAAAATACACTCCCATGCCTCTTCCCACAGCACTGCCACCACCTAGAATTAAATTTTTGACAGTAACAGCAATCGCGTGTTTTTAGGATGTATTCTTTATTAGTAAACTTTATTATTTAATATTATTTCTCTGGGTAAATCCTTCCTCATCCCTAACACTGAATTCTAGGAAAATAGTCTCCCAGGAATCTTCTTAGTTGAGGGTAAGGAACTCTAGCAGATTGCTATTAAACAAGTAACATGTAAGTGAATATCCTTACACATCAGTTCATTGTTAACAGACTATTTCTCTCCTTTTAACCAAGTATTCTCAGTGATTAGCACAGTTCCGACCACACATATAGGTGTCAATAAATATTTAAATGAGTGACTAACAATAAATAGTATTTACTTGGGGCTTATGCATGTTGACATGGTACAAAATACTTTACAGATATTGTGTCATTTAATAGTACTGTTATTCCTATCTGATAGATAAGTAAACTGGACCTTGAGAGTGTAAATAATTTGTTCTAAGTTGCATAGTTAGTAGGTGGGAAAATTAGGATTTGAACCAAAGAAACCTACATGCAGTGCCATAACTCTTAACCTGTATACTACATTATCTCCCAATACTGAAAACATGCAGGAATGAATGACTGAATGTCCCATACTTGATAAGAGACAATCATTCTCTGAGTTAATTGTGCATCAAGAATAAAAAACTAATTAGGAGTACAAAGATGCAGGGCACTGCCCATTCTTATAAACAATTTGTTTTGGTAACAGTAACTAATTTTTACTTATTTTTGTACTTGGGATGGAATGCGCTATCAATTTTTTAAACATTATTTTTAAACCTATCTACATGATAAAAAGAAACTTAAGATGACAACTATTTCAGCAAAGAATGATAAGTGAAGCACCAGATGCTACATATTTTCAACTGCAAAAATATCATGGGAAGCCAGCTGTATCTTCTAAAATTTCATGATGTCATTGTATGGCTTCAGGATCTATTTAGCTGCTTTATAATCTTATTAGCTTATCTCTGCTTCCAGTCATGCACTAGGCCTTAATTGCATAGGTTTGTTTATAATATTGTTAGTGTTCTGGTATCATATTTCAAGCAAGAAGCATCTTGCTTACAGGCTAGTGCACAAAAACTTGCCACCCTGAGCAAAACCTAGTGATCCATTGCAAACTGATATCACTGTCCCATTTTTCTGAAGAGGTCATCGTTTCCTGGCATTGAGCTATCATGCTAGTGACTCAGAGTTTTTTATTTTATTCAACTTTTCCCAAAAGTTCGAGTCTAGGATGATGATTTCAAAGTGTGATGGAAGCGAAGTGTTTCAGTTCAGTGAGTTTCAATGTCACAGTGAAATTTACCACGTTTTCCAGGAATCAGTTACACTGCCAGTTCGAGAGAGATTTCAATTATATTAGGGATGGAAATAATTTTGGATTTCTTACAGTTCTACTCTTAATTTCACTGTCCCATCTTTTTGCCCCCCAAATTTATTCATCATTTTATTGTCTCCAATCTACATTCTTTTACAGGTTAATATTTTCTCGTTACAGAATTTTAGATAAGCTATTGTCAGATATTTTCTTGGAGATCTCATACAAATAATTGAGTTGTACCACTTTCAAAAGTTTCAAAAGTGGAACCACTGGCATTTCCTGCCCAATAAGAGAGGATGCTCCTCATGGCCCTACCAGAACTAACTTGGGTCTTCATAGAGAATGGGTGGCAAATTATCTCCATAAGACACTAGCTCTACCTATATCTACTGGTTAGTTGGGCAAAAATGAGACCATCTTTCTTTCCCTCATTGCCTTCTGTGAGTAAAACCTATTAATTAAGACTCTTCTATGTACAACCAAACAATTCAAACTGGTCTGGATGTTTGGGGAATGGGAATTGAACTGATTTGCTTCCTTAAGTGAGAAGTCCAGGAGTTTCAGGGATGGCTTCAGGTGGGGCTGGTGTAGGCAAGAGCTCCAGCAGTGCCCTGGTTTTGCTTCTTCTCAGTCCTCTTGGTGGTAGACTTAGCTCTCCACCCTTGGTATGTTAGCATCATTCTCAGCTTCATTCACAGAGACAAGTGGCAGGAATCTCCAGCCTTTAAATTCCCCAAATTCCTAGACCAGCAGAAAAGGACAAATGATATTCCTCATAAGGACAATATAAAATTTCCCCAAAATCAATGTCACTGGCTTTGATTGGCCTGACTTGGCCATGAGCTCACTGGGAAGCAATTACTGTGGCCAGGAAAGTGTGATGCTCTGATTGGCCAGTTCTGGATTACAGGCCATCCCTGGAGTCATGGTAGTGTTTTCTCCACAGGGGCCATGAGAACCGAAACTGGAGGAGCCAGTTCCCAAATAGATCAGCTAGATACAGTTATGAGAATAGGATGAATGGATAGTGGCAACTACTAAACAGCACCATTTCAGTTATTCATCCTACTTATTCACACGTTTGGATATTTTCTCTTTCTCTTTCTAGTTCTTTTAACAAGCATATTAAACACTCGGTCTCTGTTTTTCTTTGGGCCTGTTTGCTTTGAAGCTGTCATCTTACATCTGGCTTTTTTATATTTACTCTTGGGTCATGCCTACATTTTGCTTTGTCCTTTTTACATATTATTAAATTTTGTTATCATTGTTTTCTTTGGTTACTGTCCTGAAACATCTAATTTCAACATCTGCTAATGTATTCATTTCTTCATATTATGTTGCCTGGATTTGGGGATAAATATTGAAAAGTTGAATGAGTGGCCAGTTAGCATCTAAGTACCCCTTTACGCAGACAATATTATTTTTTTGATAGCAAAGGAGAAAAGTCAGTGTTTTGTAGTAAGTAGAGGGCACAGATGTGAAAGAATTAGGAATGAAAAGAAAAAAATAAATTAAAAATATTGAAACATCTTAATTACTCTACTCAACCTTTTCTTCATAAAACCTTTTTATTTGTGCAATTAATAACCAATAAATGTATTTGAATTTTGCCTCCTCTTTATGACCATGCCCACTGGAGCTGTTACTGAGTAGGAAAATGATTAAGAGGCAGGTGGCAGAGGAGCGAAGGATGTGAATCAAAGAGGCTAGATAATGCACAAGCTCAATAGTGAGCGCTAAATAATTGATACACAGGTGTATACAATACACAGACAGGACACTGATACACATGGAAAAACACTATTGTTACTAATAGTCTCAGGTTAGCAGCTGCCTTTCACCAATAATGACTCTTTATAATCAATTCTTACAATAATACAGTCCATGTTTTTGAGCCAGCAGATTCTAAAATAACTTCTTCTGGAAGCCTTTGGATATATATTTTTCACTTGATAAAATAGCCATTAGACAACAATAGAATGGATACTAAAATCTGTCATGTATTTACTTCAACAAAACCATCATATATACCTATTGTTAGTAGAATGCAGTTTTTGAAACCCATAATGTCTGCATATGGTGCTACATTCAAGAGACAGACAAGGCATACAGGGAAGGTAAGTCTTTCTCTGTCCTTCAGTTACCCAGTTCTCCTTTCCAGAAAATTGCTGTTACCTGTTTCTTATGTATCTTACTACAGACAATGTTAGCATTTGCAAACATGTGTACCTCTACAAACATAAATGAATTTTTATATACATACCTAGTAACACATTATTAAGCACCTTACTTTTTCACTTATTAACATATGTCAGAAATCTCTAATGGTTAAATTACAAACAAGGATGTTGAGGACCAGGTTTCTAATATAAATTCTGACATTTTGAAGAGTCGTATTGTAATTGCTATGATGGTAGGCATAAAATAAGCCAAAACACCCCCTTGGCCCCCGGAATAAACATATGAAAAGAAATGTAAATTCAAATTCAAATGAGAAAATCATTGCTACCTATCAAATAAGCAAATGATAACAACAATGAAATAGTTGTTATTTCAATATAAAATCGATAATGCCTATGGCCAATTGCTGAAGCCAGAAACCTCAGCATCATTTCTGATTTCTTTCTCTGCTTCATCCACATTTAATCTTTCACTAAGGCCTCCCATGTCATCCTCTAAAGTATACGTATTAAATTTCTCCGGAGGACATAGCTGAGTTGCACTCGGAAACTGTAAGATAATAATATTTGCTGTTTTAACCCACCATGCTTTGAGCTAATTTGTTTCACTATGATATGTAACCAATACACCTTTAATAGCACCTTGTTTTTTTTAGTTATGGTACTTTTTAAACTCTGTCATTGATTGTTGTGATATTTATTATCTCGTTTATAAATGCATACGCCAGAGAGTAAGAATCTTGTGTATTTGGTCCCCAAAATACCTGTGACATTTATTATAGTCCTGAAATTCAGTTGTTGAATAAAAGAATAAATAAATGAATTGATATTCTGGATTTACTGCCTATGGGAAAATGTAAACTGGTGTAAGCTCATTGTCTGTAAGTGAGTTTATCACTTTTGTATCAAAGATCTTAACTTTGCCAACTCTTTGACCCAGCAATTTCATTGTTAGAAACTTATCCTGGAATATGAAAATTTAGCTAGAATAAAGTTTATTGTAACTGTGTTTATAATAGCAGAATAGTGTAAACAATGCGTCCCACAATAGAGTATTCAATTACGGCGCATCCTATGTATCCATGAAAAATAATGGTATAGAAAAATATTCATTAACACAGAGCATATTCACTATATGTGGCTGAGTGGTGCAAGCAAGTTACAAATCAGAAATATAACAATAGGTCCTGTTTACTGACTGTTTAGTGTATGCCATTCACTGTGATACACACCTTACATGTGTGATGTCATATGTATAGCATATCCAGAGGGGGGTGTGTGTGTGTGTGTGTGTGTGTGTGTGTGTGTAGATTCAAAGGCATCAGATAGCTGCTTTTTCCAAACACTGATCTACATACTTGGAATATGTATATAGAAGGTTATGTCACTAAAATGCTTACAGTGATTATCTCCAAAAGGAAAGGTGGGATTTGTATTTTGCTTTTTGTTTCTTTCCCTCATTTTTCTACGGTGAGAAGGAACCTCAGGCCAAAATGGAGAGTTGCCAAATGATAAGGGTTACAGATACCAAACCTAGAAAAAGGAGCCAGAGAGACAAAGAGCAGAACAGTAGACCAGGGGTTGGGCAGGAATCCAGGACATGCCTAGAATAAGGAGCTATTGTTAATGGTTCTGCTGGGATATGCTGCCACTTCTCTAAGATAATAGGGATCCTGTAAAGTCTGGGAAAGATTCTGGGTAGTACCTCTGCTGGGCACTGACATAATTAGGCATTTATGTGCTGCTCAAACTGAATGGTCTCAGTCAGCTGCAGTATGGCCTGGCTGGAGAGAAGGTTGCCAGGTCAGAGGAGCTTTTAAAGAGGTGTCTGTTCTACTGAGCCATGCTGGTTTGTGTGATCTGGTATCTTCTTGGTGCTGACTGCTCAGGACTGAGACCTTCTGCAGGTTGAAGCATTTGAAGAACATAGTCCATTTCACCTATGTATTCTGGTTGGTTTGGCTCTCCTAGTCTGCAGTGTTTAGATGCCTTGTCATCACTTGCCTGAAGACCTGACTGAAATTTGGAATCGATTGCCAGAATTGTCTATTCCTTGAGCAGTATTGATTTCAAGTGAAACAAAGTTTCTAGAGATATGGGCATGGAGATTTTGTTTGCTAGGATGCTCTTTAAGTATCAGCTTCAATGGTGATATCAACATAAGAATCAGAATTTTCAACTGTTAGGATGCTATAGGTTCATTCATGGACCAGATTACTCATTTTAATTCCTGAGATCTTTACTGGGGTGGTCAGAGTGAAAAAGTACGGCATGAACCACTGTACGCAGAAAATCATAGAAATTGTTAAACATCCTTGATCATCCTTCCTTTCCATGATACTTGTGTTTCTAGAAATTGCACCTCAAAACTTAGTATGTTTTATTGGCATTAGTGCAGAGATCGTATATTCATATTATGTTTAGAACTGTCCTGATGTTTAGAATTGACGAAATGAGCTCATGTGTATCAAGAAGATGTCAACATTTATGATTCTGTTTGGTTCAGAATCTGTAGAATCACCTCTTGGGACACTTAATGGAATTATAGTGCATTCAAAAGTTTGGAAAACTGTTGTCAATTTGCCGTGCTCTCATATCAAATGTTTAGCCTGCAAAGACTCAAAAGTCAGATGGAGTCAGATGATCCCAACCTCTATAAAGATAATCCTGGTATAGGTGACGACCCTCAAAAGAGGATCTCATAATGGTTTGGCAGACATGGAAAACAAACAGATTTTTCCGCTCTTTTTCAAAAGGGGTACCATGGGGCCTAATGAGTTTTCAATACAGAATATGTCTCTATATAATCTTGAGTACCTAGAAAGTGAAGATACTTGCTGAACAGGCACTTGTATATGGGCAAAAGAACCTGCACAGAGTTGTCCTGATTCCCAGTTTGTGTTACCAGGTTTTCCACCTTGGAGTCCCCAAGATATTGCCTATCACATGGGAATGGATTGGTTTTGGAGCAGTTGCTAGGTCTACTGGATCAGTGTTTGGCAAAAGCAGTTATCTGATGCCTTTCAATCTATCAAGGATCAGAATAGGATGCAACTCCACTCCACCTTTAATTCCATAGGGTGCAGAACATTTGCCTCCCCCCACCACACCCCCATCCAGAATATAAACAAAGCCTAGCCTGCTCTCTTCTTCAGCGGGCTGGGTGGCTGTTAGATTGGGCCCCTGCATACAAAGATGCCCATGATCATAGTTTTACCCCTTCTACCTTAGACATTGCATGCAGCCAGCACTCTTTAACCTTTCAATTTTGTTATCTAGAGCCACAGTCCTTAGGTACCAGGCATAAAGACTGGCTATGACCTCAGGTATCTTGGAAGGCTGGGGAGAGGGTAGGTCAGCAATGTTCAGTGGTTGTGGACAGAATGGGTGATGATGCTCACACAGGATTGGCAGAGATGTTTAATCCAATTGTTAATTTAAGTATTATTTATGTCAACAACGGGTTGCTAGGTAAGCATTCGGTACAAGTTCTTCAACCATTTCAGGAGATAATACCACTCAGAGTAAATTGCATTTAAGGACAAAAGAGCAGGTCAACAGACCCCCTGAATTATATATTTTAATCTGAGCTCAAACTGGAAGCAAAAAATCATCTGTAAGTACAAGTGTTTATTTTCATAAATGTATTTTTTCATAAAACACATTAGTAGCTAAAAGCTAACAGTTTACTTATAAAGCTATTAAAAGTTAAATAACTTTTCTAAGAAAATTAGTGCATCAGAAATAGACCTGAAACTAAACCCCCAAATATCCAATATTGAGTCTTTTACCTGGCTAGATTATTGACCATCATACAGCTTAAATTTATCTTATTGATCGAGTAAGATAAAAGGAGATGAAATTTCCTGGAAAAAGGATGACTATTTCTTTAGTATCAATATTTTTATTTGACATCTGTCAAGTCAAACCCATACTTGTTTTTAGTCATTCTAAGTTATTAAAAACTATTGTTTTATGCTATCATTTTGGAAGGCAAAACCATCGATCTTTCTGGAAAAATTACAATTAGGCATGTTTGATCACCCTTTTCCATGACCCAGCTCTATCCATCTTGGAGGTAAAAAAAAAAAAAAAAAAAAAAAGCTATAGAAAAGATGTAGGTCATTATTAAGAAAAATGGTTCTTCAAAGCTCTATTGATTGCCAAAAAAACTATTACTGTGAAAAGAGAAATCTTCAACTACTCCTAAAATAATTGGCTGGACATATGTTATATGTGACCCAATGGCACAAAAAAGAATTTCATTTAATCAACAAAATAGATCTTTCACATAAAAGTTGGCCTCTCATAATGACATACAATAATCACCAATTTTATAGTGGGCTCCAATATTAAAGAAGCCCTTCTGAAAGCAATTGACTTTAAAGTGGTCTCTGTTTTAACATCATGAGATTCACCTACTGTCCAAACTAAATTGTCTCGGTCAGTTGCACTGTGGACTGGGTGGCCAGAAAGTCCCCAGGTTAGAAGATCTTTCAGAGAGGTGTCTATTCCAATAAGCCCTGTTGGTTTATGTGATTGTGGCATCTGCTTGGTGCCGAGTGCCCAGGATTTCATATGCAAATTGAACAAAATAGATAGCCACCCACAATTTTTTAAATGGATTTTTTTTTTTTTAAAGAGTAGATTGGGATTTAGAAATTATTGGCCACAATCTGAGAAGGCCACTTTTTTTACCCTGGGTTTTTTAATCTAGAAAAATGAGGAGGGAATTGAATTAATAATGTCTAATTCCTTTCTTACCTCTAAGATGCTGTGATTTTGTTAATGCATATTAATGCTTGTTAATATGTTACTGATGACAATAGTTCATGTGTGTTCATCTGTTGAGGCATTTTCTTTCTCATCCAAGGTGAGATAACTTTTATCATGACTTTCAGCCTGTTTCATTTTATGAATAACTATTTTGACTCAGTTTTGGCTAATGTAATCTTTCACTTAAAGTTGGCAGAAATGAAAATTTTGTGAACAAAAATTATTTCAATGTCAATAAAAGTAAAATAATGTAGGGCAATAGTTTTTCCCTTATTTACAAGAAATTTTTGAAGACATGGCATTTGTGACCCAGCTGAGAATTCTCCTGGTTTATGTAGTGAGGGAGGGAAGAGAGGAGAGATGCTATTTGCTCGGAAGTAATTAGCAATCTGCAACCACTCATCAGTGAAGAAATGAAACTAAAGCCACCTGTCAAAATTAGAACTATAAAAATACATTAACTACCACGAAGTATTATAAACAAATAGCCAGTTTAAAATAAAGTAGTTGCTATATTGAAAAATCAGGATTGTCTATTATTGTTCCCAAGCATATTTAAATAGGTATTACACAAGTATTCCCTTGATTTTCTCATTATCTTCACCCTGAAATTGATTCTGTGTCTATAGGTGGCTACTGGTTCAATTACTTTTAGTCAAATCTCTTTTTATGCCATCTTGATCATTCAGTCATGACCAGCTAATCACATTGGTAACTTATTCAACATGAATGACTCAGTGAAAAGACCACAAAATCTCAAAGTCAGCTGTTTTCCCCATGGGTCTTCCTTCATATAAACACAGGACAAAGGTACGCTTTACATCCATTCATTTTAAATTACCAAAATGTCTCTGGTTTTCATGACTGCAGACTATAGAGTACAGATTTCAGGTAAGCTAGTTTTCTCTCAGATTGCCAAAGAAATGCAAAATTGCCTTTACTATTAAATTACATTTAACCATTCAATCTATCTGTAACTTCATTTCTTTCTTACATACACATGTTTAAAGTTATTTAAAGTAATATCTGCACAACTGATATGGTTTGGCTGTGTCCTCACCCAAATCTCATCTTGAATTGTAGTTCCCATAATCCTCACGTGTCATGGTTTCGCCCATGCTGTTCTCATGATAGTGAGTGAGTTCTCACGAGATCTGATGGCTTTATAAGTGTCTGGCATTTCCCATGCTGGCACGCACTCTCTCCTGTCACCTTGAGAAGAAGGTTCCTGCTTCTGCTTTGCCTTCCGCCATGATTGTAAGTTTTCTGAGGCCTCCCCAGCCATGCAGAACAGTGAGTAAATTAAATCTCTTTTCTTTATAAATTACTCAGTCTCAGGTATTCCTTTATTGCAGCATGAGAACAGACTAATACAACAACTGTATACAAATTTTGGGAAAAATTAAAAAAAAACAAAATTTACTTGTAATCATAAAATAACCATTAATATTTTACTTTGTTTTTTATCCTAACCTTTTTCTAACACATAAACGTATTCACACACATGTAAATACAAACAAACGTCTCCTATCTATCGCATTTCTCTATGCATGTTTATCTGTTTGCATACATGGATATGTATGTGCATGTATATGCATTGTATTACGAATATAGTTTATTATTTTTCTTTTACTCCTTTAAAAAAATTTCAATACAGTGTCATGGGCGTGTCCCTATATTTATTAAGTAGTCTTCAAAAATCTAATTATATAGTCTGTGTAATATCATCAAAGTATTCACGATATTTTTAACGTATTTATTATCGAATATTAGCATTTCCATTTAGAATTCACATCATTTTTGAAGACTGCTCCAGAGTTACATATCTGATAATTCTGCAGCCATAACCAAATATTTACATCCTAATCTTCATATTTATTATATTTAATGGCTCTATTGTCTCCTTAATTGTAGTCATCTGGCCAGGACCAGAGTGAGAGGACTTTCTAATGTCATTTCATTTTGATGACTCTATATATCAGTAAGAAAACAACTCTTCTTTCCAAGCAAAACGTTCTTTTCTCTTTAGTGCCCAACAAAGAATCTTCAATCTGCGTATACTATACAAGAGAGAAGTAAGTGGATTGACCCATAAAAGGAAAAAAGAATTAGCATTTTCCTTTACTGTTACCTGGTTTATAGAACATTAAAACATCTGCCAAAGGCTATGATAGTTTAGTCTATTTTAATATGGAAGCAGTATATATATATATATATATATGGTTTTGTCTTTTTCTGCATTAGAAAAATCAAATGTGGTGGTTCTTTTCTGGGACTGTTGTTGGAAGTTTAATCCCTCCCTCCCCTCAAGAGAAGGAAAACGCAATTTCTCAGTTTCTTATGATCTGGTATCAAGTTTAATGAATCATCAGGTTACATTACACAAGGGTTGGGAAGACATGGGAAGATGGGAGTTTTACACACCATTGGAAGAATATAAATTGGTACAACAGCTTTGGAAGTTAATGATGTCTATTCGAGTTAAAGGTATACATTCTTTATAACCATCAATCCTATTCTCAGTCAGGTACAAAAGGAGCCAAATATATTAATGGTGTTCATCTCAGCATTGTATAATAAATAATAGCAAATAATAAAAAAATTATTGCAAATAATAAATAAGAAATACAATAAAAATAGCAAATAACAAATAACAAAAAATTGAAAAAATAGCAAAAAATAAATAATAGCAAAATTTGGAGAACCTAAGTAACTACAAATGAGAGAATAGACTAATTATGATGTGTTTGTATAATAGAATTCCATACAGCAGTTACAAGGTATAAACTAGATGTGTAGGCAACAATATGGACAAAACTAAAAAGTCATGATGAATGATAACGGTAAATTGCAGAAGTATATATGCACAATGATTCCATTCATGTAATGTTTAAAAACAATATCACTTCTGGATTATGGTTATCCCTGAGGAGGTGGGGAGGGAAGCACAGAGGGATGGGAATAGAATGAGGGATGATATAAAGAGGTGTCAATAATATCTCTAACATTCTAGTTCTTAGAAAGAATACAATTTCAGAAGCACATTTGGCAAAATACTAACATTTGTTATATCTGGGTGGTGGGTAAACAAATATGTGTTATATTCATCTCTGTAGTTTTCTGTATGTTTGAAATGTTTTATGATTTTAAAATGCTTAAATATTATTTAAAAGTTCTACTGTAAATGTCAGGGAGAAGAGCTTAAGCATTTGTTTTGGGGTGCCAGGGGGGAAGGTAGGAAGGTGGAAATTGAGAAAACTTGGGAAATGGTGGGGAAAAGCTTTACTGTCTGTCACAGGAAATTGGCATCTCTTCAGGAATGGAGAGTACGTATGTACTGACACTTTCATTTGTCAAAAGCCAGGTGTGAATGGCACGGACTTTGCTTAGTCTTTGTCTGTCTGACTATGCCAGGTGGACATCTCCCATAGTGCCCCAGGATGGCCAGAAATAGAAAGGCCCAGGTTGTTTCATGAAAATGCTATTGGAAATTACATTCTTCTGGGTCCTAAGACACCTATTTTCAAACCTGTTACCACTGGCACACATGCCCACACAAAGTTAGCAAAGAATATAAGACAAATGTTATTTGTTGGCAAAAAAGAAGTTGCTCATTTTATGCGCAATGTTGGCAACAGTGGTAAAACTGGCACTTTGCTCACTACGAGTGGGATTGCAAATTGGGACAATTTGCCAATAAGTGTCATGAATCTTAAAAGCACAAAACTTTCTGACCCTGTGATTCCTTATTCTAAAGAATCAGAAATGTGAAGGAGTTGTTCACAACAGTACTATTCATAATACAGACTTAGAACAGCTTAAATGTCCGACAATATTGAAATGAACAAATTATTGTCATTACTGCAATACAATGGAACATTCTACAATTGTTACAAATAATAGAATACTTTGCAGCCATTAATAATTATAGTATTGGGCTGGGTGTGGTGGCTCATGCCTATAATCCCAGTGCTTTGGGAGGAAAATGTAGGAGGATCACTTGAGACCAGGAGCTTGAGAGCAGCCTGGGCAACATAGTGAGACCATCATCCTCACAAGAAAATGTTAACAAATAGCTAGGTGTGATGGCATGTACCTGTAGTGTTAGCTACTCAGGAGGCAGAGGCAGGAGGATGGCTTGAGCCCAGGACTTTGAGGTTGCAGTGAACTGTGATAGCACCATTGCACTTTAGCCTGGGTGATGGAGTGAAAACTTGTCTCTTAAAAAAACTAGAAGGCATAATATTGAAACATATTTATTTACACGAGGAAAATATTCACGATATATTTTGTTCAAGAAAAAAATCACAATACAAAATGGAATATACATAACAATGAAAATTTAACAAAATATATTTGCATATCTATATGTACAAATGACAGAGGAAATATTTCAAAAAGTTATTACCTTATGATTTTTATTTATTCTTCATTTATTTATATTTTGCATGTGTCCTATAATAAACATGTTTTAATAAAAAAATTCAGAAGACAATTGGACACTAAAATAATAAACATTTTGTAGTCCTCCATTCACTTTCATAACAGACATTTTATGTAGAAAGAGAATTGGTCTGGGAGTCCAAATACGAGATCTTTTCTTTCTTATAACATTTGCTTTGTATGTCTCTCTGGTCCCAAAACTTGTCATCTGTAAAACTGAGCCATAATACATACCCTACCTAGTGAGTTAATATGCTGGATTAGCAATCAGCATATGAAGGCCTTTGAAATCTGCGCTTATTTCTTGTTTTAGGCTTGCTCTCCTTCAAATCCCTCCATTGCAGCCCAGTGGGCTGCCTTTTCCATGAACTTCATTCACCTATTCCTTTTCCTGCAACCCACTTCCAACTATGTAAAAAGCACAGTCTCCTCTTTCACAGCACTCGCCTCTGGTATTGCAATATATTTTTCCCATCACATCCACTAGACTGTGAACTCTTGAGGTTGTTTATGTTTTATTCTCCTTTATCCCATTAGTGCCTAGCACAATTCCTGACACATCATCAGTAAATATTTGTTGAGTGCATAAGTAAAAGAGAATATGTATTGTAAAAGCAATTTGCAAACTGCAAAGTGCTGTAAAGTAAGCATTCCTTATTTCATACGTGCAAAGATCTCAACATTAAGCATGTATTAGCAATGCAATGCAATATGTAGGAATTGAGTAACAAACTCAAGATTATCATGAGCATTTGTAAATTTGTAAATTTGACTAAATCTTCTGGAGGTGTTTAAATGAACAGGAAATTTTCCTAGGCTACACTACAAGGAAAAGTCAAAAAAACAATATTTTTGAGATATGGTTAAAAAGAAACCCACTAGGATCCAATATGAATAGCATATAATATGAAGTATTTAGATAGAGATGAGCAATATCAATACTACTTAGTGAGAAAGGCTTAGCTGGCACCACCGTCATGATATCATGGTTGTTAAGCATCCTCACAGTACAGGAGTACAGATTATAGGAAGCCACAGAATAGGGTCATTGGTGCCAGTCTACTGTTATGAAAGCTAATATAACATGGGGATATACTACTAAGCATAACATCCTGCAGTGGCCAGCAAACCATCTAGAAGCTAAAACTAAGCCAGGTCCACAGAAGGCTTTGTCCCATTTGGGGCTCTATATTTTTTAAGTGATTTGGAAAGTTGGAAATGAACCAGGGAAGAGCAACAAAAATAATTAGCGTTGGCAAATGGACCTATGGGGAACAAAAGGGAAAAGAACTTGGAATTATTTGAGCTGAAGAAGAAATTGCTGCAGGGTGACCTCATAATCACTTTCAACGGATAAAAGGGTATCATAAGGATAATAGGTGCTGGGGTTTGAGGGAGCCGATTCATTATTTCTCTCCTGACTTCTGGTTTCCAAATTTCTAGAACCAAATTCAAAACAGGTCAAAGCAACCAGGTGAGAAATCAAGGATATAATCAACTTTCCTTCCCCAAAGAGTCATGGTTTCTATGTCAGAGGGTACAACTTGGGCCTGAGATCCAAGTAAGGTTTCCTGTTACTTTGCTTATTTCCTTTTCTCCACTCACAGCTCTGCTTCTGCTACTCTACTCCACAGATCTTAATACAGGACCCAATCAAGGAGAGAGCTGGGTCTAGCAGGTGAGATGCTTACCCACTGGCCCGTGCATGCTTGTAGTCTGCCTCACATGTGGTTCAAGGAATAGAGAGAACCAAGAGAGCAGCTCAGGAACAAGCAGTGATTTTGCCCCAGTCTTAACAATAAGGAAAGTAGTGACAAAGACAGAGAGAGATAAGAAGTGAGCTTCTTCCACAGCAGAGGAGCTCAGCTGTTTTGCTGTCTACAGAAATAATAGGCAGCTGTGTAACAAGCATCACACTCCCTCCAAAACAACAGGATCCGGGGGATCTCCATTTTCTCAGTCATAAACCAGTTTTCCAAAAGGAAGATTTCTCTTGAAAACAAAACTAATGCTGAATGTTTCTGAGAGAATGACATAGCTCTCCGAAGGACAATTTAAAATTTCCTGCGGAGAGTTCTGGCAATTACAATCATAGGACCAACATTGTTCAAAGTGGTTCCATGGAATGTTAACAGGGATCACATGGAAAATAGGGCTCTGCGGTCAAATCCTTTTGTGAAACACGAGGTTAAACCAAGTTAAATCATTTTCTATACTAAAGGTCATAATAAAACTTTAAATATTATAATATTTATTGTGAAGCTCCATGTTTTCCAGAATCTTTCTTCTTTTTGGCAGAGTATCTCATTTGGCTTGTGTTTCGTAAAATATACTTTGGAAAAATGTAGCCTTAGATGGTTTCATTCACTTAACATGGAGACAGAAAAGTTGGATCTCATCTACAAGCCTCTTCTAGCTCTACTATTTCACTACTAAGTTTGGTGCAGTGACTCATTAGAAACTGTAATCACCACGTTTCACCAAGCTTAAACCTCCAAGTGATTGGTGCAACTTTTTTAATGGGAATGAGACTTGGACTCAGCAGACTACATCTCACTGGGAGACAATACAGCCTTGTATTAACAGCTTATACTGACGAAACCATGAAAAAACACAATCACATTTATTTACAATTTTTTAATTTGTTTATCTGTACTTAGCAGCAACATGGTTGTTTCTCGGAAGGTCAGAGTAGGGTGCTCATGAACTTAAGTTTAATATTGGGCATTGTTACTTTATTTTTGGCCATTTACGATTGTACTATGCCTTTACTTAGGAGGGGCACACAGCAAGAGTGTGGACAGAACACAGGAAACTCATGGTTGCTTGTGCGTAACAAATAACATTATGGCTTTTCTTATAGTAACATCACACCACGCTAGAGAAGAAAAAAGATTATCTCTCAGAAGAAAAGGATATCATTAACCCAAAAGGGCCTGTGGTATCTTCTGTTTTGTGTTAAATAAAAGCCTTATGTCAATTTTCAGATTCTGAAAATGTTCCCTTTAAAGTTTTCTGTTCTTATGGATAATAATGAAGTGGCATCTGAAACAACATACTCCATTCAGTTCGGTGCTTTGGCAGGAAGTAGCTGAAAGAAATTGCTTCCATAGGCAGAGAAACCTGCTGAGGCTGCAGGACAATTGTGGAAGGAGGACTCTCTCAGCTGCTTTAAGGGTTTTGCAGCTTGGTTGGTTAGTCCAGAAGATGGTAATTAAAAGATCCCTTCAAGGGAAAGAATAGCTTCAAGAAAAGCAAGATTCATGAGTAAATTAGGAGAGCTTCAGGATTCAGGTGCCACATGCTGTATGTAGCTAGGAGTGCAGGCTCTTCTGTGACTCAGGCACACCTGAGTGCTTCAGAGGCAAACCAGTCTCATTTTATTTCTGGTGCAGAACTCCAAGTTTCTTAAAAGTTACTCCACTGTCAGCGTATGTGTGTACCACCTTTTGCAAGAGAGCATGGAGAAAGAGAGAGCGTATTGTATTTCCAGCTCTGATGTACTTGTCTTAGCTATATTGTTTTAAATCTGGCATTTAGACTGAATATTTATCAGCCACGTTGTTAGTTATGTCAGTAAGAGAGTGGGTATGAAGCCCATCTTGAATGAAATGATGAGAATGAGGCATCTGACGGATAAATGAAAATTCAAGTGTGATTATAGGCACAGGAACAAGCAGTGGTTTTGCCCCAATCTTAACAATAAGAAAAGTAGTAACAAAGACAAAGAGAGAGAGATAAGAAGTGAGCTTCTTCCCCAGAAGAGGAGCTCAACTGTTTTGCTGTTGATAATGAAATTAAATGAAAATTCAAGTGTGATTATAGGCACAGATTGTCATTTATTTCACAGATAAACAAAAATTCAAGTATGATTATAGGCCCAGGTAAAGGCTGGCCACACATTGCTAGGAGCTGAGATAGCCAGATCTGTGATCTGAAGTTTGCCAGTACAAACAGAGCTAAATATACACATATTTCTCTTGCCCGTATAACCCTCAAGCCTTCACCTACTTTGCTGAGAAACTTAATACTTTCAAACAAAGCTATAGACCTGAAGCATAACCCATGTCTACACAAATACTAAACTTTCTACAGAACTAGAATTCATCTAGTTACCAATGACCTGGAATAAATGAAAAGAACTGGGTCATGCAATGTCTTCTACACAGTCTATTTGCAACAAACTGACAGTACCGAAGACCACCAGGCTGGGAATGGATCAAGGAAATATTCACCGCTTATTCTAGGACTTCGAGGAAAGAAATTATTTTTCTGTTGTACTACAAATACATAGTCAGATAAATAAGAAATATAATGTTAAAAACAGCAAATAATCCTTTACTTCCCAAAAGCGTTGTAATCTATTCATGACTACTGGTACAGAGCAAGTCTCCACAGCCAAGGGAAGCGAAAATCATTTTCACCCAAACAAGCTGTCCCAATAGGAGGGTTTGCAGGGCCCTCAGTGAACGAATAAACGTAGTTGAAAAGACAGCAATTGGCCAATGGTGCCATGTGTAAGGAGTGATGAGAACACAAGATAACATCAAGAAAGACAAACATAGGAATCACAGTATCCTTCAGGCTCATCAAATAACCATCACTGTGGGTCTTAATGGTAATGTAAAATTAAGGTGGCCCAGAGAAAACTATGTAAAGGAAATGAGTAGGCATTTTACAGATTAGAAAATCTAAATGACCAACAAATTTGGGAAAATATATTTCATGAACCAAATTAGTAGTAAGGGAGATAACATCATCAAATTATAAAAACAAATGGTTTACGGCCAGTTGCCAGTTGGGTTGTGGGAAAAAGGACACCCTTAGACATTGCTGTAGACATGTGAACTGCTTCGGTTATCTTGGGAAACACTTTGGCACTATCAATTCACATCAAACATATTTGTTTTTAGACCTACGTGTATGAACTTCTCACTCAGTAATCCTACTTTGAGACACTTTGCTGTATGAACTTCTTACTCAATAATCCTACTTTGAGACAGTTTGCTATAAAAATGAAAGCACTGGCCAGGAGTAGTGGCTGATGCCTGTAATCCCAGCACTTTGGGAGGCCGAGGCGAGATCGCTTGAGCCAGGAGTTCGAGACCAGCCTGGCCAATATGGCAAAACCCCGTCTATACTAATAATACAAAAATTAGCTGGGTGTGGTGCTGCCAGCCTGTAATCCCAGCTACTTGGGAGGCTGCAGGGGGACATCACTTGAACCAGGGAGGTAGAGGTTGCAGTGAGTCGAGATTGTGCCACTGCACTGCAGCCTGAGCGACAACGTGAAATTGTGTCTCAAAATAAATAAATAAATACAATAAAATAAAAATGAAATGAAAGCACCAACATATAAAGGTATTGATTGCATCATTGTTTTTGGTAGCAAGTGAGCATGTTTATATACTTGCAAGTATATACATTTGCAAATGTTTAATTAAGAGAAAGATGTGGAAAAAAGGAAGAAGGAAAAGGGAGGGGAGGTAAATAATATCTAAAAATAAAATTTTTCATGAAATTTAAAAAAATCATGTGACTATGATCATATTTAAATAATACCATATAGATAGGTCTATATAAACACAGAAATGTTAGGAGATGGTTACCGAAATGTTCATGGGTTTCCAAGAGGTGCAACCTTAGGTAAATTTTTTTCTTTTTCTCACGTTTTTGTTTTTTGTTTTTTTTTTTACAATCAGCACATTATTTTTACATCAGAAGAACAGAGAAAGGTATGTTTTTGATTAGCTAAAAATTTTAACATAAAATTCTAATATTGTGTCTATAACATGTTTTACATGGATTAGTATGAATTGTGCAAATTACCAATGAAGGCAGTGGAAGAGGGCCTGGGGAGAGGAGTGTTTTAGCCAGAGTTTGCATTCTTTTTATTTCCTGCACTCTGGATCTATTCAAATCTCGTCTCCTGCCGAGGGATTCAGTGCAGAACTAAAATATGATGACTTACTTGGCAACAGCAAAAAAAAGAGCATTTACTCAAATGCAATAAAGATAAGCAATAAGTTTCAGTGATGCATATAGTATGTTCTCTGCTCGCCTGCTTGTTCTTTCTTCTCTCAGCAGAAGTTCAACTGAAAATAAGCTCAAACAGCAATTTGCCAAATTAGCTAGTCACCTCACTTGTGACCAAATCACATCCTACAGAGATGCTGAACCCCAAGTTTTTGCTCTCTGGAATATACATAATTTGAAGAGTCTTTTCACTTAGTAAATGAAGGGGTAACCTGGTAAGTTCAAGTTACTTTGAAATGAGATGTACAAATAATACTTGGGTATAATATCCACAGATAATTCCCAAGTTATTGCTCCCCAATCTACCACCCTTCCAAAAACAGCCATGCAAAAAATATACATTTTTCCCTTTCTCTGTCCTTTCCCAACCTCACAAGGAAGTAAACTGATAAATGCTTATTGAAATCCTAAAAAGCAAATTGCAGGAAAAAAATTTAAAAAGAGAACATAACTTAGATAAAGCAGTGGATAGATAATTAAGAATTTGATATATGATGCCATCAACTTTTACCCAACAGAGACTAAGGATATTTCTCTTTTGTTTACGTGCTTCTTCTCTCTTTCTGATTAATCCCCTGGCTGACAGTGTTTTGCCACTCTAAATAGCTCTGAACCAATCTCCATGCACAGAAGTCACTCTCTGTAGAAGTCTGGGGCATTCTGATTGGCCAGCATGAACCCATGTGTCAACCCTTTGGCAGAAGAGACTGTGCCTGTAAGCTGTGCCATCAGGGAGATGGGCAGCTCCCAAAAAGAAAAAAAAAGCGCTATGCAAATCAAAAGTATTAGCTGTTCCCTGTGTCGAAGTATACTTGAGAAGTAATTTTCTAGGTGTTACCACAAGTGTAATAACTTTCTTATTCTATCTTTTAGCATATTTGACAAGTACAAACAATATATAAATGCAAAAGAATTGATTCTTTTCATAGGGATTCAGAGTGAAGTTTTATCCCATGCCCTTATTTTGAAAAGTGATTTCTAGTGGTAATCCCTATTGTTATTCTTGTTGGCCACTGATAGCACAGCCATCTATCTTCAGAAGGGTTGACACTTGATTTTTATAATAAATGGTCTTTGTATTATGCTGTTAGGAAAATCAAAATATTGCCCTTTAGTACTCCTATTTATGGATTAAAATTCTCCTATAAGATTTCTGTCCATGTGAACACAAAAATGTCCTTTCTTTTTGAAAATCCATCCCAGCAATTAGAACAGTCATCCTTTCCAGATATCAAGCCACCCATCAGACGGCCTGTATTAGTTACTACTGCTGTGTAACAAATTATCATAATCGTAACAGCTTAAAACAATTCCTATCTATTATCTCACATTTATAAAGCTCAGTAGTCCAGGTAGACTCTGTTAGGTTCTCTGTTTGGTTGGTTTCCAAAGCTGAAATCAAGGTGTTGACTGGCTTGGCTGTTACGTGGAGCTTTTGGGCAAGAATCCACTTCCAAGCTCATGCAGGTTGCTGACAAAATCTAGTTCTTGTGGTTGTGGGACTCAGGTCTCCATTTCTCCAGTTCTCTTTTCAGCTGGGAGCTACTCTAGTTCCTTGAGACTGTTCCAGATTTTTTCTCATGTGCTTCCCTCCATCACAGAGCCAGCAATGCTGCAATGAGTTAGTTCTCGTGTTTTGAATCTCTCTGACCTTTTTAAGTGCCACTTCTTGGAGAAAGTGCTTTAGTTTTAAGGGCTCATGTGGTTAGATCAAGCCTACCCAGATCATCTCCCTTCCTTGTCAACTGTGCCATATAATATAGCATAATCATGGGAGTGAATACTCATTGCCTTTCTAGAGATGAAGACAGGGTATCTTTGGGGACCATTTTAGATATTCTGCTTATCACCTGCCTACTACTACTACTACTACTACTACTACTACAAGCCAGCATTGATTCAGTGCTTGTTAAGTGCTTGCTAGGTGCTTTGTATGGATTATCTTATTTAACATCTATAGTATTTTTAAAGTGGGTGCTGTTGTGAGTTCCATGTTTGGATAAGGAATCAGGCTTAGGGCAATTAAGTCCTTGTCCAAGATGACAAGCCAGCAGGAAGTGGTACCAGGATATGAACCCAGGCCTGGCTCTCAGGATTTTACTCTTAATTGCCTCCCTTGTTGGTCATTGTATCTTTGATCTCCCAAGAGTAACCTTTAAAATTATCAAATTATAAACTTACATAAAAATGTCAATTACATTTTGTTAATATGTAATGTTATTATTATTAGTTATATTATCTCATATGGACAAATATAATAGATTTAAATAGTTGTAAACCCCAAAATTTATTTTGTCATTTTCAATAATAAGTAAAATTTGCCATATTTTCAATGCAAAGGAGAAGGTGTTGTTATCTTTATGACATGCATTTTTGAACTGTGTTTCTATTAGAAATGATTATTTGCATCCATCCAAGGCCATGATTGGCAAAATATCTTTGTGTATGCATTATTAAAGGCACCACATTTGACCTATGGACAGATCATTCAGAGCAAGAGGGCCTCTCTGGGTGGATGAATTAGAAAAAGGCAACTTGCCTTCTGGGCTGACACTTGGATAGTAAAATGTGGATGGCTTTCACCACCTGCTACATACCTTTGGTAGGCTGCCTCATGCATGCAAAGACACTCTGAGCTGTGCATATTCTCCAAACTTCACCTTGCAAACAACAGCACTCATTTACAAAACTTAGATACATGATGCAGTGTCTTGCCGTGAGCCTAAAAGTTTTGGTCATTGCAGGATCCAATGTCCACTTACTTCCATTAGATCAAATACTAAGAAGACTGGCCCAAGATACCAACGAAAATGTTTCACAAATTAAACTGTAGCTAATGAAATGAATTTTATGGCTATCAGTTTAGGAAGACTTTTGTGCTGTATCTTTGATTAGACTTCACATTAATATTTTCCATTTTATTATATAAATATAGAAAAACAGAGATGGGAAAAAACAAAACTACTCCTTTGAGGACTTCTAAATTGCCCAGTTTACATTTTCATAACCAAGACTAAGAATTAAAACCCAAAAGACAGGAATAAAAGATTTACTGTTATACAAGTCCAGTATTATAAACACTGTCATTCAAAAGTTGGGCTGCTTTTTTTGCATTTAATGAGGAATTTATGAATTCTCATACACCATTCATCTTTCACTAAGCACTCTTTTGAGTACTAAAACATTTGTTTGAATGTGGCGTATTGACATATGAGGCAGTAATAACAAAACAAACACATAAACAAATCCTCGAACTTGAAAAAGTCATTGCCTCCAAAAACACATCTCTTTTCTTCAACACCCTCAGTTTGTGACTTTCATTTATGGTGTTTTTCTTTTAATCTCAAACTTCACTATTAACAGTTATACATATGGTGTATGAGTCCTCTGGGGCCTAGGTCAACATCCAGGCCAACAGATTGGTCCACCTGTCCCGTGGGCCACAACAAAAACTCAGTGCTTTCTCACAACATTCAGTGCTTACACCTACTTTTAAATAGATGCTTTAATTTGAGTTCAAGCTCTTTCCACGCTAACCTTTTAGTGACATGAAAATTTCTGATTTGATTTTTAAATTTTGTTTATTTTATAGTTACTCTTTAGAGGCATGTGATTCATTATTTCTTATTGATTACATTTTAAAATACCATAACAGGCTGGGCGCGGTGGCTCATGCCTGTAATCCCAGCGCTTTGGGAGGCCGAGGTGGGCGGATCACGAGGTCAGGAGATCGAGACCATCCTGGCTAACACGGTGAAACCCCGTCTCTACTAAAAATACAAAAAATTAACCAGGCGTGGTGGTGGGCACCTGTAGTCCCAGCTACTTGGGAGGCTGAGGCAGGAGAATGGTGTGAACCCGGGAGGTGGAGCTTGCAGTGAGCTGAGATGGCACCACTGCACTCCAGCCTGGGCGACAGAGCGAGACTCCGCCTCAAAAACAAAAACAAAAACAAAAACAAAAAAAACCCACAGATGACACTATCAGCCAAAGCTATTTCACTGCTTACTCATTAAACAGACCCAACACTGAAACAATGCCAAGGATTCATCCATTCAAATAGAAGGCACCCAACATATCATTTTAGGGTTAAAAAGCACACAATTGATTAATTAGAAATCTTAGTTAGGAGGAGTTTGTATCCTAGACTTGACAGGTAAAACAAGCTGTTATCAACAATTTATTTTTTAAGCCCCTCCAGTGAGGCCATTTCAGTCATATACTGTGATCAGTCCATAGTTAGATTAATCTTCCGCACCTTCATTTGTTGCGGTAGGTGTTCAATACATATTGTTGCTCAGAATAGTGATGCAAAAGTGCTGCCAACTAAGCACAATCAAAGAAAGGCTCAAGGATCCATGAGTCCAGAGAGTAAACAAAGTGGAATAACCCATTATATGAGCATCTCACTTGATGAAGAGGTCAAATTCGTTGATTGTTTTCCTTTAGACCAGGTGAAGTGAAAATTTTGCAGATTTCCAAGCAATAAACATCTTAGCCAAGAGCCACTGGACTCATTTAGATTATGTATCTACGCTGATTTAATTCATCAACTAAATGCCAGTTATCCACATTGTACTATATGTGGTTGTGAGCTCGATCTTCAGTGTATAAGGTGCATTCCTTATGTCATTCATCGGCCTTTAAGAGACAGAAGGTAGTGGAAACAGGGTATAATACAATTTTCCTTTCTCCTTTTCTTAGCATGGGTTTTCCTGTCTTTTTTTTTATCCTAGAAAACACTTCAGGAAACTTTCTCCAGATTATACATTACATTTTCTAAGGCTGTAAAGGGGAAAACTGGTGAAAACGAAATCAATTTGTTATAGCTTTTGGTTTTCATACTAAACTGGCAAAAAGAGAAATGAGAGACATCACTGTACAACCTAAATTGAAGATCACACTAATATTTGGATAACTCAAGAGTGATTACTGGTAGGCCAATGTTTCTAAATCCAGTGAGAAATTATGCAATTTCTTGCTTTCTTATTTTAAAGCTCTGTGAACTCAGGTTTATGAAATTATGCTAGGTCATCATTGCGCTTATGAATACGTTGTTTTTGTTTATTGTTGCATTTAGGATTCTTTTTAAAAGTCCACAAGTTGATTTATTATATGTCATAAAAAATTAAACTCTAAAAAGAAAATCGGCAAACTGATATGAATCTCTCAGGATAGAAAAAGTGTGATGTGGAATTGAGCTGTGACTTGAAAAAGTATCAGGTAGGAAGCACTGAAGCTAATTATTAAGCCAACAGGTAAGACCAGGTTCCAAAATGAATAGACAGTGTTTTTTAAATAGCAAAAAAAAAAAAAAGTATGTTGAATATAATTGTTTGGGCTTGAGTGGATAGTTATTTTTCTTTCATACAGAGAGAAAGTAGAACACCAAAATTAAAAAAGGAAAAGATATACTGACAGTAAGAGGGTTACGGATGCTACCAAAAGATTATTGAAAAGTTGACTTAGATGGTATGTAGTGAGGTAAATAACATAAAGGAATTTGTTGCAGAAAAAATATATAGCATTTGTGGTTTCTGGGTTTTGTCACCAAATCATTTTATTTTCAAGAAAGATTCCACTAAACGATTATTCTATTTCATTATGTAGCCTGCAAGTGACCAGGGATTAAAACAAAAGAAAAAAAAATACGTGTTGAAAAATATGTAGTAATGTCAGGTGCAAGTTTAGATTTGGTTTTGACAGTCAAGTCCAAAGCTAATCAGTTATCTCAATATTAGACCAAGCATGCAGATATAACCGGTATGGAAAAAAATTAACTACAGTCATGATTCCAAGCAGCTTACTTTGATGACACATAAGTGGGCAATATTAAAAAAAAAATCACTTCAAAGGAAATTTTCCTATATTAATTATCAATTGTAAAGGTGAGAAAATTTTAATTCTGTCTGGTGTTTAGAAAAATGTTAAGAAATTTAAAAAGCATGACAGCAATCGTTTTTGCACACGACTCTACCACTTTCTTTTTTCTTATTGTTAGTTTATTTATTTATTTACTTCTCTTATTGTTTGGGGATTGTCAAAATTACAGTGGTTACACCACCGCCGCTTCTGACAGATGGAACACAGCTTGTTTGTCTGACATAATGGTCACTGGGAAAGGATCACCCTAAAGATAGCAGAGAAACCTGGAGCTCAGGCTTGAGTCTGACTGCTAGACATCATAGCTGTGTGAATTCTGGGAAAGTCTGAAAAATCTTCTGTGCCTCAGTTTGCTCATCTCTAAAATGGGAATAGTAATTGTACATACACTTAGGGTTAATGAGATGATTAAATAAATTAAGATATAAAAAGCACTTAAAGAGCTTGGTACCTAGAAAGTGATATATGTGTTGTTACCTATTATTACGGTTATTAATATGACAAAAGAATTTGAGAAAGCCACTAAATTTCCACTTTAAAATGTGGATAATATAATATTAATAGCTTTGTATACGAGCTCCCTACAATGCAACGAAAGCAAAATTAATTATGGATGAATTCCAATGAAGCTAAGAACTCCAAACCAATGCAAATGTAGGTTCCCCCTAATTTAGAAATTCCTCTTTCACATGGACTTACCAGCGATCTCTCACTCATTTACTCACTCAACAAATATCTATTGACCACCTAATATATGCCAGGGGATATAATAGTGAATAAACATTACCTGAAAGAACGGGTCTTTTAATCAATCGGTAGGTAATATTTTTCCATGGAGCATGTGGTTCTTGAGGACAAATCTGTCCAGCTTTCGTTAATGTGGGTCTCATGAAACTGCGAGGGTGCAAGTGCCTGAAAACCGAAAACTAAAGTTATCAATGTGCAGGCAAAGGCTGCCCCAAGGGCAGTGGGAGGAGGTCAAAGGTGAACTTGCTTAAAATGTGCTCAGGCCTGTAATATATTAATAGATGGGAATACACTTTTCCTTTTTCACCCCCTCTTCTTCCTCTTCCCTCTTCATCCCGGAACCCAAACCACATTTATGTAAAATGATTCCCGTGATTCTGTTCGAGGTGGACTAAATAGGCATCCACAGACTGCGTGAGGGCCCTAACGATGACATAGAACATTATCTCTATTATAAGTGTTAATACTCTAAACAAACCTACTGGCAAATAAAATTTTAGAGCACAATCCATTTGTTGGAGTCTGTATTTTTATTATTGCTGTGATAATTTTCTGGCTCTGATAATGAGTGCCATGAATGCAGTAGAGCAGATGTTGAAATTTCGTTTTCTTTTTGTATCCGACGCTTACTTTTTCCTGGGTAGTTATTACATAGGTTAAAGCTAGTAACTTTGTTTTCCATAGTAAGTTCCAAAACAACTTAAAGGAGAGCAAAAGGGACAGATGGGTGGTTTATATTTGAAAATAGATTAATTTGCTTGAATAGTATGTGCCTTCAAATTGGAGTGATGAGGTTTGCATATAATCGAAAGCAGAGAATAAAACAGAGGAATATAGTCTATTCCTTTCTCCTTAATTTGCTACCACAGTGGGTCAGTACATGGCAATACTTTCAAATGTAATCTTTGTCACATTCAGAAGAAAAATGCCAAGGAACAATGAAACATAAAGGGATATTTTTTATTCCAGGAGGAAAAAGAATTTTCTGGAAAATCTTAATTGGCAAATTTTTATTTTTATTATTATTTTTTGTTGATAGAGACGGGGTTTCACCATCTTGCGCAGGCTGGTCTTGAACTCCTGGTCTAAAGTAATCCACCCACCTTGGCCCTCCAAAGTGCTGGGATTATAGGCCTGAGCCACGGCGCCTGGCCAGCAAATTTGTTTTGATTCAACAATGTTGTAACTCTAACTTTAGCCTTTACCAGGTTCTACTACTGTCTGAAATGACTATGCAAGTAGTTGGAAATAAAAATATTGTACAATTCTCATAAACAAAACAAATATATATCACAAAATGCTCAGTTGATGATGTTAAAATAATGATATCTGAGAAAGCAGTAGTATGTAATGGCCATTGTTATCTAATTACTCTAAACCACCAATAAAGTAAAATAAAATCTTCCTATTTAAGAACTTACTTTAAAAATATTTTGATGCCCTCCTTGACTTCGGCTTCCTATAGAATTTCCCCAGGTCTGTTTGGCATTTGGTTTCTGCTACTAGCCTTATCCTCACTATGTATCTTTGAACTAATTTCGTGAAAGAGACTGAGATCACATACTGGTCTTTTTGTGTGCCTGCTTCCAGAACATGCACATTAGCATTGCAAAACTTTGCATGTCCAGATGTCTCCTAGACTTCTCATTTGATTTGTGGCTGAAGGGTCGGAAAAATTGCAGAAATGAGCTGCCATGTTCCCACGTTTCCTGTTCTTCTGGTGTCTGATGGGGGAGTGTGGACAGTGAGATGGATTAGATAACCACCACCTCTATTCAAAAATATCTTCTCTGCCCTGTTTTAGGGAATTATGCTTTTCACTACTTTAATCAGTGTAGTCAGATTCTTCCTGCTATAGGTTTACTTGAACACGGAGGAATTGGAGATGGGAGAAAAGGAAGGAGGGAGAAGTGTGTGTGTGTGTGTGTGTGTGTGTGTGTGTGTGTGTGTGTGAAGGGAGAGAGAACATGAATGCATGGCACAGTGAAGGTATTTAACAGCCAGAGGAAAGTATTAAAGAATAAAATATTTTGAGTTGATAGATGTAGGTTCCACAAGAAGATAGGAGAGAAGTTGAAAAGAAAAAGGAAACCATTAGACTATCAATGATCACTTGTTTCTTTGATGCTTTATCTAGGCCTCCGTGGCAGTAACAGCCACTGAAAACCAGACTCCCAAGTAGCTTTACATGAAATGTCCTCATGATCAAACTTGTTCTAATGTGTGTTATTGGGGAAATACCCCAGAGAACAGAGAAGATGGATGTAGACTGCATTTTACCAGTGCCAAATAAAGCAGTCAAAATGTTCTTGACAAGATGGAAATAATCAAATAACCACCTTTGATTGATTTTAAATGAACTGACTGTCTTGCATGGTGCGCATTAATATTTATACTCTGTGGTTCCAGACATCTGTATAAATGTGATGAACTACTTATTAGCTATGTGCTGACTTTCTCCATGATCTCATCTTCATATTCCAACTAAAATTTCTCCACCTATGACTTACAGAAATGCTTGCTCATGTGCTCTGTCATTCTTGGTCTTTATTTCAACAAAAATTGACTGGGCACCTACTGTGTTTTAGAGAATTCACCAGGCGCTAATGACACAGTGGTGAACACAAAGGTGTGCCTTTTAAAATTTAGTCTGGGGAGGGCAGGTTAAATCTTATGTTACACCAGTGGAATTATGTAATAGCCATTGTGATGGACCAGAAGAAGAAATGTGAAGTACCTTGAGAACATACAGCAGTGGCAAACAAAGTTAATTTGGGGAGACAAGGAATACTTTTCTGGCAAGGGTCAAAGGGTGAGGCAAGGGACTGATGGTCCGAGCAGAGGGGAAAACATGGGTGAAGACCCTGATGCATTAAGATAAAAACAGTTAATTTTGAAATAAGTATCAACTTATAGGGAATGACAAAAATAGCACATAGAGTGCTGTAAACTCTTCACCAGTTTCTCCAAATGGTGGCATCTTCTATGACTATGGTATAATATCAAAACCAGAAAGTTGACATTGATACAATACTAGTAACTAGACCACAGTCTTACACAGTTTTGATCAGCTTTTACATGCAATGTGCTTGTGTGTGTGTGTGTGTGTGTGTGTGTGTGTGTGCATGTGCGTGTGTTTTTATAGTTCTATACAGTTTGACCTCTTGTAGAGGTTCATATAACCACCACTACAATCAGGGTACAGAACTGTTTCATCACTACAAAAGATCTCCCTTGTGCTTTTTTTTTTTTTGGAGAAGCACCAACCCCTCATTCTTGTCCCTATCCCCCAGTAACCACGAATCTGTTCTCTATCATAGAGATGGATTCTTGTCATTTGGAGAATGTTATATCAATGGAATCACACAGTATGCCACCTTTTGAGACTGGCTTTTTTCACTAAGCATAATGTCCTTGAGACCCATCCAAGTTGTTGTGTATTATCAATAGTTTGTTCCTTTTTTATTGCTGAGTGGTATTCCATTGCATGGGTGCCTTCGTGTTTAACTCATTTCTGGACACTTGGGCTACTTTTGGTTTAGGGCTATTACAGTTAAAGCTGACATTAACACTTTTGTACCCTAATGCATTTTAAGGAATGGGAAAAAAGACACACAAAATGAGGCTTGCTGGGGGCCAAATTATGCAAAGCCACAAATCCTTTCTGGGTGTACACTATAAAAGTACAAAAATGAATGAATAAATAAGAGGAAACTGAATGTAAACACGGAGTGTTTTAAGGACTCTGACTTTTGGTGTTATATCAGTATCCAGATGGCTGCCTTTTATTTTCCATTTTTTAATCTAACTGTTTGCACATAATGAGGTGGTCAGATTTGAATACTAGTTTGCAGATGGATTGGGGGTACTCTATACTTGAGACAGCTAATTAAAACATAATTCTAAAAACAGGCTTGTAAAAACTTTCTTCCCTCTGTTCACTCAGAAAAGACTTATATTTAGCATAAGAATGTTATTGGAAGCACCAAATTGAAAACTGTCAGCTCAGATTCTGCAATCTAAGGAAGATTCTGCCTACTGGTGTGTTGATGAAGAACGTAGAAAAACAAATCAAGAAAAACAGCATGAGTGTACTGGGTTTTCTTTAAATCAGCAGACATATAGCATAACGGGCTGTGAGAATTCTGATCCAAGTCACAGGTCTGCCACCCAATGCAAGGTGTGAGTTCCACGTTACGTGAAGTGAAAGGGGGAAACCACCAAGGCGATTTTAGAATAAAATCAGCCCTATCCGATTTAACCCAGCTTATCAATACAGTTTTTCCTACAGGATATTATACTCATTTGAACCTCTGGGCCTCTGCCTATGTTTTCCTGTTCCTAGTTTGCTGTCTCAGTTCCTTTTTGCCAATCAGAATCCTATAAATCCTTCAAGGTATAATCTAGAGCTTATTCTTCTTTGAAACTTGCCCTCACGCTGATACATTTCTTGACTGATTTCCTGTCATAGAGCTAGGGTAGTACAGCTAAGGGTACCCTAGGTAGTACAGTACCCTTAATACTTATTGGCTGTGCAATTATTGCATTCCTTAATCATAGATGTCCAAGCAAATTTCTTCCACTTAAATGTAAAAGTAAAATAACAAAATATAAAGCTTGAAAAGTGGGGGGTGGTGGTGGGGTGGAAAAACACATAATATCATTACCCATATATTTTCTTCCAAAAACTCTTCAATGTAATAAATATGCTCAATCCTTAGAGGGTTCAGGTGAAATAAACATGGCAATACAGTCTTGATAGGTATTTTAATTGAGACTAATCTTTGAAGAAAGCCATTCGGACTCTTAAAAGAAAGATTTTTTTTTTTTTTTTTTTTTTTTTGAGATGGTGTGTTACTGTGTCACCCAGGCTGGAGTGCAGTGGCGCAATCTCTGCTCACTGGAGCCCCCATCTCCTGGGCTCAAATGATTCTCCTGCCTCAGCCTCCTGAGTAGCTGGGACCACAGGTGTGTGCCACCACACCTGGCTAATTTTTGAATTTTCAGTAGAGATGGGGTTTTACCATATTGGCCAGGCTGGTCTCGAACTCCTGACCTTGAGCGATCTGCCTGCCTTGGTCATCCAAAGTGCTGGGCTTACAGGTGTGAGCCACCGCACCCAGCCTCTTAAAAGTTTTATATATCCTTGGAACCAATAAGCCCACTTCTAGGGATCTCTGCTAAAATATTCACTAGAGATGTAGACAAAAAGTTACATACAGGATTATTCTTTGCTGCATTATTTATGAGATAGAAAAATGGAAATGATCTGAAGAGGAATTTAATAAATTAATAAATTTCTTTGCAGGCATTAAAATTAAATATTGAGGGAATATTTAACAACATCAGAAAATACTCATGTTGTAATAAAAAATGGGAATGCAGAAGACCCGCAACAGTTCTTACCCTGTTTAAATCAGACTGTCGAATCCTGGCTTTTTTCTGTTCCTTCTCCCTTCCTGCATCTGTTAGTATTTTTGCAATAAACTGTTTGCATGTGGGAAAATGGGGGATTGTTTTGGAAATTTACATCCTGGGCTCCAAATCTAATGGAGACTTATGATTAATTTCTAATAATTAGAACAAAATACATTGAATACCAAATACCTGTAAATCTAAAAACTAGAAAGAACAGCAGTTAATGTTTTATCAGCTATATAACCCAATTATTACTGTGCTAGTTAGAAGAGATTTCCACTGGTAAAGTAATAAATTAGCCAGTTTTATTGTACTAGGGTCAACATCATATTGTATATAAAGCTGCATTATTCCTGCATTTCCTGCATGTTGCCTTGAAAATCATGGTGTATCTGTAATTGTTATAGCTCACGTACTTCCTGGACACAGTTTTCTCACATTAGAAAGTCTTTTTAGCTTTCTGGATCTCTGTCTTCTTAACTGTGAAATGAACATAAGTGGCTTGTCATCCTCCAATGGCTATTTATGTGTTTGTTGAGTTCATAAGATGTAAGTTTTTAATAATATATTAAAAATTTGAAGCATATGACCTCTAAGGACCTTTCAAGATATATTTTTTGACTGTGAGACTTCATGGCATATAATTTGTCTCCTGCTGTATTGCATATCCTTTTGTAATTGGTGACATGTCTTCTGCTGAACTCCCTCCAGGTTGTTTTAGTGAGCAAAAATGCTTGTGGATAAAATGAGATCCTATCAGGCTGGCAAAGTTTTAAGAGTTTGAGAGCGTTCAGTGTTGCAAAGCATGTGAGGAAACAGGCATTGTCAAATACTGTTGGTGGGAATGGAAATTGGTTCAACTCTTTTGGAAGGCAATTAGGTAATAATATACCGAAATTTAAAATGCATATAGCCTCTCTTTAGCCATTCTACTGCTGAAAATATCCCACAATTATACTTGTAATGTGAACAGATTTATGTATAAGGATGTTCTTTGTAACATTCTTTATAATAGAGAAAAATAATTGCAACTTAAAATGGATACTAGATGCATAAACTGTGGTGTGGCCATGTAATGGAAAACTATTTAGTCATTCAAAAGAAATAATTAGGTCTGTATGTACTGAAATGGAAAGATGTCTAAGATATTATGGTAAGTGAAAATAACAAATTGAAGAACAATTTGTACGGAGTGAGCTTGAGTGAAAAGCAATGCGTGTTCACCTAGATCCGAATAGAAAAAGATGGACTCCTTTTACATCTTTCTTACACTGTTTTCTCAGTCTATGTCTGAGAGAATCATGGAGCCTCAGATGATAATTCTACACACTGCTATGATGAAATACAATACAAAACAAAAACGTTTCTCCAGAGACCATTAAAAAATGTAAGGTAGAGTCTACATTGCTCTAGAAAACCGTGAAGGTATGAATAAGTTTTCGTTGACAGTTGGGAAGCAAAGCAGTGATATGAATACCTACTATATAGGTATTTCTGTATAGTATACCTATATTTCTACCTACATTTCTATATAGGTATACCTACTATATAGGTATTTCTATATAACATAGAAAGAATTGGAGGTATAGCCCATCTGAATATATACAGATTCCATTTGTTAGGAAGTCGATATAGAAAAATCCAGAATTTCTTACTATAATTTAAGAGATGATTGACCTCCAAAAAGCTTCACCACAGTATCAACTCTATGCTTCATATATTTTCTTTAATTCATAAGCAGTACATTTTATTCGTGGCATAATCACTTCTTCCTATATTCCAAATGCTTTCTTTTCTTTGTTTCCTATCATTTTACATATAATATGCAAATACTCTAAAATTGAAATATAGCTTGGCAGTTTGTAATACTGTAAAACCATAAAGTGTAATATATGACTACAAAATATTTTGGTTTAATGGGCCTGGTGTTCTACTATATATTTATTTTAAGTCACTCTTAAAATGTCAAATAAAACTCAAAAATCTGTTTTAGTTCCAAATGTAGAGCTATTAATTTTATGGCTTAATATCTGATTAAATTTAACTATGCTTCTAAGAGCATATAGGTTCCACTCATTAGATGGGCTGACTGTTTAATCCCATCATTTTAAGTGGAATTGAACCCCATCTTGCCAAATATGCTAATATCCTGAGGGAGGGAGAGAGGGAAGAATGGAACAACAGAAGATGTTTGAAGGCACTGTGAATTTATGTTCTTCACTTGGGAGGCTAACCAAAACATTTCAATACCTCCAGTATTCACATTCTGGAGTAGAGAATATAAAAGTCAAAAGAGAAATGTTTTCAGTGATTTCTGTGGTATCAATAAACCTATATAAATGTGAATAGACTTAAATAAATAGTTAAAACAGAATGTCTGGGTACCCAGGTATATAGGCTGCCAGCTGGGCCCTGAGGCTGTATCACTTCTATTTCCCAATTGCTAGCTTTTGAGGTAACAGCACTCTTCATCTGAGAAGAAGGGCACTGACAACCGTACTCTCATGATTCTCAAGAATCCTGCTGACTTGTTCATTAAACAGAACTGGCAACTGACTCCTAAGATAAAAATTCTTGACAGCTTTCCAAGCAGAAGGAAGGATGCTGAGTGACACATATAAATATATAAGTGAGAAGGAAGGGTGAGCTCCAATGGCAGTGACGTTTTCCGGAGCAGTTTATGGAAGAGGTAATCGTTGTAAGACACTACATTGCATTCTGGAGAATTTGTTCACCACTGAGCAACAGGTGAGACCTCCCTACCAGAATATCCAAAATGAATTTTAGATATCATTTAAAACTTTTGAAAATAGTGTGGTCTTAGAAATGGCTCACTCTACTGGACTACTTGCATATGTTCTTTTTTTTAGTTCAACTACTAGCTTCATCTGTACTACAGAGACTTTGGGAAAATTTCTTGAAGACCCTTTTTTAATGGGAATAACCACTTCCATTATTTTATCTCTGGGTATTCTGTGAGTATCTGTTGTCTCAATAAGTATTTCTATATCGTGTATGTTATGTATATTAAAAAAAACCCTTGAGTTCTTCAGATGAAATCTATAATGCAAATAAATGACATTCAAAATTTAGCTATTCTAAAGATATTAACTTCTAAGGTAATGGTAACTTTAACTAAGGTTAAACGTAACTTCTAAGCAGTGACTACCATTTTTCTATTTTTTTCAGAATAAATTCATCTCAAAATCTACATTACAATAAATTATCTCAATAATCCATTTTCCTATTTTTGATTCAATTACATAATTAAAAAACATTTTAGTTAGACATTTGAAGAGAGAAAAAATATTGTAATAAACCCTATGTCTTCTCAGGTTTTAAAAAATCAATATGAATTGTTAGTATTAAAAATGTTTGGAATGCGTACTTTGAAATAAAATTTTTGAAAAAAGTATTGACATGTAATGTTTAAAAGTCAAACTTTCTGTGGAAGTAACATTAACATCCATAATCAATCATTAATACTATGATAGTGAGCCTTATTTTTATTTAACAACATTTAATCGTTGTTGTCTGCCACCAAATTCTGCATTTTAGCTCTTTTCACTAAACATTACTATGTTTTTAATAAAAGCATTATAGTTTGGTTACTAGTAATTGTCATAATTTTATTATCTTTCCAATAGGTATATATCATATGTAAAAAAAAACATGTCTTTGAAATAATCTCATTTCTGAAAGATAATTTAAAATGATTTCTAATTGCTTTTGCAAATTCAAATGTTTTCAATAAAAGTTTTCATTAAAATACGTTAATAAAAGATTTTTCTTGTATAACTTAAAAAAGGAGCAATAATTATGTTGTATGTTTCAACTCCTTTTGACAATGGTTCTCATAAACTCTTCCATGTTTCTCTAAGTATAGAAAATAACTGGCTTAATAAATTAAATTTTAAATGATCCTAATGGAGCATTTACATAACCTTAAAATGACTATAACAGAGCCAAAAAGTAATTAAAACTTCATAAATGCAGAGTGACATCATCCAATCGGCAATTTACATTTGTGTAGTTCAAAGTAAGAGGACCTGGGAAAGCCCTAATTCACATGGGGAGAGCAAATAGAATAGAAAAAAAAGAAGACAGCTTTAGGGAAAAAAATAACATCAGTGGATAAGGTTAGAGGAATAGCTTTAAGAATAATTTCTCCTTAAGACAGAAAGAATATGAGAAATATGATGTTTATAAAATATTTATGACAGAAGTAATTTTCTTTTAATATTAACAATAAAAATTATAAACTGAGACAGATATCACCATATCAAAACTGTAACAACTCATTTAATATACATGAGAGCAAATTGTTTTCATCAAGTCTCACATTAAGGTGTAAAATATTTTTCTAAAAATATATTTTACTCTTTGGGTGGCCAAGATTGGTGGCACTTGATGTCAGGAGTTCAAAACCAGCCTGGCCAACAAGGTGAAACCCTGTCTCTATTAAAAACACAAAAATTAGCTGGGCATGGTGGTGCACACCTGTAATCCTAGCTACTTGGGAGGCTGAGGTGGGAGAATCACTGGAACCCAGGAGGTAGAAGTTGCAGTGAGCCGAGATGATGCCACTACACTCTAGCCTGGGCGACAGAGTGAGTGAGACTCCATCTCAAATATATATATATATTTATGTGTGTGTGTGTGTGTGTGTACGAAATAATAAAATATATATTTTAGAAAAAGTTGCAAACAGTGGAACATTTTTACTTTCTTTAATAACTGATTGCCAAAAAAGAAGGGATAGAAAGGGAAGTAGGAAAAAGATCAAGGGAGGAAGGGAGGGAGGAAGGAAGCGGGGAAGCAGGAAGAAAGGGAGGGAGGAAAGGTGGAAGGAGAGTGGAAGAGAACCACATAACTCAATAAAAGGCAATATGTGTACTGTCTATGTTTTTGTCTTACTAAATCTCATACTGTTGATGACAAACCATCTTTAGCCATATACACAATCTCCTAGCGGGCTCCAGCTCAATGACTTCAAAGTCAGCATACTCCTAAACCAGCTCCTCACCCCTCCTGCTCCCTCCTTGCCCTTCTCTATTGTCTATTGCAAGCATCATTTTCCAGATCTAGTAACCCAAATACGTAGGTGCACTTCCTGACACCCATCTTCGCTTCAAACAATACTTTCTATAGGTTCAAAGTGATGATGGCCTCATCACCCCCCAGTGTCAAATGTCATGCTGCTAAGTTCTCTGTCGAAAAGTAATTTGGTCATGCCAATGTCTGATTTAGAAAACTTACTATAAGCAGAGATTAGGTGTCTCCTTTCACACACTTGACTTGGAGAAATTGGCAAAAACTCTTCCTCTCCCTCAATTCCATGGCTTGCTCATGACCAAAACCTTCCCCCAGGCTTTTAAATATACCTGTAGGAGCAGAGAGATAATTACTCTTAAAATAGCCTTGCTTTTCCCTTACACCGTGGACATTCACTATTCTTGTTTATGAACCTACTTCTTGCTTCTCTTTATCTTGTTGGGTCTTCCCTGTGTTTCATTTCTCTGTTTCTGATCTCCTTCCTAAATAAGAACTCCCAATTCTTCTCCTATATTTCAGAGTAATTCAGCTAAACCTCTCTCCTGTCTCTTGTACAACAAAGCCCATGCAATGTGTGCAATAAAGCCCATCAAGGCACAAAGTGGCTCTCCATTTGATTTGCTCCTCTGTCTATAGAAAGCAGATGTAGTCATAAAGAAGAGAACATTCATGAACTTAAAAATAAATACTATAAAAATAAACAATGGCAATGATTCCTATCAGATAAAACCCAGACTCCTTAGTTTGTTCTGTAAAAATATACTTTTTGGCCGGGCACAGTGGCTCATGCCTGTAATCCTAGCACTTTGAGAGGCCAAGACGGGCGGATCACCTGAGGTCGGGAGTTCGAGACCAGCCTGACCAACATGGTAAAACTCTGTCTCTACTAAAAATACAAAATTAGCTGGGCATGGTGGCACATGCCTGTAATCTCAGCTACTTGGGAGGCTGAGGCAGGAGAATCGTTTGAAGCTGGGAGGTGAAGATTGCGGTAAGCCGAGATCGTGACACTGCACTCCAGCCTGGGCAACAAGAGCGAAACTCTGTCTAAAAAAAAAAAAAAGACTCCTCACCACTTTTGCCATGTGTGGTTACAGCAAAAAGATGGTTGTTTCACCAGACACGGAATCTGCTGGTGTCTTGAGCTTGGACTCTCCAGTCTCCTGAATTGTGATCAATGAATTTCTGTTGTTTGTAAGCTGTCCAGTGTATTGTATTTTGCTATAGCAGTGTAAACAGGCTTACAGACCAAGATATGTGACATAACCCCAGATTTAGTTTCTAGAATCTCAGTCTCTTGAAAAAAAACATTCAATTTTTTATTCAAATGTTTTATTCTTTCTGTGGAAGAATTATATGCTATCTTGGAGGTCATCTTCTTCAGAGCTTCTCAACCTCTTTATATCTTGTAACACACCTGAAGGTTGACACGTTTGTGCCACATACGTTCTCTGGCTGTTGCAGCTCATGATAAAAGATATAACCTAGGGGTCTGGCGATGCACTTTGTGCCAGAATTGGAATGCCATACTCTGCCCTGAGTCATGCCAGATGGAACTGACGGTTGCTGCTCTGGTCTAATCCCCCAATTTTACTGAAAGAGAACTGAGACAAAAGAGGTTAGCTGACTTGGCTTCTGTCATCCAGCTCATTAGAAAGTAGCAAAACTTGATATAGAACTGAAGTGTTTTGAGATGTAAGCTTCTAGATAAGGCAGTGAGACCTGTGATGGGTGTCAAGAAAACCCTTGCCTCCACTGTTTTAGGTGATTGCACTTAGTCACTTACACGTTCTGAATTAAAACCTCTCTACTTCTGTGGTGCTGTCTTCACATGAAAACTGTCTTGGGTGAATTTAGCCTATAAAAAGTAGAATTCATGAAAACATATTTTTCCCAGACATGATGTGAAATTAAGGCTTTGATACTTTTTTTATTTTTACTTTGTAATTAGTTGTTTCAGATTTACATAGACTTAAGGCAAGACGCTGTGAACCAGAAACTTCAAAGAACATAGGAGAATATTAGCTATCTTTGGTGTTAAGGCAGCTGTGTTTGTGGCAGTGACTTTCAGCTGAGAGGATAGATACTAGGCTAGTGCCCTGAAATAAACACGGAAAATAGGCTGGGCACAGTGGCTCACACCTGTAATCCCAGCACTTTGGGAGGCTGAGGCAGGAGGACCACTTGAGGCCTAGACTTTGAGACCATCCTGGACAACATAGAGAGACCCTGTCTCTACACAGGGTCTAATTTAAAAATTAGCCAGGTTTGGTGTTACGCACCTGTGGTCCTAGGTATTTGGGAGGCTGAGGCGGGAAGATCGCTTAATCCTGGGAGGTTGAGGCTACAATGAGCCATGATTGCACTATTGTGCTCCAGCCTGGGCAACAGACTGAGATCCTGTCTCTAAAATAATAATAATAATAATATACAAACAAAAAACAAAAACTAACAAACTGCATAGAAAGTAGTTGGGGCTCCAGCTATAAAGGCAAACTTGTGGATCACAAATAATTATTTAAAGGAGATCTGTTTGTTCACAAAAGAAGTATAGTAATGCTATAATAGCTCAGGAACAGTTGAGTGTCTCTGCACTACTCCCTGTAGACAGTGGGGATGTTGTACAAAACAAAGGTTTATAATCAGACTTTTTGCAGATCAATCAACCTAGCACTAGGGTATCTTCTCCTAGCTAGAAGATGAAAGCAGGAACAAGCCATAAGCATGGTGAAAATTTACTCATTTATTTCAACAAAACACTGTAATATTTTAATGAGACATTGAAAATAAGACATACAACCTTAAAAATAAAGGCAGAAAAATATTTTTAGTTGATGCTCATGGGTTGAATTTTTAGGTCACAATAGACGAGCTGGTAGAAAGAATTGCTTGCTTTAAACGGAATAGTTTAACAAAAAATGGCTAGGCACAGTGGCTCATGCCTATAATTCCAGCACTTTGGGAGGCCAAGGTGGGCAAATCCATTGAGCCCAGGAGTTTAACCCCATCTCTACAAAAAATATGAAAATTAGCCAGCATGGTGGCGTGTGCCTATAGCCCCAGTTACTCGGGAGGCTAAGATGGGAGGATTACTTGAGCCTGGGAAGTAAAGCCTGGAGCGAGCCATGATTGCGCCACTGCACTCCAGCCTGGGTGAAAGAGCAAGACCCTGTCTAAAAAAAAAATGAATGCTTGGGAGGCCGACGTGGGTGGATCATGGGGTCAGGAGTTTGAGACCAGCCTGAGCAACATGGTGAAATCCTGTCTCTACTAAAAATACAAAAATCAGCTGGGCATGGTGGTGCGCACCTGTAATCCCAGCTACTCAGGAGGCTGAGGCAGGAGAATCACTTGAACTCAGGAGGCGGAGGTTGAAGTTAGCCGAGATTGCACCACTGCACTCCAGCCTGGGCAACAGAGCGAGACTCCGTCTCAAAAAAAAAAAAAAAAAAAAATGGATGCACACCTTTGTATCAGCACCAACTTGCAAATATGATTAAAACAAAACAAAACACTGTTAGAAATCACTGGCTCGGTTGAGAAATAGATTTCTGAGTTGTCATAGGCATGAAACCAATACTGTGCCAGTGAATAGATCTACCCCCAAACAACCTTGGTGAACTGAGCAAGATCAAGGCCAGACTGTAGTCTCTTGAAGCATTGATGATAAGCACACTACGGTTAAAGGGCACGATTACCCTCGGAATCATAATGCAGGTACATACACTGAATGTAAGAATAATGTGATTGAAACTAATTTAGGACTGTGCCAAGCAGGAAGAGAAAGTCCTTTGGGCATTCAAAAAGAACATTTAGACAAAGCAAAACAAGAAGGAGAATTTGTGGTTTGCAGGAAGCTGTTGCTCATTTATATTTTATCAAAGATTTAAAATGTTGGGCAAAAGAGTGTGGCTGTAGCAAGCAGAAAGAAATTTGGAATGTATGTGGTTTATAACTGAAATAATCAACTAGAAGAAACAATAAGCATCAGGAGGATTTTTTTTTAAAGTGTTCTCTTTCGTTTCCTAAAATTATGTATTTTGGAAACTCAGATGGGTTAGAAATATCAACAGAGATTTCTCGGGTATCTCATTATGATGTCTCACATGACTTACACTCTTCTATGTTAATCAAGTGAATCTCTTCCAATTATACAGATTGCTATGAAAAATCATGAGACATCACATTTTACTAAGTGGGAAATACTATTGATCTAACAAGATCCGTTGAATAATGAAAGGGGTCCATTTTTATATGTTACTCCCTCTAGCAAGGTTGAATAAATATGCCAGTGAAACATGGAAGAATGGATTTTTATAGTTTCAGATACTTACATAGTTTTAGATATATACATAGTTTTAGACAATTTGTTAGTAGGCTCAGAAATAATGTTTTAATTGCCTATATCCCCATAGTACAGTGCTAGACAATGTTTAGGATATGTTTAACAAATTATTAATTCTTTTTAGGAGCTTAAAATAAGGGGCTAATGACAATGATACAGACAAATGCATGAAAATGTTGTAAACCACAAATAAAATAATGTTCAAATATAAGTACTTTTGGTCCATTACAAATGTGGAAGATATATACTTATAATGAGAGGATAGAAAGAAAATACCTTAACTCTTATTATGAAGTAAGTTCTCGATGCTAACATAATATATTGAAAAATTCTTAAATATATATGACAAGTGAATCTATCTATCTATCTGTCTATCTATCTATCTATCTATCTATCTATCATCTATCTATCTATCCATCCATCCAATGGGAGAAGATGTAAAGTGAAATAGCCATAGGAAGAGGGGAGTAAGCATAAATGGAATTGTTGTACATCAGCAGACATGACTGTGATTCATTCAGAGGGTATTCAAGAAGAAGGGAGAAAATGGTTATAGTATGGCATTAAAAATATTATAATGGAATACTTTGCAATTGAGTGAGAGAATCTAACATATGAATTATAGGGCAAATTAAAAAAATTATATGGCCTCAAAAAAATCTGGCATACACAAAATGACAGGTGAAAAAGATAACTTTGGCAGAAGAACTGAACACTTACAGGAAATAAATGCTGTAACTTGGGATTCTAGGGAGATTCATATCCAAACAGGGAATGAGGATTACACATAAACCATCATAAGACAAAATTCACAGTTTAACAAGTCAAATTGTAATGTTACATTGAAATAATACATTGCAATAATACATTGCCTTACTTCCAATTATATCCTCCAAGTTAGTATGATTTGGTCATGAAAATGACAAAAAATAAACAGACAATGAAACAACAAATTCACTTGTTGGACCACCTTAATGATCAAATTAAGCAATAATACACAAATTCTTTTGTACAGCTATCACTCAACAAATATTAATTGGCTACTCTTTGCTATACATCAGAACAAATAGTTACCATACAAAATACCAGTTGAACACAGAGTACTTTAAAAAATTATTCTGCACAAATATTGCAAAAATCCATCGAAGTGTTGAAAGGAAGGCAAGTCAGATTCAAAAAATGTCATGAGTGAAAAAAACAGATTTAATTGGGAACTGTAAATAGAAATTGAAAAACAACCAAGCGTCATGAGGAGTTTTATTTGGGAGCTTCATTATTTATGTGTTCTTTGCCGACATGTAGAATTTGGAGGTGGTAAAAGTTAAAGACAGAGGAAAAATTTCTGTGTAATAGGAGTTGGTCATGCAACTTGTCTCACAGCCAGATGCAAGTGCAGGTCTGAGGTGAATAGAGAAATTGACCTATGGGATATGTGCATTCATTCAACTTTTTTTTTGAGTCCATGCTATTTTGCAAACACTCTCTAGGCAATGGGGTTCTAACATGAGTGAAGCATGGCCTCTGCAGTCAGTGAGGCAGCCATGCAGTAAACAGCTAAGTGGCAAGGCAATGGGGGTAGCCCCATGGAAAGCGGAAGCCCAATGGAATGAGGGGTGGAAGGGCCTCGAAAGCACATGAGATGAGAGGCAGAGACTAAATGAGGAAAGAGGCTCAGAAGCCAAGAAGAGAGAGTTGTATAATTGGTTATCAGCCGTGTCAAATTCTGTACATAGGTCAAGGAGCATCAAGATGGAGAAGTGCCATTGCGTTTTGGCAGTGAGTATGTTACTGGAGACCTTGGCAAGGCTGGCTTCTGGGAAGTGGCGTGGGTTAGAGCAGGACTGGATCAGGTTCAGGAGCGTTTTCACTGAGGAACTGAATGCATCTGGTGCACTCTAGGAGTTGGGAGAGGAATGGTGGGGAAACAGTTGTTAGAGGGTGTAGGGATTTCTTGAGACCCAGGGATATCTGAGACTCAGCAGGATCCAAATACAGACTTTTTAGCTCTATTTTGTGAAAAACAGAGCTTTTCCCAGCAGCAAGGAAACAGCATTTACATCTTGAAGCAGGCTTTGTTGAGCTTGTTTGTTCTATCTGGCAATGAGTCACTGTAACACTGACCCTGCCATTGAAGTCAGCAGATTCTATTTGGAGAGCTTTGTGATTGTGGGGGGAAGTTGTTTAAAAAGTTAACAAAAACATCTACTCTCCCTGATCTGCTAAACACCTGTGTGCATTAGTTTTGATGACTATTAGCTCAAGAGCATGGGAATGCTATTTTTGAGTAAAAAAAGGGAAGCCTCATCAGAAGAAGTTAAATGTACATGACACAGGAAAAAGTTATAATATTTTCTATTTTGGTTTCTACTCATTTGAAAAGAGTTTTAAAGAGAAAAGTGTAATAGTTCTGCCGACCGCCAACCTCAATTAAAATGCTAAGTACAAGTTGCAGTTTCCCTACCTCTGCCAGAGGGAATATGTCCAAAGTGACCAGCCACCTGTTTCCTTTTGTAAGAGCTCAAGACTGCGGCCCCGTCCAGCATACTCCTCACTGACACTAAATATCAGTGTGATGATGAATCAAAAGTCAACAGCAGCAGAGCTTTATTTACCAAGAAATGACACTTAGTAAGGTCATCTCTTTTGGAGAGGACATTGCAATCATTTAAGTTGATAAAGATATTGGTGATTTATCAACCTCAAATAAGGCATGAGGAACATGCCTGTTAAGGGGTACCCAACTTGGCTGTTTCCAACTTGCTTAAATATATATGCCCACAGGCTGGCTGATGTTTGAGATGTTTGAGGGATAGTAATAGCACATGGTCTGTGATGGCTTAGCTAGGCACAGTGAAGGTCATAGAACTAGAAACTTAAGAATCAATTATGAAACAGGTTAAAGTTGCAGTCTATAAGAGAGTGGCTTTGGAGGCAGTAAGACTTGGGTTTTAATGATAGCTGTGCCATTTACTAGCTGTGGGACATCAGTCAAATAACTTAAATTTCAAAGGCTCTGTTTTCTCATCTATAATATAAAATAGAAATAATAGTAGTGCCTCAGGGCTGTTTTAAGGATTAAATGATAGCACGTGGAGCATAACCCAGGACCAGGCATACAGTAAACGCTTCATAAAATGATAGCTATTATATATCTTAAATCAAGCATCCTCAATTCCTTGTTGATAAGAAAAATAACAAACCACTAGCATTTGGTTAAAACCATGAGAGCTAATGTGAAAATGGATGTATTAAACAGCTTGCCATAAAAATGCTACATTTTTTCAAACAATTGAGATATGTCTAAAAGAAAAGAAGTGAGCACCATAAAATTGAACCTAATCTAAAGGGATTGAAGCAACAGCATTTTAAACAGCAAATAGAACCCACAAAGAAAATCCAAAAGTTATAAAAGTTTTATTCACTTTTACAATTTAATAAGATTCTGATTTTACTAACATTAAAAAATAAAATCATCTCTATTAAATGTAAAATTAGCTTTATTATACATATAAAGAGTCTCACTGCTGTTGTTCAAATTAATAGTAAAAAATTATTCCAAATAAGTTCTATGGGACATATTAGCAATAGTCAGATAATAATCAGTGCCCTTCTCTCCACATATAAAATGCCCTACTTCATTTTTAGAATAACTTGATGGCTGAAGCTCTTCACCACATTATCTCTTTTATAGTTCCTAGTTCACCATTTAGTATGGAGGCCCTAGAGCCCTCTCTTCCATCAGTTCCAGGCTTTCTGCCAGTTCTCAGATTCCATGTTTAATCAGAATCCCGGGCTCTCCAACCCCAGTCCGTATTATCCATTTTTCCAATTCTTAGGGGAAATTTGCCACTTTGAAACATGTTATCTGCAAATAGAACCCAGAAACAAAGACCTTAAAGTTATAAAGAAAACATTGGTAATGTTTCAAGGAATGAATGACAAATAACGAAAGCCCTTTGAATCTCAGCAAACACTGGGCTTCAGTTACACCCTTAAGGAGAACCCATAAATTCATCCTGCTGTCCCCCAAATGGACTTGCTGAGGAAAAAATGGACTTTTTTTTTTTTTTAACCACATATAAGCTCTATTTTTCTAGATAAGAAAGAAAACTGCAAAGGCAAGGTAGCGTGGTGAACTTCCCACTCACTGGCGCAGCTTGATGGAAATTCAATTTGACAAAGCCTTTCTTAGCCAAACCACCCCAAAGTGGCCTCTCCCTCCACTCGTTTGTTACTTACCATTGTTTTGCCATTTGTGTTCATGCATCCTCAGATGCATGAACGGAGGGTAAGCTGGGTAAACAGAGGTAAGACGGTAACAGAGGGTAAGCCTCCACTAGAGCTACATCTTATGAAGACTTTCTCTCCCTTTCTCCCTTACCTCAGAGTCTAAGCCAGATCTCACTCTTCCTAAAAGTCCAGAAGTTCAGGAGACAGGGAAGAAGGAGGGGGAAGGGAATTTGGGGTTCTTCTTCTTGCCTTTGTCAACCTCCTGTAAGTCACTCAGCCTCACTTGCAGTTATTCTTTTGTATAATGGAGATAATTATAGATACCGGTTTGAGAAGTACTTTGATATCCTCAGATAAAAGAGGCTCTAAAAGGGCAGAGGATAATTATTATTAGCAGCTCAATGGTTCATAGGTTTTTCCATATGCAGCTTTCTCCAGGGAAGCTAAATCCGTCAAAATAAAACCAGTTTGAGAGAAAAGGTACAATAGAAACTATTTAAACAAGGAAAATGACTTCAAAAAGATGAGCCAGATGAAACATAAAAGTGAAATAAAAAATTAAAGTGATGACATGCTTCTAAAAAAATCTCTGCAGTCTTGTCATGAATGAACCTAACATCACACAAAAGTGGTGCTGGTAATAACGGCATCTTGCATTTGTATAATGTCTTTCCCAATAACTTTACAACTCTTTTGTGACATAAAGTGATACTTAGTAAATCTTCAAATTGCTATCACGCTCGTTTTTAGGTGAGATCATTGAAGGCTGAGCCACCCCACTCTTCTGCAATGAACAGTGAGAATTGGAATCCAGTTTTCCCAGTTCTTCAACACAGAAGAAAGACATTGGAGTATCTTCCACCTCATGGAAACTATAGAGAATTTCCTTGTTGGAATCTGGTCAGCTAAAGCATGCAGCTGGGGTTTTCAGCATTTGTTCTGATTTTTGTCTTACTAAGTAAGATACTTGTCTTTAGCAAGTATTGAAAAAACAATTATGTATGAAGGGCCTCCCAGGCAGCTAATCCTTGCTAAGAGAATAAAAGATAGGGAATAGAAACACAAGTATTATATCAGTCTCCAACCACAAGAAGATTATGGTGTAGTTGAGAAGATAAGACATACACACAAAATAATTAGTGGTCAAAATATTATTTTATGCTTTAGTATTAAATGCTATCTTCTCTGAAGAGCTTTCCATAATTATGCTAATGAAAAGTAATCTTTCTTTTTTTTTTTTAATTCCTGTAGTACTACTAGAACTATGTTTCTTATAGAATTTATAAGAGGCATATATCATGTCACATCTTCTCTTTGGTATCAGAGTTTGAGCTCATCAAAAGTAGAAATCATGTTTTATTTTATCTTGGATTTCATTCGGTGCTTTACATTGTTTTGGACATAAAGGAAGGGCTCAGCAATATTTGTTGAAATGACATAGTGATATAATAATTTCAAAATACAGGCAATTAACATATAAGGACAATATGTGCAATAACATTATTGAGCATGTTTTCACTGATAATTCAAACCCATTAGGCTCTAAACAATTAGGAAATAATCACTCCAATCCTGATATTCTTTTAGTGCCCTGGTAGCGTTTACAAATTAGATTATAGTTGAAAAGTTCTTTACAATTATTTTTTGCTATTCTTCAAAACCATTTGAGTGGCTGGGCACAGTGGCTCACGCCTGTAATCCCAGCACTTTGGGAGGCAGAGGTGGGCGGATCACCCGAGGTCTGGAGTTCGAGACCAGCCTGGGCAACATGGTGAACTCCATCTCTACTAAACATGTGAATATTAACAGGGCGTGGTATCTCATGGCTGTAGTCCCAGCTACTCGGGAGGCTGAGGCAGGAGAATTGCTTGAACCTAGGAGGCGGAAGTTGTAGCGAGCTGAGATCGTACCACTGCACTCTCGCCTGGGTGATAGAGAGAGACTCTGTCTCAAACAATAATAACAACCACCACCCACAATTTTGTTTTCCTTCCTCAAGAAACATAAAAAATAAAGTAAGAAACTTGCATGACCATCCTACCCTCAGGAATTTCTTGTCATCTTTGCAGCCCCTAACTTCTTACTTTAGGTTTTCTTTGGGGCTCCAGGTAAAGAAAACAGTTAATCTAGAAGTGCTGAGACCTGGATAATGGAGCCAGCTGCCACAGAGGTAAGGGGAGAGAGAGGAGACGCTAGGAGAGGGGATTTAGGAATTCCAGAATGTACTTGGGAAGGACAGCCTTGTATCCCACTTAATTTCTTCTGCAGACACAAATGGAAAGGCTGGCTGTCTATGTGCCCCTGAAATAAGGCCAGGGTCAAAAGTGGGGCTGTGGCCTGGAGCAGAATTGCAGGACGGCTTTTCCTCCCCACCAAAAGAAAGAAAAGGAAATAATTGGGTGATAGCTTACTGCTCCCTTTCATCATTTCTTTCCTCTAATAGTCTGTCCTTCATGGAAAAATAGCACATACTTTCCATTCATGGAAATATCACATGTTTATATAAAATGATTCAAAATTAAATTTAATTTTCTTTTTACTCATTGGGTACAAAATAATTTATATTCACATACTGAATACTGACCTAGTTAGAGAGGTATCCATACACAGTTAGGTATATAATTCTCTTCTTTTAAGATGCTCTCCATCTCAGAAAGATTATTTAACAGGGACACCCGGGCCTTTCCCAGAGAACTACACCAGTAATTAAACTGATTTTTAAAAGGATCAGGATGTTTTCTTCACATTATGCATCAGCTTAGGAGCAACTTTGCCACCTCACTTATCTCACCAACCTCTTTCACTTTTGAGAAAGGGAGAAAAAAAGAAAAAAAGAAGTAAAGAGTTTTCGTCCTAACAGGATATGAAGATACTTTTCTTGAGAGGTTCCAGATGTATTTTGGCTATCCAATGCCATGCCCTTTGCAGGCAACACTCCACGTTGTTTTTTGATAACTTCCTAAGAGAAGTCACCATGCCCAGGCTACCAGGGGTCAGACAAGGTCAGCTCCTGTTCCCACTGTAGGGAGGGAGACACAGGAGTTGGCTTTGCCCAAAAATAGCCTGTGTCCATGCTGCGGAATTAGCTTAGTATCACCAAGTCCAAAACTTGGAGCCAGAAGTCCTGCTTTCAGAAAGGACTTCCAGCCCTTGAACATTGCTGCTACTCAAGTTTTTAATTAGTTGTGAGGTCACTGGTAGCCAGCACACTGGGACAGTACCATGATGAACAGGGTGGGTGCCTCAGGAGGAAGCCAAAAGGATGAAGACACTACCTTTATGAGAATATTTTCTTTCTACCAGTCCTGAAGGGAGTCTAAGTAACAAGATCTTGGATTTCTACTGGTAAAGGGTCATTTGCCCTAAATCCCTATAGTTTACCATAATTTGTTCTGTCATTTCCACCTTCCTTATTTTACAAAAAGCTGATCATTTCAACAACTTAATCCAAGTCATGACAAATTTGATTGATAGACAAAACCTCCATTAGGCAGATGGACTTTATACTTTGAGCCTTTTCTGGCACTGAGTACATGGATCAAAATTGAGTAGATGAAATTTTATCTGTAGGAGAAGAGATAAAATTCAGTCTACTATGGACAGAATGCTTATTATTCTCCTGAATTTGTATTCAGTAAATATCTTATTTTTAAAAAATACATTTGCTAAACTATTAGTGTGCCATAAATAATGATTTATAAATGTTGTCTAATAAATCACTTCCCTGGCTCACAGCTAAATATTCGTATCTCTTTTGTTTTTACAGATGGACAAAATGAAAGTCATAGATTAAATTAATGGAAGGAAAGTGAACTACAAACCATGCTTACTTCTACTTTGGCAAAGTGAATTATTCATGAAAACGCTGTTGCAAGCATACAGTGCCAAAGGTAGCCCTCAGGATGATTTTTCTCAGCCTCTGGGCTCAGAGAGTAATTGCAAAGTGGGTAGCAATTACTTTTGGCATCTTTCCACTTCATGTCCAGTGTTCTTCTCCCACCTACTTTTCTGGAACCAAGTATGTGGTAACCCTATCAAAGGCTTATGGCTTTCCAAACTCTTCTCAGAGTAATCCTACTCATCTCTCTGCACTGAATGACCTGGGGTTGTTATAATTGGTATATAGGTCTATAGTTGTTATATTCAGCTGCATAAATACATACACACACACACACACACATACACACAAACACACACAATGGAAGGAAAGCTTTCTTATTATAGGCCCAAGATCATTTATGCTAAAATTTCTGGATGTTAAGAGAAGTTTGTTCATTAAAATGAACTTTAAATGGGTGTGACATGTGGAGGAGACAGTTTCACTTCCTTGTCCCCTTGTTTGTGCCCTACTGTCCCCATGTCTAACTCACCTTCCAAACAATACTAAGAAGAATTAGTTGGCAATGGGTATTCTACTTCTGAATGCTTTCTTTATCCCTATTCATGAGAATATAGACCTTAACAAGACTCTGCCGACCTCAGACATTCTTAAAACAATCTCCTAAAATATGGTGTGAAGAAGTGCTAAGAATTTAACTCCCTGCTCCCTGACTCTTGGTAGGCAATAAAGTATAGGAATTTAGAACAAAGACCTTTGGGTCCAACTTCTGGAGTATGAATTCTGGTTCTGCTACTTGCCAGCTGTATGACCCTAGACAATTTCCTTAACCTCTTTGTAAAATGGGGATATGGTTTAATAGATTCACAGTTCCTCATGTCTGGGGAGGTCTCACAATCATGGCAGAAGGTGAAAGACATGTCACAAGGTGGCAGACAAGATAGAATGAGAGCCAAGTGAAAGGGGTTTTCCCTTATAAAACCCTCAGATCTTGTGAGACTTCTTCACTACCACAAGAATAGTATGGGGGAAACCACTCCCATGATTCAATTATCTCCCACTGGGTCCCTCCCACAACACATGGGAATTATGAGAGCTATAATTCAAGATAAGATTTGGGTGGGGACACAGCCAAACCATATCAGGACCCTCATGCTATTACCTCATCACATGGTTTTAAGGATTCATTGACCTAATAAGTATACAGTGCAGGACCTGGCATAAATTATTTGTTATTACTGCAGGTGTAGCCATTACTGTGCACTATATCAACATCCAATGGAGAATCCCCATGTGGGTAGCTTCAGTGCTTACCCGTGGTCACATCTCTCTCTGAGTATCCTGGCTTTAGTACGTCATCTCATTTTTCTGTCTGTAGTTACTTATGTGGAAATATTGTGCATCAGGCACTATGCTAGGAGCTAGAAACTGCCGCAAGCTACACAAATAAGACTCCTATCCTGAAAAAGCTTTCTGTGCAGAAGGGATAACAGACAGAACTAATTACAAAAGAAATTTCAATGATGATAAATGATGATAAGTTCTGTAGAAAAACAGGTGTTATGGAAGCATGCATGGTTTAGGGGGAGGAAGACTACAAGAATTAGGAAAAAAATTCACCTTGAAAGATGAGTAGGAATGAGATAGTGCGGGGTTGGGGATGTGGAGTAGAAGACAAGTAGATGTAAAAATGGTAGAAGAATCCATGTGAATAGATGGAAGGAAGCCAGTGTGGTTGAAGAACAAGAGAGCAGTGGATGTGATTGGGGCATATTGGGGGAGTGGTGCAGAATTCGGCTGGAGGCAGGGCAGGGTCCAGTTAGATCAATTATTCTCAACCAGGGCAGACATTTGGCAATGCTTGGTTGAGATTTTTGGTTGTCACAACTGGGAGTGGAGGGTTCTACTAGCATCTAGTGGGTCAAGACCAGGAATGCTGCTAAGCATCCTGCAATGGAGAGGACAGCCCCCACAACAAAGAATTATCACACTAAAAATGCCAATAGAGCTGAGGTTGAGAAGCCCTGGGATGGATAGATCATGCAGGATCTTGAAGGGCTGATTAAACGTGTTTTGCTTTACTATAAGAACAAGGGCAATCCAGGGGATGGTTGTAAGAACAGCTGTGATGTGATTACATTTGCAGCTGGTAGATCTTTGCAAAAGTCAGGTGAGAGACGAGGTTGGCTTGGACCAGGCTTGCATTAAAATGTATACCCCAACAATTCCTAAACTTTGAGCTGAGAAGGGAATTAAATAGATGTGGAGAGGAAGCAGAAAAAATAATTGAACTCCAGAGAAAGACAGTTGTGTTTTTTCAGGATTCTCTGGCTCTTGTAAATGCACCTCCTTTCTTTCCTGGTATGCAGGAGTCACCGCTGACTCTGTGTTGGTTGGTAGTTACCAGACAGGCCTCAACACCTCTTCCACCTTCTCCACCCACCTTTCTACCTCCATTCTGCACTTGGTATTGAGAATCGGCCCTTGTGGGCTCCTCCGCTCAGTGACACTCACGTTGGAAACATGTGCTAATCACTGCTCAATGGATCCGCAGAGCCCTTCCCCCACCCAGAGTGAAATCTTACGTCTGTCAATTGTGTCAAATGCTTTGAAAATGGAACATCTGTTTCCTCCTTCAAAACTGGATGTCTAACAAATTCCACAAAACAGCAGTCCCCTGTGCCTGACTTCTGCCATGCACCTGGTACCAATATGGCCAGGATTTTTTGAAGATGATCCAGATTTATATATCATTTGATGGTTTTAAATGAAACTAATTCATCATCAATTTTATAACTTCATCTAATAGCCATCTTCAATCCTTTCTGGAAAAAAAAAAAAAGACAAGGTGGAAGTACATCTAATTGTGATTTGAATTTTAAATTTGTAAAGTTTTCTTCCAGTACATAAATATATAAATCAGAAGTACTGATTGGGGAGTGAGAAACAGGGTAGCTGCACTGGTGAGTCATATTCTTCCTCCAGGGGAACAACAGAACAAACAGTGTGGCATCCATATATGGAGACTTCTAGAGTTGGATGTACCAAGTTGCCCATATCAACCAGGTATAAATCAGACCAGAGTCTATCACATTCAGGGCCAAAAAGAATGGAAAAAGTAAACGTGTAAAGCAGCCAGATTAAGAGAATAGAAAGTGCTGGAATCTACTGGGAAACAGATATGTCCACCTAAAAGTGTTCCAGTTAAAAACATTTTTTTAAAGCAATGAGCAGCCAAACAAAACAGGTCTACAAGCGTCAGTTGGCCAATAGCTGCCAGTTTGCAAGTTCTAGTTAAGGAAAAAATAAAATCAAAGGCCTAAAGAGCTCCACTGGAAAATTTAAATGCAGTTAAAGAGAAAAATTGCTAAAATATTAAAAGATGAAACTAATGAATGTATGGTTCAGACCATAGCAGACAAATTTTAAAACTCTTTCTTCTTTTTCCCCTTTCGATGTTGTATTATTTATAGGGATCATATAAGTACAAAATAATTTATCTTGCCCTCTTTCCCTCACCATCTCTTTACCATCTCTCTCTTTATACCTCATACACAACACATCACCACAACAGCAGGGGTGTGAGGGTCAAATCAACGCAAGCAAGGGAATTCACAACCCTTGCCGAACTGCTGTCCTTAATTGTGTGCAGCAGCATCTATAAGCTCTGCAAAGCAGGTCATCAGAATCTGAAGGGACATATTATCTGTAATTCCTGGTGCATAATAGGGCACATTAAAGACAAACTTTCAGCCTTAATTCTTAATCTCTTTTCCAGCTTTGGTAGATTTAAAAATCTGATATTCTGAGCACAGCATTATTCTTCCCAGGGCTACAGCTGTGCATTGCTTTCTATCTTGGGAGGAGATGTTTTTGCACAGGTCTAAGGAAATGCAACACAAGGGAAATGCCATTTTAACAAATTTCAAGGGAGGGGAAAGATTGCTCTTCTTTTTGCTGCAACAGAATTTTGCTGGTGGAAACGTTGTAAAGGTGGAATCTTCAATATGAGGAAACTTGTAGTTTAACATTTATAAAGTGCCATTTATTCCTGAAGAACTCAAAGACCTTTACATATGTTAGGCACTGTCCTGATCCCATAGTTCACATTTTGGGGATGTCCAGACCACATTCTCTTACATTTTCTCAGCCTTGCTCTGTGAGTTAGGTAAAGACAGTGAAAGAGGGTCAAAATGGAGGGAACAGACTTTTATTGTTTTTGTTTGTTCATTTGTTTGGTGGTGATATTGTTTGGATATTTGTCCCCTTCCAATCTCACGTTGAAATTTGATCCCCAATGTTAGAGGTGGGGCCTATTGGAAGGTGTTTTGTTCATGGGGGCATATTTCTCATGAATGTCTTAGTTCCCTCCCAGCAGTAATGCGTGAGTTCTCACTCTATTAGTTTATGTGAGAACTGATTGTTATCACATCAAGAGAGAGGGGAGAAGCTGGCACTTCCTCCCCTCTCTCTTGCTCTCTCTTTTTCACCATGTGACATGCAAGTTTTCCTTGTCTTTTGCCGTGAGTAAAAGCTCCCTGAGCCCCTCACCAGAAGCCGATGCTGGTGCCATGCTTCTTGTACAACCTGCAGAACTGTGAACTAAATAAACCTCTTTTCTTGATAAATCACCCAATCTCAGGTAATCCTTTATAGCAATACAAAACTGACTAATACAGGTGGCAACAAATGACTTTTGCAATGACTAAAAGATGATGTAAGTGTATATAGTGTATATATGTTGCGGCCCCTTTCTATAAGATTCAGATCCACTGAATGTTTCTTGGGTTCCCTAAATCCTCTATTCAATACCTGTTGGTTAGGCCAGGCACTATTCTAACTACTGAAAGTGGAGTAGTGGTTATGAAAGACAAGGTTCTTGTTCTCATGAAGCTGACCTGATAGAGAAGAAGACAGTCAAGAAGCAAATAAACTGGAAATATGACACGTACGCTATGCAGAGAATTAGCTGAAAGTCTAGATGGCTCTGTAGATTACATGGTCAGAGAAGATGACATCTAGAGACAAGAATGACAAAGAGGAGCTAAAGATTCCAGGGAAAGGGCATTCTAGGTACTAGAAACAGCTAGTGGAAAGGCCCTAAGGTGAAAAAAGACCCTGTTCGCTAACTACGGCTGCTGTAACAAATTCCTACAAACTTGACGGCTTAAAACGACACAACTTTATTATATTGGAATCGTGAAGACCAGCAGTACAAAATCAAGTTTCACTGGGCTAAGATTAAAGCGTTGGCAGGGCTACCTTCCTTTCAGATGCTATAGGGCAGAGTCTGTTTCCTTGCTTTTCCAGGTTCTAGAGGCCACCTGCAACCTGCATTCCTTTGGCTCATGGCCCCTTCCTGAATCTTCAAAGCTACAGTAAAGCATTTTCAGTTCTCTCTCTGAACCTGACACTCCCGTTTCTCTCTCTAACCTATAAGAACCCTTATGATTACACATTTGCCCCACCCGGATAATCCAGAATAATCTCCCTGTTTAATAACCTTAACTTAATTATACCTGCAAAGACTCTTTTGCCATGGAAGATAACATATTCACAGGTTCTGAGGATGAGGGAGTGAACAGCTAAGGAGCTATTGTTTTGTCTACCGTGGTGGAAATGAGGTTTTCTATTTGAGGGACAGAAAGAGCCAGTGTGGTAGCAATGTAGTAGTGAAATAGAGTATGTTGGGATAAGTTCTGACTTTCCAGTGGCAGTAGTAAATGCTATCGCCATCATCACGCCATTCACTGTTCAGTTGGACTTCCCCAAACTTCTGATACTGGCACAGGATGGGTGAGGACATTCAACCTTTGGGGTTTCTGAGCTCCTTTGATTAATAGTAAATCGGTGTTGCCATTCCTTAGTCTAATTTTCTAGTTTTAAGTACAGCAAAGTTTTAGCATTTATTATAAACACTTTTATATTCTGATTCACCAAATCATAGAAATTCAAACCTCAAGAAAATGTACAAAATTACCTATTTGGGCTTTTAGTTTTTACAAAAAACAAAACAAACAAACAGACAAAAACAAAAAACAACAACAAAAAAACGGACATTGAGACAAGAGAAGTTACATGTCTTTCTTAGGAAGATGAACTTAAGGCCAAAACCTCACCGTGCAGTGTCCCCATCCATTTCTCTTGTGCATTACTACATTTTAGGTGTGTGTTATTTTTCCTAATTGCAGCTGCCTCGTGTGGGCATAGGGTGTTACAATGGTCTGGATGTTCCCCAGGCCAAGCGTGCGTTGTTTTGCTTGCACAGAAGAGTATATGGTAAATAATACATGTTGATTGATGGGCTGATTCAGTCCATTGCCCTTTCCTGCCCCCCTCCCCCAGAACAGATATGGTAAAATAGAAACTTCTGATTTACAGGATGTCCGAAAGGTATGCAATATTTTTTATCAATTGCAAAATACTCTAAAGGCTATCCTGTCATTTGATAAGTCCATCATTTGTGGACGTACTTGGGACTTTGCCAAGAACAATCAGGTGAGGGTACTAACCATAACTTGCTACCAAAACATTATCCATCTGGAATCTATGAGCCATTCAGATTAATTTATTTTGGGGTTTTTCTTACCTCTGTAATAGATTTTTGATGTAAATATTTTTGTATTTCAGAGAAGTTTCAGACTTTCTAATCCTATCAATCATCTCCACCACCCTCTAAATTTGCCCAATAGCAGAGGATATGTAGATAAAAACAGCAAAAGAAACTCAAAACACTGTGAAATAAAGGAAATTGCCTCGATGACTAATAGAAATTTGGTTATATAGATTAGAAAGATTGACACTAGCGGGTAAATTTTACACTTTACTTTTTGGCTCTGGGCTCTGTAGATAACTACCAGCTACTTCCAACTTGTTCCTAAAAATAATCTATTGAAATAACTTCTGAAAAATACAGGAAGTGGCGAGACAAATTAATCCTTATAAAGAGGAACAAAAGAGTTTCCTACAGCCTGTCCTGGGTGAGAAAGCTGGTTGGGGCAGGTCCCAGAGGCAGAGCTGGGTGTGTCTCTTGGGTGCAGAACAAGTCTATAAAGTTCAGGCAGGAAAGTTTGCTAATCTCTAAGCAGGTGGGTCAAGACTCATCTACATTCTGGACTTTCCATGCCACTGCCCTGCGCTTTTCCCAAGATTCCCACAGCAGAAATAAAAATATTTCTAGATACTTCTTTAAAGGGTGTAAGATAGCCCACACTTTAAATCGTTAATGTATATCTCACCAAATGTAATTTATTATCTTGCGTGTGCTGTGTAAATCACTATATTGGACCAAAAGCAAACCACAAGTTGTTTATATACGAGACCAGCTCCCAGAACATTCAGTTAGTTCATTTCACTTCAGTGACAGGAGGGAAACATGCATGGGGAGCATTTTTTATGATAATCATAGGGCTTTTTGCATTGGTCAAAGGAATGGAAAAGTGTGTTTCCAGTGTTTTTTAATTCTAGGCTTAGAAAGTTTTTATAAGATATAAATTCATATTTTTGGCATTTAAAAAACAGTTTATTAGAGTTGCCATATTACAATGTTCTATTTTCTGTGGTAACTGCACTACACACAATTTTAGCTTCTTTAAAATTAAGAGCTTGTAGCAAGTTGAATGTGGCTTAACTTTAGAAAATAAGGTCCCAGAGTCCAGGAAGTTCAATAAGCGCAAATGCTCTGGACAGGTTAAAATCCTACAGCGATTTACTGTTCATTACACATGATCGTAGCCAAAAGGCTGAGAAATGATTATTTTAGTGCTCATTTATTGTAGCCTGAGAGCTGTGTTTTAGCAGAGACCTATGCATTCAAATAACTTAAGATCAGGTTTGTGGTACACGAACTAGTATACGATCAAGTATGAAATCATATGAAGAAAATAAATCTGTAGTTTTGAACTAGGAGTGCAAAGATAGTTTTAAAGAGAACTTAGATATTAAACTGTTGGTTGATGAGTGACATTGAGGAGAGGGTGGATGTGGAGGAAATATTCAATGCTGATCATAATGACATAATAATAGTTCACTGCATGCCTTCTGCGTGCCAGCTACGAGGCTATGTCCTTCATGGGTATTATATCTAAGACACATTTATTCTGCATTCCCATTTTAAAGATGAAGCAACTGAGGCTTAAAATGTCACAGTTAACTAATGACAAAGCTGAAATTCAAACACAGACCACAGCCAGCTCCAAAGACTACATTTTTCCACCATAAAATAGCAATAAGCACAGGAATAAAAATTTTCTGATGAGCTGGCTTCAGAAGAAGATACCTTAGGCATACTAATGGACAGTCAATTTGGATGGGTCATAGGGAGCTAAATTGTGGAGGCATTTGAATGCCAGGACAAAAAGCTTAGATAGCCTCCATGAAGAAGTAAGGAACCACAAGAGGTTGTTGGCTAAATCTATAATTCTGGTCGACATCATATGCTCTGTGCAGATTTCTGACTCAGCTTTCTGTCTCCAGGGCAAAAGAGAAATATAAACTCCTTTAGTCTAGCACAGGGCCTGGTATTTACAATGTGCTTATTAAATGCCACATTTCCTTTCATTCTGGGGACTGAATTCCTCCTTTTGTGCCTCCCTTTAGAGGCCTTTGCAGAGCAAGTTGGTCAATGGTCCATCTTTTCTCTTCACCAGACACAACAGCCTAAAACTCGGATTTTTTTTTTTCTCTGCATTCTTACTGGGAGCAACAGAGGAAGCCTGAGCCAAGGGACTTTTACTACTGCAACCTGGACCCATGAATCTCAGGTAAATCAATGTCTACCAGCATGGAGTGGAAGAGTTCAACCTACATTTGGAAGTAGGATAAAACTATTCCAAGAATTACATCAGCAAGTAAATGTTTTGAGGGCTTGAGGTGAGGAAAGGAGGCACTGAAGGGACCAGAGCTATGACCTACCTTTACAGAACTTAGAAATGGAAGAAACATCTGGGAAAGAGAATAGACAGCTCAAGAATGAGGATGGGGAAAACAACATAAATAGATAAGGTGTGAATAGTTAAAGAGATGACTACACATACATCAGTTCTGGACCTTTTAGATCAAATAGTTCTGGAGTGCTATTTTAGGAGTAGGATAAGAAATATAAAAGGTGATAACTGGCCAGGTGCCATGGCTCATGCCTGTAATCCCAACACTTTGGGAGGGCAAGGCAGAGGATGTCTTGAGTCCAGGAGTTAGAGAACAGCATAGGCAACATAGTGAGACCTCATCTCTACGGAAAATAAAAGAAATTAGCCAGGTATGGTCACACACACCTATAGTCCCAGCTACTCAGAAGGCTGAGGTGAGAGGATTGTTTGAGCCAGGGAAGTGTGAGGGTGCAGTGAGCCATGATTGTGCCACAGCACTCCAGCCTGTGCAACAGAGCGAGACCCTGTCTCAAAAAAAAAAAAAAAAAACCCCAAATGTGATAACCAGTAACTAGACATTCATGCAAGCATCAGTACTGTGAACCAGCAACTAGATGACATTAAAAGAGTCATGTTACTCTTTTCATCCAGAGCAATTCGTCTTAGATAATCAAAGGCAGTTAACCTTAATTTGTGCCAAAGATAAATGCAAAATTATCACCAAGAAGAAGTTGTGGGTGGAAATTAGAAGGTTTTGCAGTTGATTGATTATATCGAGCAATAATTCGTTGATCTGACACTGAACTCTATCTAAATATTTTAATATTAGGCCATATTTACCACTATTCTCCATTCCTGTTTTTTTTAAATAGTAATACTATAAATAAGAAATCAAAAGTGATTAGAGGAAAGGACTTTTGACCAGAAATTGCAGGAGAGATTGGTGTGATGGTCCAGAGAAAGCTAATCAACAGCAACTTTCTTAAAGAGTCTTTCTGCCCCTCTTTATCACCTCCCTACTTTCAGTGTGGCAATGCCTCTGTCCTTGCTATTTTCCTTTTCTTCACTTCTTTTCTTCAATTTTTCACTCTGGGAATTAATGACTATTTCTTCCAAAGCATAAAAGATAAAAATATTGGTCCCGGGAAGTCTAAGGGAAAGTCTCTGTCACTCAGGTTGTTGGTACATATCTTTCTGCAGACATTTGTGTTTGCTGATCCTGTCCTGTGCTCCTTCTATTCTACAGCAAGATTACTGTCTGGTTTCCCCATCTCTTCTCTCCTGTTCCTCTGTGTGTGTGTGTGTGTGTGTGTGTGTGTGTATACAGGGAGAAGAGACCAAAAAAATATGGAAAATTAGAAGGAATTGTTGTTAGGATGTCCATGAAACACTGAACTCATATTTATACATTTTCACTCATTGGTCAGGAATTAAGAATCAAATGGGGTAATCATGTTTGTTTCATCGAATTCATCTTATTCGAAAAAAGAAATTCAACAAACCCTGCATTTCTCATCTGTAAGCTTAGATTATTATAGTAGATATGACATAGTTTTATTCTTGTATCTTATAGCAATTAGCTATGTAAGCTACAGTCACCTTTGCTTGCACTTTGTTAAACCTACCTGGAGCAGGTGGCAAGATTCTGGGATCGAGAGGCAGGTGGAGGAGTTGGAAGGGTCAATTCCCGTGTTCTGCCTGGGGTAACTGAGACTGAATTTGGAGGCCATGTCTGCAGCCCTGGCTGTCCTGAGTGTGCTGCCAAAGCATCCGACTGCATTGCTTTCAGGGCAAAGGTAATTATGTGTTCTGGAGAAGCCCTACTACTTTTCAGATTGAGCAAATCCTGAACAGGTGCAGCCCTAATCCAAGGCTTTGGGAGGAGCTGCTGGAGACCCAGCTGCGGGTGCTGGCACGCTTCCAGAGGAAAGCAGGAAGCAAGAAGACTGTTGCGGGAAGAGCCAAAAGTGCAACGTTTCAGTACCAAAAAGATCGTTGGCACAGAAACAATGAAATGCATGGCCTGGCCTTTTTTGTCTCCCTGCCATCTTGCTGTAAAATGAGGTGGTCCCTGGAAAGCCCAGCACAGGAAAGCTAGATATATAGAGTCTGTGGATCATCCAGTGATGACGCTGAACATAAAAGCTGGAGATGTGATGTTTCCAAATAATTTATATTTGTTTTAAATTTCCCTCCTTTTCTTATAAATAACCCAAATCCAGATACTAGGATAAATGACTGGATCACATCCCCTTGTCACGGCAGGCTTGCAAAAATATATTAGGAACGAGGGAGGGCAATGTGCACAGAGAAGACAGACCTGCTCCTGTACCTTGTCATTTGTACTCCAGTGATGAATTTCTAAACTACGTATTTGAGCATGTTAATGAAAAAGAAAAGAGCAAAGGAAAGAAAAGAGAAGGGGAGAGAGAAAATGACAAAAGAACAGAGGAAAAAAAAACACTAGGCAAAAACCAGAGGAAAATGAGGCAGGAATATTAGGTTGGCTAACAAAGTACGTTTTGGTCAACCGGCTTTGGCATAAACGGACTTGGTGCCTGGGAAATAAAGCAGATAGGTGAGTGGGGGGCTGAACCACTCTGGAAGATCTAGATGTGGTTGGGGAATGAGGAATTGTCAGAGAGAATTAGGGGTATTTATTGCATGGTACCCTAGACTGGGCTCCAGGACTGACCCCTTGCTGAATGAGAAGCTAGACACACAGGCGTTTTTTAAGATTAAAAGAAAAATGAGAAGAGGGTGACTTGGTGTCTGAACTAAGCTCAACTACTAAAATAGACAAAATAGCCCAGTGGCGAAAGGTTAATTTGTTGGCCCCCAGACCCTGAAGCAAAGCTTCAGAGGGGGCCCCTTTGATCTTTGCTGGTTACTAAATGAATAGCCTGTAGTCACCACCTCCTGGGTCCCAGAAACCAAAGACTACTTATTGATCAGTATTGAACAAAATTTGGCAATTGAAATAGTAGCAATATATTATCTGGTTTTGGGGAGGGGGATGGAAGTCTGAGTATTTTCACTAGGACTAGTATGGATTTTGCAGGTGGTCCCTAATGCTTAGCTCACTAACAATCTCACTCTCCCTTTTCTAGAGCTCAGACCCTCTCTTTAAATAGCTAACCCTTCAGGCTTACTGAGTATCAGTTACTGATTTGTTGAAGTTAACTACAGTGTGTTTATTTGGGAAGGAGGTTACTTGAACGTGCCCTTAAATTGCTTTGACTTCCAACTGCAACAAAACACGTCTTGGCTTCTTTGGCTGAGGGGATGATGTGTGTGACAGGGGGCACCATCAGTTAACTCCAGTGCCACTGTGAGGCTGAACGTGCAGAAAAAAAATAAGGAGAGAAGGAAAAAAATGGTAAAGGAAAAGCAGTAAGTGAAAAGGAAGATAAAAAATAGAAGAGTTGACATGGTGGGGAGAGGTGAAGTGACACCAGTCGCTGCCTGGTGTGACATTTAATGGCATCAGGATCACGGTTACCTTCTCTGAGGGTAAACCAGAGAGCACTGTGCCACCTCTGGAGTCACAATTACAAAGTGACATCTCTGCAAGGGCCAATTTTGAACAGGAGAAAGCCCTCCCCCAGGGACGATGAGCCCATGGTAGCGGCAGATAGTGCAAACAAGCACAAATGCCCATCCCCATGGCAGGCATAAGGGGGAGAGGGATCATATTTTAAAGCTCCATTAACAAAGAACTTTACTCAAGGAGGAACTGTTAATAAGTAATGAAACAAAGTGCCTGTTATGGAGATTAAATGCTCCTGTGTCGAGGTACAAAGTTCAGGCTGCAAAGTGCAGCTGTCACCCTGTCTATAACCCCACGGCAGCCTTAGAACCCCTGGTTCAAAGTGTGTCTTGCTGCCTTCCTGTTACTAGGCTGCCTAGTGCAAGGTCCAGCCAGGGTTCACAGTTCAGCGTCTGAGGCTCTGCTGACTGCCTTCTTTGTTTAACTTGGGCAAGCTTTTGATAAGCCAGGGACTGCTTATTTAAGGCGATTATTACAAACAACTGACAGATTATTTTCCCAGATTCTTGCACTTATTCTTCATATGCAAGTTTAAACGAGTCCCAAACTATAATTTCTTGAGGATTTGTGTGTGTACAAAAGTAATCGAGATAAGGATGTGTGAAAGACTAGGTAAAAAAATCTATTTCTAAGGAATAACTATGCTCCAAGCAGACATAGAAAACCAAGGTCCTTTGAAGTAAGGACTCGTGAGGGCAATTTCAAGACAGGTCAAAGAATTCTCGTCTCTAATGATCAAAGATCAAATAAATACCAGATTTACCCTTTAAAATCAAGCGAACCCTTTCCTTGTTTAACAGTAGATCAGTGTTAATTCATTTCTGAATAGAGTCTCCCTCTGTAATTGTTCTTTTTATTTGTCTACTAAAAATTCAGAGGGAAACTCACTTTTTTCAAATAGTTTGCTTTGCTCGACCTAATCCTAGCAAAAGCCACAGGAAGGTGGAAAACCGATAATTAGTATTCCCATTATGCAGATGAGGAAACAGACTCAAAGAGAGTGGCAATTTGCCCAGGGTCTTCGAGTTAGTTAATCTTACAAAACCAAGACCACAATCCATCTCTTCAGCCTTTCCTCTCAGCACTTGTTTCAGAAGCCCACTGCTTCCTCTTAAGTCCTGACACCAATTCTATTTGAATGGCAGTAGTTCTTTTTCATTTCTCACTTTTATGGAAGTGAACGGAGTCTAAGTAAAACACTAGAGGCAGGCAGTTTGGGAAATGTGATATGAAAAAGCACTCCAGGTAAGGTTTAGGGAAACAGGGCTTGACTTTGTGATGGCCTCGTGCCAGGCACCTGTTATTCATGCTGCTTCTCCTGGCCACAAGTGCCAAGGGGGCAGGATTTTCAGCTAGTTGCCCAGTGGGTCGTTCAGGGTGCTGCTCCTTCTGGAGATAGCATAGATTAATATTTTACCTCAGAAAGGAGTATAGCTCATTGGTGATACATGAGTGCCCTACGGGCTTAGAATTTAGAATAATACTTGCTTATGACGCATAAAAGCAAACTAAGATTTCCTTGTCTCATATTTTCTCTACATTGGCATAGAGTTGAAAAATCATCAGCAGTTTTTTTTTTTTTTGTTGCTGTTGTTGTTTCGTTTTTGAGACAGGGTCACGCTATGTTGCCCAGGCTGGAATGTACTGGTGTGATGATGGTTCACTGCAACCAACCTCAACCTCCCAGGTTCAAGCTGGGCTCAATCGAGCCTCCCACCTCAGCCTTCTGAGTAGCTGGGACTATAGGCGCACACCACTGTGACTGGCTAATTTTTAATATTTTTTTGTAGAGTACGGGGTCTCACTATGTTGCCCAGCCTGGCCTTGAACTCCTGGACTCAGGTGATCCTCCCGCCTTGGCCCCCTAAAGTGCTGTGATTATAGGCATGAGCCACCACACCTGGCTGCAGGTTTGACTCCATTGGCAGATACATATTAAGGCCTACAATGTCCCAGATATTTACTATTAATTTGTAGATGTTTACATACGTAAATATTTTCATAGTTATTGAGCCCACACTGTATGCCATGAAGAAGGCATAGATAGAAATTCAGATACATCCTACTTCTGTCCTCAAAGAGCTTGAACTGTAGTAGGAAGGAAAATGCAAAAATGTACATAGCAGGTGACAACAAAGAGATACAAGCAAAACACTAAGAGATAGAAAAAAGCAGTGAGAGTAGGAAGTGAGTCTTTATTTACTGAGCACCTACTTAGGGCCAGTCTCAAGAATGAATGTTTGACCTATTTTAGGCTTTTAATCCACACAACCACAGCAGGGAGTAAATATTATCTCCATTTTACAGATAACTATATTGAAACTCAGAGGGGTTAAGACACTTGTCCAAAGCCATAGAACCTATAATGAACAAAAGTGGGTTTGAACCTATTTCTCCAACTGAGCTTCATGTAGACAAGCAGATGTTGGAAAAAGAGTCAGAAAAGAAGAGAAAACAAATTATTAGAAAGGAAGGAAGACAATAGAGATTTTATTGTATCCTGAATGGCAAGATAGAAGGGATTCTCTGGGTGATGGTAGGTGTGATAGAAGCATGGGGGCCAGAAACTAAAAAGTGAGGCCTAGACGGGTGGTGAAGTAGAGGAAGCATGGTGGAAGCTCTGAATGTGAACTCCTAATTCTTTTAATACATGGCAATAGGGAGAAGGGGTCGAACAAGATGCATTATTAAGGTCATCTTTTATGGGCTCCCTGTTCTTTGGACCCATCTACAAAAAAGACTGTACTTTTCTCATGCTATGTATATGTTCTTATATTCTTGGAGGATGGCAGCTATCACCTTACTTAAGACACACCCTAACCTAGATCTCTTGCTACAATCTCTCTCTTCAGATATTGATTTGTGTTTCCAGGTGCCCATGCAGTGTGTCCAACTGGTCAATTCAGAGACACCAATATCTGCTCCTGCAAACCTGTTCCTTCCCTACATCCCCTACCTCAGACCATGTCATCCTACCACTTTAGTCTCCCATGTTATCAACCCTGACATTATCTTTGATGCCTTTCTTACCCCCACTCTGTAAATTCAACACATCTCCAGTCTTCATAGTTTTAACCCTGAAATGTCTCCAAATACATCACCTCCTCTTAATGCCCCTGCTCATACTATGTATTTTTATACCATAGTCTTATGTCATCGCATATGTGTAAGAGACATACTTTCATATGAGACTTTGGGTCAAGTCTTCATTATCTCTTGTAGTGATAAAAGCATGGTTGATCTAATCTCTGTCCTTCACAGTTATACTCCGCTCTGTCTTTCCATTACTACTGTTACTAGAAATGATTTGTAAAGTGTAAAGCAAGTGGAGTCAAATCTGGCAATGCCTCTCTCTTGCTTTGAAAACATTAATAAAGGCAGAGGCCAGGTTCAGTGGCTCACTCCTATAATCCCAACATTTTGGGAGACGGAGGCAAGAGGACTGTCTAGTCTCTACAAAAAATTTAAAAATTAGCCAGGTGTGGTGGTGCACACCTGTAGTCCCAGCTATTCAGGAGGCTGAGGCAGGAGGACCTCTTGAGCCCAGTAGTTCAAGGCTGTAGTGCACTATGATTGCACTTGTGAATAGCCACGATGCTCCATCCTGCACAACTTAGCGAGACTCCATCTCTAAAAAGCAAAAAAACAAGCTCTAGTAATTCCTATATCTTTACAAAAAAAGTTAGCAAACTAGTGACCATAGACCAACATTGGCCCACAGATTTATTTTATTTGGCTGACACAAGTATGGAATCGTTGTGTTTTAAATTTGTGTTAGTTGTCAATATTTAAAAGTTGAATATTTCACATAAACATTGAGATTTCTGGCTCTGTTGAGAAATCAAGATCAGTCAGCACTGGGCAGGACTCCCGCAGAGCAGCCACCAGAATTCCATAGCAGCTGCCTGTTACAGAGGGGCATTCCCTCTCCGGTTTAACCCAGTCCTTACAATCATGTCATGCTATAATGGGATGTGAGTGGCACTTTACCTCCATAATGTTTCTCCCCAAAGCCATAAAACCCTCGTCTAATCATGAGAACAACATTAGAAAAACTCCAAGTAAGGGGCATTGTACAAAATTCTTACCAGCATCCCTCAAAATTGTCAATGTCCTCAAAAACAAAAAAAGTCTAAGAAACTGCCACAGCCAGGAGGAAACTTAGTCAATAAATGTAATGTGGTATCCTGGATGAGATCATGGAACAGAAAAAGGACTCTGGGTAAAAGCTAAGAAACTCCAAGTAAAGTATGGACTTTATTTAATAATAATGCATCATTAAGTGTTTATTTATTCATTTATTTTGAGTGAGAGTCTCACTCTGTCACCCAGGCTGGAATGTAGTGGCACAATCTCAGCTCACTGAAACCTCCACTTCCCAGGCTGAGCAATTCTCCGGTCTCAGCCTCCCGAGTAGCTGGAATTACAGGCACGTACCACCGCGCCTGGCTAATTTTTGTATTTTTAGCAGAGATGGAGTTTCACCATGTTGGCCAGGCTGGTCTCAAACTCCTGACCTCAAGTGATCTGCCTGCCTTGGTCTCCCAAAATGCTGGGATTGCAGATGTGAACTACCTACCATGCCTAGCCTATTTGTTTATTCATTGTAACAAATATACTATGCTACTATAAGACGTTAGGGGAAACTGGATATATAGAAATTCTCTGTACTATATTCACAACTTTTCTGTACGTCTAAATCATTAAAATGTTATTTTTCAAAATAAACTAATGGCAAAAGTAAAATGTAGGCAAGCTATTTGTTGACCTCTTTCCATTGTTCTAATGCCTTTGTTTCTCTAGTCTGTGTGTTTTAGTGACTCAGTGATACTACATAAAGTATTATCTTGCACATATATGCACACACACATATCATTTCATATATCAATTATCTTTCTTTCATGTGTATAAGTACATACATACATATATGAAAGATGACACTTTATGTGTTTTCACTGAGTCATCGTCTGTATAGGTATATATTTGGAGATTACTAAAGAGCCAAACGCTTCTGATACCTAAATGAATAAATTTCTACTGGTAAAAATTTAAGTCGTTGTCGTATCTGAATGTGGAAGATAACTATGGTTGGAGTAGAAACTTCCTAATCATAACAGCAGCCCTGACTTTTATTAAAACATTGAAAAAGGGAAAAGACACATGGAAACAGCTGGTTTTGTAGGATGTTGAAGATCCAAAGCAAGAGATACTGCAATTAATCTGTGAGGAAGGAAAAATATTTCTATGATTCTCACAAATGCTCACAAATCACTTTCACTTTATTAATTTTATTTTGTAAATCATTCCCTATGGTCACCTCAAGGGGTGCATTGTTCTTCTCTCATTTTTTTCAAGGTGAAGAAATTTTGGCTGAAAGAGACTCACTGACTTTCCAGAGGTTATCTAGGGATTCATTAACAGAATAAAAATTAGGCTCCAGCTAATGTCACTAAGCCATTGCTATCCTCTGCATCTTCTTGCTTCCCTCAATCCAAAGAGGTTCTAAATAAGGAGATAACATAATTACATAACTTTAGGGAAAATGCAAATGAACCAAATCTGGAGAAAAGATGAAGATAAATTAATCAGAACGAATGAGATAGCTTAGGATTGCATGGTGTTCAGGAGACAGCAAATTAAATTGCCATTTGTAAGGAATAAGATAGGGCAATAAGAAAGGCCAGAGATATTCTGTTCTGTACTCAAAGAGGGATAGCATAACCCGAAGACAAAGTAAGGGCACGGTGCTAGTATTAGGATGGTGCCATTACTTTTTTTTTCTTTTTGAGACGGAGTCTCGCTCTGTCGCCCAGGCTGGAGCGCAGTGGCTCGATCTCCGCTCACTAACCTCCGCCTTCCGGGTTCACGCCGTTCTCCTGCCTCAGCCTCCCGAGTAGCTGGGACTACTGGCGCCCGCCACCACGCCTGGCTAATTTTTGTATTTTTAGTAGAGACGGGGTTTCACCGTGTTAGCCAGGATGGTCTCGATCTCCTGACCTCATGATCTGCCCACCTCGGCCTCCCAAAGTGCTGGGATTACAGGCATGAGCGACTGTGCCCGGCCGGTGCCATTACTTTTAATGGCAAAAACAGCAACTGCTTTTGCAGCAACCTAATAGTAAACGTGCTGAGGCCGCATCTATTCTGGGGGACTCATTTTGGGGTCCATGAACACAAAACGTGCAGACTTTTTGGAAGAACGCCAAGAAATAACATATGCAGATAATATGTGAAGGACTCGGGCTGCTTTCCTCACTGTCCGTCAAGTTCTGAAGACAAAATTATGCCAGATGGAATTGGTTTAGCCAGCTGAATAACTCAGGTGGGAGGTCTGTGTAGACATGTTTTGTTCAGTTTTTGTTGCCTTCAATTTTTGATATGGAAGGTTCTGTTTGGATGGGGATAACCATACATGTGTGTGAAATAAGTGACTTACTGTCTACAAGGTATAGCCCCAAAATTTCTATCTTGGACCCACAGTGATATCATTTTCTCTGTGGCCTGATAGTCCCAGCATGAGAGAAGGAACGACTTGGGAATTAAAAAAAAAAAAAAACAAAAATCACTGCAGAAAGTGTGATTTCCGAAAAGGCATAGGTAAAACTCTCTTTACATTATTGGAGCAAGACCTTCTGGTGCTCTTCCTCAGAGCATCTTCACAAGGTTGTTTATGAACGGATCCCACTGACATCCTGGGATTCACAGAAGAGTGCTTGGTGTAAAGAGATGCCATTTGCATTATGCTCGGGTGATCTTTAATCAATGTTTTTTTCTATCTGACAGAAGGGGCAATATCCATCTACCTCTAAAGGCAGGCAGAGCTGAGTGATGTCATCATGAACTGATGGCAGTAGGTAGGAGAAATCTCTCCCAGGCACAGGTGATACCTAAGAAAGTGAGTAAATTCTACTTTTGTAGACAATGGCTGCTGAGTGGAGACAAGGGAAGTTTGTATTGAGCAGGGTAGGAGAACTGAGAAGAATCTAACTTTACCTACTTTACTCTGCCTTCACCCTGATGACCAGGGAGGTGAGAGCCATGTTTTGCCCTTCTTATCTCCCCTTCCACCTTTTAGTATCAACATGATCTCCCCTCAAAGCCAATGCCCTCTGAGGGGAATGACTCAGCCCCTACTCTGCTATAACAATATGAACATTTGTCAATACAATTAATATTCTAAATGGATGGATCCATGCTTTTTCTCTTCCCCTAGCACTGTTGGAATAACAGTATCTGGAAAAAGTAATGTAAACACTCAAAAGAATGATTTCAAAAAAGAAATACAGAAATTGCCACAATCTAAGACACTTTCATTTCAACCAGAAAGGAGACCAAGGACATTAAAAAAAAATTTGAGGCTGAATTGAATGATTAAGTCTTGGCAAATGTCTTTTGACACCAAGAAGGATGTGGGGAAAGGGAGTTTTAAAGAAAACTTGCAGTTAGAGAGTCTAGAGTGAGAATTAGAGGTTCTGGGATGAAAAAGGGCATGAAGGATTTGTCAAAGCCAAAGGATAAATGAGCTGATTTGGGAAGGGAGAGGAAACTCTCTATTTCTTTCTTTGTTCTTTGCTTTGGGCCTGGAAAGAGGCAGAAACCCATTCTCAAAGAATGTGAATGTAGTTCTTTCATGTTTCTATCACATTTTTTGTCCTTTTTTTGGATGAACCATTTGAATGCTTACAAAAATCTACTTCTGCATTGCATAACTCAAGACTTGAAACCAAAGATGTCTGGAAGCCAAGAACTCATTTTCTTATTTAGGACATGAAAGCCCCAGGTACACAAGATCTTACATTTATGATATGGAGAAAAATCTATAATGCTTATGTTTATTATTTGATTTCTACCATTTCCTAATTTTTCAATTTTAATTGACATTGGTATGACTTGACATGGCAAGAACAAGGGACTAAGTATACCAAACTAGCACTTCGTTTAGTATTGGTATGTATAACCACAGCGGCTGTAATAGCACATTGCCTCAGATTTAGTTGAGAGCTGAAGAAATTCTCTGCAGCCTCAGAACAAGAATTTATTAAATCTTTTTTAGAGGGGTATTACCAGACACAAATGTCAAGTCAAGGAACAAAGGGACTAATCCAAATTCACAAAGAATTTGACTGGCTGTGTCTCCTGAACCCGTGACTTCCTCCAGCACTTCAGATGTGGCATAAAGCAGGAGGGATTTCCTAACGATGCAGATGCACTAGAAGCCAGAGGGTCAGGGAGACCTCTTCTCTCACTGGTGCTTGGAAGATTTCCATAAGTAACTCCCAGTGCTACTCATGAGAACTACATAAATTAAGCCTTCAGTTCAGGATAGAACCCAGACTTGTAGCTGAGGGCATACTCAGGACAAAGTGGCCTCTGAGTATGCTTAGAACTCAGAATTCAAGGGCAGTCAGAAGAAGGCTAGACACATCTTCAAAATGTGTTGGAATCCATTTGTGATAGCTGTCAATAGCTTTATGTAACTAATTTACACAGCTCATGATTAACTAGTAGCTAAAATGTTACAGAAATGCCCTCATAAATATATTTCCAAAATCAATTTGGGAGCATTGATTATGTCTCGTTTATTGAAAGAATGTAGTGAGTTGTAAGGGTCAAAGGCAAGATGACATTAGTGAGAAAGTGAGTAAGCATTCAAAAAGGAGGGCAGATATCTAGAACTGGACTGTCCAATAGAGTAGCCACAAGCCACATGTAATAATGTAAATGTAAATGTAAATTAATTAAAATTAAATGACATGTAAAGTCCGGTCTTTAGTCACACTAGCACATGTCAAGTGTTCAATAGCCACATTTGCAGAGTGCAGAGAAGAACATGTCCATTGTTCCTTTCCTTTTGAAAGTTCTACCACACTATGCAGATCCAGACCCTTCTGCCTCTGTCCCCCAACCCTACAGCTTATGTAATTTCCAAATCCCCATCAGTGCAATTTTAAGATTCAGAATGACTCTAGAAGAAACCAAAAAATAAAAGTCAAAAAACTAGAACAAGGCTGTTGCCACTATCAGCTGACTACGTAGCTAATGAGCTCATGGCCATGGGGGTAGGAACTACTTTGGAGCCTAATTTTTTCCGTACATGTGAGAAGCTCTGAATTGACCCCAAGGCGTTCTAGCTAAAGTCATCTTCCTTTAGGTTGTGGTCATGTGTTTATAGGGTCTGTCTACATTTGATATCTGCTCCTGGCTGTTCCTCTAACTACACAGCCTCCCAACACAATCAGATGATGGTTTAAGAGAAACAGTCTTTGACGGACTAAGCCCATGCCTTGCCCAAGTCCACCCATATCACTGTGGTTTCCTCATTCATGTGAATATTATAGGTTAAAGTCAGGGTTCAGGGTCTAGAAGCAGGACATGAAGTATAAAAAGAGACATCAGAATTACTGGAACACTAACATATGAATGAGTATGCGCAAATGCTATTACATGGTGAGCAAACATAAGATAATTCATTTCATGAAATAAGCTTAGTTGCCAAAACCATGTTTAGTCGGAATCTTTTTTTTTTTTTGCAGCCATGTGATTTTTCAAATTATCTTCTGTGTGAGTATCAATAATTGTAAAAACCAGTCAAACATTCCTTCCTTTGGACTTTACCCTCCTGTAACTGAAGTGCTTGATCTAACCTTTGACATAAAATCAGGCTAGTGTCACAGAGTGGGGCTGCACCTACTGTTCTCAAAAACATCTATGGAGAAGAGTGGCAGAGTGCTGTTATTTCTAAAAAGGAGAGACTAAATAAATGGTTTTAAAATAAGCACAAGTTACTACTACTTTGCTTATTTTTGTTACAATTGCTCAATAATAGATGTGATTGATAATATGATAATATAGATAAATCAGGAGCATTCTACTTAAATGGGTCTCTTCCCCAGGAATAATTATTTTCTAGAAGGTTGTGCCTGAAAAGGTTGGTGTAGTTGGGTGCTGTATTTCTTTCTTTCTTTTTTGGAGATGGAGTCTCGCTCTGTCAACCATGCTGGAGTTCAGTGGTGCGATCTTGGTTCACTGCAGCCTCCCACTCCCGGGTTCTAGCAATTCTCCTGCCTCAGCCTCCTGGGTAGCTAGGTTTACAGGCATATGCCACCACGCCTGGCTAATTTCTGTATTTTTAGTACAGACGGGGTTTCACCATGTTGACCAGGTTGGTCTCGAACTCCTGACCTCAGGTGATCCACTTTGGTCTCCCAAAGTGTTAGGATTACAGGCGTGAGCCATAGGTGCTGTATTTCATCTTAACTTCTGTTTCTGATGACCAGGTAAAGACGACATAATAAAAGAACTAGGGACTACATTGACAATAGGGCATGAAGAAAATTCTTATACTCTAGCCTTGCTCATTTTGTTGCAATAAAAACAAACAAACTGAACAATGTGATATGTTTCTGGAATAGGTGGAGGAAAGACAATGGCTTTTTTCAGAGAGAGGTGTTGCATTTATTTGAGTTAATCCTGAAGTTCTCTGAAATTTGGCAATGGTAGTTTTATGTTTCAATTCAGTGACTGCTGTTTAAACTGCAGGATTGATGCACAAATGATCCATAACACATTTTGGCATATTAAATCATCTTCACAGTTCTAATACATCATGAAACCCAATTTACATATAACGTAGGCACAGAAGATGAAAAGCTGAGAACAGACCCCTGTTTCAAAAGGCATCAGGCACACTACTTTATTTTCTTGAAGCTCCAGTAACTTCTATAAATCCATCGCTGGAAAAGGTTATTAAACTGCCAGGCCCTTCTTCTTTCTTCTCAATCTTTAATTCCCCTCCTCTTCTCACATGCCATATGGAAACTCTTCTCTCCCCCTCCCATTTTTTTTTCATTTTTATTCCACAGCTCCTTTCCCTTGAGCTGAATCTCTCAAAGTCATGGACCATGATAAACATAATTTTTCTCTTTCTGTTTAAACTTGTAATGTATTTGGATTTTACAATTTTATTTATTTATTTTTGTCTATGGTAGCTGTGACATAGCAATAGATGTAGTGGACAAGAAGGCAGCTTCATCAGATTCTGGATCTGATCTTAGAAATGTAGCACCTGGATAATAACACAAGGTCAAAGTGTGACCAGTAGGCACGATGTGCCATTATGTCATAATATCAATTTCTACTGTCATTATAGACAATAGACTTTCAGCCTACCATCCAGGTATTATGAGCTATATGGTATACAGCCAAAGACATCACAGGATGGACAGAGTGCAAAAACTGGCTTCCACCACATCTCAGAATAAATAATTCCTTTGAATTAGATCAGTAAATATTAAAATATTACTTAATCATGTCTCTTAGAAAAAATAATGAGAATGTTTTATGTTCTATTAGAATTAAAATCAATGTCCTCTACCATCATTGTCAGTTGCTTGGCACTAGATAAAAAAGGCATTGTGTCTGCCAAAATTTTCCTTTCCTCCAGGGTCCTTAGATCAGGGTTTCTCAACTTTGGCACTATGTGCGTTTTGGGGTAGATCATTATTTGTTTTGGAGGTTTGTTTGGAGGTTGCAAAATAGTTAGCATTATGCTTGGCCTATGCTCCCTATGTGCCAGGAGCATCCACTGTAGTTGTGACACCACAAAAGTCTCTAGACATTGTCAAATATCTCCTGAGGCGCAAAATCTCTCCCAGTTGAGCACCACCGTCCTAGATCTATAAGGCATGGATCTTTCATCTCCTATTTCTTTTTCTCCTCTTGTTTTATGCTCCAGGCTAATCCCTGCCCCAAGCGATATCTACCTGTCCCCACCTCCCCACATCCTCTTGGTTTTCTGAAATAGATTAATAACAGACCCTCTCCACATCCTCTTGGTTCTCTGAAATAGATTATTGGTTACCTGAAACTATCTTTGAAATGCCTGTGTAAACCACAACAGATTCCCTTGGGCCTCAAGGGAGTCACAGAAAAGTCTGAAGCAATGTAGAAAAAAATAAAGTAGCTAGAAAGTGTGAGGAATGTCTGTCTAGCTCTCTAGGTTGCTGTATTGGGGAATCAAGTTTACATTGGCTGCTAAGGTTTGACTATCTGGGACAATTTGAAAGTAATATTATGGGGTTAGCTTGAAACTCCCCTGAAGAATAAAGGACCCAAGTTTATATCCCACAAAACTTTTCTTCTTGTGGAAGCTTAAAACTCTTATTGATTTCCTATGAAAATTATTCACCTTGGATATTCCATAACCTTTAAAAATTATCTAAACCTTCTAAGTCCCACCCTGCTTGGCCTACTTACTTTCAGCAGGTGACCACATCTTTGATTTTAAACTATGGAAATTGAGGAGAAGATCCGACTCACCCTGACATCAGCTTTCTTTTTAAAACTTCTTCCTTTGTTCCTTAAAATATCTCTTTTTCCTACCTCTCAGCTACACTTGTCATTTCCCCATTCCTTCCCTTTACTTCTTATGGTTGTCTCCGGTTTCATTGGCTGAGATTGTTCTCCTTTTTAAAACTAGCCCCTCGAACTGTATCTATGACCTTCAGCCTCTTATTATCTGCTTTCTTTACATCTTCCAAAGATGGTACCATCTTATTGGTACCTTTTACTTTTATTGGTACCTTCCACTGAGTCTACAAATATCACTGCCCGGCTTACCAGTTTGCCTATCCATTACCACAAGCTTTTCTCTCGTAGTCTCTCCATCTCCTTTCTGTCTTTTCTCTTTCCTTTCCTTTTCTCCCAACAGATGTCTCAAAAAAATAACCTATGCTCCTCACTTTAACTCTATGCCTCCCACACCTTGAATCTCTTGCATGGTTGTTTCTATCTTCACAAATATGCTGAAATTGTTCTTGCTGTTTAACAGTGACAATTTAACCATTGAACCTATGGAATTTTTAAGCCTTAATATTTGGAGATTTGACACTATGGTCACTTTCTTGGTTTTTCAAACGTTCTTACATCCTCCTGATTTTTTATCTGTTACCTTTACTGTTTCTTTTCCCTGCTCTTGTCGCCTAGTACTCTAGGCAAATTAACTCAAGCTTCAGATGTCTGCTTTTCTGTCTAATGTATCCAGTCCTGAACACCACTTCCATTCAGAGATGCCAATGTTGTTATAAAAATAAATTTAGTGACTTCCTCTTAACTTAGAAGTGGCATCCATTCTCCTCTTTATATGATTCTTTTTTCAGAGTGGGACAATGTCTTTAATCACCTAGAGTGGAACCTTTGGAACTTAGAGACCTATTTGGCCCAAGCAACAGGGCTATAATTTCATGATCCTACCAGACCCTTTATTATAAATACTGATGCTAAGCTGAAAGGAAGTAGAAGTTTTGGAAGGGGGGCATATATTAGAGCAGGAATTTTTGCCAGCAGGAGTCTATTATATAGATATAACAGTGTGCATGTGCAAGGGTGGGTGATGGGGAAGAAATTGGCAAATCATGAGTAATATTTAAAAACGTAAGTCAAAAGTAACTATATATAATATCTAGAAATTTATAGATCAGTGCAAAAATCATCCAGGAGATTGAAATTAGCTCTGGAAAAAGAAAAATTGAAGGATCTGATGAAGCCTGATTTAATTGTAGTAAGTATTTAGAATTCATCGACCCTTTAAATTACGTACGTGTAAATAAAATCCGCATACCTAACTAATAAGCAATATCATCAGCATTAATAGTTAACTATGAGAAATAGAGAAGAATGCAGGATGTAACATAAAGAAAACTTCTTGCTGTGTAGAAGCTTTCTGGGCTAGATGGAAGAGTCTGAAAAATGAGGAAGGGAAGAACAAATGAGATGAGATGCCAGCTAGGTGCTGATTCTCTTGATCAGTCTATATATTTGAAAGCCATGGGGGTGGGTGGAGACCATGAGATGGCTTGGGAATCTTGGCACTAAGATTATTAAGTCATTAAGAAAGAATATGTTCCATTTTCCACTGGGAGCGTTGGTTGCCTCCCTTCCACCTTGGCAGCCACAGCAAAGTAGAAATGGTATGTTAGGCAAAGAACAGGGCCTTAAGATATTCCCTCCACCTCAGTTGGCATGGTATTTTGTAGAAGGAAGGAGAAAAGTTCTTACCCTGAGATCTTTTCTGGGCCTCACTGGGCCTCATATTTTAAGGGGGTATATATTGGTCTTTTTCTGATCAAGTCCTGCCCTACCGGACCAGAAGTCCATTGGAACAAAGGGACTTGCCCATACAGAACTTAACTCCCTCCCACCATTCTAGGCCATGCTCTGGACACTTGAGATCCTAGAAACTCTGCCAAGACTGCCCTCAGCCTGTATCTGGACTTTGTGTGTCTCTTCCTGGGTCTATTGCTGGAGGGTAAGTCATAGCACCAGTGTGTAAACTCCTAGATCTGAGGGGTGGCCAAGAAGTGGTTATTTGTGTGTGTGTTGGGGGAGGGGAGGTGGTTGCCATGGGGTAAACATGGGAGCTTAAATATGTGTGTGTGGGGGGGATTTCCACACAAGTGTGCTTAGGGTCATGGGGAGAAAAACTAGAGATGGGAAATGTATTAATCCGTTCTCATGCTGCTATGAAGAAATATCTAATGGGTAATTTATAAAGAAGAGAGGTTTAATTGACTCACAGTTCAGCATGGCTGGGGAGGCCTCAGGAAACTTAAAATCATGGTGGAGGGCACCTTTTCACAGGGGGGCAGGAGAGAGAATGAGAGCCAGCAGTGGAAATGCCAGACACTTATAAACCATCAGATCTCATGAGAACTCACTCACTCTCATGAGAACAGCATGTGGGAAACCACCCCCATGATTCAATTACCTCCCACTGCGTCCCTCCCATGACTCATGGGGATTATGGGAACTACAATTCAAGATGAGATTTGAGTGGGGACACAGCCAAACCATATCAGAAAGACAATGCAAAATGGGTCATAAACTGGGGTTTGCTTTCCCCCTGCCAAGACATTTCAGCATAGAACGACAAGTAATCTAATAATTCTAAATTAAGATGACCTAAGTCATTATAAAAGTATACTTGTCAAGGTAAAAGTATAGAATGTATTTTATTTCACAATTTGTTTGCTCAATTAATAATATGCAAATATTTAGAATTACCATATGTAGACCTCCATTTGTGCTTTTGCCCTGAGCCCTGCAAGTGTTATATGGCTGGCCTGGAGGAGAGATTCAGAAGCTGCTCCAGCAGTCAGTGGCGAGTGCTAGCATGCTGGGAAGGTCTGTGGACTGCAAGATGTTGGGATCAAGATAAAGGAGGAACAATGTTCAGACCTTGTGACTGGAGGCCAAAGCTGAGAGCAGCTTGTGGGTGTGAAGGTCAAGCAGGACTAGTTACAGCAACTGCAGCAAATGTAGCAAGGGCAGAGGCCAATAACCAACACACAGAGGCCATGCAGCAGGAGACAGTTTGGGCTTCTAACAAGAATCTGGAGGAAGAAATGAAGGTCAGACCCGTCACACACACACACACACACACACACACACACACACACACACTCCCCACGTGGCACTGTGGAATTAGATGAGATCCTTTTGTACCCTGTAGGTAGGAGAAAGGAGAAATAAATCTTTTGAGAGGTTAGAGCAGCCACACTAAACAGATTAAACTATGAATTGAATAACTTTAAAACTTAAATGTGAATTAACCTTTAACCCAAAGAGAATATTTTAAACAGGTTGTAATTGGATAAACTACCTTAAAGATACATAATATTATTATTATTATTTTGCTAGTGATTAAAGAGTGATTCAAAGGTCTGCTATGGAAACATAGCACTGTTACATTTCTGTGCATTGGATTAATTAATGTAAACTAACTATTAATACCCTGCAATATAGACTCATGGATAACTTCCTGGAGAAACTGCACTGGGTCCTTGTCAGGGTACAGTATGAGATTAATCCCATGACTATATACCTTGGTAGCAAATAGCTCATTATATCCAAGCTGTAGATGAATTCTAACTTCAAAGGATAACATAAAGGACACAAAGACATTTTAAGGTTCACAGTTTGGAGTTCCTTGCCTTAGAAAGTAAGATAGAAAGTTAAGGCTGCTTTCTGAGAGCGTTTTTCTAGGGACTACTAACTCCTAGGCCTTGACCAGTCCTTGTGAGCCCCAGACACACTGTGAGCCAAGAGATGTGACAAGAGGAAAGATCCAAAGTTGTTAGGCAAAGAGAGCAATGCCTGCTGGAGGCAGTTCTATTGCATTATTTGAATTGAATCTGATCAACAGAGAACTATTCTGTGCACTCAACTACACAGTATTAAGACATTATAAATATATGGGCTTTTTGTCAAAATTTCAGATCTACCTATCTGATTGTTCTGATTTCTTGACTTGATGGTGTGGATGACAGAGAAAGTGAAATTAACCTACAACATGATTACTTACTTCATTTTTATTATTTTTCCTCTTGAGAAGGCTAAGGATGTCAAGAATGTTACTTGCTCTTACAGTGTTTCATAAAAGACCCTGAAAATTAAAGTAGTTTTAGAAACTATACATAGCTCCAACCCACAGCACTGGAAATATATTACCCTCTAGCAGTAATAGCATATAAGTGTTTAATAAGTGTTAGTTGAATGAATTTGTTGAATACGTAGGTAATAAACACACATATAGACATATACTGCATAAAAGTCAAACATCAAAAACTCGTGGGATATATTTGGTAAAATAGATAAACTCAGGATTTGGGATCTGGTAACTCCCATAATTTCTTAGACACTGTGTAGAAAATGCCTTTTTTACTATGTGTGTTTCTTGCATGAATTCATCTTGATCAGGGAAGGTACTGTAATACATTGTGGGAAGAGTTTTAGTTGGCCAGTATACAAGAGGCCAGAAGATCAATTCATTGCAACCCCACCATATGAAAGCCTTTTCCTGAAAATCGTGGAGATACCACAACCATTTTGTCTTCAATTGAGGGGGAAAGTATGAAAATATAAAAAGCACGAACATCAAACCTGGGGGAGATTTAATAAGGCATGAAGTGGTTTTGGTGGAGCATTGCATCAGTTGCTGGTAAGGTCCCATGAAAGGACTGTCAAGCAGCATGGAGGGCCCAATGAGGACAGAGACTACAAATCCTTGGTGGCACCATTTCACATAGTGGTGAGATTTTCTCCAGCAGCACTCAGCAACTGGTGTTTAGGGCATTGGAGATAAATTAATGACTGGAGTTGTTGGGGCTTCACTGGGTGGATATACTGCATTGAACATTTTAGGGAGTGACAAGTTGTGGCTAGCTTGGCAGGAGAGTGCTGGCTGATTGAGAGAAAATGGAACAGTGGTACAGGCCTGCATTTGGTCAAAAGTAGGCATGGGGTGAGTAAGGGATGGAGAGAGCTGAAATGGTGAGAGGTTATGGTCCATGAATGGATACTGGCATTTAACAGGCATAGAGCATTTCATAATGATGTCAAGGTCTATTACACAGCCATGTATGAGCCAAGCAATTGGAAATGGAAGATCTGAAGTTAAAGATATCATGGAACTATGAGGAAAATACATCAAATATGTCACCTAGATGTCTAATTAAATTACCTGGGATGAGCAGAAATTGGGAAGCTGACAAGTTGAAAGGACATATGTGACTCAGGTGCCCAAACTGGAGGTTAGTAAAAGGTACCAACAAGATGTACAGCTAGTTGACATCAGCCCCAAAGGGCAAATTTTTGACTTGCAGAGGAACAATAGGGTAGTGTAAAAGCTTCATTGGTGGGCACAGGAGATACTAGTACTCCTCTCTTCATTAGAAAGGTCTGCATGGGAAATCAGCTTTCAGCTGAAGCAAGAAGGTGGCAGAAGCATGCTGTAAAGAGATTTGCAATGGAGGGTTTTGTGCCATAGAATGCAGGTTGCAGAAGCCCCAACTGGAAATGGCAGGAAGAAATGGACAGGCAGAAAAGTGAGGTTTTGGACTGAGAGTAGGGGAGAGGGTAGATGGTCAAAGGGACTTGAATATTGGGCAGGGACTGAGAATCAACAGGAATGTGAGGTCTGGTAGGATTAGCTGCTTTCTGGGATCTAAGTGGAGCAAAGGTACAAATTAGCTTCTGTGCCAGTGTTGGCTCAGTCCATAGAGGGTGTTGTCAGAGGCTTCATGATATTAGCAAATTGTGTTTTTTTCTCAGTTACCCAAACAGAATCTTGGTGGGAAGCTTTTGTGGTGCCTCTGAAGAGATCATTGTTCAGCCATACACAGATAAAGAGTGAGTGTCCTCTGGGGGCAGGATGGCTCTGAATCCTCTCAAAAGGCAACTATGGCCTGACTCAGTAGTCCTTTTGAAGAAATCCTAGCCAAGGATGAAGGGACAAGTCTAGTTTCGCAGCTGAGAGAAACAAGCTTAGTTCTTAAGTGCAAGTGCAGCTATAGAAAAGAAACTATATCATTGATGTGAAGCTAACTCCTTGATATGGTTTGGCTGTGTCCCCACCCAAATCTCATCTTAAATTGTAGCTCCCGTAATTCCCATATGTTATGGGAGGAACCTCGTGGGAGATAATTGAATCATGGGAGCACTTTCCCCCATACTGTTCTTGTGGTAGTGAATAAGTCTCATGAGATCTGATGTTTTTATAAGGGGTTTCCCCTTTCGCTTGGCTCTCATTCTCTCTTGTCTGCCACCATGTAAGACGTGTCTTTCACCTTCTTCCATGATTGTTAGGCCTCCCCAGCCACATTGAACTGTGAGTCCACTAAATCTCTTTTTCTTTATAAGATACCCAGTCTTGGGTATGTATTTATCAGCAGTATGAAAATGGACTAATACACTCCTGGAAAAGACTTTTCAACCCTACTACCCCCACAATGCCATGAGTGTTCTGGATGAAATAGTACTTCTTTGTTGTGTAGTATAAATGAATTTGGAATAAATATACATGGATTTAAAATAATACATTAATTTAAATTCTCCAGGTAGAACTACTTTGATGGAAATTTCCCTAAAAAAGCAACAAATGATTTGCCTCTGCATCTAATCAGCCAATCAGACACTCCCATGCTGATTACTTAATGAACTGGAATTTTAATGCAAAACTTTGTGATTATCAACAATTTTTCTGTTCCCCCTACCCCCAAAAACCCAAACACTTTCTACTTATAATTCTTAACAAATTAGTCTTTTCTTTAACCATATAAGAGCATTTGTTAATCAAAACTGAATTCCTAGCCAAATATCTCAGAGCAGCTTGCAAAGCATGTACTCAAGCAGATAAGAAGGTGATGACTCACCAAGTGGTTCTGTATTTACTATCAAGAAGAAAATAATGCAGGTAGATGTATCAAGAGAAAATAAAAGGCCAAGGACTATTTGAGAAGTCTCGTGGCAGACTAAAGAGAGAATACAATCACATCCATCTATGGAAAAGGTTTATTCTATTTCAACTTGCTATTTTGCTTAAATTCCAAAGGATTATCTTCACAGTGAGAACAGAGATCTAATTTTGGCTGGGGAAGTGAAACAAGGTGGTGGTTCTAGGCAGAACTTAGTGGTTTGTCATTGTACGTTTTGAAATAAATAAGAGTTCAAACTACCTTGATAGACTGTGGTACTCTAGGATACTGTCAGAGCTCTTTGCTCTGACTTTTATCTCTTAGGTAGAATTCAAATGTGGAATAAAACTGAGGAAATGTGGGATCAATGGAAGACAAAATAGTCTGTGGGCCTTAAGTTCTAAATGAAATTATTCATGGAAGGGGTCTATGTTTGTTATACAGATAGAATTTGTTTTCTAATGAAGAGACTTGTTATCTATATAATTACTTATAGAATCACATAGCAAGTTTCATGAAGTAAATAAATCCTGTCTATGCCTCATTTTAAAAATAATAAGCATGATTCTTTTATAATCCATGTATTTTGGTTAGAATGATTTTACCCTACAGAATAATAACACCTATTTCATGGGCAGAGTGTGAGAAATCTTTCAGCTGATAGATATGAAGCATGTGAAACGGCACCTAGTTCCCAGAAGTGTACAATAAACAGTAGCTATTATCACTAACACTCTAGATGGTAAATAATCCCCTTCTTACAAAAGAGGAGCTTGGATTTGAGAGCATTTTAGTGACTTCCACAAGGTACAAATTAAATCACCAGATTGAGAGTGCTGCCAGGTCATACTGAAATTATCTGAACTGTTTGCCTACTCCTAAATCTATTTCCAGACTCATAAATTCAAAGCCATAATTGAAATAGACTCACATGCGGGTAGTCAGAAAAGACATTGAGCAAAATGTTATTAAATCACATTTTATAATAAATACAGCTGCAGCAGGAACAAAATTTGAGATGGAAGCCACTCATCCCATCCTGATGACTTAGATCTTTTGCTGATGTCTGGAGACTTTGCAAGAAGAAACTGTCAAGGGTCTGTTTGTAAGAACAACCAAAGACCAGCAAGGAGAGGAATTTGCTGTGAGAAAACACAGCTCTAAGGAACACAAAACTGGTTCTATAATCAGTTGTTGTCAAAGGAGAGAATTTTTGAGTAGCCTGGTGAATAGCAGTGAGTCTGCCCTACAGATCCAAACTCCCTGAGCAATCCTGTGCCTAAGGGAAGAAAAGGAAGCAACAGAAAAACTCCAGGATCAGAAAAATCTCTATGAGATCTTGAGAGTGAAGACTAGCCCTGCACACTCAGGAATAGAATATGACATTTGTAGTGTGTAACCTAAGTAGAATGGAAGATGGTTTTTCTCAGTGGAAGAGGTAGCTGTTAGAAAAATTGGAAATTCAGAAAACAAGAAGTAAGAGAAGCCTAAACACATTGGAAGTGGCATCAAGAGAGGTCCTGAGAGCCCTGAGCAGGAAGTCACAACTCTCTTCATCACCAGGATAGCAAAGGGGGAGCCCACATTCCATGAAGTCTATGTTCCAAGGTAGAAGGGGGAAGTAGTAGATGCCCCGTGATAGGCAGGAGAGCTGCATTGGGTGCACACATAAAATGAGAACTTCCCCCCAAAAATTAGAGGAATTTGAGGGGGAGTCGAGTTTTTAGAATTCAGCAGGTGAGGGATGAACCAAACTCTGTTTAAACATTATTATATGGTTTAGATTTTCCTACAAACTGTGAATACACAATTAATTATTATTTTAGCTTTGTGAACAGAACTATGCTAGCACTGTGGCTATGACAGGGAGTGAAATATGGTTTTTGCTTTAAAAGACTTACAGATTTTGGGAGAAATGTAAGCTCCATGAGGGCAGGTGCTTTATCTATTTTGTTCATTTGTGTACCCTAGGACACAGAGAAGTACCTGGATGGAAGAGATGGAAGAGACAGTTATCAAATATTTACTGAAATAATTTTTAAGTGATCTAAGTTAAAGAAGAATTTTAAAGAGTGAGTTCTATTACATTCTTTTTGTTTGTTTGTTTGTTTTTGTTTGAGGGAGAGTTTCACTCTTGTTGCCCAGGCTGGAGTGCAATGGCATGATCTCAGCTCACTGCAACCTCCGCCTCCTGGGTTCAAGCAATTCTCCTATTTCAGCCTCGCAGCTAGCTGGGATTACAGGTGTCCACCACCATGCCCAGCTAATTTTTTGTATTTTTAGTAGAGATGGGGTTTCAATATGTTGGCCAGGCTGGTCTTGAACTCCTGACCTCGGGTGATCCACCCACCTCAGCCTCCCAAAATGCTGGGATTACAGGCATGAGCCACTGTGCCAGGCCCTCCATTTTTTAATGTATACCCAAGAAGACTGAAAACATATGTCCACAAAAAGATATTGTACACGAATGTTCAGAGCAGCTTCATTTATAATAGCCCCAAAGTAGAAATAACCCAAATGGATACAGGTGAAGAATGGATAAATAAAATGTGATATATCTATACAATGGGATATTATTCAGACATCAAAAGCAATGAAGTGCTGATTCATGCTACAACATGGGTGAACCTTGGAAACATTATGTTTAGTGAAGAGGCCAGTCACAAAAGTCCACATATTATATAATTCCATTTATATAAAATGTCAAGAATAGGCAACTCCACAGAGACAGAAACATAAGTTGTCAGAAGGTAGGAGAAGGGCCTTGGAAAAGGGAGGGACAGCTGATGGGTGTGAAATTTCTTTTTGGGGTAATTGAAATATTCTAAAATTGATCATGATAACAATTGTGCAACTTTGTGAATATACTAAAAACCTTTGAAGTGCACATTTTAAATGAATGAATTGTGTGGTATGTGAAATATTAAATAAAGCAAAAGAGAGAGAAATAAAAATTAAAGCAAAAGAGAGAAAGTGATATCTTCAGGATACTGTGGAAACACATAGAATATACTACTAGAAGCCAATGCAAAAGTAAGTTATTCCTACTTTAACCTTAATTTATCCTCCTACCTAGAGAATGTTGAAATGCTGCTCTTACAGAGATTTGCTACAGATGCTAAGTGAAAGAAAAATCTCATTCAAAATGAGATTGTTTTCTCAAATCTTCCTCCTTCACATTGGGGGTCATATGGCTTCTGTCTGCAGACTCTGTCCTACCCCAGGAATTAGACCAATCTTGACCTTGATCAGGGGATATTTATTGAACTCTAGTTCAATATTGCATGGACTTAGTATGGTTTCTACCCTCCTGTTAGTTTGGTCTTGATCTAAGCATTTGAATATAAGTCCTATTCCTGCATCTAAATCTCCAAGCTGTCCTTGCAGATCTGGATCTGTGCCTTTTTCTCTCATGCCTAAGCACTTAGCCTAAGACTTAGTGTGTTCAGACTGAAGCTTTGCCTGGCTTTTCAGGGCTTTTTCCAGGGATGAGGATTTTGTCCTTGATTGTGATTGGGTCTTGGTCAGACTTCTCAGATGCTAAACTCCATCCAGCACTCCCCTGTGCCATGCCTGTAACATAATTGGCCTTTGGCGATGCCGTATACTTAGCTGAATGCTACTGCTGCCTGTCCCCACCCTCCTCCCTGCCTATCTGTGTCTGTGAAGATACAGCATTCCAGGGGTCTGGTTGGACTTCCTCCTGCCACCGTTGTGCTGCTTTCTTCCTCCCAACTTCCTCACTCCCACATCACAGAGGTTCCAGATCATCCCAGTGACACCAATCCTGGTACAACTAACATTTTTTTATATCTAGATGGTTTTCATAAAAATAAAAATAATTTTGGTTTTGATAAAATGTATGCTTTTTCATTCAATTTATCCTGTTTAGAGATTCAGCAGATGTGTATTTATTAACTCAACATTGAATGCTTACTATATGAGGAGTATTGTCACAAACGTGGGAATACACACAGCTGAAATAAAATGATGATGAGGATGATGACAACTAATATAGGTGAATATTCAGGAAGTGCCCTCCCTAGACCAAATGAGGTAGATTATTTCATTTATTTTTCACAACAACCCTATATTTTACATTGTAACATGATCTGCGTTTTAAAGATGATAAAACAGACACAGGGAGCAGCATGCCCAGGATTCAAATGTAAGATGACCTGATTCTTTATACTAAGCTGTTTATTAAAAAAAAATAAATTTTATTGTGTATATTTGAGGTTTACAAGATGATGTTATGGGGTACATATAGATAGTAAAGTGGTTGCTATAGTGAAGAAAATTAACATATCTATCATCTCACATAGTTTCTTTTTTATGACAGGAGCAGCTAAAACTTACTTACTTAACGCAAATCCCTGATACATTTTTATTTATTCATTTTTTTTTAGACGGAGCCTCTCTCTGTTGCCCAGATTGGAGTGCAGTAGCGCGATCTCGGCTCACTGCAAGCTCCGCCCCCCGGGTTCACGCCATTCTCCTGCCTCAGCCTCCCGAATAGCTGGGACTACAGGCGCCCACCACCAACCTGGCTAATTTTTTGCATTTTTCATAGAGACGGGGTTTCACCGTGTCAGCCAGGATGGTCTCGATCTCCTGACCTGGTGATCTGCCCGCCTGGGCTTCCCAAAGTGCTGGGATTATAGGCGTGAGCCACCGCGCCCGGCCCCTAATACATTTTTATGAACTATAGTCCGCGTGTTGTACATTAGATCTCTAGAATTGTCATTCTACATATCTGCCTCTTTGTGTCCTCTGATCTACAACCCCCCATTTCCTCCCCTTCTTCCCTGCCCCGGCAACCACTGTTTTATTCGCTGTGTATGTGACCTCTTTTCTTCCTTAGATACCACATGTAAATGATATCATGCAATATTTTTATTTTTGTGTCTGCCTTATTTCACTTAGCATAATGTCCTCCAGGTCAATCTGTGTTGTAGGAAATGGCAGGATCCCATTCTTTTTAAAACCTGAATAATATTCCAGTGTTGATACTAAGCTCTTAATCGGCATGTTATACTCTCCAGAGAACTTAGGTTCTAATGACATTCAAAAATAGTGTGCTTAGTTATCACGAAGCAAACTTAGAGTAAGATAATATTCAGTCTTAAAAAGTCTGTTGAAAGGACTATGAATAGGTTTCCTACTCTCATTCCTACGATGACTCATCCAGGGTCAAGAACTAGAGTTTCACAAGACAGGGACAGAGACCAGAGGTCAAGTCCAAGGATGTTGTAAAGGCAGGGAGGAGCAGGTGAGTCCTACATGTCCAAACAGGCCCACAGGTGCACAGTCCAGGGAGTTTAATTTCAAAAATATGGGTGAGGACTTACAGGAGAAATCACAAGCCAGTCTGAGCTACAATATTTATGCATCTAGGCAGAGTCCCTGAGCAACAAATGTGGGGTATCAAGGTTAATAATGAGCATGATGGTGAGCCAGAGCTCTGCAATGTGATATGAGCCCTCAGAATTCCTTCCCAAATCCTGTGATGACACTAAGACAAGTCACATTTAAAGGGAGCAGACTACCTGATTGCAGTGGGGAAGTGAAGGGAGCAAGTATTTCTACCAAGATGTGTATCTGCTACCATTTAATAATATAGCCTCCAATGAAGAATAACCTATATCTAAAATCAGTGAATTAGATTCCTCTAAATGCCCCCTTTGACTTAACCACAAACAGAAGAAAAAAACATCAAAAGAACTAGAAGAATCAGTCAAATGAGCTAAGGCAACCTTGGGAACATCACAGAATATTCAAGGGCAGAAATAGACGAATAGCTCCTTTTGCAGCTGTGAGGATAGCTGCTGACTGCTGAGCAGGATAAGAGGGACACCAGTGTGGGGAGAAAGCACTTGAGCCTGACTGAAGCTTAGGTTAGGGTCACCAGTCAGTTAGTCTGCCCATAAAAGTCCATTCACTATTCATGCCATGAATTAAACTTTGTGGGATCTCTAAAATAGTGGATTTAAAAAAATTGTTTCTCAAGCTCAATTTTTCACCTAAACAAGTATTCCCTCCCTGACTTCAGTTCTGGGAGGTAAATAAACCTCCAAGATAGTAGCATGGAATTTGCATAGTGATAATGATCAGTAAGTCAGGTGGGATATGTGTAGTTGTGCATTTATTCCTAACTACATAGCTGTATGTTAATACAGACTGCAAGAATGAATGGTAAAAAGAGGCCCTCTATTTCTTCTTCTTTGGTTGTGAGGCCACTGATGATAAAAGGACATATTTAGATAACTTGCTTTTAAGCAGTAAACGTTTATTCAGCAAACTATAAATCAGGATTCTTGAGTTCTATTACCTCTTCCGTTTCACCTATTCTCATGATTAGAATTTTGCAAATGATGCACCTTCTCCCTGCCTCAACTTCTTTTCCAACTAAAGACTCCCACAAAACATGCCATCTACCAAATTCTCAGGAGGAAAGAGAAGAGCGATTGCAGCCATAACCTCCTAACTTATTCAGCACAACCTCCGCCAGCAACCTCATTCTCCCTCTGGCATTCAGAGGACTCTGATGTACCCCTTGCCCTCAAAAATGCTATCAACATAATGAAAGTTGAGATGAAAAGTAACCATTTAGTGAGCTTTCTCTTGCATATGTTTTAAAATCTTCTGGGAGTCAGAAGAATCTGCAGAACCTTGAGTCTGTGCTGGGATTCACTGTGGCTGTACCATATGGGGAAACCTGAGAAAATCTATGAGAACTATTTATTAGGGAGAAATGGGATGATGCCATTCCTCAACATTTAAGATCAAGAACCTCAAACTGAGATAGGCTTTCTGCCTCTAATTTCCCATAACTCTCTGTTTATACCATTCTCTTCCCACTATTGTCTCATATTTTCTGGTTCGGCTCTTTCCCCTACTAGACTATAAGCTTCTTCTATGTTTTTGTATCCTTAGTGCCTAGAACTGGGACAGGATATAATAAGAACCTAATGGAGTTTTGGTGAATTAATGCTACTTTAAGAAGAAAGAAAAGGGGTCCTGAATCTAATAGTGTTTGGGAAGTATACACTAGGGATCCTTAGGGAGGCCCAGTGATCTTTACATCAAGGTTTGCTCTCAGCCCTTTGTGATAAAATCAATTCAGACATGTCTTCAAATCTACTCACAGACAAGAGATGGAATAATAATAAGGGTAGCTGATATTTTTATAGTTCTTTTGTTTATCATGTTTATTTTTATGGCAATTTTTTAGAAACAATTTGGCAAAACTAATGATTATCATTTTAAAGTAGGCAAGAAGAAACCTAGTTATAGAGGACAGAAATCTAGAGTCAAGGATTCCTGACTCCTAATCCAGTGCTCTTTCCACTATAGCCCACTGTGAAATTTTGGAAAGAGTGGAAATAACTGTTTACACTAAAAGAAAATGAATTTTGGATCCCGATCAAAATGTGATATTGTGGGTCTCTGCAAACCACCTTAGTTGAGAGGTAGTCATTTTTCATTTAGGGGCCAGCACTTCTGTAGCTAAAAAAAGTCAGTGTATTCATGTGAAATGAAGAATGGGAAGTTCCCTGAAAAGGTTTGAAGGCTTAATTCAATTGATGTTGGCACAATAAACTCTAGGACTCATCCAAATCCATTATGAAGGGCTTCTCATGCCAGCAGATTTGCAAAAGTAGATGTGGAATTGCAACAAGTTCTTTCTGCTGTGTGTTTTAAGGTAGAGTGACACGAATCTCCTATTTTCACATGAGAGCTAAAGAGTATGTTTCTTTAATACTCATCTTCCTGTGTGAGTGATATTCTAAGGAAAAACAAAATTAAAATCTCTGACTCTTGGCTTACCCTTTCAGTGTATATAGCACTGAAAGGCTTTCTGATTCTCCACATTACGATGGGATGCACACATGTGGTTTTGGTAATGTGGAATAGAGACTGGAGGATTCCATCATCCCATATCCCCATGGTCTTTGACCAGGAATTACAGATATCAGGGAAAAAATGGAATTACTTGGTGCTACTTTCTAAAGCCAATCTTTTAGAATTAGGTGGACTTTTTAAGCTAAATATTTTGGTCCTTTTTTTCTGCTACACTTATGATAATATAGCTTAGTTCTGACTTTTTCATTACTTTTCCTCATTAACTTTCTACAAGACCTAATAGTGCAAGAAAGGGCTGAATTCACTGTTCACAGTCTTGTTTTTAGACATTCCAAAAATAAAAAGAAATACGGAATAATTTTCTGTTAGGTTGATGAGAGCTACAAGTAACAGAAAACCCTAAAAATTGACAAATGGGATCTCATTAAAGTAAGATCTTCTGCACCAGACACACACACACACACATGCAAACTATAATCGGAGTGAACAGACAACCTACAGAATGGGAGAAAAAATTTGCAATCTATCCATCTGACAAAGGTCTAATATCCAGAATTTACAAGGAACTTATAAAACATTCCAAAATAACCCAAGCAACCTCATTAAAAAGTTGGCAAAGGACATGAACAGACACTTCTCAAAAGAAGACATTTATGTGGCCAACAAACACATTAAAAAAAGCTCAACATTGCTGATCATTAGAGAACTGCAAATCAAAACCACAATGAGATACCATCTCATGCCAGTCAGAATGGTGATTATTAAAAATTCAAGAAACAACAGATACTGGCGAGGCTGTGGAGAAATAGGAACAATTTTACACTGTTGCTGGGAATGTAAATTAGTTCAACCATTGCGGGAGACAGTGTGGGGATACATTGAAGACCTGGAACTAGAAATACCATTTGACCCAGCAATCCCATTACTGAGTTATACCCAAAGGAATATAAATCATTCTACTGTAAAGATACATGCACGTCTGTGTTCACTGCAGCACCACTCACAATAGCAAAGACATGGAATCAACCCAAATGCCCATAGTGATAGACTGGATAAAGAAAGTGTGGTACATATACACCATGAAATACTATGCAGCCATAAAAAGGAATGAGATCATATTTTTTGCAGGAACATTGATGGAGCTGGAAGCCATTATCCTCAGCAAACTAATACAGGAACAGAAAACCAGCACCACATGTTCTCACTTATAAGTGGGAGCTGAACAATGAGAGCACATGAACATGCGAGGGGAACAACACACACTGTGGCCTGTTGGAGGGGGAGGGCAAGAGAGAGCATCAGGATAAATGGCCAGATGGCTAATGCATGTGGGGCATAATACCTAGGTAATGAGTTGATAGGTGCAGAAAACTACCATGGCACACGTTTGCATATGTAATGAACCTGCACATGTATCCTGGAACTTAAATTAAATTAAATTAAATATTTAAAAAAATGAAAAACAGAAAAGTTTGATTCAACTTGCTTAAACAATAAGAATATTAATTACCCTGGTAACCAGAAATGCAGAGATTCGACAGCTCTAAGGCATGGTATAGTCAAGACCTAGCTTTGAACCCCTCTGTGCCTTAGATTCTCTTATGACTAGCTTCTGGCAGGCTTCAAAATGTGACATGCAGATACAGCAATGACAGAAGGTCAGAAAAATGGGTCCATTTCTTCCACATACTGCTTTCAGGAAGAAAGAAAAATTTCTTAGAAGATGTCCTTTTATAGCTCATTGGCCAGAAGACACGTTTCTCATGGTCATGCTGAAACCAATCATTGGCAAAAGTACTGTGGCCACTGTGTTTGGTTTAGGCCAATTAGGAACCACCCCTGAGACTGATATTGGAGTCAATTTCCTTCAAATTATGACCACAGAGAAAGGTAGATACATGAGAAAGGAAGAAGTTGATGTGGTAGAAATTGGGGAGATGAATTGATGTTGGACAGATGACCAATAGGGTTTGTTACAAGGTTTATTCAGAATATTTGACATTTTTTAATATTTATAAATTCCAGCTTTGTCACTGCCTCTGTCACACTTACTATTGAGTATTTAATATGAGCTGTACTAGGACTTCAGGATTGTCTTAACTTGGGCTGCGATGACAAAGTATCATAGACTGGGTAGCTTCTAACAACCGAAATTTATTTCTCACAGTTCTGGAGGCTGGGAAGTCCAAGATCAAGGTGCCAGTAGATTCAGTGTCCAGTGAGATCCTTTATCTGATTCGCGAATGGCTCCTTCTTCTTACTGTGTGCTCATCTGGCAGGAGGGACTAAATAGCTGTCTGCATTGTCTTTTGTAAGGGCACTAATCCCAATCATGAGGGCTCTGTCTCCATGAGCTAAATCACTTCCCAAGGGAACCATCACCTCAGAGGTTAAGATTTGAACACATGAACTCTGGGGGAACACATGGCAAGGATATTCAGACTAGAGCATGGATATGAAGATTTTAAAAGGCAATATTTCTGCTCTAGAAGAAAATATAGTCTTTTCCACACTGTTAAGAAAAGGCACAACAAAAGAAAACAGTGAGAATGTCTATCACTCCAAAAAAAAAAAAAAAAAAAAAGCTTTTTAGGACCTGCTGTTCCACTAATTACCAGAAGTAAATTATAGCACTTCCATATAAAATAATAAGGAAATAAGAGACTAGAGTTTCACCTATTTTCATAAGCACATCATTTATTATAAATGCAGGTGGATAGAGAGGGGGAGAAGTTAACAATAAGATTCCACTGGCCCCATATGAGGCCCATGGTATTATAGAACTAAAGAGAGCTGAGTTTTTTAATTGAAAATAAGATAAGTAATTATCTTGGATTCTTGTTCTAAGAAGGTAGTAATTAGAGTGGATCCCCACTCCAGGGTCCACACTCCTGGCTTACAACCTGATAGAACTCCCCAGCTTGATGTTAACAGAATAAATAAAACAATATATCCCCAAATCCATGGGGAAGGCAAGAACATGATTGGGGATTTTAAATCCTGTAATTCTTGGATTCAGAGTATGGAAAATACAGGTAATTTCAGTAAGAGATCCCCACTGTTAGAATCTATAACACCCTATGGTGTCTTTAAAAAGAAGAAAATGCGTCACTAGTGGCTCAATCCCATACTCCTTTAAAATGTGTTAAGCTTGACAATTCAAGCTGATGGCAAATAACTCCTTTCTCAAGTAATGTTTTAATCTGAAAGAAATATATTATTTAAAAGGGAAATCCCCATTAATGCCAAGATACGGAAACAACTACTTAGAATACACAGCAACATGAAAGAGTAAGATAAAAGGAGAGAAATTGAACATCAAACATGTTCCTCTAAACCAGAAACAGAAGAAAGTGTTCTTTAGAAGATTAGACAGGTCTTGAATTTTTATTGTTGGCAAAGAACAGTGTTTAAAGGCAAGAGCTCAACCTTTCTACAGGGCAGTGTAGTTTTTAAATTCGTGGAGCAAGATGGTGACACTGGCTGTATGTACTAGCATAAAGAATTGAAAACAATATGACCTGAATGATACTCAAAAACTGATATATTAAAGACTCATGTTGAGAGACAGATCATGAGCAGAGCCAATTTTGATTTTAAGCATAAAAGTGGATATGTTGTTATGAAAGTTTAAGTTTGAGTATCACACTTATGAAAGTTAAGCTTTGAATGTCACAAGATATTGGGGTAAAGGAAACTGAAGAGTCATCTAGTTTAACTCAAATTCTTAAGTAGAGAAGAGGGTATGAGGCTTCACAATGACAAGTGGTCTAGTTTACAGGTAATTCTTGTCCCTATTTGTAGGACTTCCTGGGAGGGTCAGGTTAAGATCCCAAATAACAAAAAAGGAAGAAATGAAATGAGAAATTGCTTCTGCGAAACACAATTGTATAGCAGCTAAATTTTCTATGGTTTAAATGAGGAATACGTAACACATGCACACAAGGCTATAAATTCTTAGCCTTCCTTGCTAACTTTGTGTGAAGAATAGTTATATCTTTTTGTAAAAAATATGCTTTAGCATCAGAACCAGAAAGCCTGTTGAATCTTAGTAAAAGCACTAATACTATTTCCATTTTTATTTCTCTTCCAATTTTGTATAAAAGGTACATTTTCATTAGGGGAATTGGGTAGCTAATTCTCTTGGAAAGATTCAGCTGTCACTGAGTAACACAATCTTTCCCCGCCCTCCTCGCCCAGGCTGGCAGGGACTGTGCTTCAGCTAATAACAGTGGCTCTGCTTTGCTGGGATGCTTCGAGCTGCTGTGACAGCTGACAGGAGAGTAGTAACCGCTAAGGTGTCAAGCCATCCTTTCCCCAATTCCATTTGCTTTGGGAATGTGCTAAGTTGAAAGTCCATAAGAGCCATTTAAGAACAAGTATTAGTAGATGGTATTATAGGTTTCTGTTCCTCTACACAGTCCATTTAAGGAGGAAAAATAGTTTTTCTAATACCATCTTAAGTGACTTTACGGTTATCGATACAAAACACCTTGGAAAAATATCCCAGTGCATATGTTATCTTGATGTTTAAGCAAGAGAAGATTTACAAATGTTTAAAATTTCCAAATGTTTTAAACTTTCTACCTAAGGAATAGCAGATAATATTTTTCTTCAGTAAGGGGTCACAAAATATTAATTTGATACAAGATATAACAAAAAGTCAATTAGATTTCCAGCGCATGTAGGGTTATGTCTTCTGTGGACTTAAAACATTCTTCATCAACACTTTTTTTTATTTTGGAGACAGAATTTTTGCTCCTATTGCCCAAGCTGGAGTGCAATGGTGAGATATCACCTCACTGCAACCTCCGCCTCCCAGGTTCAAGTGATTCTCTTGCCTCAGCCCCCCGAGTAGCTGAGATTACAGGCACGCACCACCATGCTTGGCTAATTTTTTGTATTTTTAGTAGAGACAGGGTTTCACCATGTTGGCCAGGCTGGTCTCGAACTCCTGACCTAAGGTGATCCACCCGCGTTGGCCTCCCAAAGTGCTGGGATCACAGGCGTGAGCCACCGCACCAGGCCCAACACTTCTTTTCATCTTGGATGTGATAATGTGCTCATGAAGGGTTGGGTAAAATCCACAAATCCACAGATTGCAAAGCACTGTGGAATTGAGTTAAGCACTGTGGGAAATCAAAACCTAATATAATACAATTCCTATTTTCAAGGATCTTCCTGATTGCAAAAACAATTATATGGAAGCTTAACAATTTCTACCTAAATAAAATGACGATTTTGGTATTTCAGAGAGCCAGCATGGTTTTCTAGACTGAGTGCTCACTTGCCTTGCAATCAAATGCTTCAATTAACATCTACACACTGACACTTACTCACTTTCCTCATTCATAAGAAGGCTGGACTAGATTATTTTTAAGTTCAAACATTTCGTGATTTACATCTTTAAAATATGTGCTTTTTTATAGTGATTTACAATGCAGCTAACAGGTTAGATTAGTAAATTATCAAAAACATTACCTAAGATTTGAGTGAATTTAGATTAATAAAAAAGTTTTAGGTTCTAACAATGTTTTAACAATGATTTTGAATAAAAACACCTTGACTGTGTGCCTCCTCACTAACTAAATATTTGTGAATGAGCGTATTTTCATTATTTTTAAATAAGACAAACTGAACTTCTATACAGAGCTGCTATTTACACATGAGGTGTTTGCTTTTTGGTTTATCTTGCTGACTTGGGCCAATCTCCCAAGCGGTTTTAACTGAAGACAAGGTTATCTTGCCATCCTTGATTTGGGGCAATCAGCCATCACAAAACAATTCTTGGTAATAAACATTAGAAGGAGAGGCCTGCAAGCAGCTCCAGTATGATAAATAAGGATATCGTTTTCCAAATAGGAAACAGGAGGAGGTTAATTTAAAATAAACCACTATGAGGTTTCTTACAGAGTTATCATCACCTGCCTTTCAAAATAAGCATACTCATTACATGTGAGGGCAATTGTTCATCTGAACATCTTGTTTACTTGTCTGATTGTTCTCCCCAGGTATAATGATTTTCAACAGGTCAATCAGTGGTTCTAAGCGCTTTTCAAGCCTATTTAACAGGATAATTTGGTCAAAGAGCACATGTTATATAAATTGCCCTCCCTTAACATTCCCCATCATGAAGGCATGCACTCAAGAGTTTCATGCAAACCTGTCTTTACATTTGCCTCTTCCACTTTCCTGGAAAGTTGGATAAGTTACTTGAAATTTTTTAGTCTCATTTCCCTGGTCTAGAGTTTTTCAGGATTGGGGAGGTTGAGTCCTAACACTGGGACAGTCCCAGGCATCTGTTCAGGCTCATTGATGACGGAGAGGGAAGGAGACAGCATCTCGGCCACTTCATGATAACATAAATAAATCACATAACTGATGAACTATGTGTAACATAATCTTAATCTGGCATTTATTTTCAGATATTAAGGTTAAGTACTATATCAATTTTTTAAAAGTAAAAAATTATTTCTACCTGCATAGAAGGCATTACCTGGGTTGATTGATTGATTGATTTAGAGACAGGGTTTTACTCTGTAGCCCCAGCTAAAGTGCAGAGGCACATCACACCCCACTGCAGCCTCTGCCTCCCGGGCTCAAGCAACCCTCCCTCCTCAGTTTCCTGAGTAGGTGAGGCTACAGGCACACACCACTACACCCAGCTAATTTTTGTAGTTTTTGTAGAGACTGCCGTGTTTCCCAGGCTGGTCTCAAACTCCTGGGCTCAAGCCATCAGCCTGCCTTGGCCTCCCAAAGTTCTAAGATTATGGGCATGAGCCACTGCACCTGGCCTGATTGTATTTTATTTTTAAATAAGCCAGTTCATGAATAATTAAATGAAAACATTATAATAATAAACAGACAAAAAGATTGCTAAATAATAAATCTAGTTTATAACTAATATATCTATCTCACTTCCTTAAATTAGTTTTCAATGCCCTTAATTTGTATGTGTGTTAACATCTCTCAATTTTCAAAAATTTTTAGTTTTTTGAAAAATAGCATGGCAATTGAAAGACTGATTTTTAAAGTGAACAAAACATTGACTCCCAGAAGAAAAATTTTAATGAACAAAACATCGATTTCCAGAAGATGAACAAGTTCACATGTTCATATGTAATCAAAATATGTGACACTAATTATAGGTGTATTTACACTTTTCAAACACCAATATTAATTCCTGAATACATATGCTATTAAGCCACTTTTGAACACAGAAAAGATGGCTAATTGATAATGTATTTTTGTAGCAAAGCAAGTTTTCATGCCAATTTTACATTTTGGGATTCATTAGATAATAACCTCCATTCCTTCTTATTAAACAGAAATAAAAGCATCCAATATACATGCTTTTCTAGATGTGGAAGGCTACATTTGACAATCAATTATTAAAGTAAAATTAAACCTGGCTTTGGGAGGCCAAGGCAGGGGCATCTCTTGAGCCTAGAAGCTCAAGATCATCCTGGGCAACATAGTGAGGGATCCAGTCCCTAAAAAAATATATAAAAAAGGCGAGGTGTGGTGGCATGTACCTGTAGTCCCAGCTACTCGGGAGGCTGAGGTGGGAGCGAGGCTTAGGTCCAGGACTTAGAGCCTGCAGTGAGCCATGATGGCACCACTGCACTCTGGCTTGAGCAATAGAGTAAGAGTCCATCTGAAAAAACTAAACAAAACAAAATAAACCTGGTGTTGTCTGACAACCTAACTTTTGGAACTAACACCAGTCCATGGGGAGTCCTGAGTGGTATCAGAAAAATGCCATTTACATCAGATAATAAATATTCAGCCCTCTACCACAAATCCTGCACAGAATAACTCAATAAATATTAGCAGCAATGACAATTAACAACTGCTTTCAGTTCAGCAGCTTATGGATCCTTGATATTCTTAGCTTCCTAATCGTTAGTAATTCCATCACCTTTTAATGAATGAGTCAGAAATTTAAACAGCAAAAGGGAGACAAGGCAAAACTAAACATCTGTGAATTTTATTAATTATTAGCAATTCCTTATAAAAGCCAAGAGGGGACCGGGCGCAGTGACTCACACCTGTAATCCCAGCACTTTGGGAGGCCAAGGCGGGTGGATCACCTGAGGTCAGGAGTTCAAGACCAGCCTGGCCAACATAGTGAAACCCCGTCTCTACTAAAAACACAAAAAATTAGCTGGGTGTGGTGGGGGGGTGCCCGAAATCCCAGCTACTCAGGAAGCTGAAGCAGGAGAATCATTTAAACCCAGGAGGCGGAGGTTGCAGTGAGCCAAGATTGCGCCATTGCACTTCAGCCTGGGCAACAGGAGGGAAACTCTGTCTCAAAAAAAAAAAAAAAAAAAAAGCCAAGAGGGGATTAGAGTGGCCCTAATGGTTAAAATCATGACTAAAAGTTGTTTAAATGACCCTTTCAATGCCATTCCCCTTTTGCACTGTTTAATCAAGAACTGGTTGCAGTGGCATATTTGAGGTTAAGAAATATTGAGAAAAGGAAAAGGTGTATGTGTGGTTTCTGCTTCACTGGGTTGTCAGGAGAATGGCAATAACATAACCATTTAAAATGGAAAAATGGAGCAGTAGGCCCTACTCTGAAGAAGATAGGACATATTTTCAATGTTTCCTGAATGTTACAAGACATAAGAACAGCTACCCGGGGGGTTCCTATCTTGAAGACTGGAAAATTATGAGCAAAAGCAACTAGCAAAATAAAAGAATCTGGAATATTTATCCTCTTATGATGGCTAGACTTCAGACTTCCTGAAATAGCCTTTCTCTTGGCTTCTAAGCCACTGCTTCTCAAACTTTAATGTTCATACAAATCACCCAGGGATCAGGTGAAAATGCACATTCTGATTCTATAAGCCTGGGGTGCAGCCTGGTGTTCTGCATTTTTAACCAGCTGGTCTTCAGACTCTTCTTGAGTACCAGGCTTCTGTCTTACTTACATTGTAATGTTTCTTATGCTCATGGTGACGGTACATCCTGTACTCTTTAACATAGCCTAAATTTTATTGGTATTTCATTATTTTCAGCAAAGTCAATTAGCTAACTAAATTGATTTAATTTTTATACCTTTTGGAAGCTGTTCATATAAAAGATTTCCCTCACCAGAAGTCCAATGTCTTGACTTGGGGTTTTAGAAGATGGTCTTATCACAAGTGACTTAGCAAAGATTACCTCTCTCTCTCTTTTTTTTTTTTTTCTTGAGACTTCTCGTCTTACTCCAGTAGCCCTTTGTGTATCTGCATAACAACTTGACTGGAATAAAGTAATGATTATTTTCTATCAATCAAGGCTAAATGAGTCACCTATGAAGAAAAAACTGTTCAGATGGACTGGAGCCCTGGGCTAGGTATTACAACTGGAAACAAGGGAGAATGTGATTTAGGAAACCTTCCTAATGGTCATAGGAATTGCTTTCTTTTCTATCAAAAAATAAATTGAAGAAAATCTCTTCTCTGGTCTCCAGGCTGCAAGCTCTAAATCTTGGCTTCATGCATTAATGAAGTTACACTTCACTCAGGAGAGCTGAGTTAATTTCTTAGTCTGTCACTCACTAGCTGTTTGACATTGGTCAAGCAAAGGTCATAATCACCTTTGAGAACTTCTGTTTTCTTATTTTTTTTTAATGAGAGAACAAAGTTAGGGAGGCAACTAAATGCCTATAAGCTCTTGTTCAACTTCAAAAAGAAAATATAAATATATGGCATCAAATCTGAGCTCTTACCAAATTCCTAAGGGCTTGATATTCTGATTATGATATGGTGATTATGATTTGATTATAATTTACCAAGCAGTTGATAAGAAATTGTTATATGTAATCCAAAGCAAGCCCTTGAAAACCTTGTGTCTCCCAAAGATAATTAGAAACTAGGATTATCCAGGCGACATTTGAATTTCTGTTAGTAAAATCTTGAAAGTTGCCGTACTATGTCTCTATGCGACTGGACTCAGGCTAAGGGCTACTTTCAGATCTCATTTTAGCACTCTGGACCATTCTCATCTGAATAACAACAGTGAACTTCATTTTAGTATGATGGCAAAAGTCTCCTTTTCTAAACTCTAAATCACTGAAATAGTAATGGGAAATAAAATAACATTCACCATCTCTTTGAAAGAGGACAACAGAATTTGCCTGGGTGTATATGTTAGTCTGGTTTCTTCAAGACCCAAGTAACTGTTCAATCAAAAACTCAATCAATTAACAAAATCATGGACAAGCTCTGGAAAACCTGTAACAGAGGATAAAGGAAGTCTTTAGAACCTAAATTGAAGGAGAAGTACCATAAGCTTTCTCCAGAACTTTAATACCTTTGAATTAATTAATTAATTTTTTTTTTTTTTGAGACAGAGTCTGGCTCTATTGCCTAGGCTGGAGTGCAGTGGCACCATCTCGGCAACCTCTGCCTCCTGGGTTCAAGCGATTCTCCTGTCTCAGCCTCTGGAGTAGCTGGGATTACATGCATGCACCACCACACCCGGCTAATTTTTGTATTTTTATTAGAGACGGGGTTTCACCTTGTTGGCCAGGCTGGTCTCGAACTCCTGACCTAAGGTGATCTGCCTGCCTCAGCCTCCCAAAGTGCTGGGATTACAGGTGTGAGCCACTGCACCCAGCCTGAATAATTTTTTCTTAAGTGACAGTCTATCAGAGTTTTAGAAAAATTCAAATTCTGGGCAGGAGCATACAACACATTACTATGCAAAAGGTGAAAATTAAACATTTACAAACTACCTCTAGAAAGCATTTTCGTGAAAGTTTAAAGTGTATGTTGAAGAGAAGAAATATTGATATGAAAAACTCCAGTGAGCCACAAAACTACTTGAGTCTCTTAACTCCATAATCATTTTCAACCACCACCACCCAGATGGAAAAACACAAGCCTAAACGAATGTAATGCTTCCCCTCTCCTGCTTCCCAGGCAATTCATGCCTTCACACTGATGACTTCAGGTAGCGATCATTTAAAAGTAAATGTATAATGACTTGTTATGTGACTCTCTCCCAGCACCAGGAAACATGGATCTCTGTGTGTTTGATTACAGGTCAAATTCTCCATTCAGGGAGCAATTAAAAGTTGCTATAACTTTTAAGTCATTGAAATGAGAAAGAAAATCCAAGAAATGAAATTTGCTTGATGATTCTATTGCCTTTATCTAACACTGATTTTCACATGAAAAGTATTGCTTTCAAAAGTCCTAATTAGAAGGCCACCCTTAATAGCTGCATCTACAAGACATCAGCAATACATAGTAAAAGAATTAAGCAGAATATGGGAACTTTGATATTGGTGTCTTAATGGGGAAACAGCTTTCAATCAAGTAGCCCTGTCTGTATTCTATGTTGAAAAGGAGTTTTTAAACCAAAACTACATGGATTATGCTCAATGGACTCTATCGATAATTTACAACTCTTCTATTTACTATGTTCCTTTTAATCATAAGCTAAATTTCTTAATGGAAAGAAAATATTAAATGGTAACAATATGGAGATATTTGTCTTTGGTAGAACCTCTCTTTACAGCCTATGAAAGGGGAAAATCGGATACTACCAACACCAACTTTAATCTGATATATTTCTAGTCACTTTGGTTTCTGAAATCAGTCTGTGCAGAAATCTTTTTCATACAATGTCACGTATTTAATCTTGGTAGTAAAACAGCATTACTAGTTAGAAGGAATACATAAAGTGAGTTTAATTATTCTTTTACTTTCCATGAATTAATAATAGAAGCATTATTTTTCTCATTGCATTTGTAATGAGTGAAGACTGACAACCCTTTCTGAACACAAATTCCAGTAACTCAGAATTATGATGAGACTTGAAGAATTTTAAACATTTCCTACATTTAAGAAGAACTCGGTGGCTCACGCCTGTAACCCCAGCACTTTGGGAGGCCAAGGCTTGTGGATCACGAGGTCAGGAGATCAAGACCATCCTGGCTAACACGGTGAAACCCCGTCTCTACTAAAAATACAAAAAATTAGCCGGGCGCGGTGGCGGGCACCTGTAGTCCCAGCTACTCAGGAGGCTGAGGCAGGAGAGTGGCGTGAACCCGGGAGGCGGAGCTTGCAGTGAGCCGAGATCCCACCACTGCACTCCAGCCTGGGTGACAGAGCGATACTCCGTCTCAAAAAAAAAAAAAAAAAAAAAGAGAAGAGCTGCTCTTTCAAAACTACTGCCACTGTTGAAGAAATTCAAGATTGTCATAAATGCTCGTGTAGGTTTTAAGGAAAAAGTTATCTGAGAAATATAATAAATCATCTGGGTTTTTCATTTGTTTTACCAAACAGTTATAATTTTCCTCTTGTTACAGTGAACTTTTTATTGCCCAGAATCCAATTGGTAAAAGCTCTTTATTAACCAAAACTTATTTGTACTACCTCCCCTGACACTATCGTAAAAATGTTATAGCACAATATTTAATAGCAACCCTAAAATGAAAATGATGACTTAGAAGATTCTGGATTATTTTCTGAAACATCAAGAAATCAATTTACTCATAGATAATCTGCCTCAGTTAGAGTAAGTCTCAGTTGACTAAGATTTGAGAAAACAGAATACCCAAATCTCAATCGTGCAAACAGAATTTACTCTGTATATGACTGATACCTAAAGAGTGGGAGGAACGTTCACAGAATTTTAGAAAAGGTATCTAAAACCAAATGAGAAGATAACAATATAATTAACAGTCTTTGCGTTGTATTTATTGGTTTAGATAATTATAAATTGTTCCATTGCCTAAATGAAATTAGGAGACTTAAAAGCTAAAACTTAGAGAAGAGATCCAGAGAATGAATCCAATCCCCTCATACTGCAGATGGGAAACCAAAGCCCAGAAGTTAAGTGATATTGGGTTTGGACCAATATCCAAGTCCAAGTTTCCATTCAATGTATTTTCCATAACAGAACGCTTTTAAAAAATAGATAAAATATAGGCTAAAATTGGAGTTGGGGAAGCACAAATAGGGGTGAGCAGGGATGGAGGCTACCAGCATTTGAAGAGCCTGTTACTAGGTGTCAAGCATTGTTATCGATACTTTTATTATTATTTATTTATTTACTATGATTATTATTATTATTTTTTGAGATGGAGTCTCGCTCTGTCACCTACGCTGGAGTGCAGTGGCGTAATTTTGGCTCACTGCAAGCTCCGCCTCCCGGGTTCACGCCATTCTCCTGCCTCAGCCTCCTGAGTAGCTGAGTAGCTGGGACTGCAGGCACCCACCACCATGCCCAGCTAATTTTTTTGTGTTTTTAGTAGAGACAGGGTTTCACCGTGTTAGCCAGGATGGTCTCGATCTCCTGACCTCGTGATCCACACGTCTGGGCCTCCCAAAGTGCTGGGATTACAGTGTGAGCCACTGCTCCTGGTCTATTTTTAATTTTTTTTTTATTGTACTTTAAGTCCTGGGATACATGTGCAGAATGTGCAGGTTTGTTAACATAGGTATACATGTGCCATGGTGGTTTGCTGCACCCATCAACCCGTCATCTACATTAGGTATTTCTCCTAATGCTATCCCTCCCCTAGCCCCTGACACCCGGTCATGTGATGTTCCCCTCCCTGTGTCTCATTGTTCAACCCCCACGTATGAACGAGAACATGCAGAGTTTGGTTTTCTGTTCCAGTGTCAGTTTGCTGAGAATGATGGTTTCCAGCTTCATCCATGTGCCTGCAAAGGACATGAGCTCATCCTTTTTTACAGCTGCATAGTATTCCACGATGTATATGTACCACATTTTCTTTATCCAGTCTATCATTGATGGGCATTTGGGTTGGTTCCAAGTCTTTGCTATTGTAAACAGTGCTGCAATAAACATACGTGTGCATGTGTCTTTATAGTAGGATGATTTATAATCCTTTGGGTATATACCCAGTAATGGAATTGCTGGATCAAATATTATTTCTGATTCTAGATCCTTGAGGAATTGCCACACTGTATTCCACAATTGTTGAACTAATTTATACTCCTACCAACAGTGTAAAAGCATTCCTATTTATCCATACCCTTTCCAGCATCTGTTGTTTCCTGACTTTTTAATGACTGCCATTCTAACTGGCATGAGATGGTATCTCATTGTGGTTTTGATTTGCATTTCTCCAATGACCAGTGATGATGAGCTTTTTTTCATATGTTTGTTGGCCACATAAACGTCTTCTTTTAAGAAGTGTCTGTTCATATCCTTCACCCACTTCTTGATGAGGTTGTTTGTTTTTTTCTTGTAAATTTGTTTAAGTTCTTTGTAGATTCTGGATATTAGCCCTTTGTCAGATGAATAGATTGCAAAAATTTTCTCCCATTCTGTAGGTTGCCTGTTCACTCTGATGGTAGTTTCTTTTGCTGTGCAGAAGCTCTTTATTTTAATTAGATCCCATTTGTCAATTTTGGTTTTGTTGCCATTTGGTGTTTAGTCATGAAGTCTTTGCTCATGCCTATGCCCTGAATGGTATTGCCTAGGTTTTCTTCTAGGGTTTTTATGGTTTTAGGCCCTACATTTAAGTCTTTAATCCATCTTGAGTCAATTTTAGTATAAAGTGTATGGAAGGAGTCTAGTTTCAGTTTTCCGCATATGGCTAGTCAGTTTTCCCAACACCATTTATTAAATAGGGAATCCTTTGAATCTTTTCCTCATTGCTTGTTTTTGTCAGGTTTGTCAAAGATCAGATGGTTGCAGATGTGTGGCATTATTTCTGGGGCCTCTGTTCTGTTCCATTGGTCTCCATATCTGTTTTGGTATCAGTACCATGCTGTTTTGGTTACTGTAGCCTTGTAGTAGAGTTTGAAGTCAGGTAGCATGATGCCTCCAGCTTTGTTGTTTTTGCTTAGGATTGTCTTGGCTATGTGGGCTCTTTTTTGGTTCCATATGAAATGTAAAGTAGCTTTTTCTAATTCTGTGAAGAAATGCAATGATAGCTTGATGGGGATAGCACTGAATCTATAAATTACTTTGGACAGTATGGCCATTTTCACAATATTGATTCTTTCTATCCATGTGCATGGGATGTTTTTCCATTTTTCCATTTGTTTGTGTCCTCTCTTATTTCCTTGAGCAGTGGTTTGTAGTTCTTCTTGAAGAGGTCCTTCACATCCCTTGTAAGTTGTATTCCTAGGTATTTTATTCTCTTTGTAGCAATTGTGAATGGGAGTTCACTCATGATTTGGCTCTTTGTTTGTCTGTTATTGGTATATAGGAATGCTTGTGATTTTTGCACATTGATTTTGTGTCCTGAGACTGCTGAAGTTGCTTAACAGCTTAAAGAGATTTGAGGCTGAGATGGTGGGGTTTTCTAAATATACAATCATGTTATCTGCAAATAGAGATAATTTGACTTCATCTCTTTCTATTTGAATATGCTTTATGTCTTTCTCTTGCCTGGTTATTGACACTTTTATATGTTTATCGCATTATGCACTGTGCTCAGTTTAGAGATGAATAAACCGAAACTGTCTCATGATGAGAGGTCATCACAACCCCAAGGTCTATGCAATTTCTCTATATTGACCCCAGAAACAGACTGACTACGTCTCTGGTGATTGGTTGACTATAAACTGGCTTATTTGCTCACATACTCATTCAACAAACGTATACTGAGCCTTTTCTTTGTGCCATACCCCATCCTGGAAGTTGGGTGTGCAGTGAGCAAGAGGCTTAACCCTTGCCCTCAGATAGTCAGTGGGCACAGGGGCCAACTCCACTCTTTTCTACCCCACAGTGTCTCTCAGTCATCGCCACGGTTGGGAACCCCCACTTCAAACTACTTTGGAAACTCTGATAATGACCAGATCCTTGAGAAAAACACCAGAAAGCTTAATATCACCGCTTTATATACGTCTTCACTAACGAAAGGCTATTAATGCAAATGGTTTCAATAACAATTGGCAAATATGTTTTTCACAGTAGTTTTCCACAGTATGGAAACATCAAATTTCAGATTTGTTTCAGAATTAAGTATATTATGAAAATTTTACAGTTTCGTTAAATCTGTCAACTCAAATATGCTAAAATTTGAGTATGGTGCAATGTAATTTTTAAAGTTAGGTTTATTTTAGACTCTATGCAACAAGATCAATTAGAGAAAAGGTGATCATTGACCATAGGAATTGTGGTCCTATGCATTGACCATAGGGGTTGTGTTGCATCGAACTGTTAGCATAATGCTTGAAGCACCAATTCTGAGAATGTAAACCATTCTTATATCATAGACAGCATATATCCTGTGAATAACAGAGCACTCAAAAGAATGAATAAACTTGGTATATGGCTTTTCCAGGCATTTTATAAATACTCACTGCAAACTTACATATATAACTGGGTTTTGTATTTGAAAACAGTACTAATCATTCTTTCACCAACCAGGCATGTATATGTGCAGATAAGAATGATGTATGTCGGAGAGGCCTGTCTACACTGCCTAGATGAGATTTGCCCTTGATTTGCAGCCACAGCTGCTAATGGCAAAACATACAGCTATTTTCAACCACTCCACTTAGATTCACATTCTTCTCCGCTCTGGTGCTTTAAAAAGCACCAGGATGCTTGCTTGTCTCCACTGCGTCCTGGCAGGCCATTATTCTACAGACTGATTTTAATTTGAGCTTAGGCATGTCATCACAAGTTTGTGGGAGAGTCATCTAAAATCATCAGAAACATGATGACTGTGTTCTTGAAGCACACATGCAGGATGTCACGCAAAAGATTATAGATCACTTTGAAGAGTCAACATTGTCTCCCAGAGTGATGATAAATCCCGAGAAGATGTACACCTCCACATAACAAAGATCCTCCCTGGTATTGTAGAGATGAGACGTGACATGCATCGACACTGTGTCCCATGATAGACTGACAAAGAAGCATGGTGATACCTCAATTGTTCACAACTTCTGTGGGTAAAACATACTTTGGGCAAAGTTGGCCCAGGTAGGGGAAAATTCCTGACTCTTCATTGTTTTAGTGGCTGCTGAGAAAGCTCAACCATTTCTTTTGTAAAGCCTTCTGAGACCCATCAAGAAGAGGTGATCCCTTCCTCCTTTGCACCTTTACTAGCGCTTTGACATGTTCTTGTTTTTGTATCAATTTACAATCTCCTCCCTTCCTAGACTCTTATCTCTTCGAAGGAAAGATCTGTTTCTTTGAATTCCTAACACATTTCATAGTTCCTGACATAAAATTTTGGGATTAAATATGGGTGGATGAATGAATGGATGAATGGATAGGGAGAGAAAAACAAGACTCAGTAGGCTACTGAAGTTGTCTGGCCTGGGGCTGCTGAACTAGAACTAACTCACCCCATGCTCCCACCGTTGAGTCAACTTGGAGAGAAAAAATGAGGGAAGTAATCTCAAGCAGTTATTATATGACATCTGTGCTACTTGATAGGAGTCGCTACTGAGAGGAGAAGAAGCTTCCTCCATTTTAACCAAGGTTGTTGCAGATCAACCTTCCTCCTGGTATGAGGAGAGAAGAGATTATTATTCTGTAGAGATCCAGTAAGGTGGGTAAATCGGGATGATACAGAAAAGAATCTTTGAAATATGACACACATGGGAACCAACCAGAATTTAGCCAATTACTAATTAGCTGAGAAATCTGGGACAAGTTACGTGGTTTCACTGAGTATCTGGCTCTTCATCTACAAATTAAATTCATAATATCTGCTTTGCAGCATGATCAGAGGAGCTCTAAGGAGCATATGTTCAGTGCCTGGCACAGAGAGATACTCAATAAATATTTTCATTTAAAATAACCATGTATATGCATTACCTTATTTTTAGTTGTATAATGACATTTTATTTCACTAAATTTGACATTAATGTTGTTGGAAATTATCCTCTTGGTTAATTCTGGTTTTTCTGCAGAAAAATAGATTCATTTTTCTTTCAATGAGGTAAGTCTTTAGTGCCTACCATCAGGCAAAATGGTGTATCTAGAGGGCCTGTAATATTCTTAGGAAAATGTCAAATAAAATGGGGTGACCATAAGAAAGGTCCATACCAGGATGACTGAATCACACAGCATGCAAATAAGAAAGCTTGAAAGGTAGGAGGAATAGTCATTCAAAGACACATGCTGTTATGGATTGAATGTTTGTGTCCTTCCAAAATTTATATGTCAAAATCCTAACCCTAAGGTGATGGTACTGGAAGCGTGGCCTTTGGGAGGTACCTAGGTTATGAAAGTGGAGCCCTCATGATGGAATTAGTGCCTTTATAAAAAGGAACCCAGAGAGCTCTTTTGCTCTCTTTCCAACCGTTGAGAGGACAAGGAGAAGCAGGCAGTCTATGACCTGGAGAAGTCCCTCATCAGAACCCAATCATGCTGGCACCCTGACCTGAGTTCCATCCTGTAGGACTGAGGGAAATGAATTTCTGTTGTTTATAAGTCACCTGGTCTCTGGTGTTTTGTTATAGTGGCACAAATGGACACATGCATACATATGCATATGGATAAGAAGGAGCTCATGGTTGCTTGGGTTTAAAGAATAATATTTGAGTACTCCACTCATATTAACTTTCAACAAGTATAGAAGGTCAAATGTGAACCCACAATGTCTCTGAATTGGTTACCACGTCATGAGTTCTAGCACTAGGTCCTTAAGATGTTAACCTTTCCTTTCTTCAAAACAAATAAAATTGGTCATAAGAATAAACAAGTGACCTAAGAGAAGGGTGCCTGATGGGTCACTCTGTATGATGCCTAACACTTCACAGGCTGTTACAGCAACCGGCTCCAATATCCTAAACTCAACTATTTGACTTTGACTCTCCCCCTCTTTCTTGTCCGTTCCTTCAGGTGACCATCCCATTAGAAGAAGACAGATGCAGCAGAGAGGCCACTAACTGTCCATGTCACAGGATACTCCTCCTACACCCCCCTCCCTCCCTGAAGTGGTCTGTTCTCTACAATCATCTCATCATCCCCATGTTTTAACTTGTTTTCATAATTTTTCAGAACCCTAATCTCAATCACATATGAGTATTAGTAGATTTCATTATTTAAATGATTTAAAATAAGGTCTGGATGACAGGGTATGCTTGTCTGATTTAGGTAGTCTACTTCATTTAAAGAAGTACTTAGTTGCCTAAATAAGATTTAAACATTTGGATTTGGGAATCTCTTTTCACTTGTTCTTTTCTTGGTCCATAAGAAGAGCCAGAACCACAGCATGCCTCTCTATTTCAGAGCTACATTAAGGTGAGTTTAAAAACAAGTTAACTTGTTGAATGCCAGGAAGAAAAACAATATTTGGGAATAAAATCTGATGGAGATAAGATTTGGCTATTGAGGAAATTATCTTCGAATAAGCAATCATATACAACTCAATTCTTAATTAGTTGAATCAAGCTATTCTTAAGTGAGAATCATTAAATAAAATTTTAAAATTAGTTCTCAAATTATTTTTTAACCCGAAGATGTATCAATAATAAATATATTAAAATAGCATGTACAGCACGCAGTTTGATAAAAATTGATTAGGATGGATTATACAGCCCTCCCCCAAGTAGTTCTGCACTGAATTCTGAAGGTAACAGGAATGAGTGGGAAGGAGCCATGAAAAAAATGCAAACTTGTTACAACAGAAAACTACACTTGTGATTCCAAAAAAGAGTGGTTTGGGTGATTTCCAGTAATTCTTGGGAGAAAAAGAGCAGGAACTATAATCTCACAACATAATGAGTTGGGATACGAGACTGAAGTATAAAGATGAAATAACATACCTTTCAAAAACAGAATTCCTCAAAAATCTACAAGCTGAGAAGAAAGCACCTTTGAAAATATTTAAAGTAAAAATAACAGTATACAAATGCTATAATTATGGGACCATACTATAGCCATCTAGACAGATTAAGAATACAGAAGTTACCTTGACAACCATTTCAGAGATTGGATAGAAGGGGGTGAGAAGTTATGAGCTATCCCATCATGACCCATCAGTCATAGGTGCTGAAAGTCTTACCATCTGTATTAGTCTGTTCTCACATTGCTATAAAGAAATGCCAGAAACTGTGTAGTTTATAAAGAAAAGAGTTTTAATTGGCTCACAGTTCCACAGGCTGTACAGGAAGCATGGCTGGGGAGGCCTCAGGGAGCTTTTACACATGGCAGAAGGCAAAACAGATGCAGGTATCTTCACATGCCCGGAGCAGGAGGAAGAGAGGGAGTGGGGAGGTGCTACACACTTTTAAACAACCACATCTCAGAAGAACTCTAGCATTAGAACAGTACCAAAGGGGAAATCTGCTCCCATGATCCAAACACCTCCCACCAGGCCCCACCTCCACACTGGGGATTACAAATCGACATGAGATTTGGGCAGGGACACAAATCCAAACCATTTCACTATCTAAGCACAGAGCTTGGTTCTATGACTTTCAAGCTAAGTCTGCTCACAAGGAAAATGCCACTATTTCATTTATTTTTTAAATTCAGTAAACACCTACTGTGCACCTACTTTGCTCCAGGAAGTGGGAATGTCAAAACAAGTTTTAAAAGCCCCTGGAGGCGGAACTTGCAGTGAGCCTAGATGGTGCCACTGTACTCCAGTCTGAGAGACAGAGTGAGACTCTGTTCCCCCCCGCCCCCTAAAACAGCCTCTGGAATTTAAATTAACATGACAAAATAATGTGGCAAGTGCACAAATGGAGGTACATAAAAAATGGCCCTATGGGAGCTGTGCAGGATGGAGTCCACCAACGAGGCTGCAGGAACGACTTCATAAAAGAAGGAACAGCTGGGTTGGAACCTGAAAGACAGCTCAGCCAGGCATGGAGGTGTGAGGGAGGAGTGCTCCGCCCACATGGAAGAGCACATCTAGGAAACAGAGAGAAGCATGGTGCAGGCGGAACCTCTTAAAGATGGGGTATGGTAAACGATGTGGTTGAAGAGGTCAGCGTGTTGAATTTAGGAAATGAAATGCAAATAAAATGCTTAAAGGAAAATGTGACATAATCAGATTTGAATCTTAAAATGTTCGCACCCACTTTTGTGTAGAAGACACATTGGAAGAGAGTAGGACTGGGGGTTCTTCATCATACTGAGTTCATTTTCTTTTTTTTCCCCAAGGTTGTTAATTTAGTAGATCAGAGAAATCCACTCGATAAAAATGTTTTTAAGATTTCATCGTAGCACTTGATGAGCTCTCTTGTCAACAAGTTCTGGAAATATTTACTGGATGATAATACAATCAAGTAGGTTAATCACCAGGCTCCAACCTACTTTTCCAGTCCTTTCTTTCCTCGTTCCCTATACCTCCTCATGCTCCCATCATTAAATTTCTTGTTGATCCCTGTAAACACCTTGGGTGTTCCAGCCTCACTGCCTTTGTTCAAAATGTTCTCTCCACCTGGAATGACATTCTTTCATCTTCTAGCTATTGAAATCCTATTCATTGTTCAATGGGCCACCACACTCACATGTATTTTTGTACTTGCCTTATGATCCTTTCTTTATTCTACCTTCATTATAGTCATTTGAGTAATTATCTAATACTCCCTACCACAATTTACCTACGTGAGTGTAGGAATGTTTTCATATTCCTCAGCATAATGATAATGATACTTATTATAATCCCACCTTCAATGTCTTTAGTGAGTCTTGCCAGGCACTGTAGAAAGTTGCACTCCTCCTTGTCTTATGTACTTCTAAGTGGCAGTTTCATGTATTCATTAGAAATGAAAAAAACATGGCAGTCATCCAGACCCAGGCTAGCTCCTAGCTGTAAGATAGTGTTGCATGACCTGGGGCAAGTTATTTAACCTTTCTAAAGTTAAATTTTCTCATCTGAAAACTTGTAGGGTTGTTTTGGTGATTGAAGTAGATGATTGTTTAAAAGGCACTTAGCATAGTGCTTAACATACAATAATGAGACTAAAATTAGTCTCTATGAAATCACGTCTAAACCCATTACACAGATTCTAGGAGACACAAAAATACATGTGGACTCCTCTAAGGGAGCTCACAATTTAGTGGAGAACAAAAGCTGTCAATGCTCTGGGATTTTGATAAATACTCATACTAAATAAGGAAAAATGTGAAAATGGCAAATTAATGCTATAAACATTTCATATTCATATTGATATTATGGAAATACTACATGAAAGTTAAACTATTTTTAAATCTGGCACACTTAGATTACCCCCATGTGATACATTCATGTTTTACTAAAAATATTTTAATTACCCATAAACCTTTTTTTAATGATGGGGCAAAAAAAATCACCCCTGGAATATATCAGAGAAGAAAGGAAAGAAAGATGTTGAGAATTTTGAAAAGCATTTTGATGTCATTTTCAACTATTTTTTTCAGCCCTTTACTTCCTCCTCTTCAAATAAGCCATACAGAATAAAGGAAAAATCTACAGAATATTGGCAATTGGGATGACCGTTGGCCTCTACCTTGCCTAGAGAGGAAAGAAAGGCCCAAGGACCTTGAGATTTCATGTGCAGCAGCATCTGATGGGCCGGTTACCTTCTTTGCCCTGCACATTTTCTCTATTCCTCTCCCCACAGCTCTCTGCCCTGAGAGGTTGACCTGGATGAGCTGCACCCACAAGCTCATTTGTCCTCAGGTTTCCAGTTGAGTTCCACCAATGGGAGGCACCATCAGGAGATGCAGACTTCAAGAAGAGTGAAGCTGGGATGTTTACTTCCCCAACTCGCTCTACCGAGCTGCGTGTGAGCTGGCTGGGTACTTCGGTGAAGTTTGCAGCTCCCATCGGCGCCCTTTTCTACATCAGCCTCCGTAGCTGCCCAACTTTCTTTTGCCATTGCAGCCAGTTGAGTGGCAAAACTGGCCCCCTCAATATTTTACTGTTCCTTGTTGGCTTCATTTTAGCCTGTCCACACTTTTGTCAATTACCTTTTCTTTAAACTCTCAATCACCTATTTGAACATGCCACCGGGGATGCTGCTTTGATCCTGCCTGACAACCTTGGTTTCTAGTTTAATATTTTCTCCTCTCCCCTCCGCCCCACACTATGCTGGGTTGAAGCATAAAGGAAATAAAAGATTGCCTTCATGGAAATGGGTCTTATTTCTTTATTTAAAAATTATATTTTATTGGAGATATTTGATAGTTAAGAACTGTAATCTCAGTCTTTTTTTGTGATGACATTGCAATTCCTTTGTAGAACAGTTTAGAAAAACATTGAAATTTTTCCTAGGCGAATTGCTGATAGAACCACATCCCTTTCCAGCTCTTGTCCTTCCTCTGATGAAAATGAAAAGAGGTTATTCTTTGCGATATTGGAGCCACAAAACAACCAGATAAACTCACAAATAAAATCCATCTTAAGAATAAACCAGGAGTCCACAAGTGCAGTATTTCAACTATAACATAGCATGAAGAAAGGGCAGGCTGAAAGAAAAAAAGCCCGTGGGGACGAGTTTTCTTTACATGTCCTACAATAGTTTTTCTTTCATAAAAGTAATGAAAGAAAAGGTGGGGTGGAGTGGCAGTGAGGAGAAGAATGGGTGAGAAGATAAGACACGCATGCCTTGTGCTGAAGAAAAGACTATTTGTACCTAGTACATTGTAGAAATTGTTCAAGAACAGCTCAGCCATGTAAAAATATGACCCTGTAATACTGCCAAGGTCAATCAGACCCATAGTGATTGACTTAGAAAGAGCTGGCCTTACAGGATACCATTGCACAAAGCCTACGAGAGTTTATACGCCTAATTGCTAGCATTTGGAAGGTATTTTTGAATCTTGAGAATTTAATTGTACAAAACTACAGTATAAAACTCATACTTTAGTTTTTTTCTTGGTGGATAAGACTTAAAAGAGATACCATAAAAATGTAAAGTAGATACACAGTCACTCTTTCACGTTATGATATTTTCATTATTTTATTAGCATTTATTCCTGATATTTTTGTTTTAATATTTCTTTGGCGTGGCTTTATTTTCCAAATAGAATTTAAGCTGCATAAGAACAGATATCATGCTTTTTAGTCACCGTTTTTTGAATAAACTAAATTTTGACTCATAAATAATAATTTGTAGAGAGTTGCCTATTAAATGTCAAATTTATATACCTCAAATATGAACAATTACGATGTTCATGAGTAAGAGTAAAGTGTATGCTGAGAGTATGTTTATTTTTATCTTATTCATACAAAAGAATAAAGTAATTCTTTTTAAAAGAAGGGGCCCTTTATATATTTTGTATTATACGTTGAAAAAATACATGTATGTAAAAATTTGCAAGTCCAAAAAAGTACCGAGTTGTAATCAATTTTTCCTTCCAGGGAATCAGGTTTTGGAGGTTTTACATTTTTTTTAGACTTCTGTATTATTTGATTTTTTTTACAAGGAACAAGCATTACTTGTTTAACTTAGAAAAAACTAAAATCATTAACAAAATCTTGTAACATAGTGGCTTTAGAGACAACTATTGAACCAAGTTTGAAGATGTATTTGTAATAAATGGTGATTTGATTTTCCTTCTCTCACTCTTTATATGTTTTTTGTTACCAGAGTAATGGGACTTCTCCCCGATTTCAGCTCCTATCCCCAACTCATTCCAACAATATATTTTGCAACCATCTCTTTACCCATGACCATATACCCTATTAAGATTTTTCTACCCGGTACTATTTCTAGGCTGAGCCAACTTTTAGGTTGTAGAAAATAGTAAAGGGAAAAGGAATAAGGACGGGATAGGATTTAAAAGAACAAAGATATTTGAGGGGAGGACAGGCGAGGGAGAAAGTGACAGAGCCCTAAAATGATCTCTTTTGCAGTCTACCCTCCCCCGAAATCAGTGCACTTAAATGTCTTTTTTTTATGGTGATTTGGGCAATATTTACTAGAGCCAGAAATACCAGAGTATCAAGTATTCCTGTCTGAGCTGGCATTTTGCCTACTAGTCCATGAATTCTCCCACTGGGTACATCCTGAAGCCTTCTTGGAGATTGCAGGTCATAAATGTGCATGATTAATTGCCTATGTTGAAACAAACAAACAAAAAAGTTACCAGAACATTCAGACTAGAAGGTGAAGCAAGATCCTGTTGGGCGACAGAAGAAATCTGTTTGGGAGCCTGACAGTGATGGCTGAAGGAAGAAGATTGAGCTGACTGGAGCTGACTAATACACATTTCTAGTAGGTGGAATAACAAAAGGGATACGACTAGAAAATAGGGGTTTGTTACAAATTGTGAAAGACACCTAATAAATTACAAGGGACACAGGCTATGGGGCAGTGACTTAGATAAAACTAGAAGAGCAAAATGTAAAGCAATTTTTTTGTTTTTTAATTTAATTTAATTTAATTTAATTTAATTTAATTTAATTTAATTTAATTTTTTGAGACAGAGTCTTGCTTAGTTGCCCAGGCTGGAGTGCAGTGGCACAACCTCGGCTCACTGCAAGCTCCGCCTCCCAGGTTCACGCCATTCTCCTGCCTCAGCCTCCCCAGCAGCTGGGACTACAGGCGCCCGCCACCATGCCCTGCTAGTTTTTTGTAGAGACGGGGTTTCACCGTGTTAGCCAGGATGGTCTCCATCTCCTGACCTCGTGATCCACCCGCCTCAGCCTCCCAAAGTGCTGGGATTACAGGCATGAGCCACCGCGCCCGGCCAATGTAAAGCAATTTTTAAGACAAGTCCACAACTTTGTTTCTAAGTAAAATTAACTAATTGAGATGGGAACATAGGGGCAGTATGCTGTCTTCCTTATGTATAGAGATACCCACAGATGTCTACCACCTATGGGTGAGAACAAATAATTAATCATTTTCCAGTTCTGGTTAACAAACTATATTGCCTCCCTTGGAGGTGTACAGTATGTGCATACAAAAACCTGCATTAAATATGTTACAAAAAGTCTGCCCAGAATTGGGCAAAAGAGAGCCCCATGGTGTCCTCAATTGAGGCCATATACTTTTGAAGACCTCACAGTTAACAAATGAAATATGAGAGAATATGATTTAAGATTTCTTTGAATGCCCAAATAGTAAATGAAATTATATGTTCTATAAAGTGCTCCACAAATCCTGGTACAAAAGCAGTCAGTAACTTTTTTTCATTTTCAGTTAACCGCTGTGGGACTATCTTGGTGCATGTTGCACTGCTGTAACAGAATATCAGAGACAGTGTAATTTACAAAGCAAATAGTTTTTTCCTCACAGTTCTGGAGTTTGGAAAGTCCATGATGGAGGGGTTGGAATCTGGTGAGGGAGGAGGGCATCACGTGGGTGAAGGGGAGCAGGAGATTGAACTCACAGCCTGAAGCTTTCTTATAATTGACATGAATCCATTCATGAGGGTAGAGCCCTCATGACCTAAACACCTGTGATTAGGCCCTGCCTCCCAATAGTGTTGCACTGAGGATTAAGTTTCCAGCCCGTGCTTTTTAGGGGACACGTCCAAACTATAGCAAAGACTTACATGTCTTCGTAACTGGAAGTCTAGTATTTTTTTCTTCAGGTTCCCTGTCTTTCCCTTACTCATCGATTCCCTACCCTCTGCAGGCTCATCCAGTCCAAAGTAGGCCAATTCTGGCTACCAGAAAGTGGAAGGATATAGAGGCAAAACAGTGCTCTGCTGCAGCTGATGCCTCTCAAAGATTAGTCCTACACAGTTGGAACAGTGATGACTGGCCCAGAATGCTGCAGTTATCTCACTTCTTCAGTTCTAAGGTTGGCCAAAGGCTGTCCATGTTTGAAGTCCTAGCAATTGCTGTTATACACAAACAGTCCATTCTAAACTGCAAGCTACTAGTAAGGGACCGGAGTAAGGTCCTGGACCCCCGTGGTTTTTCCTCCTCAGTGAGCTACCTAAGGGAGAAGTAACTGATCTTGCTGCCTTTACCCACATCTCTCACATTTACCTTTTGCTCACCTTTCTCAGGGACGCAATCCTCAGTGATTTAGTCAAGGTGCTATATCCTTTTCAGGAAGGTTCCCAAGTAATTCCATGGTTCCATTGTCTCTACCTTTCTAAATCAGGCTACTCTCTGTGACTCCAAAGTGATTTTTCATCCTGGCCTAAGTCATGAACTCCTGGGCATTTTTTTCCCTAAAGAAAAGAAAAACACATCTTCATTTCTGATTGGTTACTGTTGGGTACAGCATCCCTGGACATATGTAGCTTCTGCTTTCAAAATTATAAACAGTAGCTGCTGGGAGCAGTGGCTCACTCCTATAATCCCAGCACTTTGGGAAGGTGAGGGCAGATTGCTTGAGGCCAGGAGTTTGAGACCAGCCTGGCCAGCAGGGAGGAAACCCCATCTCTACTAAAAATACAAAAATTAGCCAGGCATGTGGTGTGCGCCTGTAGTCCCAGCTACTCGGGAAGCTGAGGCATGAGAATTGCTTGAACCGGGGAGGCAGAGGTTGCAGTGAGCCAAGACTGAACCACTGCACTCCAGCCTGGGCCGCAGAGTGAGACTCTATCTCCAAAATAAAAATAAAAAAATTATAAATAGCTGTGACAAAGTACAAACCATTAGCTTTAGATGTCTTAAAACCTTAGGATGACGGTTCTCTACAAAGTAGAACTTTGTACTCATTTGAATGTTTTTGGATGTAAATTACAGAAATCCAGCAAAAGCAAAGCAAAGCAAACAAACAAAAAAGTAGCCAAGTGTGGTGGCTCATGCTTGTAATGCCAGAACTTGGAGAGGCCAAGGCAGGAGAATCACTTGAGCCCAGGAGTTTGCAACCAGCCTTGCCAGCATAGTGAGACCCTGTCTTTAAAAAATTTTAAAAATTAGCTGGGTGTAGTGGTTTGTGCCTATAGTCCCAACTACTTGGGAGGCTGAGGCAGGAGGATAGCTTCAGCCTGGGTGGTTGAGACTGCAGTGAGCTATGATTGATCACAACACTGCACTCCAGCCTGGGCAGCAGAGCAAGACCCTATGTTCCAAAAAAAAAAAAAAAAAAAGTGGATTTTTTAGTTCAATTAACTAACCGAGAATTCCAAGTCTAAGCGTTCTTGTCAGGGCTCACTCTTTCTATGTCTTAGATCCACATGACTTTGTTTCTTTTTAAGAATTGACTGAAGCTTCTCACCAGGTGCATTGGCAGGAAAGGTTGTCAAAGCTCATACCCTACAGAACATGATCCAAAAGAAAGAGAGAACAGTTTTACTCCCAGTTCCAATATATGGAATTGCATGAGTGCAATTGTCTAATTGTCACTGCTAGGGTTGTGCATGTGCTCTGTAAACCATGTGAATTAGAGAAGGGTATTCCACGATTAATCAAGCCACACAATGTTTCCCTATTGGGTAGAGACAAGTCATGATTGGCACTCTCACCACAACCACGTAGAAAGAGGAGAAATATTCCCCCAGTGGCAAGAGAAAAGCTATATTTAAAACCAGTTTTGGAAGAGGGCATTGCATTGGGTCTCCTTTAAACTGCTACTGGCTGAGTTTATGAGGTTCCACTGAGAGACATAGTCCATCCAGTTTGTATGTGGCCTTTATCAGGCATGCGGGAGAGCACAAAAGACTCACAACAAACCTTTGACCTCATGTCCATAGGTTTGGACTGGGTTTGGAGAGTTCACCTGCAGACTAGCTTGATAAAAAGTGCTGTCACAGATGTAAATTGGAATGTCAGGAATAGCTTTATTGACTTTTGTGCCAGAGCATAGGATCTGAAAAGTCATTTGTTCTGCAATCTTTTAGAAAGACAGGGGCCATGCAATATGATCTTCTTCTACTGTGATATTACTGGAAAAAGGACTGGACATTTGTGCTGGCTCCATTTTCTGCTGATATATAGTTGTGACCCAGGACAATTTATTTAACCTCTTTGGAACTTGGTTTTCTAATGTATTAAGGGAGGTGGTTATGCCAGTTGATCTCCAACATCTTTGATCATTCAGCCCTGAATTTCTAAGGTTTTATTTTTTTCATTGGTTTTCATCTGACACATAGGCTGGAAAAGATGAGACTATGGTAAGAGGCAGGTAAAAGTCATTGTACTAGACAACTTGAAAAGGATATCTAAAAGATAATAAAAAGACAACTGGTTATTTTTATTTGTTTTAATTTCCCTAAAAAAGATATCAACTCCAATTACCAATCTTTGTTTTTAAATTTTAAAAATCACTTATTTTAAGGAATATTTAAGAAGGAACTTGTAGTGTCCAGTGAAGCAACTTCAAAAAGAAATTAGAAAAAGAGACTTGAGATAACTAGCAAAAGCAATGAGTAGATCTTGTTTTGACCCTAGCTTGAACAAAACAATTATAAAATACATGTTCTGTACAAGGGAGAACTTAAATATGACTTGCCTATGATATGGTACTAAGGAATTATGATTTTCTTAGATGTGACAACAATAATATTGCTATTATGGCAAATTGTGGGAAATAGTTATTACTTTACAGTGATGCATACTTAAATATTTAGGGTTATATGTCATGATATCTGTGATTCACTTTCAAATACTTGAGCAAAATAAAATATATATAAATCGAATGCGGCAAAATGTCAGCAAAAAAAAAACCTAGGTGAAAGTTCAATGGTTATTTCGTATACTATTCTCACCGTGTTTCTGTAAGCTTGAAAGTTTCCAAAAAAATTAAAGAAAACTGATTGTCCTTTAAAGTTTCAAGCTGTGCTTACCTTACATATTTATTTCAAATACAGTTCTAGTTTTTAGTTTTCCCAGGTGAAACTGGACTTAAGTGTCTTTAAGACAGTTAAAATATGATACCTGGATTTTCAACTTCAGGATGTGAGTTATAAGGTAGTAAAGGGACAGCCTATTTCCTATGCAAAAATGACCTTAAATAGAATCTTTAATATTCAGTATGTCCCTCCCTGCCCTCAACCACGCACACACATAGAACCTTGACTCTTTATAGCTTTTGCTAATTGTGTTAATGAGCCCAGATGAGGCTGAATAATGTAGTGGTTAGAAATTCTAGCTCTGAAACCGGTTACCTGGGTTGGGATCCTTATGTTAACACCTTATGTTTCAGTTTTCCCAGCTGTAAAATGGGGGAAAATGTTATCACCCATATGATGGGGGCCTTTTGAGGATTAGACATATTATGCACTTAGCACAGTTTCTGGCACTTCGTAATTGTTAATTATTATTTATACATTTTGCTGTGGGGAATCCAGATAAGGTTTGAGTTGACGTCAATGTTCAGGGACAGAAATACTTTTGCTTTTCAGGTGATAAAATTGGTTCAAGAGATGCATTCTGCCCTAGTGACTAGTGCTGAGACAGAGATTTTTAAAAACTGGAGGGCAGCATGGCACTGTGGAGTCTCTTTGATTGTAGTAATTTCCCTTACCAAGTGACTTAAGTCAAAGTCTTCTCAGAATGCTAGAAAACTAACATCTGGAGAAAATAAATTTCTCAAGACTCTCTAAAAATAACATCTCCCCAACAACTACAGGCTGGAATTATATTTGATAGATGCTTCATTGTACTTGGCAGGCATACTAAAGTGATGTTGTGGTGGTTATTACAAAATTTGCTGCAATCATTTATAACCAAGTAAGACTCCTTCATTAGGTTACGTGTCTATTATAAGTGCTTATTGAAAACCCAGGATTTGGTTTCTTTGTAACATGTAAGTTTCCCGTTTATCTATGACCTTTTACATTTAAGTATTGCCCAAGCACATGAAAAAAAGGAATTTGTTTCAATGGAGATACACAAATATCCTTATTCTTCCTGGACCTTATTATGAAAATTCAATGCTACTCAAGTTTCTCTAATAAAACTTTAGAGAAACTGCCAAAGACTTGGGTTTTATTTTGTTGTCAGTCTTTATTTAATAATGGCATCTGTATTTTACCCAAAGTAAATCTTTTCCTTCTTAGAAAGGTAAGCAGCGGATGACTTCTCTATTGAAGACTCCTCTTTGGGGCCCTGGTAGCCATTTGCCAGGCCAAATATGATTCTTCACACATCAAAAGAGCCATTTAAAATAATTTATGTAAATGAAATTGTTGCATTGCTAGAATCTGAGTAAAGAAATCCTTTGGTGCCTTGGAGCAACTGCAAGAAGCTAACATCAAAATCAGTCCTTCAAATTCTTTTTTCAAGGAGAAACCAGGTAAAAGAGACTATATGATTTAGACTTGTGTGTGTTATTCCTCTGAATTCAATTTAAATTGGGGAAATCTGGCCTTCGTGGGGAGCTGTTGGTATCCTGTTGGAAATGAGGTCATCTCTGTTCTGATCTTCCACTCTCTGCAAAAGAATCTACTGTAGTGGGGCACAAAATAGAAGCTGTTCAGGAAGGCTGAGTGAGGGAAGAAGTGGACTCTAGGCTCCCTTTCATCCCAGAAAGTCAGTATCTGTTTGGGGTACAAGTGACAGGCCTTCAAATATGTGTCACATAGCCTTGCTAAGGACGAAATAAAGGTCTCAGTTCCATCTCCAAAATTGTCAACTTGGACTTTTTAAAAATATAAACAGCACTAGATTAAGTGAATATATGCACTGGAGCTTCTTGGTAAGTGAAAATTATTTTGAAAATATGATTAGTAATTTTTTTATTTTATTATTTATTATTTTATTTGCCATTTTCAAATATCACTATCACTCTTTCCTAACCATTTTTAAGTTTTTAACCTTCTGCCCAAGTTTTAACATTAAGAACACCCAAGTCACAAAAGTGTCTCTCCAGCACTGTGCTGACTAGGTGGACACTGATTTACCCACTTCTCAAATTTTTGGGTATTTACAGCTGCTTGTAATATCATCATTTTGAACCATCGCTCCATACAATATCTACATACTTACAAACAAACAGAAAGAAACAATACCTCTAAGCTTACATACTACAAAAAAAACAGTATTATTAGCAGATTATAAATTTTTGCTCTTTTCTTAACTTCCTTAGGCTCATTTGTTCTTATTGAATGTTTTACTAATTGTCGACCCTCTCCCCCAACTCTGGCCCCAGCTGGCTACTGAACAAATTTGCAAACCTGATGAAAATATGAAACAGCCTTAGTTCCAAGTTAGCCCTTAAGTGCAGCTATCTGTCCCTGTAAGGTCACGTTCTCTCAAGCATTTGGTGAGCAGTGTAAGTGCCCTACAAGGAGTGCGACTGCTTGCTACACTCTCCAGTGGTGAAGCAGGCAAATTTGGACACAGCAGCTGTCTGCTCCTGAAGACAGCTGGAAATAACCATGTGTGATAGGATCAGCTATGTGAGGCAGGGTAGCACTGTTGTCTGTAAACAGCATGCTATCTCTGAGACTCCAAGACAGTGACACAAGCAGCACCAGGCTCAACCTGCCCTCAGAATAGCAGGGGAGGCGCTTTACATCCAGCCTTGCATAAGTTGAATCCGAATCACAGGATTTTAGGACTGAAAAGTGCCTTGGAGACCATGTCACAGCCCTCTATTTTCACAGATTAGAAAGGAAACAAAAACAAGAATCTGAGACCGCAGAGGTATAGTGACTTGTGATATTTGTAATTGTCATTTTGCATACATGCATAGACCCATCAGGGATCCAAGCAGATGCATGTGTCATTCTGTCGTGCTTAAGCTGGTTCATTTGTTTCCTTTCAAATGGTTAATTATGCACATCAACAAAATTTCATAAGATTTAGCCTTAGATATAAGAGTAAATATTTTGTTCTGCCCTCAATTCAAATATGCCCTCAGGAGAGCGACATCAACAGTCATGCGGTTACTGTATGGCAGGCTTTGTCTGGAACCAAGCACTGAAACTACAAAGACAAATGTCAGGATGACTTAGAGGCATTCACAGACTAGTCTGGGAAACAGATATATGAACAAATAATTAAGAGATATTACACAAGTGTCATATGGGAGATTTATGTAAAGTGAAATATTAGCCTATGAAAAAGTCACCACCTAGGAAATAGGGAGAAAATTGAGTAAGGCCACAGCAGAAAACCACTGATTTAAGTCTTCTCTATAGTAACACTTGAATCCTGGAGAAGGGCGTGAGAAAGATGAAGGAGTCAGTGCAGAGGGAAAATTTCAGGCAAGAAGGAAGAGGGTTTTATTTATTGTAAATTGACTTTGAAGAGCCACCATTTTTTTTCTCTGTCTGATTCTTCTACTATCTGCTGTAGCTAAAATTTGCATAAAGAAACTGTGCGATAAGGGTCTCTTTTGAAGCCGTGTGCATGGACTTCATGATTGCATTTTTCCTTCATTCTTACAGACTCTTATATTCTGGTTTGTACTTTTGTTTGGCTTGATTGAGATTGTCAGAAATATGATTCTAAGACAGATAAGAGGCATTCTAGATTATAAGTGACCAAATGAGGAATAGCTGGTGGTAATTCTTAAACCAGGAGGGACGTTGGGAGATTGGAAAGTCATAACAACAATCCAGGGAAGAAAAGCTTTCACTATGACCTCAGATTGAAAGTCAACAAAGAAACAAGACACTCACGAAAAATACAGCAGGAAGAAATAAAGGATGCAGTTTCAAAGTGCAAGTTTATTAGGAGTCAAAGACAATAAGTTGTCATCATTTGCCTACAAATTGACTGGGCTTTAAAAAATAAGAGGGTAAAGGAAAATAGGCACTTCTGTTCATTGCTGATGGGAGTAAAACTTGGTAGTTTTAAAATTACCATCCTGGAAGGTAATTTTTCTCCCTCACTCTCTAAATATAAGTATGTACATATTACATATATGAAGATATTATATAATATATGTAAATAATACATGTTATAAATATATATATATTTTACCGTATTCCATTTAAATTTTATACATCCACAGATCCTCATCCCAAGAAGGTAATATGTATGTGCCTAGGTTATGATACAAAGGTGTTCATGGCAGAGATGCTTATTAAACAGAAAAAAAAGAAAGAAACCTGAATATTTGATAATAGAATACACATCACATGTATTATATGTCCATAAAATGGAATACTATATAGCTATTAAAAATACTGTTCTTTTAAAATTCACAAAGATTAAAATAGTAGACATAAAGTACTTAGAACAGTGCCTGGTACCTAATAAGTGCTCAATCAGTGTTAACTTTATTATTATTATTAGCATATTTTAAAACATGGGGAGATATTTCCATATGTAAAGTAAAAAAAGTTACAAAATAGTATATAAATTATGATACCAATTATGTGTGTATGTCTATGTATATATATGCATGTGAACTTAGGAAAAAGATGGAGGGCATATTAGTTTGCTAGGGCTGCCATAACAGTACCCTAGTCTCGGTGGCTTAAATAACATAAATTTATTATTTCAAAATTCTGGAAGCTAAGAGTCCAAAATCAAGATGTAGCAGGCTGGATTCCTCTGAGGACTGTGAGCAACGATCCCGTTCCAGGCCTCTCTCCTTGCTTGCAGACGGCTATCTTCTCCCTACATCTTCTCATTTTCTTCCCTCTCTGGGTATCTATGTCCAAATTCCTCCCCCTCGCTTTTTTTTAATAAGGATTTCAGCCATACTGGATTAGGGCCAACTGTAAAAACTTCACTTTAACTTGACTATCTCTGTAAAGACCCTATCTCCAAATAAGGTCACATTCTGAGGTATGGGGGATTAGGACGTCAATATTTGAATTTTGGGAGAGATACAATTAAATCCATAAGAGACAGTATGTATATCAGTAATTTTTGAGTTATGGATGGCATTTATTTTATTCTTTTTCCTTATCTGTTATTTTTTTGCAATGGACTCTTGGAACTAATACAATTTTAAAAAGTTATTTTTTGCCAGGCATGGTGGCTCACGCCTGTAATCCCAGCACTTTGGGAGGCCGAGGTGGGCGGATCACAAGGTCAGGAGATCGAGACCATCCTGGCTAACACAGTGAAACCCCGTCTCTACTAAAAATATTTAAAAATTAGCCAGGCGTGGTGGCGGGCGCCTGTAGTCCCAGCTACTCAGGAGGCTGAGGCAGGAGAATGGCGTGAACCCAGGAGGCGGAGCTTGCAGTGAGCCGAGATCACCCCACTGCACTCCAGCCTGGGCGACAGAGCGAGACTCCGTCTCAAAAAAAAAAAAAAAGTTATTTTTTAATTCCATGCCTCAGAAAGCCAGATACCCTTTTAATAACTTGACTAAAAATACTTCTAATTCCTTCCATATTTCTCTATTCATCTTTAATATTACCTCATTTTACTGTTTAAGACTAAGCATAGAACTTAGAACATTTAACATTCCCTGTAGAAAGGAAAAGTTTGGATACTGAAACTCTGAATATTCAGATTATATATGCAATATGTATTGCATGTGCTTTAGAGGTCAAGATTATTTTCTTCTGGAGTTTCTGTTTCTTCGTGGATTCCTAAACTGTGTTAAGATAAAGCAGAATGATTACATAGCTTACAAGTATTGTCATTTTGGAGGGATGCTTACTTTCCTGCCAGTTTCTGAGCTTGTCAAATCTAAAGTCAGTACTGTACATTTTTCCTGAATACTACATCACTTTTAAATAGGAATCCTGCATGTTGAAAAATATGTATCAGAGGTAAAACATGTTTTATATAATAGATAGACTTTTAAGTAATCAGTCATTATTATAGAAATCAGAGTAAACTGAAATGCGATAGGATAACTTTTACTTTGGTAACAAAAAGAATGAACTTGTAAAGCAATAAAGTAACAATTAATTTGCATATCTTTTAAAACTTCATTACTGAATTTGACTTTCCCGAAGCTAAGGATGTGCCTTGCTTTTCATTGTAAAATGGCTGGAATTAGGATATGCTACACAAAGATGAAAGTGTATGTAAGGAAAGCTTATACTCAAAAACTGTTTTCAATCTATTATTTGAAAGTGCTGGTCATCTGACCTTATGCTTCACAGCTCATTCATGGGTCGACGTTCAGTGAAATCAATTCATTGTCTGCAATTAACATACATCATTCTCATATTATTAGGTGGCTTGTATGGCTAATGCTTTTCCAACTCTAATTATTGATTTGGTTTCATAAAATAAATCAGATACAAAATACCAGCTTCTTTACTAGTATTCCTGGTGATGCTACCGAATTGCAAAAATAAATTACTGAAGAAGGTTTTGTGGCTGGCACCTTAGAGGGAGAGAAGATTGTTACTCATTATGTTAAGTACTGTCTTATATCATCATGTAAATAACTTTAGTGATTGCTTGGAAAGAAAACTATTCCAAAGAGAAAATTAATATATCTGATTTGTTTATTTATTCATCTAATTTAGGGCTGAAAGATTTTTGGACTGATACAAGATAAGAAAATATGTCACTAAAATTTATCAGTGCACACAGCGAGGGACCTTACCCTATAAATATAGATTTAAATAGTTGCATGCTTGGTTTTCTCTGATAAGTTAAATCAGATAAGATGTTTAATATATAATTCTCCATTGTATGTTAGAAGAATTCTACCCATCTCTCTGTTTCTGTCAGTTGTAGGTTGGATGGGAAATTAAAAGTTAATTTTGTCTTTGTCCTTTTGTCTTTTTCTTATCAGCAGTGCCTGGGAGGCATGGTAAATAAAGTGTGCTCAAAGTGACCTTCAGTTAACTCATATCGTCTTGACACAAGTAAGCCAGGCTCTACCCTTGTAATCTTCATTGTCAGCTACATGAAGAGGAGCTTCTTTCAGTAGGAAGTGCGCATCATCCAAAAATATATAGGTATTTTATTCATTTCATGTGATTGTTTAAAGGAGACTGCAAGAGTAGAGAATCAATAGAGAAGGCAATGCGTGAAGGAGAAAAAATTACAGGCCAAACTGCTGCCACGCAGAGGGTGAAGTAATTTACCCAAGGTTAGTAGCAGAACTTCCATTTAGGGACACAGTCAAAATTAGAACCCGTGGGTCCTAGCTTTAGGTGCAGAATGCCTTCCTCTTCTCCATCCTGCCTGAGGCTGTGGAAAGGCAAACGAGCTGCCCTTCTCATATGGGGTTAGATGACTGGTTAGGCACTGCACAGCCACATGTCTGCGTGGCATGTTGTTTCTTTACCTCTGCCCTATTCACATTTCTGTCTCTCTCTACCGAAGTCAGAAGTTGAAACTTCTAGTTGTAAGGGCACAAAGTGGCTCCATGTCAACTTTCCCCCGTAAATTATTTTTATGGGCATACCAACCAAGGGCATATCTCAAACGCATGATTGCTTTTGGCATCGTACCAATGCTTCTCCCCCCACCCCTGTTTTATGGATAAAAAAGGCCTTTTCTGGTTATTCTTCTCAGATGGGGCCCTTGAAACTTCTGTAATGCATAATGTTAATAAATCAACTAGCAAAGGAAAAAAAATAAGTCGCCTGATAAAAGTAGGCATTTGAGAGTTCAGGCTCCTGAAATCTATACCCATTTCTTAGTTATATGGAACACATGACTTCAGGCTATTCCTGTATCCCTTTTCACTCCTCAGTAAAAAGCTGATTTTAGATGAGTGTTCTGATTAGAAGTTGCTGCATTAAGAATGTTAGAACTACAGGTCTCCTGCATCTACGGCCGAATAGATAGGTGGGGCTGCTAATGACGTTGAGTGTTCCACGAAGAGTGATATGTAAAGATCTTCACTTGGATGTACTGAGTGACCACTGTGTGTTCAGTAACCACAGGGCAGGATATCTGAATTCTGCAAAGGACACAGCGCTGCAGTGTGTGCCCTTGAGAGTCTCCTTTACAAACACGCCAGAGCAGAGATAGTGACCTCATGCTTCCCAGAGAACATCTTCGCTGGGCTGTCCTGAGGTCACCTCACACTCAACACACCCAAAATAGAAACACAATCCTCCTCACACTTGTGTGGGGCCACATCATTCCCCCATTTGCTAGAACTAGCAATCGCATTTTTATGCCAATGACAAATTGGTTCTGTGTCTGTACAGTCTCCTATAGCTACACCTTCCATGGCTCTCCTGCCACCACTACCTTGATGCAGGCTTGTCATTACCCTTCACTGCCACTCTTGCCATGACTTTCCTGATGGGCTCTGAAACTGCAGATTCTCCCTCGCCAGTCCATCTTCTGTGCTGCTAATGGGACTGCTTACTAAAACACCTGCTCAGGCCCACCACCTTACCCAAAACCTACAATTGTTCCTTGCTGCCTACAGAATAAATTCCAAAATGGTAAGCCTTGGAGGCAAAGCCCTTTCATAACCTGGGCCAAGCATTCCTTCTTCAGGCTTATTTGGGAATAAATAATTGCTATGGTCTGAAGGTCTGTGTCTCCCCCAAATTCATATGTTGGAAACCCTAATACCCAATGTGATAGTATTAAGAAGTGGTGCCTTTGGGAAGTGATAAAGTCACAAGTACTCCACCTTTGTTAATAGAATTACTGCACTTATAAGAGGCTCCTTGGAGCTCCCTTGCCCTTTCTACCCTGTGAGCATGCAGAAAGAAGGTACCATCTTTGAAGCAGAGAGCAAGTCCTCACCAGATACCGAATCTGATGGTGTCTCGACCTTGGACTCCCCAGCCTTCAGAACAGTCAGCAATACATTTCCATTATTTATAAATTACCCAGTCTAAGGTTCTTTGTTATAGCTGTCTGAAATGATGAGGTTAATAATTAATGAAATAAATCAGTTTCCTCCAGATATACTCTATGGTCTTCAGCCTGTACCTCTCTTCTCATACTATCCCCCCAGTTTGAACCACCGTTAAAGGGCCTACCAAACTGTTGTATTCTTCCTATGGATACAAAGCAGGTGTCAACATTTAGGTTGTCTTGGGCCAATCGAAGATGAAAACCTAGTATTCACATCTACAATCAAGTTGTATAAACATGTAAAAATGAGATACTATATACATATGAGAGTAATTGGCTAGATATCAACCAGGCAAGACTGCCCTAAATTGTGATATATTTTGAGAACAGAATCAACTGTAAGTATGATCCATGCCTCATTGCATTACAGGGAGAACCTCAAAAAATTATATTACTGCAACCTGGGATGAGAGGTAAGGGAGGTGGAAAGTCGGTAGAGATGGTAAATTGGTGGTGAACTTTATTTTACAATTAACCTACGGGGATGATTATTAAATAATAGTATGCTTTGGTACTCAGAAGTCAAACCATTGGATAGGACAGTGAGATTTAGAGAGAAAACTAAAATTTCCATGCTCTTATCCTTTGTGTTGTTTCTTCCAAATATATTTATCAAAACACATTTTAAGAGGGGTGGGAAACGCCAGTTACACAAGAAAAGCTATCCTCTGCCCGACTGAAGAAATTGTTCAAACAGAGTGCATTCTTTCATAAGCAATGCTTCCTAATGTAGCCAGGGTCAGCAAGGGCTTAGGTTATTAGTTATGTAATCCCTCGTTCCTCAAACTGCAGTTTTGATTTGAATACACAGTTTCAATTAGTTACTTCAGTTTTTGTCTTGCAGCGTATTTCATTTTTAGAATCAAGAGAAGCTCAGATAATCCCTGAGTTCACAAATAACACATCTGACCCCCGAGAGGTACCTTTAGCACAGCTTTGAGCCCTGTGCTCTTTCTGTGACACCACTTATAGATTGAACTGTGTTCCCCAAAAAGGTATGTTGAAATCCTAGTCCCTGTAATCCCTGGTATCTGAGAATATGATCTTATCTGGAAATGGGGTCTTTGCAGACATAAGATATAAGTTAAGATTAGGTCATACTGCAGTTGGGTGTGTCCTTAATTCAATCTAATGTATACCCTTCAAAGAAGAAAAAAGACACAGAGAGGAACACACATGGAGAACTCTGTGTGATGACACAGGAAAACTAAGCAACACCACATACTGATGGCCCCAACCAGAAACTAGGAGGAGGCAAGGAAGGATGCTACCCAGGGTCTCAGAGGGAGCGGGGTACTCTCAACAATTTGATTTTGAACTTCTAGCCTCCAGACTGTGCAAAAATACACTTCTGTTTTAAATTACCTGGTTTGTGGTACTTTGTTACAGCAGCCCTAGTAAACAAATACACCACGTTACCCGTTTGGATTGCCCATTTTTGTCTTTATCATGTTCTCTCGGGGAATCTCTAAACAAAATGACTTGAGTATCATCTGGGTGCCAGATGCTGTCTTTACACTTGGCGAAGTTGTTGAGGTCCTGGCTCTGCATACTAGTTCTTATGTCCATCTGCTTTGATCTGGAGGTCATTATTATCTACAATGTCACATCAAATCTTCTGTCTACCTAGAGGTTTAGTTAAGAGGACTTCAAATTCTGGTTCCTTGATGTAGCCACAGCCACAGAATGTCATAACAGTACATGTTGGATGTACCTCTCCAGGTTGCTATGAATATAATGACATGAAAATCATTGTAAAATTATAATATCATTGGCTAATATGTATTTAATATGAATTATGTGTCTAGGACTGGGCAGATGCTTTACATATGTTGTCTCACTCAGCAGTCACAAAGGGCTCTGAAGTGGGTGCTATTATCACCTATGCCCATTTTACAGATAATAAAAACTGAGGCACAAAGAAGCTAAGTAACTTGCCTGGGACCCTATGGCAAGACAGTGACACAGTTGGGATTGCAAAGCTACAGTCAACAACTCCACAGTCCATGGATTCCCACATGCCTCGAAGGCATGTGACCTTAAACTATCTGTTTACATCAGAAACTCGCCATAACCCCCACCACATTTACTCTAAGTCCCTGCAGGATTTAGCTTCAAACTCTTTCTCAACCTCATCTCTTGTCATCTCCACTTTCCTCCCTGCCTCCCGCCCCTATACTTTAATCATAGCAGGATCTTCACATTCCCTGGAACGTGCAGACTCTGTCATCCCGCTCCGTTTTCCACGTTCTGCTCTTTGACTCCAGGTGTTCGTCCCCCATGCCCCAATGCACGTTGTGCACATCTCCTGCCCTTATGACCCGGAGGAAACGTTATCTTCTCTGAGTTCCAAATTCCCCAATAGGTAGTTGCTCCCTTCTTCCTTCCCATGGCACGTTATTGAGACCTGTACTCTGACACCGGGTAGGGCTGCAGTAAAGCACCAAGTTGCCCGGGGCACCACAGTTATAGAAGCACTCGTTCTTAGAGTCAAGGGGCAGAATAATTCATGGCGATATTAACTTGTATTTTCTCCTTGCAAGTATGATCTTCGGTTGGGCTGGGGTAGAGGAAATATAGAAGAGGGAGAGGGAGGTGATTACCTCCAGGCAGAGAAGAGGATGAAGCTGACCGGGAGCTTTGGGCAGCAGGACTCAGGCGGGCCCTACTTCTTGGCAGAGCCCTGCGAGGAAGCAAGGCCATAGAAAGGGAATAGCTGCCTGTGTATCTGGGAAGATGGCCCTGCGCACCAGAATCCCAGATCCTCAAGGATCCAATGGTCCACCTGTGTCATGGAAGTAGTGGGGTTTCCAGACCTCAAGTAACCAGCCAGGCACGGACCACAGGCACCCAGAAATAGCCCGTGGGGAGCCAAAACTGAAGGGGATCTCCTCCATGCTCTGGGTTGTGAAAGACCTTGAGACCTTTGCATGAGAGAGAGACAAAGCCAGGAGAAACCCTCAATACTGACAGATTGCATTTCCCATAAGCCCAGCAGGTTGAGAGCTCAGAGTTGCATTGAATCTCCTTTAAAGATAAAATCAAGACACGTGCCATTTACTGCACACACACCTCCATTTGTGAGCCATGATTCATACCCAAAACATGTGTTTCCATGTCTGTCTCCACTACTGGACCATGCACTTTTTTAGGGCAAAAACTGACATTTTTTGTCTTCACATTCTCAACCTTTGGGAGGCACCTACTGCAAAGCGGGCCCTGAACGAAAGCCTGCTAAATGGATGAAGAGAAAATGAACCAGTCAGCCAGGTAGCTGATCAATCTCTAAGGGTTCTGTAGCTCTTGGAGTCTATGAAAGAAAAATTAAAAGTACTAGACCCTCCAATTCAATCTCTATCTGGGAAGGTAACTAACTAAGGTCAAGTCTTCCTCACCAAAACAGCCAAAAGGAAGAAGAAGGGAAGGGAGTTGCTAACTCACAAAGGCTTCTTTATTCCTTAGCCTTTGATTCAAGAGGATGAGTAAGTGAATTTCTTTTCTTTTTTATTTGTTGTAGTGCTGGCTTCCTTCAGGCAGTATGAAAAATCAAAGAATTAGGCTGGTACCTATATCAGATAACTTGACCAAGGACTGTTGGAAGTCAATGAAAAGTGACCCTTTGGGAAATGCTGTTAGGAAAACAGTGTTTCCCTCTCTACTGTTTTTTATAACTACTGGAAACTTTGTGCTTCACTAGCTGGTTCTTCTAGGTGTTTATATTCTGAAAGGCCATGACCCGGATAATTTGGTTGAGAGAATTTCTGCTCATGATTGTGTAGTTACCTGGCTTCTGGGCATCAAGGATACCAGGACACACAAAAACACTCTATGATAGCCCAGATTCACAAGGTTTCATGCAATTTCTTTTATGTGCAATTGCTGGGTCCCCTCCCCAGAAGAAAATACAATGCTGTAAGGGTCAAATACCTGGAAAATATCCTAGGTGACATTTAGAAAAAAAAATTTTTTTCACGTAAGTTAATAAGTCAGCAGACTGCTCTCCTCTCTATTCTCAATACCTTGAGAGACTGGCCTGTGTCAGTGGGAAAAGACGGCAATTTGATAAAAGCAGGGTCTATATCACAGGAGATCTGGCCTCCAAATATTCCATTGTACAAATAAACAGAAGAATTTCAATCTTCTTTCCATTCTTAGGGCTCCTAAGAGATCCCCTTCCCTCTCCTATTCAGGGTGGTTTAGCTCTAATTAAATTATTTTCTCTTGTACAAACTAACAGGCTCGTCATTAGCTTCCAGTTAGAAAGATCCTATCATCCTCTTAACCATCTCTATAAGAGCTGGAATGCCTTGACTTTCCCAAGAGAGGAGACAGGGAGAACAGGAACCTCCATCACCCTAGGGCTATTTGGCAATCTTCCCTCTTCTTCCTTCAACACCCCTTTTTGAGGTTAGAGTCATCCTATTCCTTCCTTCTAGGTTCCACTGGAGTCAGAGGGATTAGGCAATGGGGCATGGACTGCAATGCTCCAGCCCCACCCAGGGGTCAGGGCTCACAGCCAGGTTACTCAAACAGAGGTCACTGTGGCTCTCTCCTGCTGCTCAACCCAGGCTGGAGCCGCTAGCCACAGATCTTAGACACACACCACGGGCAAGGACACAGGGGTCTGGCTTTATTGGCTGTAGGGCCAGTTTGGCTGGGCGACTAGGTGGACATTCTAATGACTAAGCACCTTTCCTTAGCCACTCCCAGGGTCAGTTAAGAGACATAGATTTTAAAACCAAGAGAAACAAAACCTAGCAAACAAGAGAGATCCAGAGAGAAAAATACTGTAAAATTTACAGATTAGAATAGACAGTTTTACCTGTACAAGAATCTGTTTTTGATTTCTGCTAAAAATATTGCATATTCATTATATTACCAAACCAAATATTAACCTGACCATGGCTTTCAATAATGGTGTTAGGATAAACCTGTAATTCCTATATCAAGGAATAAAGTCAAATGAAATTAAATATAAATGAAACCAGCATCTTGGACCTTAAGGTCTTCCTAGATGTTTAGGGTTCACTTTAGAATTTCAAGAGTAGCCTATCTCCTTATCCTCCTCTCAATAGAGCCTGCTTTATTTCCCTCAAGTGTTAGTAATCATAATGCGATCCTAATGTATTAGATTTGGTTCCCTACTTTATTTCTAGGCTTTTCAGTTTTGTCTAGTTGATCATATTTTTTGTTTTGTTTTGTTTTTGTTTTTTTAGCTAAAAATGGCCTGTGGATCTATCCTGTGTGATATTTGACATACCCTATTTATATTTAAATAGATGCTTTGAGAAATGTAAGGTTTCCTTTACAATATTCTAAGTTTGGGCAAAGTTCACCATTGCATTAGGGTTGAAGTATAACTGATTATCTAACTTCCATCGCTTCTTCACTTCCTTAAAATTCTTTGATTCAGTATGTGGGGGGAGGGCGAGAAGTTGTTTCTGATCAAAACACTTTTTCTGAAGAATATTCTTTGGTACTGATATACTTCGTCAATATGATTTATAGCAAGATGTGCGCTACACCAGTATTGTGTTAAATGTGCTTCCAGATGACCTAGCCTCTGATCATTTTATTCTTTTTTGATTTTTCAATTGCTCATATAATTCATTTCAAACAAAAGGAAGAAAGTGATCATAGAAATAGGCTAGGTAGCGGGAAAGGAAGACAGAAATGCTTAACAAGTTGCAAACAGGAAAAAGAAATTAGGACAAACGGGCTTCAGAAAAGCCGCAAGCACGCTGGTAAACAAACTTAGGCTGCCCTGGAGCAACCCCCTGTTTGTCTTTGCTTTATGGTGCAATGTAGTCTAGTGGTCTGATCAACTGGGAATCTCAGTTTTGCCTCAGACTCCCTGTTCTGTACTGAATGGCCTTGGACAGGGATCTCTGATGTGAGATAGGCAGGTTTTCAAACTGTGAGGGTCAATGTTTATAAGTGGAAATGTTGCAAAGGGGTGAAGGGCATTATTACAACTAAAGGAAGCACTATTATATAGAAACAATCAAATCAAGGATTTTTTTTTCTGCACATTTAGAGCCAAACACTCAATTTTCCTGCCCTGACAATTTGTTTATTTGTTCGTGTTTGGATTTTATTGAGGTCCCTGATAACACAGGCATTTTGGAAATGGGTGGGAGTATGTGTGAATAGCAAAAGAAATCATCTACTGGCAGGTATTGATAGTTTCTTCTGTTTTGTGCATCCTCTCTTCCTATCCCTAGAACTGATCTCTTTTTTTAAATAAGAATATATATTGTAATGTATATTTTAGATTTTATAATAAGCATGCTTAGTTATTTGCATTTTTCTCAAAATAATATTATATGTACATATTAGTAATCAAGATATTCAAACACATCTTTAGATGAAACCATGTTTAAAGAAAGCTCTACTTCTATTAAAATCCTGCGATACTTAGAGCAGTGCAGTTTAGCCGAGTTTGCTGATGAGTGAAATCCATAAATAGTTAAGAGCCTCCAGCCATGGTAAAGAGGAAGTAAAATAGACTGATCTCATGACCTAAAAACAAAAGCTGCAAAATAATTAACATTTTACTTAGTATTTAAACAAAATATTGTAGAGTGAGAATTTGGTTATATCTGAATTGGATTTTCATCTCAATGTTGGAGTCCAACAGACTTGGAACTATTATGCTTTCTTTTATTTCAAAGTTCAGGCTTTAATAAGAAAATTGTTTCTATTGTTCATTAAATTATATAATCACTTAAGAGGAACTGTATCCAAGTTTTTACCTTTAAGCCTTATGTACAAATTACAAAATGTAAAAGTTAATTCTTTAAAATTTATATTCTGTGTTTAGTAGATTATTTTTTAATGTTGAGTACTGTTTTCCATTTAGAATTCATAGATCTAAATAGTAACAGGCCCTGCTTATCTAGGAGTAAAGGAAGAAAGAAACCTATTCTTGCCTCCAGCTTACCCCAAACATAGAGACTGAAGAAATTAAATTTATTCTAGGCTCTGCTGTACAAAGCCTAGAAAAATAATCTAGCCCAATAGTAATTAGTTTCCCTTTTTCATCTCTCTTCTCTTCGCCTGGCTTCCTTTTTGTCTTTTTTTCTCCTTTTTTTTTCCTTTTTGTTCCAATATATTTGGGTACCTACTGTGTACCCAGCACTGTGATGCTGAGTGCCTTGGAATTAAAAATGAAAAAGATCCAGGGTCAGAGAGCAGACCAGAAAGATGGCAAATGAGAAACCATCTACATATTCCACAAGGTACTGAGAGAGAGCATTAGCAAGACACAGAGATGAGGTTGAGGCGAGCGGATCACCTGAGGTTAGGAGTTCAAGACCAGCCTAGCCAATATGGTGAAAGCCTGTCTCTACTAAAAAATACAAAAAATTAGCCAGGTGTGGTGGCAGGCACCTGTAATCCCAGCTACTTGGGAGGCTGAGGCAGGAGAATCGTTTGAACCTGGGAGACAGAGGTTGCAGTGAGCTGAGATCACGCCATTTGCACTCCAGCCTGGGCAACAGTACTGAAACTCCGTCTCGGGAAAAAAAAAAAAAAGAGAAAAGAAAAAAAGACACATAGATGCAACAGGCTGCAGGACTTAAGGTTTTAAGGAGAGCTTCTTGGAGGAATTGAGCTTTGGAACTAGTTGGTACTAAAAGACAGGTAGCAACTGACCGAGTACATGAAAAGAAATAAGGCAGGGGACAGCATACACAAAGCTTAGAAAGAACATGCAAGTCAATGTGTCTATTTCATTTAGGGGCAGGGGGGAGATGAGTGGGAGCAAGAGATGAAGCTGGAGTCTGACATGGGGTAAAAGCCTTCCATGCCATGCTGTGGAATTTGGATTTATTTCCGTGGGGAATAGGAGCCACAGAAGGTGATTAGATAGAAGAATGACATGACCAGATTTGCATTTTAGAAAAATCACCCTGGCATCTTCTATAAGTCTTATGGGGTTGAAATTGAGTGTTTCTGGGAGATACCATGTCATACGAATGTGAATTTCTTTAAACCTGGGCCTATGCATTCATTCACGCAGCAAACCTTTGTTGAGCACCTATTTAACACAAAGCACCATACTCAGCACTGTGGTAAATACAAAATGGGACAAGATACAGCCAACAGCAAGATTTTCAACATCATACCTAACTACTATCTTTTTTTAAGTGTCTAATGAAAACTTATGGTAGCACAGCCATGCTTATTCATTTACATATTATCTATAGCTGCTTTCCTGCTGCAATGGCAGAGCTGAGCAGTTGTAACAGATGTGGTCTGACCTGCGAAGCCAAAAACATTTGCTCTCTGAACTATTAAAGAATTCTCTTTTTAAGACAGGCTTGCTACTGTCCAAACCTCACCAGTGAACCCCCATGCATTGTCTATAATATCCAATTGGTGTAGAGCTTAATTCCACCATTAAAAAATTTTCTTTGGTTTTGAAATGCAAGAACTCCAATAAGATTAGTAGACTCTATTCTTCCATTTCTTGAAATAATATTTTCCGTGTCAATTACATCTCCCTTGCCATTAACAATTAACAAAAACTGAAAAATAGTAGAGAGTAAAACTTCAGCCTTGTAAGTCTGCATAATTCCCTGGTCTAGATAAATGAATTTCTTTCATGTCTAAGAACATTCAAAGTGCTGAGTTTAATTTAAAAGAAAAATAAAGCTGGTTGAACATTCTCACTCTAATTCTACTTGTAGGAAATAAAGAAGGATAGAAATTAGCACCTATCTCAGTGGAGTGTTTTGAGAAATCACTGCGTGAAAAGATGGACTGTGATCTCAATCAGAAGCCACTGCAATGAGATTTTGGAACCAAATATAGCCCCTAGAGACCAACTTGGCTCTTAAGTAGAAACAATCAATCCTACATTTAAATTTCTGGGGTTTTTATTATAGATAAAAGAAAATCCAAATAACCTTCATTCATGTCTTACGCCAATTTCTTTAGACTTTAGGAATTATGGCACTTGTCTATTATGCAACCTCTTCTAAGGGAACTTACACAAAAATTCCATTTTTCAAAACTTAAGAAAACCTTTTATAATAAAATAGTTTGAAGAAAAACGAAAAACTAATTGGAAACTCACTGGAAATAAGACCACTAGCTGAACCAAATGATTCACATAGAAACAACAATAGAAAGCTAAATGCACAACTTGTGGCTTGTATATTAATAATGCAAGAGCCATATACATTTATTCATAATAATGGACTGAAGATAATTTGCTGTAGAAGAATTGAACCATAACTAATTGTTGCTCTACACATTTTATGTTAGTGTTATAATCTGACGTTATGAAGATTTTCATACTAAAATTTAATGTCAAAATTTCATTCAGTATTAGTGTCTGATTTTTATCTATATGTACAATATACATATCATGGATACTATAACAAATATTGAACATAAACTCTTTTTAGGACACCTTTTAACTTCCTTTTTTATCTTTGATTAAAGTACAGACCCACCATTAACCTAACAAATAGTTCAAATCATTCTGGATCTCCAATTATTAGTCGAGGTTTACTCTATGGGAGAAATAGAATTCTGTTAATTTCTTTGAAGAAATCATCAAAAATAATTATGGAGCCTGGAGAATCTATAAAAATAATATGAAGAGGAGGTTTTCATCTCTAGTGAGTGCTTCAAATTGCTTGAACATTATTTACTCTGCCCAACCACAAGGACAGGGAACCTTCATTGCCTTAAAGCTTCTTCTTCTTTTTTTTTTATTATACTTTAAGTTCTAGGGTACATGTTCACAATGTGCAGGTTTGTTACATATGTATACATGTGCCATGTTGCTGTGCTGCACCCATTAACTTGTCATTTACATATGGATGAAGCTGGAAACCATCATTCTGAGCAAACTATCGCAAGGACAGAAACCAACACTGCATGTTCTCACTCATAGGTGGGAACTGAACAAAGCTTCTTCTATACAGGAAAGTTGGTGCTACAAAACAAAGAGAATACAAGAAAATGCCAACAATGAAAACGGAAATCAAGGAAACAGTAAGAAACAAAACCACCGGTGTTTTTCCTGGTATCCAGATTCTTGACCTGAGAACTTGATTATATCAGTTGCTTAACTTGGGCCTCAGTTTCTTCTCCCTTAAATGTAGATAACAATGGTTGCCTGTACACTTCACTGGTCATTGTGAGTAACAATGAGAAACAATAGAATAAAGGCATAAGTGCATCTCAAGTTGTCAGGTGCTAAATCTTTGTAAGGGTGGTGAGTATTATTCTTCCTGGATGGAGTTCTTTCTCCTCCACTGGTTTATTTTCTTAGTTTCTGAGAATGCATATATTTGTTAATAACTCACCCAGAATGTTGAAGTAAATATTTTTTTAGTCCTTTAATCATCAGAGGAGACATGTTAGCCTGATTAAAATATCTATCCTTGATATCAATCTACTTGCGTATTAGTCTGTTCCCACAGTCAAATGAAAGTATGGCCCTTTTCCGAATTCCAGAAGCTCAAAGCCTTTCATTTCAGCAAATCTATAAACTAGAGAATTTCTTGTCTACAAAGTACTAGTTCATGGTTTGTGGTCCTTTTGACACCTGTGACATTGACTCTCTACAAGATCCTTGAGGGCACAGACTTTTTGTTAGGACAAGTTTTCCAATATCCACCCAGTTGCCACTAGAGTTGTGTTAAAACAGAGTACTGTTGAGATGCCACCCTACTTAAAATCTGTCACTCAACTCATCGAAACTGATTGTTTCGATGCAATTCAGGAAACAGATATTTTGGGTTATATCAGGGCTAGGCTCTGTGCTAGGTACAAAGCAATTCAACAAGGACTTAGATATGATAGGAGCCCTCCAGGAGCCCCTCCTGCTTATGTGATGTTACTCAACTCCACGGGATGGCAGCTGGGCTTTAAAAAATCTTTCTCTAACTTAAAACACAAACCATGTTAAAGGCAGTTTTCAGAAAAATGGAAAAATTTAATATGAGCCTCTATTAGATGATATCTGACCATCTAATAAATTATCATTGATTTTATTTGTGATAATGGCATTGTGATATATAAGAAAATATCCACCTTTTTAGAGATACACATCAAAATCAGAAGATGTAAACTAATAGATGTCTGCAGTATACTTTAAAAAAAAATTAAGCGAAAAAAAGAAAAAACAAAACAAAACAAAACAGGTTGATGAACAAATGGGCCAAAATTTTTTTGAGACCGTGTCTTACTGTGTCACCCAGAGGCTGGAATGCGTTGGTGTGATTATGGCTCACGGCAGCCTTGACCCCCCCGGGCTCAGACAATCCTCCTACCTCAGCCTCCAGTGTAGCTGGAACCACAGGTACACACCACCATGCCTGACTTTTTTTTTTTCATGTTTCATAGAGACCAGGTCTCACTGTGCTGCCTAGGCTGGTCTCAGACTCCTGGGCTCAACCAATCCACACACCTCAGCCTTCCAAAGTGGCAGGATTACAGATGTGAGCCACCATACCTGGCGCCAAATTTTGATAATTGTTAAATGTAAGTAATAGGCCTTTGAGGAATCATTTTATTATTCTCTTTCCTTTTGTGAATTCTTGGAATCTTTCATAATAAACACATTTAAAGAATTGGTTTCCCAAACTTCTAGACTTTTATTCACTTAGGATTAGCCTTAGCACCCATAGCAGTGTGTCCGGAATTGGTGGGTTCTTGGTCTCACTGACTTCAAGAACGAAGCCGCGGACCCTCGCGGTGAGTATTACAGCCCTTAAGGTGGCGCGTCTGGAGTTTGTCCCTTCTGATGTTCAGATGTGTTCGGAGTTTCCTTTTTCTGGTGGGTTCGTGGCCTCGCTGGCTCAGGAGTGAAGCTGCAGACCTTCGCAGTGAGTGTTACAGCTCTTAAGGCAGCGCGTCTGGAGTTGTTCGTTCCTCCCGGTGGGCTCGTGGTCTCGCCGGGCTCAGAACTGAAGCTGCAGATCTTCGCGGTGAGTGTTACAGCTCATAAATGCAGCGTGGACCCAAAGAGTGAGCAATAGCAAGATTTATTGCAAAGAGCGAAAGAACAAAGCTTCCACAGTGTGGAAGGGGACCCGAGCGGGTTGCCAATGCTGGCTCGGGCAGCCTGCGTTTATTCTCTTATTTGGCCCCACCCATATCCTGCTGATTGGTAGAGCCGAGTGGCCTGTTTTGTCGGGGCGCTGATTGGTGCGTTTACAATCCCTGAGCTAGATACAAAGGTTCTCCACGTCCCCATCAGATTAGTTAGATACAGAGTTTGGACACACAGGTTCTCCAAGGCCCCACCAGAGCAGCTAGATACAGAGTGTCGATTGGTGCACTCACAAACCTTGAGCTAAACACAGGGTGCTGATTGGTGTGTTTACAAACCCTGAGCCAGACACAGAGTGCCGATTGGTGTATTTACAAACCTTGAGCTAGACATAAAGGTTCTCCACGTCCTCACCAGAGCAGCTAGATACAGAGTGTCGATTGGTGCACTCACAAACCTTGAGCTAAACACAGGGTGCTGATTGGTGTGTTTACAATCCCTGAGCTAGATATAAAGACTCCCCACATCCCCACCAGACTCAGGAGTCCAGCTGGCTTCACCTAGTGGATCCCGCACCGGGACTGCAGGTGGAGCTGCCTGCCAGTCCTGCGCCGTGCGCTCGCATTCCTCAGCCCTTGGGTGGTCGATGGGACTGGGCGCAGTGGAGTAGGGGGTGGTGCTCCTAGGGGAGGCTCGGGCCGCACAGGAGCCCATGGAGTGGGTGGGAGGCTCAGGCATGGCGGGCTGCAGGTCCCGAGCCCTGCCCCGCGGGAAGGCAGCCAAGGCCCAGCGAGAAATCGAGCACAGTGCCGGTGGGCCGGCACTGCTGGGGGACTCAGTACACCCTCCGCAGCCACTGGCCCGGGTGCTAAGTCCCCCATTGCCCGGGGCCAGCAGGGCTTGCTGGCTGCTCCGAGTGCGGGGCCCACCAAGCCCACGCCCACCCGGAACTCCAGCTGGCCCGCAAGCGCCGCACGCAGCCCCGGTTCCCGCTCGTGCCTCTCCCTCCACACCTCCCTGCAAGCTGAGGGAGTGGGCTCCAGCCTTGGCCAGCCCAGAAAGGGGCTCCCACAGTGCATTGGGGGGGTGGGTGGCTGAAGGGCTCCTCAAATGCCACCGAAGTGGGAGCCCAGGCAGGGGAGGTGCCGAGAGCAAGCGAGGGCTCTGAGGACTGCCAGCATGCTGTCACCTCTCAGCAGGAGCTATGCTCAAGAGTTGTGTCCTCCCACAGTTTCCTCTCCTGACTTGCAATGTCTCCAGGATCCTATTTAATGTAGTCTTTGAAGGCCTCAACATCAGCTCTGCTGGGAAGTCCTTGCTTAATCGCTCAAATAAAACAGACTTTGCCCATCTTTAAGTACTCAGAAGTTGGCTAATTCCTCTATTATGACATTAGTATATTTTCTTATATAAAATATTACTTGTCTTCTTCTCCTGCTGCAGTGGAAACTTTTTAAGATTAGGCAATGTGGCCGGTAGTGGTGGCTCACGTCTGTAATCCCAGCACTTTGGGAGGCTGAGGCGGGTGGATCACCTGAGGTCAGGAGTTCAAGACCAGCCTGGCCAAGATGGTGAAACCCCGTCTCTACTAAAAATACAAAAATTAGCCGGGCGTGGTGGCAGGCACCTGTAATCCCAGCTACTCAGGAGGCTGAGGCAGAGAATTGCTTGAACCTGGAAGGCAGAGGTTGCAGTAAGCCGAGATCGTGCCACTGCATTCCAGCCTGGACGACAGAGCGAGACTCCATCTCTAAAAAAAAAAAAAAACACAAAAAACAAAAAAAACAAAAACAAACAAACAAAAAAGACTGGGCAATGTATTATTTTCATTGTCTTTCTTTCCCCTGACTTTTCACAGGGTCTGACACAGAATCATAAAACCCCTGAAAATGTCTGTGAAATCGTAGAGTTATCACAGTATTCACAGCACAGAGCACATAGCAGGAATGTCATTTCGTGACCTCAAGAAGGATAGCGCCACAAGTATATTTGGGCAGCTAAGCTGTGAAAATTTTATTTTGATTGGAGGAATACAGAACTATGCAAAACTTGGGTGTATTTGTTTAACTTAACCTAGTTACTACAGCAGTTTCTCAAACTTCCTCATTCATTTAGGGGTTTAGGTATTTGATTGACTGGCGCCAGCAAGAACTCATTTTGGAGAGCACCACATACATAACTAGGTCTCATTCAGGCACGGTCCACACTATTCCTATCCACAAAGTGCTTTTGATTTACCGGGAAATCTTTTGACAAAGCTCTTCTCCCTTCAGGGAAGTGTGGGTGGTGGTGGTGGTGCAGGACCTAGAAGCAAAAAAGGGACACTTCTAACAAAGCCGTGAAGTTCTTCTGTGCTGTTATAACGCGATCTACCTAGGTAAAGATTTGCTCTCTACATTTGTTTACAGAAATTGATTCCACAAATCTTTGTAAAGAGGAGTGTTTTAGGGGCAAAACAAATGTGACACTTTCTAAGAGCAAACTCTGTATACGAATTTAGACTTAGTTAAAATAACTAGTTATCATGTGATCTGATCTTAACTGGCTTTTTAAAAGCAGCAAAGGAAATATATTTTGTTAGTTTAGCGTGCTTGTCAGAACTGATCCTGAGACATGGTTTCCTTGGGCACGTGGCGTGTGTTTTGAAAAATCAGCCTCCTTTGGGAATTGTACTCTTAAGATATTTGTTCAGAGATGTTCAAGCTCTCAGTTACAAGATGCTTGAGCCAGAAACAGAAAAGTCTGAGTACAGTGCCATTGTTACATTGTCATGTGCGTCTGTGCGTGTGTATGTGTGTGTGTGTGTGTGTGTGTGTGAGAGAGAGAGAGAGAGAGATAGCTATGATAAAATATGAAAGTGTCATCTTCCTCAAGTAATTCTGACCATCTGTCGTCTCAGCTCATCTTAGGGTCATAGCTGTGTTGTTTCTCTTAGGGCTAAGTTGAGAGTATAATATTAAACAATATAGAATTGATAGCAGGCCCTTTCTTTCCCCACCTCCCCATTGTCCAACTGTATGTACCTGTTCAAAGAACAAAAAACACTATAAATGATAGTATTTGACCACAGATTATGATTTCCAACCTTGCTTGTTTCCTTAGGCCACATTGAAACTGCATCTTTTTTTTTGTCCCTTTAACCCAAAAAGTAATGATGGTGGCTGATGGCACTTGGTAAGGAATTCACCTTTTATAGAGCAATTATTTAATAAGGGTTTAAAATTATTATTATTACAATCACTAAGCAAATTACAGTATATAAAATTTTTTCCAGGCAAAATCCATTAGTCATGATCAAAGATTCCTCAGTACTAAAGACTGTGCATGCATAATAAATATACTTGGGGGTAAATTTGCTTTAGGGGAAAAATGAAGCCTGTAGTTGCTGGATGGAATTATGCGTATTTGAGTTAAAGCACTTTAGCGTCACTATGAGTTGAAGCCAACTGAATCTTATTGTTACAGATAAGTCCCATTTCCTTGAAAATATAAACTATGTATTTGTTATGGGACTTACTTATAGGTGTGCAGAGTCTACCATAGGTTAATCTTTATTGTACAAATCACTTTTGCTTTTATGGGAAGTGCTGTTGTGCTGTACTCTACATGGTTATATAAATTATGCAGTTTAAGGCACAATTAGCATGCATTCTCTCAGCTTATGAATAATAACATTCTTTTAATAACAATATATTTAGACACACATAGAATGAAAGGAGCTTAATGTATCGTTCAAGGTTCTTTCATTGCACAGAATAAGGATGAAATGCTGTTTAGGAACTCAATGAAAATGTTACAAAATATCCTCTTAATCTATAATGTACACATTGTGTATATGACATCCTTGGGACTATGCAATGGAAATAGTGACAAGTAAACAATGAAACAAAAGGAAATCAATTTACCAAACCCAGAAAGGTGAAAGCATTTGGTGAAACACAACTCCACAAAGAAATGTGAAGTGCTGACAGAACTGTTACATAACCTTCAATTTATTTTAATAACACTGGAAGGGCAGATGTCATAGTGGTTCCTGGAAATCTTTTTGAGGTTTCCAGGATGTGTTCCCATTAATTTTTTTTAAAGCACCTACTACATTGTGCAACCTATAACCAGCATTGACTAATTTATATCATGTTCCCTCTTGAGGCTGACTCAGGTCTAGTTCTCCTAAAAGAGAACTGAGCAGGATGTAGGAGTCATATGCAAAGAGGCTTCTCCATGCAGGACAGAACACAGCCTCAGGAAGGTCACAGGGGTCAAGCTGATTACCTCCTCCAGCTCTGGCAAGCAGAGGGCTCAGCTGGGTTACCCAAGTTCACAAGAGCTATTGACATTCAGCTGTAGCTCCCACTCATTATGGGATCAGCAGGGGACTGTCTGGGCCTCCTGTTAACTCTTCTGTGCCCTGTTTTAAGATTGCAGTGAGGTCAAAAAGGAAGCCATCAGGTAGCTTTGCCTCAACTTCTTAATAGTTATGATTCAAGAAATGAATCTTTTAAACCAGTGTCTAATAAACCTTTTACAAGTGGATGCCTGCAACCAATCATTTCAAAAGCTCTGGATAAAACGCAAGTAAATATGTTTGTTCATGATGCAGTAAATGTTTATTTCCTAGACTGAAATGGAAATGGGGAGGATATGTTTTCTCTTCCCACCAAGAATAATTCCCACTTTGTCTTTAATAAGGAAGGCCACACATGATTTTTAAAGAGATAATAGCAGCACTATTGTCACTTAAAAGTGCATGTTTTCCCTGAGTTGCTCGTGTAAAACTAACCTCAGAGAGAACTTTAACAACTCATCATCTAAGAAGTGAAGTCACAGTTTTACAGAAGTTCAGAAGCTCTCTATTAGGTTACAGACATGGAGCTCTAAGTGGTAAGCCTGTTCCTTCAGGCTTTGATCTCCTGCTGACACATTATGATCTTCTAGAAGTGACTTAACCTCTTTGCCTCTATGAACTCATTTGTAAATGGAGAATAATAGTTAATTAATCCACGAAGCATGTCTCTGTGGTAGCAATGGGAAGACTGACTCTCTGTTACACCCAAGGGCCTCTAAGTCATCTATCTTTCCTAGTTCTTCCTTTTTTAGCGTTATACTGGCCCTAGAACACACATTATGCTGAATCCTTGGTTCTCCTCTTTTATTCCTAATTGCTCCCGCAAATGGTTGAGTATCTGTACACAGTTGGGGTTAGTTTTCATTCAACTACTATATTTAAAAAGTATTAAGCTTCTTTTAAGGGCCAAGAGCTTGTAAGACAAAAGCTGTACCCTAAAGGAGGTTAGAGTTTAGCCAGAAGACATGGAATTATAAGCAATGTGGTCAATTCCAGGAATCCACCTAAATAATTCAGAGTCCAGGTGGATTTGGGGAGTTAGGAGTTATCTAGTTTGATTTCTGGCTTTGTCAGATGATCTAGCTGACTGCCAAATCTACACTTGACCCAAAGACACAAAAGACTATCTACATAGACTCGTTCAATCTTGACTTTAATCACAAATGCAAACAGAAATTCCTTGATCTACCTCTTTCTGTAACATTTGACACTGTTGGCCATTCTCTCTATTATGAGTGTTCTAGAAGCTGTCTCGGTAAATTGGGCAATGCTAGCTCTGCATGATTCTTAGCTCTCCACCTTTCTCTTGCCATACTCTTTCACTTGATGATTTCTATCGCCCTCGCCCCCAACTCCCACTTTATGGATTTAGCCATTTCCCAAATCTTTAGCACTAACTCCCAGCCCTCTTCGAAGCAAGAGGTCCATTTTTGTACTTGCCTGCTCTGCATTTCCACTGGTTTATCCCACTGGCATTTTTAACTCGAGTCTATAGTGACATCTTTCCCCAGATGAGCTCCGTCCTCCGACTTCCCTTTTGCGTGTGAGGATTCATTATCCACCCAGTTAATCAGGCTCTCAACTCCAGAGTCATCTTTGATTTCCTCCTCTGCTTTGACCCACCTAACTTGTCTCCCATCAATAACCCATCAATTCTATTTTCACCCTTTCCTTTATTTATTTTGTACACAGCCTTCATCTTCTTAAGGCAAAACTGTTAATTTTCTCATTTCTCCGTCATACCCTAATACATCACAGGCTAAGTTCCAAAATATTGGATGTACCGTTTAAACTTCTATAACCTGGCATCAACTTACATTTTGTCAGCCTTCTGATTGATGATATATTGTTTCATATTGCTTTACAGCCACCCCAAAAGTTATACACCCTTCCTGAATATGCTGCATATGATTCTGCCTCCTTGTGTCTGCATTTGCCGTCCCTGCAGTCAATATCCTACAGTTCTTCACAAACTAGTTCAGACATCCATGAATCCCTCACTGATTTATCTTACAGTCAGTCTTCTGATGTGTAGCTTTTAAGTCCTACTTTTCCTAAGGAACTCAACATTGACTATCAGTGTCATGGGCATTTATGGCTTTACCTGACTTCTCAGTGCTCTGAAGATGGAGAGGCTGCGTCATGTGGGTGTGGATCCCTCTGCATCACTAAGCACAATTCTTGGCAGAGAGTAGAGGGTTAGTAATATATATTGCAAAACCGATGTATTAGTCAGGGTTCTCTAGAGGGACAGACCTAATAGGATAGTTGTATATATAAAGGAGACTTTATTAAGGAGTACTGACTCACAAGATCACAAGGTGAAGTCCCACAATAGGCTGTCTGCAAGCTGATGAGCAAGGAAACCAGTCTGAGTCCCAAAACCTCAATAACAGGGAAGCCCACAGTACAGCCTTCAGTCTGTGGTGGAAGGCCTGAGAGCCCCTGGTAAACCATTGGTGTAAGTCCAATAGTCCAAAAGCTGAAGAACTTCGAGTCCCATATTCAAGGGCAGAAAGCAACCAGCACAGGAGAAAGACGTAGGCTGGAAGCCTCAATCAGTCTAGCCCGTCCACGTACCTCTGCCTGCTTTTATCCTAGCTGCCCTGGCAGCTGATTAGATGGTGCCCACCCAGATTGAGGGGTGGGTCTTCTTCTCCCAGTTCACAGACTGAAATGTTATTCTCCTTTGGCAACACCCTCAAAGACACACCCAGAAACAATACTTTGCATCCTTCAATCCAATCAGGTTGACACTCAATATGAATCACAACCAACATAAATGAAATCAAATAAAGGATACCTTTTTTCTGAATAGGCTGAAATATTTAAAATTTTAGAACATCAAAACTTTAATGAAATTCATTTTAGTTTATTATTTCTTCTATTACAATTTCCTCAAAACGAGAGAGAAAATTCAGATTATTTTTTGACATGTAAAGGACAACAGACGGCTACTAAATGAGGATTAAAATTTAAATATGAAGAGTTAACGACATCAAGAGTGAAAATCCCACTGGATTGCAAATAGAATGGAAAAACCAAATAGTGTCATCAAACCATTCCATTAGACTTTCAGTTAATAACTGGCAGTAACAAAGTTCTCCTCAGGAAAATTAACAGTGATATTTAAGCAGGGCCATTTCTGTGATCAGAGCTATGTAAAAAATCAAGAGAAGAAAATGAGATTTAAAAAAAGTAGTTCCTGGAAAACATGGATAATTTATTATCATTTTATTGTGAGACAATTAACAAATTAAATTATAGAAGTCAAATCCTAAAAGAGAAATACGTTTTATAGCATTTTTTTTCTTTGTTTTTTTGAGATGGAGTCTTGCTCTTGTTACCCAGGCTGGAGTGCAATGGCACGGTCTCGGCTCACTGCAACCTCCACCTCCCGGGTTCCAGCAATTCTCCTGCGTCAGCCTCCCGAGTAGCTAGGATTACAGGCACCCGCCACCATACCTGGCTAATTTTTTTTTAATTTTTAGTAGAGATGGGGTTTCACCATGTTGGCCAGGCTGGTCTTGAACTCCTAACCTGAAGTGATTTGCCTGCCTCAGCCTCCCAAAGTGCTGGGATTACAGGTATGAGCCACCATGCCTGGCCCATTTAATATCTTTAAATATAAAAATAAAGACTAGTTTCTGTGACTTGTTATAGAAGATATTGAGAAGAATGTAAAGTTGTTCAAGATGATGCAAAACTACCTTTTAAAAAAGGGAAAAGTGAAAATATGGTAATATTGCTATTGTGAAAACTACTGTAGAAGTAACCACTACATAGATTTGCATTTTTCATATCTAAAAAAAGAAAAGAAGAAAATTGAATTTTGTCTGATTGCTGCCTTTAACATCCAGGGTTGAGTCTGTCACTACTACATGGATAGAAATGCGTCTGTTTTTTTCTCCAATATTCTTGTTAGAAAATCGTGGGATTCCTAATGGGTATTTTCCCTCCTCTGGCAGATCACTTTTTATTATTGCTTCTATTTAGAAATGAAGAACTGGTAGAGATGGGCATACAGGTGTAAGATTGTGGCACAAATCCTGAATGCCATAATTTGTGATTTCCCCACAATCTCACTGATCCACTGCTTGCAGTGTCTGGTTATGGTTTCTCTCCTGGAATCTGACCCATGCTTTTACTCAACAGAGGTCACCTCAAAGGAGGCTGGTCTGTCTGCCCCCTAGTTTTCCAGATGCTAATCATGCTGCCATTAAAATTGTGCTTCAAGGTAACTTTAATTCATTACTTTCCGCATTGCTTTTAGTCATGTCGGTTCAGATAAGCGCACCATTGTGCTATGTCTTGGAAATCTGGCATCACCAATTCTTCCCACATCTTCATCTCAGTGCAGCCGAGGTGCAATAAGCATTTCTTGCTTTAATGCTGGTATGTCAGGTACTTAACATTGAATCACCTGTGAGCAATCTGTGTTTTAAGGAGCTTTCCTGGTGATTTTAGATATGCTAAGGTTTGAGAACCACTGGTTTAGGTAATTAATAAAAACTGATGTAACAGACAAATCTCAATAGCCTAATACGACAAAGTCTTCTTTCTTGCTTGCATCACCATCTAACATGGGTCAGATAGGCTCCCTCTATCTTGTAGTTAAGATAACTTGTTTTCTTTTCCTATGGAGAAAATTACTTTAGTAATTATAAAAGTAGTACATGCTTATTATAAAAAATTTGAAAGACATGAAGTTGTAAATAATAAAATAAAATCACCTATGATTTCAATGTTTAGATTAATAATGTCTATTAATATCTTGGTGCCTTTGCTTTCTTCTCTCGAACACTTGGCTTTCAAGTTGCTAAGGAAGGGAAACAAATCCAAGGGATTGTTTGGGAAGAGGTTATGGGGCAGGCTCGGGAATGGCTTACATCCTTTCTGCTAGAATTCAGTAACATCAGTGACATCACTGCACCATACTGCAAGGAAGGCTGGGAAATGTAGAGCATCACATGGTTATTTTTGAGAGTTAATATCTGCCACAAACAGGATCAGAGAAACATTAGGTTACTTCCACCAGGCAGACAGGTTGTTTTGATTTTTCATTTTATTATTATTATTTATTTATTTATTTTTAACTTTTTTGAGTTTTGCTCTTGTCGCCCAGGCTGGAGTACAGTGGCACAATCTCACTCACTGCGACATCTGCCTCCCAGGTTCACACAATTCTTGTGTCTCAGCCTCCTGAGTAGCTGGGACTACAGACATGCTCCACTACGGCTGGCTAATTTTTGTTTTTTGGGTATTCTTAGTACAGATGGGGTTTCACCATGTTGGCCAGGCTGGTCTCAAACTCCTGACCTCAAGTGATCCCCCCACCTCAGCCTCCCAAAGTGCTGGGATTACAGGCATGAGCCACTGCACCCCGCTTCGATTTATATTTTTATAGCATCCATGGACCCTTGGTGCTGAATCATCTTGAAAGCCTTCTTCCTGCTCATATTTGACTGACTAGCATAGGGTCTCTATTTGTCTTTGAGATTTTTTCTGAATCTATTTGTGTCCAGGCTAGGGCCACACAAGACACAGACATAGACATACATACACAGCTATGCATGTATAAATATAAAAATAAAAGGGCTAGCTCAAGATGTTCTGAAGTGTAGAAATTATACTGAAGGGTAGTATCACTCAAGCTATCCTCTTCCCACTCTTGATTACATTCCCCCAGAGGTACCAACTTTGAACCACATGTAAAGCTGGTATTTAACTCCGTAACTCTCAATGAAGTCATAAATTCCAATCTCGTAGAGGCTGGGCAGGTAATGTAAGCAGAGAAAGCAGAGTAGGAGATACATAGCTATGAGATTGAGGATTTATGGTCAATGGAATAGCATAGTCTCCACCCAAAGGAAACGGTATGCTAGCTCTGGCCAATTGCTCCCATGTATGAAGGCAACCTCAGTGTTGCTAGATTTTTCTTTCAATTATTTTTCTTTAGGAAAACTAGAAATCTAGATGTTTTGGTTAAGTTTCTTAATTTTTTTTTACAACCATTGCCTAAGAAATAAAAGACAAATGAAAAGGATCTCTTTTGCAGAATTGGCCTGTACATGCAAGCCCTGTGCTAAACCACACACTCACACATCTATTATATATGTGTGTGTGTGTGTGTGTGTGTGTGTGTGTGTGTGTGTGTGTTTGAGACAGGGTCTCACTCTGTCATCCAGGCTGAAGTGCAGTGGTACAATCATGGCTCACTGCAGCCTCAATCTGCTGGGTTCATGTGATCTTCACATCTCAGCCTCCTGAGTAGCTGAGACTACAGATGTGTACCACCATGCCCAGTTAATATTTCAAATTTATATTATGTAGAGACAGGGTCTTACTATGTTGCCCTGGCTGGTCTCAAACTCTTGGGATCAAGTGATCCTTCCGTCTCAGCCTCCCAAAGTGCTGGGATTACAGGCATGAGACACTGTGCCAGCCCACACCTCTATTTGGCATTTAACAACTTAAAATTGCTTAACAATTTAAACCCCAGAATTTACAACTTAAAATACCTTATTTTTCCATATAGAAATTGATGAATTTGCTGACCTATACTCTCTCCTTATTTCTACTTTATTTTTCCCACTGAATTTTTTATTAATCATATTATTATTACTATTATTATTATTTTGAGATGGAGTCTCGCTCTGTCGCCCAGGCTGGAGTGCAATGGTGTGATCTCGGCTCACTGCAACCTCTGCCTCCCGGGTTCAAGCAATTCTCCTGCCTCAGCCTGCCAAGCAGCTAGGACTACAGGTGCACGCCACCACACCCAGCTAATTTTTGTATTTTTAGTGGAGACCGGGTTTCGCCATGTTGGCCAGGGTGGTCTCGATCTCCTGACCTCATGATCTGCCCGCCTTGGCCTCCCAAAGTGCTGGGATTACAGGTGTGAGCCACTGAGCCCGGCCATTAATCATATTATTATTATTAAACGTTATTTTTTGTTTATCAAAGTTGACATTAACTCCTTATGTCCATTTTTAGGATAAGAAAATTAGCACTCCTCCACATTTTTCTCCTCCTTCTGCTCCATACCTTTATGGATCTATTAGGTATGGCATTATTTGAACTTGATTAAGTTTACACTCTTTAAATTTCAGACTAACACGGCTAATTAAATATTTAATAATTTACATTCTAAAATTCAGAACCAATAAATATTTTCAATATTACAGTTACAGTAATTTAGAATCATCATGGAGCTGAGTGGAATGATGTAATGCTACTTCACTAACCTTGGTCCACTTGACAAACGATGTTCTAAGAGTGAAGGTCAAGTGGGCCTTTTTCTTTACACTCCACAAGTAGCTCAAAACATTCCACACTGCAGTCTTTGTCAGATTTGGTCCGTGGCTTCCTGATACAGGATTTTGCTCTTCTTTGAGTTTCCAGTTTTCTTTTTTAATTTCCCTATTGACAGAAGAAGCTTAAGCCTTTTATTCAGTGCCACAATAATCCCGTCTTTTAACTCTACTATATGTCAAAGTTAATCCATTTCTTCTAGAGAACATTGTAGTTAGTATCCTCTATACTCATGTTCCAGTTTTGACCATTTTTTTTTTTCTCACATGCCCCAGGTCCTACTTTGGAAAGATTACTTTTTTTTTTTTGAAATGGAGTCTTGCTCTTTTGCCCAGGCTGGAGTGGAGTGGCGCGATCTTGGCTCACTGCAACCTCTGCCTCCCTGGTTCAAGCGATTCTCCTGCCTCAGTCTCCTGAGTAGCAGGGCTTACAGGTGCCTACCAACATACGTGCCTAATTTTTGTATTTTTAGTAGAGACAGGGTTTCACCATGTTGACCAGGCTGGTCTTGAACTCCTGACCTCAGGCAATCTGCCCACCTCGGCCTCCCAAAGTGCTGGGATTACAGGCGTGAGCCACCGCGCCTGGCCTGGGAGGATTTCTTTTCATTGTACTTCTGGGTTGGTGCACTATGTCTTAGATCCCATGGCTTCTCTTTTTTTCTTGAATAATAAACACAATTCCTTTTTTTAAATTTTATTATTTTTTCATTTTATTTTATTTATTTATTTATTTTTCTTAGCAAAGGTAAGTGTGGATAACCCATTGTGTGTTTGAAAATGTCGTTATTTTACATTCACATTTTTCTTTGTCCTCAGGCTGAGAACTCAAAAGGATGTGTCTAGTTCTAGCTCTGTTTTTTATTTATTTATTTATTTTTATTTTTTTGAGATAGGGTCTCACTTTGTCGCCCAGGTTTGAGTGCAGTGGTGCAATCTCAGCTCACTGCAGCCTTGACCTCCTGAGCTCAAGTGATCTTCCCACCTCAGCCTCCCAAGCAACTGGGACTACAGTTGTGCACCACCACGCCTGGCTACTTTTTTGTGTGTTTTTTGTAGAGATGGGTTTTTCCATGTTGCCTAGGCTGGTCTCGAACTCCTTTTCTCAAGCTATCTGCCAGACTCAGCCTCCCAAAGTGCTGGGATTATAGGCATGAGCCACTTTGTCTGGCAGGATGTGTCTAGTTCTTCTTAATGCCTAGACATGGATCTTTCATCCTGTACTCCAGTTAGCATTTGGACATTTCTTTGGCTCTGGAGAATTTGGTCCTCTTTCTTCTCTGCTACCTCCATTTTCTTTAGCTTTATTTTTCTTCCTTCTATTTTGTTCTCTTCTCTTTTTCAGAAATTCCTCTTAGTTAGGGGTATTGGGCCTCCTGATCTGAGTCTCCATGTTTGTTCATTCTTCTTTCACACATATATATGTAATATATTTTAATCTTGGGGGCTTTGACTCTATGTTCTAAATTAAAATTTCTTGACTTATATCAAGTACTTTAGTTAATTTTAAGAAATTTGCCAGTTACATATTTAATTTCCAAAAGCTCTCATTTTTGAATTGCCCTATTTCCATAGTAGTCTCTCCTTGAGTGTGGGTATGTTTTGTGGGCAACATACTCCTGAATCTTTCTGAAGAGACTAATTATAATTCTGGCTAGTGAATTATTTATTTTCTCTGGGATCATTTGTTCTGTTTGTTTATTTTGGTTCTTTTTTGACCCTGACCCTCTGATTTTTCTCAAGTGAGTGTGGTTGGTTGTCCACTTAATATTATGAATGAGACTCAATTAATGAATATAAGTAGCAAGGATAGGTTTTCTGTGCTAGAAAATTATGTGTATAAAGAAGAGCAGATATATTTTATAGTGTGCAAGAGTGGGGTAAACAGGCAGGCCTTCTTCTTCTCTTTTTACCTGTAAAACTCTAGCTCAAGCTTGTCCAACCAGGCCACACGTGGCCCCAGACGGCTTTGAATGCAGCCAAACACAAATTCATAAACTTTCTTAAAAACATTCTGAGATTCTTTCTACAACTTTTTTTAAAGCTCACCAGCTATGGTTAGTGTTAATGTATTTTATGTGTGGCCCAAAACAATTCTTCTTCTTCCAATATGACTCAGGGAGCCAAAAGATTGAACACCCCTGCTCTAGCCTCTGAGTTCTCATTGAGATGGAGTTGAGAATTAACTCCAGTCCTTCTACTTGGCCAGCCCTGTGATTATTTAACTCTTTATTTGCTGAAAACACCTGCTTTCTCAGTACATTAACTTTTCTGGGCAGCAGGCAAGATGAACCCATCAGGCGATTGCACTATAGCTTCAGGACCTGGAAACCCTACCTTGTCCTTTAGTCCCTCTAGTCCCAGGAGTGGTAGAACCTTACTGCTAATGGTAACCTCTGCATTTGAATCACCAACTTCAGCTATTGGCAGTAGCCAGTTGCTTACATCTTTAGGATAATAAACCCTTTGTAGTGATTTATTTCAGTTTGGAATATCTATAAAGACATTTGTTTTCCTGATTAAACCCTGACTGACACAGTTTTATAGCCCATTCCTGTTCTCTAATCTGCTCGTTCTCAGGTTGGAGTTTCTACAGATCTTCACCAGCAGAAGGGGTCCTTTCTGAATTGCTGCATCTTTCAATGAATATTCTGTTAGGGCTATGGCTTCCTCCACCCTGAACATACATTTCATGTCTTCCCATCTTTTTACTTTTTCTTCTTATGCCCCTGCCTATTACCTCCTTTTACAATGCTGTTATAATTTATTCCCTTTTAAACATGCTTACTGTCACTTCAATGGCAGGACAGGAGGAAGAGATGGATGTGTGCACTCAGTTTATTGCCTAGCTCGAAAGTAGTGAGCTACTTTCAAGGGGTAGTTTTTTTTTTTAAGAAAACTGGATATGACAATCTGAGAATAATTTCATTTTTACTAATTTATTTACATTAAAAACAAGATTCAAAAATAATAAAATAAAAAACCCCAACAACAACAAGGTTCAATGTAATGATTATTTCTGTTGTTAAAGGCTGGAGGATTATTTTTGAACTAGGAAAAACTAAGAAAAAATTGGGGTGAATGATTTCTGTCCTACCCCTTCATCCATGGGGTAGGACAGAAGCTATGTCCTTAGATCAGAGGCTCTTCCTATGTGGCATTTCTGTGTATTGGAGCTGCCTCTCTTGAGGTTACGTGGTTTAATCTGTTATTCTGTGAACACACCAAAACTATTCAATTTGCTAATTTGGTCCTGTAGTGATTTGAGTATGTCCCTTTCATTTAGCCACTCTGTTATGACACAAACATGATTATAATATATTAAGAAAAAACATTTCTTCGGCAGATTTTCTTTAGTTCTAGTTACATTGAACTGAGAACGTCAATCTATCTGGGAAAGTGGAGAAAATTACATAATGACCAAATAAGGTGTTGATTCAATCATCCCTAATGATTTTATAGTGGCTGAAAAATAGTGGTCTAAGTTTTCAGGATTGAATCTACTACAGACTCATTCAGAAATTGACTCTGCTCAATATTGCATATTTTAAGTACCTAATAAAATGGTAACTTATAAATTTTTTAAATATGTTTTTTGTATAAGAACAATTTTGGAAAAGAACATGTATGGAATATAAAATTATTTAAGTATCTGCTCAATTGACACTCACCTCCTTTCTATGAGAAATTCACCCCTGAATGTCTCCATTTGTTCCTTTATTTATTTATTTTGTTGCAAGACCTTTGCCACTTTGACTACTATTGATTGGTCCAAGATGGACACTTGACCACTCTGAGTCAGTCAAATTCTCTCTCAAAGAACCGATACTCAGAGTCATCTAGTTTCTAAAAATGGCTGGAGATGAGCAACATGTAAAATGTCTGTGGATGCTGGACAAGCCACCCATCATCCATTATTTGGAAAGAGGCAGAGAAATGACAATGAAGAATGACAGAAACAAGAGAAGAGAAACAAAGAGACAAGAAATCATGGGGGTGGAGGGGAGGGGGAGAGAGAGACTGCAAGCCTGCTCTGGGTTCCTAACAGCTTTTATTACTGATTCCAGTTTCTTTAGAGGCATTGGATTTGTGAGGTTCACCTGAATTCTTATAATGAAATCTTTCTTTTGCTTAAGCTGAGTTGAGCTGTTCTGCTACTTGAAACCAAAAGAGCCTAAAATAAAACAGAGCACACAGCAGAACAGGGAGATTGTTACTCTCCATGTGCATGAATACAGAAATTCAGAGACTGCTGGGTTTACATCTGTGTAAAGAGAACAAATTGACTGCAATTCTAGGTTGGCCTCCAGTTATTTTTTTTCTTTATCGATACATAAGAAATACATCTTCAACAATTTGCATATTAAGTCTTCAGCAAGTATCCAATTCCTGAATATTTAGATGTACTGTATTTGGTTAAAGCCTCATAAATTTATGCTATATTTTATGTAATCTTAGGCAGTTTTGAAAAATCTCTTTCAATAATGCTGAATGAGCTTTGTAGAATGTAGCACAATATCTGGTAAATGTGTAAGTGCTCATTACTGTTGATAGTAGCAAAGACATGGAATCAAGCTACATGCCCATCCATGGTAGACTGGATATAGAAAATGTGGTACATATACACCATGGAATACTATGCAGCCATAAAAAGAATGAGAACATGTTCTTTGCAGCAACATATATGGAGCTAGAGGGCATTATCCTTAGTGAACTAACACAGGAACAGAAAACCGAATACCACATATTCTCACTTACGGGCACCTAGACATTGAGTACATATGGGCACAAAGAAGGGAACGACAGACACCAGGGGTCAACTTGAGGGTGGAACGAGAGAAGAGGGTGAGGACTGACAAACTCCCTGTTGAGTACTATGCTGATTACCTGGGTGGCAAAATATTCTATACACCAAACCCCCATGACACACAATTCACCTACATGACAAACCTGCACGTGTAGCTGTGATCCTAAAAGTTAAAAAATAGTGTAAGTGCTCATTAAATGGTTAGCTCATGTTCTCTTTCCTTCTTAAAGTAGTAGGTTTTTCATTGATTGATTGCTTCATTTGTTCAGAAAATATTTGAATACCAAGACCCATATCTAGTTCTGGGGCTATGGAGGTTTTAGTTAGACCTACAGCTAGAACTACAGAGGAGGTAGATACAGACAAATATATTCAATACTACTTGCTAAAGACTGCAATGGAGAGAAGATCAGAAATTTATAGGAGCACAGAGGAGGAGCAGCTGCTTGGCTGTGAGGGCAATGATGTCAAATTTGCCAGTTCTGCCTTTAAGCAAGTCCTTTAGGTTCTATGGCCCTCAACTTATTATATGTAAAATAAGGCTAATAAGGATTTTATCCTCAGTTTTTGTCACAGTTAAAGGTGGTAATAAAAAGGTATAGACATATATACATATATTTTTATATGGAGGGAAATGATTGGCTCATGGGGGAAGTTTCCCCCATGCTGTTCTCATGATAGCGAGTTATCATGAGATCTAATGGTTTTATAAATGGAAGTTTCCCCTGCCCTCTTCTCTTTTGCCTGCCGCCATGTACGACGTGCTTGCTTCCCCTTCAACTTCTGCCATGATTGTAAGTTTCCTGAGGCCTTCTAGCCATGCTTTCTGTTAATTCACTAATTCACTAATACTGCCTGGAGAAGTCAAAAAACAAACAAACAAAAAAACAAACAAACACACAACTAAGAGGCAGCATTTGAACTGGGTTATGCAGCATTTAGTTAGTGCTATGGGTTTTTGTAGGGAAAAATGTTCTAGAAAGAGCAAACAGCATACACAAGAGCATCTGTTTTATAGTAACATAAATTCATAGGAACACAGAGAAGAAGAAACTACTTGGTTGTGAAGGCAATGGATAAAGTGTCTTCACTTTATCTGCAGTAGGAAGAGCTTTGACAGCCCACTGCAGGCAGTGTTAGAAAGGAGTGGTTGAAGAAGCAGGTTGGGGCTGCAGAGGAGGACGATTCTCCTTAACCCTCACACAGACTCTGGAATTGTGTGAAAATAAACTGACAAAGACAGTGATATGGTTTGGCTCTGTGTCCCCACCCAAATCGCATCTGGAATTGTAATCCCCATGTGTTGAGGGAGGGAAATGACTGGATCATGGGGGCCGTTTCCCCCATGCTGTTCCCATCGTAGTGACTTATCATGAGATCTGATGGTTTTATAAATGACAGTTTCCCCTGCTGTCTTCTCTCTTGCCTGCTGCCGTGTAAGAAATGCTTGCTTCCCCTTCACCTTCCTAAAAGATTGTAAGTTTCCTGAGGCCTCCTAGCCAGGCTTCCTGTTAAGTCTGTGGATGTGTGAGTCAATTAAACCTCTTTCCTCTATAATTACCCAATCTCAGATAATATTCTTTATAGCAGTGTGAAAACAAACTAATATAGACAGATTAACAGAAGAAAAATATTCAAATATTTTTAGTATAAGGTTTCTGTGAAATAGGAGCCTTCATAAGGAAGTGAAGACCCAGAAAAACATTTAGAGTTGTATATTTTGCAAGGTTTGATGAAGAAGTGAATTGTTGTGGAGAAGTATGATGGGACAAATCAGGGTATGATGTGATGGTAATATGCTGGGGAGAACTTAGCAAAGTCTATTTGTTCAGATCCTTCTTTGTGTCCCTGTGTCTTCAGAGATGAGAACATTCCTTTCCTCAGGGAATAGGATGGGCACCTCTCACATGACGGTCTCATGATGGCTTTAGAGGAAGGTCAGAAAATCCTTTCTAGGTTTTGTGGCTTGTTTTAGGGGAGAAGGGTATAAAAACATCACAGAGAAACCTTCCTGCTTCTGCAGTTTTCTCAGATTATTTTGGGTTAAAATACTCAGTATGTCAAGACGACATATTCTGGGGCAGCCTTGATAGGGCTCAGATGGGAAGGGCCATCTCTGGAAATGGGATTTTATTCTACAGGTATTAAGAGGAAAACAGAGGTTTTCTTTTAATTAATTTTTTTATTATACTTTAAGTTCTAGGGTACATGTGCACAACGTGCAGCTTTGTTACATATGTATACATGTCCCATGTTGGTGTGCTGCAACCTTTAACTTTGATTGAGGCACTATTCGCAATAGCAAAGACTTGGAAAACAGAGGTTTTAAACAGAGGCACAACAATCAAATATGCATTTAGGAAGATAACTTGACTACTGGTGGAGAAAACACTGGAAGGAAAAAGGGAAGAAGAGCAGTTTAGAATTCTCTTAAGATAATAAGGCATCTATACCCTCTGTTTGTTTCTTAGGGATCATTAATTCTCTCAAGACTCAAAAGGCTAATAATGATTGCTGTGGAAAAATACTACTTTCCCAAAAGTGCCTATGGATTTACAGATCATCCTGAAGACAGAAGCAGAAATATGTGGGCTACAATATGAAGTAAGGAAATAAATCTTAAGTATTTTTGATTTTTTCAGAAAAATAAAAAGTACTAAAAAGTAATGTGACTTATTGAATGCAGCTATTTACAGCTGGTTGAATGGACTTATTGATCATTGCTTGATGGAGCCCAGGGCTTAAAGTTATGTAGCCAATTTGAGCAACCTATTTTATGACTACAACTGTTTGTATCCCCAAATTTCCTTCTTTTTTTTTTTTTTTGTTTTGTTTTGAGACAGGGTCTCACTCTCTCTCCCAGGCTGTAGTGCAGTGGTGTGACCTCAGCTCACCGCAACCTCCGCCTCCTGGGCTCAAGTGATTCTTCTGCCTCAGCCTCCCAAGTAGCGGAACCACAGGTGCCTGCCACCACACCAGGTTAATTTTTGTATTTTTAATAAATTTTAGTCATGTGCTTTACTTGGGTGATAGTTATAACTTCATGAGCGACGTGTCTAGTCTCAGAATGTACCACAGTTAAAGAAAAACTCAGAAACTAAAAACCTATTTCAAAATAATAAGAATGCTTTACTCTTTCTGTTTTTAGAATACCACAAAGAGAACTCAGACCCACAGCATTCATTACCTTTTAATTCCCTTTCTGCTCTTGTTTTGCACAAAGCAATTGTATCCATGCTTCTTACTTCCAAAACTCCCTTAGAGCTCCTTCCTCTGACCCAGTCTGAACTCTGTTTTTCCCCACTTCCTACCATTTTCCTACTGAACTTGCATGACAGAGGTTCAGAAGAACCTATCGGGTAAAGGAGGATTCCCATCAGATGGTAGGGGATGGGAAGAAACTAGGGTAACACTGGCAGGATCCTCTTTAGCAATAAAAGTGAGGAGGATGACTGGGACCATGAGCCATTGGACCATGGAGCACCAAGTGTGAGAAAGGGTGACCCTAGAGAAGAGGGACAAGGTGAAGTATGGAAAAAGTTGGCATACATAAGTGTGGTCTTTGGTCTGATAAACTATGTCCCACTCTAGTTTTTATATCGAGTTAATGGCAGTAAAGAGAGGGTCTGAGCTATCCATTAGATTGCACTGCATTGGAAAGGCTATGATTTTATTTTTCTTAAGTCCTTAGAAAGTGGAGATACAAAGAAGACCAAATTATAAATGAAGTAATCATAAAATAACAGCTAATATATTTACTGAGTGCTTATTAAGGGCCAGGTATTTTTTAAACATTATCTTATTTAATCCTCACACATAGCTCTGAGGTATATACATCTCCACTTTTTAGATAAGGGAACTGGGCTTTAGAAAGTTTAAATAATGGCCAGGTGCTGTGGCTCATGCCTGTAATCCCAGCACTTTGGGAGGCCAAGTAGGCCAGATCACCTGAGTTCAGGAGTTCGAGACCAGCCTGGCCAACATGGCGAAAACCCATCTCCACTAAAAGTACAAAAATTAGCCAGGCGTGGTGGCGGGCAATTGTAATCCCAGCTACTCAGGAGCCTGAGGCAGGAGAATCGCTTGAACCCAAGAGGCGAAGGTTGCAGTGAGCAGAGAGAGCGCTGAAGTTTAAATAACATGCTCAAATTGGTAGAGCGAGAATCTGAGCCTAGCATTTTTAGTCCAGAGTCCATAACTTAATAATTGGACTGAGAATTTACTGTAAACTTATCCTTCCATATTAAGTCCCAGAAATAATAGATAGAAGAGTGAAAGACTTTACAAAACACATTAATTAAAGTTATTGTGTTACTGCAAGATACTTTCTCTGAATTATTGGCATTTATAAAAATGAGACTAAAATTTTCATGAATGTGAAAATTGGCTAATCTTAGAAGGAAAGCGCTTTACTAATGGCTAACAGAATTAACTAGCAATAATAACGTCTATGGAAGAAAATGACTTTAAATACTGTTTTTCAAATGAGGAAGCATCTGTTGAACATCAACTGTACCCTGCATTTTGGAGGTCATACAAGACGTGTAAGATTTTGAACTTCAATACTAAATGATTGCTTAGGATAGTGTATATAAAGTCTCTAACATATTCCATTGCTTACAACACGTCAGTTAATATTGTTTTTTTTTTTTTTCCTTATTCTCTGTAATGAGCTTAAGATCCGGTTGGGGAAACGTGACTAACACATCTGAAATATACATAAACTAGTGAAATATAATTAGTATATGATGTAGTTTGGATATTTGTCCCTGCCCAAATCTCTTGTTGAAATGCAATCCCCAGTGTTGGAGGTGGGGCCTGGTAGGAGGTGTTTGGATCATGCGGGTGGATCCCTCATTAATGACTTAGGCCACCTCCTTGGTGATACGTGAGCTTGCTGTGTGAGTTCACAGGAGATCTGGCCATTTCAAGGTGGCACCCCTCCCATCTCTTGCTTCTACTTTGGCCGTGTGATGTGCCTACTCCCGCTTTGTCTTTCAGCATGATTATAAGCTTCCTGATGCGTCCCCAGAAGCCGAGCAGATGCTAGCCCCAAGATTCCTGTAAAGCCTGCAGAACCATGAGCCAATTAAACCTCTTTTCTTTATAAATTACCCAGTCTCAAGAATTTATTTATATAAATGCAATGCAATAATGGCCTAATACAGTGCAGTATAAGATACATGCAACATATTTATAATTATGTCCCACTCTAGTTTTCATATTGGGTTAATGGCAGTAAGAGAGGGTCTGAGCTAACTATTACATTGCATTGGAAAAGCTATGATTTTATTTTTCTTAAGTCCTTAGAAAGTGCAGATACAAAGAAGTGGAGATACTATATATATATATATATATATATATATATATATATATATATTTGAGACAGGGTCTCACTCTGTTGCAATCATGGCTCCCTGCAGCTTCAACCTCCTGGGCCCAAACAATCCTCCTGCCTCAGCCTTCCCAAGTAGCTGGAATTATGGGCATGCACCACTGCACTGGGCTAACATATATATATATATACACACATATATGTATATGTATATGGTAGAGTCAAGAGTTCTTGCAAAGTTGCCCAAACTTTAACCCCAGGGCTGAAACAACCCTCCTGCCTCAGCCTCCCAAAGGGCTGGGATTACAGGCGTGAGCCAACGTGCCCAGCCACATGCAATATTTTAAATAGAAGTGAATAGTTAGGTTAGATTTCCAAAAGGAATGGGTATTTTACAGGTTGTTAAGATTTGCTTAGGTGAAGAGTCAGGAATTTATTTTAGGAAGATGAAATAATTTGAATGTATACAAGATTAAATATGAGTTTAGGGGAATATTTAATGTATTGATACAATTGAGTTAGACTCTTTAAAACTGAAAAAAAAATTCATAAACTTCCAGCAAAATGATAAGATTTTAAATCTTTTGACTAATTTGGGTTAAGCAGTATAATCATGATGAATGTCTTGGTAGCATATTATCCCAAGTGAATTAAGCATTATGACTGGTGACATCTGACCCCAGGAGCTTTTGAGACAAAACAAGGGGACATATCAAATGTCTGGTTTTACTCCAAAAAAACTTCAGAGTCTGGCTAAAGGCAAGTATTTTAAACATGTTTCTTAGGATAACAGCCCAGGTTTTAGGACTCTTCCAAGTCATTTGGAGAAGAGACTGTTAAATTAGAAACATCAGCTTTAGGTCTATCTGATCAGGTATTAATTTGTCCTTACAAATGAAGGTTTTTCTCCTTGTGGTGAAAATATCAAGTTAATCATCTCATGCAACTCTCAGTACTCAATATATTACCCTTAAAGTCACATACACATTAGAATGTACAGTGAAGCAGTGATTAATGAAATATCATTTCCTAATAGGGCAAAAATTGTGTCTGGAGATACACATTTTTGCTTTTGTCTTTGTTTTTTACAGTCTTGGCATATCTTGTGTATTTTTAAGGGAATAATTTTATAAAATGAAAGTCTAAATCTTGGGAGTGACTTTTTATTTTAGAGGAGAAAATTGGATCTTGCTCAAGCTGAGATATATTGGCATTAGTCCTGCTGTGGTATATCTTGAAAAGACAACAGAAATACAACTCGACTATTATACTGCCATTCTGTTTATGCAAACTTGCAATATTCTGCATGCTGCCTGGTACATTCCAGAGACAGGAGGAGCCAAACAAAACACTTTAATAACATTAGCTCATATGAATTCATTTTTTATACAGTGCACATGGAATGAAATGTATAATCTTATCAGAATTAATTGAAATCACATGCCAAAAATGGAAATACGGTTCATTGTCTTTAATTTGGCCAAGTGCCATTTAATACCAAAAACATTTCACACAACTTCATTATTTATATAGTGTATCTAGTGGGCATCAAATGGGATAATATATATTAAAAAAGCTAAAAACCATCCTAAAATGTAAGGTTTTCATAATAATAGCTCCCTTTGACTCAGTGTATTTTAAAAGGAAAATGTGGTATTTGTGTAGTACTTTGTATTGTGAACTTCCATTTGGTTATTTCATCAATGAGTGATTCTAAACTGTCTTTGTGAAATCTATTGATATGCTAATGCTACTGCAACTTGCAATATATAAAATGACATAAAATCAAATATGTTTAACATTAGAATATTTTTTCTCCAAATAATTCTGAAAGAAAGGTAGAGGAAACTTAAAACTTAAGACAAAACTGATTTTAAATAAATTTTATGAATGTTTAAAGATAATATTGTAAGGTAATTAATTCCTCATTTTGGTCTCTGCAAATATTTGAAATACAATGCTAGGAAATTGTTGGCACTTGGATCCTAATGTCATCACTTTTCAGATCCAATTTCTAACAAATATAATCATTGCTAAGCACAATATGGGGAAAATGGCACTGGTGGGTTAGGTCATGACTATATGCAACAAACAATACAATTAACATGTTGGTACTTAGATGAAGAAAAGTACACTTTTCTTGCTCTGAAATATATCCAATTCTTACTAAGACAACTGAATTTAAAATTGTGTTTCCAAACACAATTTGGGTTCACCAGATTCCATGGTGCTGTTTCTTTAACCCTGGAAGATAAGCCTATTTATCATCTTGCTATACCTCACCATGGGTTCTTCCAATTCCACACTCTGCCTTGCAGTCTTACTGGCAGTATTCTGACACTTATTATGCAGTTCTGGGCACCCTAACCTTAGTGACCTGACCTCTTGGTGAGGGGACTTTTGACTTTGCATCCCAATCTTTCAGGATAACCATAAGGCACTTCACAATTGAATTCTGATACCTGCCCATTTACAACTACCAGGGAAAAGTCACTTGGGAGTCCAGGTGGGGGAGTAGTTTGATCAATTAATAACACTCCAGCTGCATCATTTTCCAACAGGAAGAGCAACTCTATTGGTCAACATCTGACTATTCAAAATTCTCCACTTACAAGAATATCTCCTGTCCTTAAATTCAAGGACTTAGTTAAAGCAGTAAGCAAACCCAGCAGGAAGTCCTCTTTGAAGTGCAGGAGCTCAGATATGCAAAAGTCTTGATCAGCACATGCTTGAAAAGTGCTTACTCTTCTCCCCTTTGGGATTGGCCATTAACTCAATTCTGGACATTCTCAAATAAAGCTGTTTTTCAGGTTGCTTCAACTTCAGAGTCAATAAGTGAGTGGCTTTCGTCAACAAGGGTTAATAAACACTTTCCTCTGCCTCCCGCCTCCTCACATTCCAAAGTGGACTCATTTAGCATGAATACATTAGCATTTGTAAGGGACAGCCTTACAGTTATCTACATGGAGTTCCTGGGATTACTGCAGTCTTTCTTATTTATTCTCCCTGCCTTCAAATCTCTTCCTGCTTCAAAAGATCCTACATATAACTGCATGAAAAATCTTCAACAGTCACCTCATTCTATGACTTGAGAGCTTCCCCAGGGGTCCATGTCCCATCTTATTGACTCTGCTCAACATCTCCCACCGTTCTCTCTCAACATCCCATTATTTTGACACCTCTTTCAACATGCTTCAGTGTTATTTGTCTACTCCTGGTGTCATTATTTCTGCTGTGTATATTTTTTGCCTCTGCTATAAGTTGCATTTGCATTACAATTTTTAAATTTTAAAATTGCCTTCCTCCAGAAATTCTGCTGTGGTTTACCTACCTCTGACTCATCCCCTTTCTATTCATTATATCCTCCACATAAATATATGAAATTTTACCCTATTATCTTTAAGCTGTTCTTTAACAATAGGACAATATTAATAACTACCATTTTCCAAGTCTTACTGCATTCCTTCACATATTATTTTTTATCATAGCAACAATCTTCTGAGGTAGATATTATATTTATTTTATAGAAGAGAAACTGAAGCTTAAGGAAGTTAAGTAAGTTTATTAAGGTCACCCACATAGGGATTACCAGGGCTGGGATGTGAACCCAGATTTGGAACATCATACATAATTACTCTACTGTGCTTCTGGCTACTCAAGACACTAACCTTTACTAAACACCTAGTAGATATCGGATTCCACAGCTAAGTGATGGAGACAATAAGAGCATAGTCTCTGCCTGTCCCCCGGTTTCTCACAGCCTGGTGGAAGAAAGGATGTGGATGTCATGAGAGCAATGTGATAAATGTTCAAACATGTGGAACTGCACGGGTAAATAAGGGTGACTTATGAGAGGAAGCGACAGCTGAATTTGAAGTGGGAAGAAGGAGCTTGCCAGATAACAAGGAGAGAGGAAGTGGCCTTCTAGGTGCAGGGAAGTACCAAAACAAAGGTGTAGGAGCAGGAAGGGTCTTTAAACGTTAGGTTAGGTAAGGGCTCTTCACCCAGAGTGGCCAGAATGCAGGACTCGGATTTAGAGTGGTTGGAGGAGGATTCAGAGGCCCTGGAGACTTATAGCCCGAAGGGCTCGTATGAAGACTAAGGGGGTAGGACTTTATCTTCTGACATGTAGTTGGCTCTGTAACATATTTCCTCTGAATTACTTTCCCTCCTGATTAAATCATAAAGGCTTTGAGGACATCTAAGCTCTTCTTATTCCCACCTGGATACTCTTCCATATAGAAAGGGAGTCATCTGTTTATTGGAGGCATTGGATGATCTGCTGTTTTTCTTGGTTGAGACTTGGTACCACCAAGAAGCAGTCAGTGCCCTCATTTTGGGAAGTATTAGATGCCTCCTGAAGATGTGGAGTCCTCATCCCAAAAGAAGTTAGATAGCTATTTTTCAAGTAGTGTGATACTTGTGGAATCTGTATTAAAAATCCTGATAAGGAGCAAAAAGAGAAAGAGGCCCAACAGTAGCTTTAAAATAGAGAATGATCCTAGAGAAGATAAAACAGAAAGATCCAGAAGGGGACAGGTGCGTCATAATCAACATGCATCAGTTTTGCGTTGGTGAAGGGCAGTATTTTTATTATCGTTAAAATGAGATCACTTTTTTGCACTAGGCCAGTGTGAAAAGAAAGACTTCAGGAAGGTGATGTAAGTTTAAAAGTGAGGGGAAAATCAGAAAAAAAAAAAAAGAAAAGAAAATCCAGGAGTTATATCAGTAATTCTGTGAAAGACAGCATAACATGGGTGTGTTCCTGCAGCTGTAATAGAGATATTATCCTTCTTGCTAATGAAAAGAATGGGTGGTCTTAAAGATATTTATAACCATGCAGTTTGAAGCTCATGCTGTTTTAAGTGTGAGAAGAGATTTCTTGGGGCTCTGTTTTGTAGGGAATTATTAAAATAACCTGGGAAAATGAAATTGCAGCACTCCAGAATGTACCCTGGCCATCTACCACCTTACATGGAATGAGGGTGTCTTTGGCCTAGAGGGCTCTATTGTAGAAAATGTGACAACTGTCCTCTTCTAGAGTTTCAAAACAGTGCTATTTAGTGATCCAACCTTGGCAGGTCAAAAAGGAGAGAATCAATGTCCTAATTCCAAGTTCATCCATCTAGAATGCGGCTTAAAATAATACAGAGAAATAAAATAGCTGTGTAGAATTCTTTTAACAGCAAAATCCTATGCCAAGGTTTAAAATTCAATAAATGAAGTGATGGAAAGCAAATGTTTAAAAAATGCGATATGGTTGACTATTAAGTTTCCAGGACAGGCTGCTTGAGTTCAGATACCTGTTCTGCAGCTCACTAGCAGTGTGACCTTGGGGACTTGATCAAAATCTGGCCTCTGTTTCTTCATCTGTAAAAGAAGGATAAACATGGCATCTGCCTCACAGCATTGTGAAAATTAAATGTGTTACTGTGCATTAAGCACTTGGGACAGTGTTGGCACACAGCAAGTCCTCACTAAATGTTAACGTTACCTTTTTTTGAGTCCGTAAATCTCTTTCAAGAGTATAAAGATTTGTAAAAGAGATGCATTTGAATTTGTAATATAATTGTTTTTAAAATGATTAAGATGATAGGTTGAACACATGAATGTATTTAATACTTTTAACAACTCTATCTATTGGTACCAGAGATTTGAATTTCTCCCTCTCTCTCTCTTTCTGTCTCTCTCATTCTATGTATTCTTTTTTCCCTTCTTAACCCTAGTTCACACTGTAGCATGTATAGGAGGGTAGGAGGGTAGGAGGGAACTGGCCACTACACTATGAGAATTTAATACACACATGTACACACAACTTAAAACTTTTCTCAATACATATCACCCTCCTCATCACCCATACTTTCTCTGCACATACTGAATCAGAAAAACTGGGGGTACCAAGGTACCTCCACTTATAACCTACTGCCTAGATTTTCATACACATTAAAGTTTATGGATAAATGTCCAAGATTCTTAAGTAAGGTTTAACTAATACTGAGTAACCAAAGTTTTATATGCCTTACTTTATAATACCTATTTGGCACCTAAACATGTTGACTCTGAATTTCAATTCTTTCATTAAATTAATTTTTTCTCTTCATAAATTGGACGCTTTTGGTGGCAGGTAGAACACACATGTCAAAATGAGCCATCACACATATTTATGGGTATCGTCTTTAAGACCCTTCCTCTACCAATCTCATCAGGGTTTAGGCAATAATGTTAATCTAAGGATATGGTCATTTTACTCTTAAAAACCAAAAGAAAATGTTTTCTTTTATACCACGGAAGTGGATCCCTGTGCTGAGTGTAATTTCTATGACTCTGATTTTTGCCTCTGGGTCATCTTTTCTTGAAATGCTCCCAAGATGAATATTTGCCTGCAAGGTCATCCTCCGACATGTCGTCCAGTTTGAATCTCAGCACTCTAAAACAGGGCCCTTTCCACAAAAGCCTTCAACTTCAGAAAGAGCTGCCTTTTATGTGGCTCATGAATATGGTCTAACTGCTTCAAGCTCTCCTCTCTGACCTTTGTCCTATTTAGTGGAGTTCAATTGTCTCCCACATTTATTTAAGCTAATGATAGAAGCATTAAGCAAAAGTTGAAAAAAGGGACAAATGGATTCATCATGAAAATGCACTGCGCCATAAAAAAGCCCATACACCAAGATGCTATTCACAGTGAGTAGTAAATTTATGAAACTCATTGCCTCAAGGTATTATATGGGCTATTATATATAAATAGGTTCAAGAAGGACTATAGCAGGTTATTAAACAAAATTGGGATGCCAGAGGTGGAAGTGGCGAGCTCATCCCTTACCTTTGCGAACATCGTGGAGCTGGGCGACATTGCTTAGTGCCTCAGTCAGAGAGTTGCTTGACTGGAGTGTATTACTTTCCTGTAGCCTGCTGGAACAAATTGCCACAGACTTGGTGGCTTAAAACAACAGAAATTTATTCTCTCACAGTTCTGAAGGCCTGAAGTCTGAAACCAAAATGTTGACAGGGCACATTCCCTCCAGGGGCTCTAAGAAAGAATCCCTTTCTGGACTCTTCCAGCTTCTGGTGCCTACCCCAGTATTCTAATCTCTGCCTCTGTCTTTACATCATCTTCTCTATGTGCCTGTCTTGTGAGGATATGTGATTATATTTAGGGCCCAGTTGAATAATCCAGGGTAAGCTCCTCCTCTAAGTTCTCTAACTTACTCATGTCTTTTGCCATGCAAGGTAGTATTCACTTTCACCATTCACGGTTGTATTCACAGAGTCCAGGGATTAGGACCTGGACATATCTTTTGGGGGGCCACCATTCAACCCACGATAGGGAGGGATCATCCTTCTAAGCATTCTATGGTTTGTTTTGTTCCTCATTCTTCTTTATAATTGGAGGGTTACTTCAGTCTAAACTTTCATTCCAATAACAATACCACAAACTTTAACTTTCTGTTAAAAAAAAAAACCTTTCTGTTTCTCTCCATTTCCTACATTAGTAATGAGCATTAGTTCTGCTGGATGTTAATAGTGGTTAAATGAATACAAGAGAAGCCACATGTTTCAGAATCCTGTTTAAAACAACATTTAATAGAATTTCTCAGAGGCTTGCTATGCCAGTGATCTTTGTGATGTTCTGAGAAGACAATATGGTGTGCTCACCAGACTCTTTCAACCACACACCCTCTAGCTAGTATTCCCTAGCATACATTTTGGGAAACTATGCTCTAAAACATAAGAATGACATAAATCAAACATCTCTACTTTTTTCCTTTTGGGACCAAATCTAAGCCTATGGCCCTCCTTGTTGCATTTGTAGCTAATAATTTCCTCACAATTATTTGAATTAATACAGCAAAAAGGAGGCTAGTTGTTCTTTGACTTAGCACGTTCCCTCTGGAATCAAGCAGATTCTTTTCTGTTGGGTTTTACATGATAGTCAATAGCTTTCCCTAGAGCCATCCAGCTACTATAATTGAAATATATACATAGTCTAAGAAAAACCCTATATGGGAGTCTGTGATTTTGCTGGCTCACTCTGGGTAGAGTGCCAATGAGCACGTGTATGCTCATCTTGACTGTTTCAAGTCAAGCTGCCAAGTTTACATTTTTTAGAGACTGAACAGCTCTTAAAAAGAATGCTATACCTGTTCCCCTAACATCTTTTTTCTCTTGGAGTTAGGTAAGAGAAGAAGAATATTATTTTACCAAATAGGTTCATATATATATATATATATATATATATATATATATTTTTTTTTTTTTTTTTTTTTGAAATGGTGTCTTGCCCTGTCGCCCAGGCTGGAGTGCAGTGACGCAATCTCTGCTCACTGCAAGCTCCGCCTTCCGGGTTCACGCCATTCTCCTTCCTCAGCCTCCCAAGTAGCTGGGACTACAGGTGCCAGCCACCAAGCCCAGCTAATTTTTTGTATTTTTAATAAAGACGAGGTTTCACCATGTTTAGCCAGGATGTTCTCTACCTCCTGACCTTGTGATCCGCCCCTCCTTCGCCTCCCAAAGTGCTGGGATTACAGGTGTAAGCCACCGCGTCTGGCCAGGTTCTTATATTTTTAAGTCTTTGAGTTCTCTTTTATTTTAAAATGTCCCCCTCCCCATCCCCCACCCAGACAGGATGTCACTCTGTTGCCCAGGCTGGAATGCAATGGTGTGATCATAGCTTGAACTCTTGAGCTCAAGCGATCCTCCCACCTCAATCTCTAGGACTGCAGGTTTATATCATCATGCCCTGCTAACTTTTTAATAAAAAAGTTTGTAGAGACAGGGTCTTTCTATAGTGCCTACGCTGGTCTCAAACTTCTGGGCTCAGTGATCCTCCCACCTCAGCCTCCCAAAGTGCTGGGATTACAGGCATGAGCTAATGCATCCAGCCTAAAATGTTCTTTATGAATGCTTTTTTATGTTCTTCATTTGGCCATCCAACAAATGCTCATTGAAATGTTCTAATGCACCAACCTCTGTGGTTGATTTAGGAGGGAAGGGTATGTGGCTCTGGATGAGACTCTGTGTGCCTTAAAGGCACTCTCAGTGGAGGATGCATGGCATGAAAAAAATGTATATACTGTGAAACACACCCCAATAGTGGTCTGAGAAATATGTTACAGCATGAAGGGAAAAGAAATATGAACTCTCTTTGGGAAACTAACATTTACTCTGGGTTGTGAAGAATGAAAAAGGTTCATTCGCTGTGATAAAGTACAATCTAGGATGGAAACCAAGGCATACGTAGGGAAGCAGTTATAGATGGGTATGTTGTATCTGAGGAATAATGAGAAGTTCAGAGTTACTCCCCAGAGGTAAAAGGGATGTGGTGCTGGAAGGAGGGGAGGTTAAGGTAGGCTGATTTCCAATAGGGAAGGATTCTGATTGCCCTGGCAGGAAGCTTAGATGGTATTTTGCAGGAAATTGGGAGCCTTGGGGAGGGTTTTGTATTAATACAAAGCAGTGACAAGATGAGATTTTGATTTTAGAAAGACAATTCTGGAAGTCAGGGCACATGGAAGCCCTCAAATCTACTCTTGTTAACCTAGCTAGAATAGTTTCAGTTTAAAATTATTAAAAAAAAAAAAGAAAAGAATTTGCTAGATTACTAGTAAAGAAACTTAGTAATAATCTATTTAAAAGGCGAACAGACTCTAAACAAAGGCAGTGGTATCTGAGATAGAATTCAGGGAAAGGCGGATGCTGACTCAAAGGCTTCCATGTAGTCAGTTGGGTGGATGGTGAAGATAATAAGGAAGAGAGGCAAGGAGTGGAGCTGCTTTGGGGTGGGTAGAGAAGTACTAGATTGTGAATAGGAAGGAATATAATCTAGTCTTTGGTGACAGAGACTATGGATTTTCCCTCAGCCTCCACTCCACTCCCTTTCAGCGTGCCTGGATGTACGATACCGCACTATGATGCAGTACTGCTAAAATCTGCATTTCCCAGGTTCATTTGCAGCTGCTTGTCAAATGTATGCCTCTCTGAGATTTGGAAGATGGAAGTGCACATCCTGTGGCCAATTCCATGCTTCTGTTGTTTCAGCTGTTTCCCCTGGCAAGCTTGTCTTTAGGGGTGTTTGTTTCTTCTGCAGTAGCTGTAGTAGAGTTTCCAATGTCCAGTGTTTAGCTTTATAGTGTGGAAAGGCAGTGTGGGAAGCATTCATTTTGCTGGCAGAGGTTGTGGACAAACTGGCATAGTGGTTGGGGAGCTAGCAGCCTCTTGCTTCTCCAGCCCCCTTATCGTGGTAAAAGCAGTGTCTTCCACGGAGGCTCACTCTAGACTGTTGTTTTGGAAGTTGTTCCTGGGCACTCTGCTTAGGGCTTATGCCCCCAGAGCTTCCACAAATCTTAAAGCCCCCAGATCTACCCTTGTTAACCTAGCCAGAATGGTTTCCGTGATCTGCAGCTGATCCTTAACTAATTCACCTTCAAATGAAAAAATTTTATAAGAAAATTAAGTATCGATTATGGAGGACATGACCTTGTCTTAAACACCTTCCGGTACCCAGTGCCTAGAACAGTGGTTTGCACTTGGTGTTTAATAAATTTGTTAGGTTTCATTGAATTAATTGAACTCCCTGAACAATTTGTGCTTCTCCAAATAGTGCCATAGAATATATTTGGCAAACTCCCTAACTCTGATAGTTGTTTTACATGATAAATTGCCGATATTGTTAGTATCTAAAATGCTTTGATCTGAAATTTTTTTGGAATTTTCAGATCCATGCCATCTGGCTTCACTGACTCATGGAAATTTAATGTCTTAAGTCGTAGTCACCACCTGTTGTTTCTTTTTCTGTATTTATGCTGGTGAATCATATTTGCTTTCAATGAAAAGTAATTCTTTAGTAAAAATTCCACATTTACTCTGTCAGTAATGATCACTGACTGAGTGATCAGAGGAACAATTCAGCCTTCACTGGTTCTTAAATACTCCTGTTCCCCCCACTAAGTATATGACTGCACTTTGAGTTCTTTATCTACAACCAGACAGGGTCACACTCAACCCTTAGACTATTCTTATAGAAGAATGATTCATAGATTTTACCTGAATTTTGTTTTTATAATCCTTCTTGCATTGTAGTAGCATTCATGTCTGGTGTTCTATGCCAATATTGCTATTTTTTCCATATATTTTATTTCTTATGAACATTTGTAATCTTAATACTTTCCACGGTATAGTGCCCCCAAAAGATTCCCTACACACTCCTGTGCAAGAGGCCAATTAGAGGACACATGAGAAGGAGACATAGATCCTTCTCTAGTACCTATCAAAATATGTTTTGTAGCAAGCAGCGGAAACTCAACTCAAGCTGGATAAAAGATAAGTAGCCTATGTTGGTTGACAGGACTGAGAAGTACTGAGATAGGAAGGCTTCAGGTGTAGTTCAAATAAAGTTCTTGTTCTATTTCTTTGTGATTTTTTGGCTCTGCTTCTTTTGCATATTAGCTTCACCCTAGGCAGGCTTCCCTGTAGTTGCAGGAGAGATATCTACAAAAACGTAACAGCTTGTGATGTCCATTGCACAAAATTTCTAAGCCTTGCTCTGATTAGGCTACCCTCTGATAAGGGGGATGATTACATTGAAACATCCTCTTAAGCTACCCAATGAGGGAGATGTTAATGGATGTGAGGATGGAAACCATGTTATCTCTTCTTCCTGTGATCCAGTTTTGTTGTGGTCAGACCTAGACCCCAGGAAGACAATTGGGCATGTTCTCCACTATCCTTAAGGGCAGACCAACTCTTAATATATATTGTTGTATCATTTTTACTGTATATACATTTTTCTGTTTCCTCTGTTAACAATGACAAGCTTGAAGGAAGGTTTCATCTTGTTTGTACTTTTATTATTGATGCACACCAGCTACTACTGGAGTCCCCTCACTGTACATGTGGAGCCTTTCTCTACATGTCATGATGCTTTAAAAGGTTCTGATTATGTGATGATGCTTTAAAAGGATCATCATAAAATACATTTAGATGTATTTTACATAACCCTGACTTGGCTCTTGAGACATATTGAGCCAGAACTAGGCAATTAGTCAATCAGTAAACACATATGAAGTACTCCTGTGTGTGTCAGGCATTTGGTGCAGGTCAGAGAACATGGCAAGGAGTAGTGTCTCATTAAAATATTTCAAGGCACATATAAATGGATGATGTCATCTCCCAGGTCTGTGTCCCTTCTCCTGTCACTGTTGGAATTCTCCTTCCTCTCCTGGGTTTTCTTCCCAGGTTCTCAGTGCTATCGTGTATATTGCCCCATGTCCGTGATCTTCTACCGCTGTGGCTTGCCAGTGCTAGGAGAGCTCCTTTTTCTGTTCACGCAACCGTGATTGAGTGCCGCTGAGGATCCCACAATGACTGAAGCACACGATTCGCCTTGGGACTTCACAGTCTAGTGAAAGGCTTCCACATAAATAGCAATGTGATGAATGCCAGGATAGAAATAAGAATCAGAGATCCAATTCAAGCACTCAGAACAGGGCAGTTAAGGAAGATTTCTCAGAGACAGCGATGCCTATGAATCTTAAACAAAAACAAAAGCAAAAATGGGAAAATGTCAGCCAGGTGAAATGGCATTGCATGCAGAGGGAGCAGCGTGGCCAGAGGCCATGTGAGAGAAGCTGGCTGCTAGGGAAGAGTAAGTCCCTCTCCACAGCTGGGTCATTTCATGCGTGTGAAAAGTTGCTGGGAACAGCCTCATTTTCCATATTCTGATTCAAGCAATGTGGCTACCGTTTTTGGTGACCCTTAAATCATTAGATGACACCAAGATGAACAGTTTTCTTCATGAACATAAGAGGAAACTGTAACCAGAAAAGGCCTGGGAGTATCTTTCTGCTCAGCAGGAAAAACAATTCTGTCTCAAGAGCCATCCCTGCAGAAGGGGAAGTGGGTTAAGGCAACTCCTTGCAGAGAGTGACTTGAGAGGATGAGTAAAACATCTTCCCAGTGGGGTCTCCCTCCCTTTCTATCTGGCCACAAATTCTCAATAGTTAACTCACTAACTGACGAGGTCAATAAAAGTGGGACATCCTCTTCTATAGAAAGCCTCGGTGATCATGGTGATCACATAGCCCTGTCTGAAGAGTACATTAACTGAGATTAGCTCATTATCTTTGTGATGAACTTCAGAAGAGTTTCCGTTCAGTGGAAAAAAGAGCAGGCAGGGTTGGGAGAGGAGCAGCGAGGCCTCTAGGAGGAGAAACTCATTGAAATGGTGTCAGTGCTGCTGTCTCTGTGGGGTTGGTTGGTGTACTAGTTAGGGTTCTCTAGAGGGACATCCAAAGGGTGGATTTATAAATAAAAGGGAGTTTATTAAGGAGTACTGACTCACATGACCACAAAGTCCCACAATAGGCCATCTGCAAGCTGAGGAGAAAGGAAGCCAGTCCGAGTCCCAAACCTGAGGAACTTGGAGTCCAATGTTCTAGGGCAGGAAGCGTCCGGCACTGGAGAAAGATGTAGGGTGGGAAGCTAAGTCAGTTTCATCTTTTCATGTTCTTCTGCCCACTTTTATTTCAGCCACTCTGGCAGTTAAATAGATTGTCCCCACCCAGATTGACGGTGGGTCTGCTTTTCCCAGTCCACTGACTCAAATGTTAATCTCCTTTGGCAACACCCTCACAGACACATCCAGGAACAATACTTTGCATCCTTCAATCCAATCAAGTTGACACTTAATATTAACCATCACAGTTGGGTTCTGGGGTCCTGACTTGTCTTTCTCCACTTTTAGTTCTTTGCCTTTTGTGTTGGCCAAATGATGCTCCACACTGCCCAGTGATGTTCTAGAACCTGCAAATGTGTTCTTTCACATGGCAAAGGGGACTTTGCAGAGATTTGAAGTTGAGGATCTTCAGATGGGGAGATGATCCTGGATTCTCTGGGTGAGCCCAATGTAATCACAGGAGTTCTTGTAAGTGAAAGAGGAGGTAGGAGAGTCAGAAGAGGAAATGTGATGACAGAAGCAGGGTTGTGATGCAGCCAGGACTCAAGGAATGTGGGCAGCCTCTAGAGGCTGGAAAAACTCCCTTAGAACCTCCAAAGAGGATACAATTCTGCCAACACCTTGACTTTAGCCCCATAAGACCCATTTCAGACTTCTTATCTCCAGAACTGTCATATAATAAGCATATGTACCATAAACCAGTAAGTTTGTGGCAATGTGCTACAGCTGCCATACACCTCTCTTTACCTGATGCCCATGACCCGTGAGGTCACCCTTCCCGCACCTACCACCATCCTCCACACCAAGTCTGTTTGGTGTATCTAATTCTGTTGGCTCATTTTGGAATTGTGTCAAGGTCAAACCCTTAGCAGAGTCACAGTGGAGTTCAAGCCACAGCTCAGGGAAAACAGAGGAAAGGAGGGCCTGCACCGGTCAAGTCTGAGGCCTGAGGTGCAGCTCCACCAGAGTGTCAGAACACAGAGCAGCACCAAGGAGCAGAAGGAACCAGCTACGAGCAGGAATGGAGGAACCAGGAAGCGGCATTAGACAGGCATAGCCAGGAATATTTTCAGGCATGACTGAGAGATGTGTGTTTTCGCTGGGTTCCACAACCTGTGGCATACAGTGACTCAGGTATAAAGATATGACAACCCTGAATACCATCATGTCACAAGAGCTTTAGATAAATGCTTTCAATCAACAGAAAATGCAAAGAATCAAGAAACTTTATGTCCACCAAGGATACTTGGAGAAAGTCCCTAAGGGACAAGCTTCAGTCCAGTGATTTTAGACTCTATTCTCTGAACACAAGAGTATTGGTGAATTATGTTCTCAGCTCTCCTCGCTGTTGTATGTGTGCACTCACTGCAAGTAACTTACATCATTTTATTTGAATGTATTTTAAAGCAGTAGGTAGAATAGCAAAGGAATATGAAAACCATGAAATGAATGGACATTTTATGTATTCAGAGAGAGGAGCACCCACCACTGCCAGAAATACCATGTAAAAATTGGCAATTCGGAGGGTGCAGTATTTAGTATAGTAAATAAATAAATGACCAACATTGTGTAAACATGACCAAAAAGTGTATTGTAATGAATCGAAAATCAACAAAATTTTATTCACTAATGAATATCAACAAAATAAGTTCAACTGATGGGAATAAAAGATGAGAGCTCTCAAGAAATGAGAGCTTAAAGAAACAACAATTATATTTTCATATTTACACTTTTATTTCATTTAAACAGTTGATGAAGGCTCACATTGTACCCAAAAATGTCCATTAAAATTAACCTTACAAACTTTATTTCCCATTTGAAAGTGACACAGAACTAACCTCTATGAAAGATTAGCTAACATGGCTTAAATTATTCCCATAAACACTATAAAGAAGGGGTTTCTTTGGCTTTAAAAAAATTTTTGATTTTTAAAAAATCTTGAAAGGCATACAATTATATTTAGTTTTTAAAGAACATTCATCTTCATAACTCCTCACTACCAATTTAAGAAGTAGCTCAGGGAAAACACTATTACCATGTTTTTCAGATGGGCCTAGAGAAGTTAAGTGACTTGCTTGAAGGCAAAAAATTGTAGGATAAATTTAAATTGTAACAGATATTATTACCTCATTAAATCCTCACAGCATGAGATGAAGCAAATCAACAGTATATATATATACTTGTTCATTTTAATATTCAGGAAATGAAAGCCAAATTGGTAAAGCAACCCGGCTAGCAAAATGCAGCAACATAGAAGATTTTATGACTCATTGCCTTTTTCATTCATAAGTACCTAAGATGTCAAGATTTTTCTTCCCTTTAAAGAAACAGTTTGTGGCTGGGCGCGGTGGCTTTCGCCTGTAATCCCAGCACTTTGGGAGGCCGAGGAGGGCGGATCACAAGGTCAAGAGTTCGAGACCAGCCTGGCCAACATAGGGAAACCCAATCTCTACTAAAAATACGAAAAATTAGCCAGATGTGGTGGCATGCACCTGTAATCCCAGCTGCTTAGGAGGCTGAGGCAGGAGAATTGCTTGAACCTGGGAGGCAGAGGTTGCAGTGAGCCAAGATCCTGCCACTGCACTCCAGCCCAGGTGACAGTGTGAGACTCTATCTCAAAAAAAAAAAAAAAAAAAAGCAGTTTGTAAGACATCTCCTCCCTTTCTATTTTTCTGGGACTGAATCCCAAGTAAAATGGCTGCCAGAAGATCCAGCAGGGGAGTGCTGCTGCAGCCTTTGCTCAGCTGGGAGGCCCTCAATCTCCAGGGAGACAGATTCTGGGATAATGCCTGGAAAAACCTTCTTCTGAATCAACTGCAGTGTCCCTTCTTCAAGCCTGGATTCAAAGTCTCTGCAGATGGCAGCAGTTCTGCTCCTGAATTCCTTCAGAACACAGTCAAGCAAGGAGGCAGGTCAGAGAAAGGCCTGAGGTGACCTGCAGGCCTGGGGCTTTGTGTCAAAAATCAGGAGCTGGAAGCCGAAGATCCCATTCTGTGATAGGGATCATTCCTTGGGTTTACACAGGTCACATTAACAAAAAATAATCCATTCAGGAAACCAAGTGTTCTTCAGGTCAGCCTACTATATATCCATGAGAGAAAATGGATGTGTCCTCTAGGGCTCCACCTCAGCAGTTTCCAAAGTGCATTCCTTGGAACACTAGTCCTCTCAGGTAGCCTATGAAAGAAAATCCTGTGATAAAATGAGTTACAAAATGCTTCCACTATTACCTCACCTTGGAGATTCTAAAATGTACATGAACATGTTAAACGCTTTGTTTACACAAAATCTCTACCAAGGGCGGGTTTCATTATGGAAACTTTCCTCCCCTATAAAACCAAATATAAATGTGGGACACTGCATGTTAATTCATTGTTAGGACAGTTTCCCCCTAAAACTTTGTAGTGGGACTTTAGAAGAAAGATGATAGAGCATAAAGAAGGAAAGGCAAGATTCTTGCCATTCTAACGCTGCCTAAGAGTGGAAATCATAACACATCTTCGGGTATTGCGTTGTCAATCTGTAATAGGTGTAATACCTGCCACAACTCACTGTTTTGAGGATTTGCAGTTATAATTAAGCTTTACTGAAGCGGTAGAAAACAAAACAAAAACAATCAAAACCTCCTGAGCCACTTAGATGGAGAGTGAGACAAGATTATTTTTCAGAAATGACTTTAGCAAATGGTGTCTAATACTTTGCACATTTAAAAGATCACGTTATAGTAGTATTCATGTTTTCTTCAAATCTTAGGTGGAGTTCAAGAGTTTTAATCCCTTATATTAGATTATATGAGATATTATGTTATTATTATTATTATATTAATCCCATACAATATTTAGAGAGACAACAAGCATTTTGTAATAGCTTAAAAAAAAAGACCACTGAAGGTTGAGTGATGTGGAAACCATGAGAATATAGAGAGTTTATTTTCTCACAGCCTACATACATTGAGTTACTTTTCAAAGGCTGGTCTCATGAGAGAGGTAAAAATGTATTTGCCTAACTGCTATATATAGGATAACATGGAAAATATATTTCTGAGGATACTGAGCTGCCTGCCAAAGATTGTCTTCACATGTCTACTGACAATTAATCAAATTAGCTAGCTTAAAAACAAGTAGTTTAGAATAGCAAGCAATTCAGTAAGAGTATACTGACAATTTATATCTTTTGATATTTTCCTTCCATCTCATTTGCTGATGGTTGAGGGAAGCAGGAAATGTGAAGAAAGCTTGTGCATGCTTTATTGTTTCTGAAATAACTACTTTATTCACTAGATATTTTAACATCCATTCTGAATTATCCTCCAAGTTATTATTAATACTTTGTGGAATTAATAGTAAGACCATCAGTATCTTGTATTGTGTTAAAGTACTTAAATCTGTTAAGACAGACCTAGAAAGTTTGAGGGTAGTAGATTTTCAGGCCTAAATAATTAAAAAAATATATAGAACATATGAATTAGAGCTGTTATGGTCAAATTCTAATGCCTCCCAATTGTTTACAGAATGAGATGAGAACTCTTTGCTTTTGTGTTTAAGACTCACCACAATCTGCTTTCTCTCTGATTCCAAGTTTAGTTTCCACGGCTATGCAGCATCTTGTCTTACAGCAGCCAGTATCCCTCAGGCATACTTACGTTCCTCCTGTCACCACTTCCGTGCCATGCCTCGTTTCTCCAAACTCACCTCTAACTCTCTGAAACCTGTGACTATTACTGGGGGGTAAAACATTTGCCCCAGGTCACCTAGCAAGGAATGGGGAAAGCCACAATTCACAACAAGGCACTTGGCTTCTGAAGCCTACAGTTTGAACCACTCCATTGAATTTATAGAACACCGAAAGCATGGTATTGACAGGGCTGGACTTGAATCCTGGCTCTGTGGTTCCCAGCCAGGTGACTATGAGCTATATATTTGACTTCTATAATCCATAAAATGTTTTTTTATCTGTAAAGTTAAAATAATAATAGATTTTCCTTCATAGATTTCTGTAAAGATTAAATAAGGTGATCCCTGTAAAGTACTTGGTTCAGTGCCTGCTCTATAATGAGGACCCAATAAATGTCAGATGCTATTTTCACAACTTTATACTGTAAGATAAATGTGCATGTATATACATGTATATATGTATATGTGTATGTATATTTATATTCCCCCCCCAGACTGAATTGGTTGAATTTTCAAAGTGGGGAAATAGCCTGACTTGTTTTGCTAAATCCTCTTAGAGCATCAAAACCATTTCTTGAAATTGATAGGTGCTAAATATATATTTTGATGATTAATTGGTATTTATCTTTTATTCTTTGCTTTAAAATTGTCCAGTTGCTTATTAAGAGCACGACTATTAATGATTTATGCAATATGATAGGCGCACATTCTGTTAGAATGATCACTTCTCAATAATTTAAACATTTTAAATGATCCTTTGATACTTTGTTAACATTCAGTAAATATTTGTAGATATTTCTTTCTTTGACAAATAGGATAGCTAACAGTATTTATGTTTTCAATCTTCAGTCTCTTTTTTTATGCCATAGGAAATGTTTTGCTAGTGTTTTATCATAGCTGGGTTAGTATGGGGAATGAATTTAGTATTCACATGGATAGATAACACATGTGCTTTTCTAGGTGTTTCACTATCATTTAGCTTTAGCTAATAAGCACTTAAAGTCTTGTTGATTTTTCCCCAAAGACCCTTAGTCATCTATAACATTCTTGAATAATTGAGCTTTAAGTGGATGTTAATAGGGTTGATTATTTCAGAAATATACAGAAATGTCTTTACAAGATTAAATTTGAAATTTGTATTACCCCTAAGATACCAAGTTTTGAAATTCCCTTCTCAAAAACTGAAAGTTAAATAATACATGAAATAGAATGACTTGGGTTTTTGTTATTAGAATTTATATAGATAAGTTCTATTTTGTAAAAATATTCACCCTCATTGTAGAGCCCCTCTTAAAACAACAACAAAGGCAACAGCACCTGGATCCTAAAAATCGCTGCCAGTATAAATAAAATGCATCCGTAAGACTTTTCAAGAAGGCTTATTTTTAGGATATTCTCATTTCAAAGTCAACTGTTACTCTATGCTCTAAAGCTGTTTCCCTTATTTTAGATTAGCATATACCTGTTGACATCAATTAGTCATCTAAGAATTGGCTGACAATCATTTGGAAAATATCATCGTTCACACATTCAACACTTACAGAACCTAAGTCCATATTTTTGGCAGTGGCAACTGGATTTGGATAGAGAGGGATTGGAGTCTTTCCCCACCATTATCCTCGCTGCTTTGGAGGTAGTTTCAATAGAACGTGAGTGAATAGTGGGGGCAAAAGAAGGCAGGATAACATTTACAACTATTTTCTACTCATTCATAAGAAATATCCTTTTCTTTTCTTTGTTTTAGAAGAAATGGCCCACCATGCTCCAAGAGCAAAATATCAATAACCTCATATTTGTCATCTCTTATATCATCTTTTCTAATACCCACAGCAACCCTGTGAATTTAGTAAGTTATTATTATCCTCATTTTACAGATAAGGAAACTACAATTAAAATAAGTTAATTAACTTATGAAGATGACACATGATTAAATGAAAGAACTGAGACTTCTTTAATAGAGGTCTTTGCCTTTAAGAGCGATGCATTTACTACTCTGCATATTGCCTGAGCTATTCCACAGAAAGTGGAAAATAAAATCATTGGCAAGTTAATGGATACATCTTTAATGGTATTCATAATTGTAATTGTGCTACATGATAATAATGGCATAGCAGACAAGCAGTGCACATAAATGGCTGAAATTAGCATGACTTTGAAGCATAGCCATACTTAGTATTTCTGACATCTGGGATGAAGAGGAAAAGAGGACAGGGCAGAGTAGGAAGCTGCTAAGAATTCTTTCTAGATCTGTCACTCACAGTCTGCTTTTGGGTAACTGAAAACTTCATTTTATTTCCCCCCCTTCCTATCAAACTAGTTGAGAATTAGGTCTATGTACTACAGTATAAGATGGGCTGTGGGCTCAGGTCAAATCTACTGTTCTCTTAGAACAGGTTAGTTTCATCAGAGAGCAGTTGCCTCCACCCAACACACAGATATTAGCTAGGGATGTTTCCTTTTTGTACTTTAGTGGTGTTTTTCTCTTAATCCTGAAAGAGAGAGGTGATATGCAGTTTGTAGAGAACAAAGCAACCACAGCAGTTACTAGGTACAATCTAGAAGCAGTTTGCTTTGACAACACTCATCTCAATATCTGTGCTTCCACCTCCCCACCCAAGTTCTTCTTGGTTATCCTTTTCTAGACCTCTTAGTGAGAACTAGAGTCCTCTTCTTGTTCTAAGCCCTAACCTGAAGCATTCCCAAATTCTTCTAATTCTCAAATTATTTTAACCTCAAAGAAAACTTTTAATCCTTTAATATAGACCAAGATTCAGCAAACTCTTTTGGTAAAGAGCCAGATAGTAAATATTTTTGCTCTGAGGGCCAGATGGTCTCATTCCCCACTACTGATCTATGCCATTTGTACTGTGAAAGCAGCCACAGCGATATATAAACAAATGAGCATAGCAGTGTTTCAATAAAACTTTATTTACAAAAATAGATAGAGTTCAGGCTGGATTTGGCCCAAAACTCATAGTTTGATGACCCCCGATGTAGACCATCTCTCTCATTATATACTATGCTCTGGCATTAAATTCGAAAAAGGAGAAAGGTAAAACTGGCATTGGTCCTGATTCGGTCAGTCAGTAGTGAAATATCAAAGCACTTACAATTGGCTAAGGTTTGTACTCCCTGCTGCAGATTTAGGGATTAACTTAGACTGGGATTTTTGATTCCTGCTACTTCCCCTTCTTCTCTCCAGCAGAAAAAGAGCAGGACTATATAGGCACAGGATAATCCAAATTAGTGTTTCACTTATTTTGCAACTGAATCCATACTCTACCAAGAAAGCCCTTAGTAAACTTTCAACCTGGGCAAAGTTTACCTATCTACCTTCTCTTCTGAATCTTGTCTTGTGCCTTATCTCTCATTCTCATGAAAATTGGTGCGCTCATTCTATTTGCTGGGGGTCTTCCTTCATCTCCTCCATATTCCACACTCTTCCTCTTCCACTCCTTATCCTCTTCACAGAATATCTTCTCACTCTATTCAACACCAACACAATACCCTCAGAGGCTTGAAATTTACAAATTACACTTCTTCTTTATTTTATTTTATTACTATTATACTTTAAGTTTTAGGGTACATGTGCACAATGTGCAGGTTAGTTACATATGTATACATGTGCCATGCTGGTGTGCTGTATGCATTAACTCGTCATTTAGCATTACGTATATCTCCTAATGCTATCCCTCCCCACTCCCCCCACCCCACAACAGACCCCAGAGGGTGATGTTCCCTTTCCTGTGTCCATGTGTTCTCATTGTTCAATTCCCACCTATGAGTGAGAATATGCGGTGTTTGGTTTTTTGTCCTTGTGATAGTTTACTGAGAATGATGATTTCCAATTTCATCCATGTCCCTACAAAGGACATGAACTCATCATTTTTTATGGCTGCATAGTATTCCATGGTGTATATGTGCCACCTTTTCTTAATCCAGTCTATCACTGTTGCACATTTGGGTTGGTTCCAAGTCTTTGCTATTGTGAATAATGCCGCAATAAACATACGTGTGCATGCGTCTTTATAGCAGCATGATTTATAGTCCTTTGGGTATATACCCAGTAATGGGATGGCTGGGTCAAATGGTATTTCCAGTTCTAGATCCCTGAGGAATCGCCACACTGACTTCCACAATGGTTGAACTAGTTTACAGTCCGACCAGCAGTGTAAAAGTGTTCCTATTTCTCCACATCCTCTCCAGCACCTGTTGTTTCCTGACTTTTTAATGATTGCCATTCTAACTGGTGTGAGATGGTATCTCATTGTGGTTTTGATTTGCATTTCTCTGATGGCCAGTGATGGTGAGCATTTTTTCATGTGTCTTTTGGCTGCATAAATGTCTTCTTTTGAGAAGTGTCTGTTCATGTCCTTTGCCCACTTTTTGATGGGGTTGTTTGTTTTTTTCTTGTAAATTTGTTGGAGTTCACTGTAGATTCTAGATATTAGCCCTTTGTCAGATGAGTAGGTTGCGAAAATTTTCTCCCATTTTGTAGGTTGCCTGTTCACTCTGATGGTAGTTTCTTTTGCTGGGCAGAAGCTCTTTGGTTTAATTAGATCTCATTTGTCAATTTTGGCTTTTGTTGCCATTGCTTTTGGTGTTTTAGACATGAAGGGCTTACCGATGCCTATGTCCTGAATGGTAATGCCTAGGTTTTCTTCTAGGGTTTTTCTGGTTTTAGGTCTAACGTTTAAGTCTTTAATCCATCTTGAATTGATTTTTGTATAAGGTGTAAGGAAGGGATCCAGTTTCAGCTTTCTACATATGACTAGCCAGTTTTCCCAGCACCATTTATTAAATAGGGAATCCTTTCCCCATTTCCTGTTTTTCTCAGGTTTGTCAAAGATCAGATAGTTGTAGATATGTGGCGTTATTTCTGAGGGCTCTGTTCTGTTCCATTGATCTATATCTCTGTTTTGGTACCAGTACCATGCTGTTTTGGTTACTGTAGCCTTGTAGTATAGTTTGAAGTCAGGTAGCGTGATGCCTCCAGCTTTGTTCTTTTGGCTTAGGATTGACTTGGTGATGCAGGCTTTTTTTTGGTTCCATATGAACTTTAAAGTAGTTTTTTCCAATTCTGTGAAGAAAGTCATTGGTAGCTTGATGGGGATGGCATTGAATCTATAAATTACCTTGGGCAGTATGGCCATTTTCATGATATTGATTCTTCCTACCCATGAGCATGGAATGTTTTTCCATTTCTTTGTATCCTCTTTTATTTCATTGAGCAGTGGTTTGTAGTTCTCCTTGAAGAGGTCCTTCACATCCCTTGTAAGTTGGATTCCTAGGTATTTTATTCTCTTTGAAGCAATTGTGAATGGGAGTTCACTCATGATTTGGCTCTCTGTTTGTCTGTTGTTGGTGTATAAGAATGCTTGTGATTTTTGTACATTGGTTTTGTATCCTGAGACTTTGCTGAAGTTGCTTATCAGCTTAAGGAGATTTTGGGCTGAGACAATGGGGTTTTCTAGATATACAATCATGCCATCTGCAAACAGGGACAATTTGACTTCCTCTTTTCCTAATTGAATACCCTTTATTTCCTTCTCCTGCCTAATTGCCCTGGCCGGAACACAAATTACACTTCTTAACATGATGGTATGAAGGATGCAGATTTTCTTGTGTAGAAGACAAGCTTGTGAACCCAAATGATACTGCAGCTGTGTATAGTCAAGTGTGCATCTCCATGCTTTGTGTAAGCCATCAGGGATCAAGCCCTTTTCCAGGCTCAACAGAAATTAAGCTGAATCCTGAATAAAGAGGGCCTCCCGTAGTTTTCTCAGTTTGCTGTAAGAAGAATGAAAAGAAAGCAGAGGTGTTTATTATGGGAGGTACTGGCAGCTCAAGGCGTACCTTGCTGTACCAGTTAAAACAGAACGTGTGTGACAGATGAATTTAGGCCAGTGCACACCATTCTGAGAAGTATGCCCCAATATTGGAAAGTAGAATTAAATATTTAAATATGTCAAAATGAAAATTTGCATTATCTCCACCCCCTTCTCATTGCTTCTCTCCTGATTTTCCAAGGATGGTTTTTGTTAGAATATCTAGGTAGTGAACTTTGACTCAATTGTAAATCCAAATGCCTACAAGACTAGAGTCTAGGTAGTAGGCAATTGATGACTGGGTATTTTAAATGAGAAATAAAAACTTGCGTGAGTATTTGTGAATAGAGAAGTATACCAAGCAGTTTTTGTTGGCAGAAAATGGGGATAAGATTCTATACTAATCTGAAGAGAGAATTCAATGGTTATGTTGTAAAAGGACAGAGGATAATGATGTATATAAAACAAGGAAGGAAGTCTATAAAATTCAATCAACTTCTATAAGCTAGTTTGGTACAAAAAAAAAAAAAACTGGGGAAGCTTGAACCAGCTCTGCATTCAGCAAACATAATGGATCTTGGCTGTCAGCCTACTCTGGTGCATTTATTTTCTCTAGGGAGTTGTTTTTATAGTGCAAGAAACTGGTCTAAAAGGAGTTGGGGTTACTTGAGAATTGATGATTTACTATTTAGTCCTGGAAAAGCTGTAATGGCTTGGAAGTCTAATCTGCACCTGGTTTCACATCAACGGATTCATCTCTCTTGCTTGATAAACATGTTCATTGGACAACAATGAAACAACTGGGGTAATTATGATGTGAGCTGACACTGCCGGTATAAAGGCAGCTTATGGTTGGACCCAGCCCAGCAAAAGCAAGATGAAGACTGCATTGAAAATTGAAAGTAGAAATTCATCAAAATTTCTCCAGAGATGAATGGGCTCTCATCTCTACTCCTTTCTAATAGCTTCCTCATCTTTCCTCTCTCCATGAACTAAGGGCTACTAACCATTTTTGTGCTATGACTGCCCTTGGCTTTTTGATGAAATCTATGAAACCCTTCTCAGAAAATGCTTTCAACGAACACAATACATTCTGTAGAATTATAAAAGGAAAACAAAATATATCAAAATACAATTATAAAATAAAAATTTTATGATGTGTTCATTTACATGCTCCTTTGCAACATAATAAATAAAAAGATCTCAGCGGTATGTCTAATAACCATTATAATTTCAAAGTGGGGATGGGTTTAAATAGTATTTTGAAGGTTGTTACAGAAAATATCTGTAATTTCTACTGGAAGTAAAATAATTGGTATTGACAGTAGTCCTGTAGTTTTATCTAGATTCATAATGTAGTAGGTGGTTGGCCAAAAGTAATTATTTTTCCCTCCCAAGTTCATGGGCCCTCTGAATTCTGTCCCAGATCAGGAATACCTGGGCTCAGCTTAAGAAGTGCTGCTATTTGCTATCTTCCATTTTTATCCTTGTACAAATTGGGAATCGGAGGTCCAGATTAACAGCTACACAGTCTCAGATCTAGAGCTCCCAGCTACATATCTAATTGTCCCAATGCCAAATCCCCAGGAGAGTCAATCCGATGGGCCAAGGGCCAGATATCCATTCCGATGCCAAAAAGCAATAGAAGGGTAGATAGAAAAGATCCTGTAAGACAAACATGTCTTCAACCCACTATCTTGGGAACATAAAGAGAGATTTTTCAAAGAAAGTGTACGTGTAAGGCAGATACCTCAAAAGGAGCCTTTTATAAGTACAGGTGTGGGACCCCTAACAGCAGCTGGAAAATTCCTTAGCAGAGCCTTACAGATACAATGAGGGAGTTCTTCTCATGGTGAAAAGCTATCACTATTCATTGGGAAGAAAAGTTATCTGTGCACAAATAAAAGTCTAGGCTGTTAGGTGTTTTACAAGTCCAATATGACACTGTCCAGTAGAACATTCTGTGGTGTTGGTAATATTCTATAGCTGCACTGTCTAATGCAGTAGCCACTAGTCACACATAGCTATTGATCACTTGAAATGTGGCTAGTGTGACTCAGAAGCTAAATTTTAAATTTGATTTATTTTTAATTAATTAATATTTAAATTTACATAGCCACATGTGGCTAGTAGCTACCACAGTGAATGACTCAGGTCTAACCTATCCCACACTGCATCTCCATCAGTTTCCTACAACAGCAGCACTCCAGTCAAACTAGTAAAGAAATCTTACCTTTTGGCTTCTGACTTTGTTGAGGTTCTTTGCCTAGCTCAGGCATACACTCATAGTTTTTGTCCATTTCTCTAGGTCATTCTACACTTTATATTCCTAACTCATATCCCACCTTCTGGAAGACTTCTGTTATCAGCCAAGTTCTCTGAAGTCTTAAGACACCTATTGCTATATCACCAATTGGGACAAATCACATGTCACTTGCTTCAGATGTGTGTGTGTGTGTGTTTTTTTCCAAAAGTTTTATAGTTTTTCTTCAAGTAGAGTGCATGCTTCTGAGGAGAAGAAAAATTTCTCATATCTTTTAAAAGACCTTGTTTTTTATATAGGTGTTCAGTACAATTTTGTTGAATTAGTTCACTGAATGCTTTGGAGATGTAGATGATGCAAATAAAGAGTGGAAAAATCCATCAAGGCAAAGATGCCTGAAGGTAGAGTCACTGTGTGCCAAAAGATCACTTAAATATCTTAAAGAGAGGTCAGAAATTAATTTGGTGCTATCTTTTGGCAAATAAAGTGTTCTCCTTTTATGAATGAAACAACCAAAGTCTAATGATAGTGAATGATTTGCCAAGATCATATACCAGTAAAAGATGGAGGAGAAACTGAGACCCAGGCCTTTGGCATTCAGCAGTATTCTATAGAGCAAGATGCTAGATAGATTGGGAACTCTTTAAGAAGCAAGAGAACAAGCCCAACAGAAAGAAGAAGAGGACAACAGAAAGGAAGCTCACAAAAAGAAATAGAAGAGAAGGTTTATGATGGATTTCCTTGATTTATTCAGATTGTGAAAACCTAACAGATAAATTTCCACAAAATTAAAGAAAATTCAAATATTAGATGGGTGAAGAAGTCCCTCCAATTTTAAATACCAGTAACTCATCATTTACCTGAGACTAGAAAATAACTAGATATGCTTAAGATGCTTCTCCATTCTTGTTGGTCTCCGGTCTACATTCTTTCTGATAGGTACCTAGTGTGTATATTACACTTCACATGTGCATGGCATACTGCAGTGAATCAAGCAATCTGGGAGGGAAACCTTGCCAGAGGAGAAATCACTGAGAACATTTCCTCTAAGACTCCATGTAAAAATTGAAGAAAGTGTTAGAAAAAAAAAAAAGATAGCCGTCTCTACTAAAAAAATACAAAAAACAGGCCCGGCGCGGTGGCTCATGCCTGTAATCCCAGCACTTTGGGAGGCCGAGGTGGGCGGATCACGAGGTCAGGAGATTGAGACCATCCTGGCTAACACGGTGAAACCCCACTTCTACTAAAAATACAAAAAATTAGCCGGGCGTGGTGGCGGGCGCCTGTAGTTCCAGCTACTCGGGAGGCGGAGGCAGGAGAATGGCGTGAACCCGGGAGGCGGAGCTTGCAGTGAGCCGAGATCGCGCCACTGCACTCCAGCCTGGGTGATAGAGCAAGACTCCATCTCAAAAAAAAGAAAAAAAAAAAGATGGCCATGAACGTTGGATGTGAAGAAGTGTCTGAAGGAAAAAATCGCCCATCTTTTTATTTTCTATCCAGTGGCAGCATCATAGAGGGATGATAAAATTCAACATTGCATAAGCGTCATATACCCCATATACCCACTGGACTCTTATACTGGTACCTCAAAGCTGTCCTATCAGATCTGGCCTATTTTTCTTCATAGGCTAGAGTTAGGTAGGAAACAGAAGAAAGAAACTCTAGGATAAATAGTTAGATCTTTGTTTAGAGAAAGGAGATCCAAAAGTCAAAGAATTAGACATCCAGGTTGTGACTTGCTAAGCATACCCACTGGCTAAACAAAGCACTGGCAAGAACATTTCGACTACGCTATTGTTACTATACTAAAATCATTCTCACCTTTAAATTGGGAGAAACATGCTCGATAATCTTTCAAAGTGTCCAGTGTTCTAACGTTCTTACTGAATGTGTACAGCATTGCACAAAGACCCTCAAATTAGTAAGACTACTTTACACAATGCCAAAGCCAGTGTGGTTTTCATGGGTTACAACCAACTTTTGCTCCTTAGTCATAAACTGGAACCTTTTCAAGTCATTCCATAAGTTCTTGGAAAAATGTCCGATCACCTTAATATGAATTTGTCTGAAAAACCAGATATCAAAACCAAAAGAGTGTCGAGACAAAATATATTTATATAGATAAGGAACACCTTCATCTTCAAGAGGAGCCACCGTTTAAGAGAACCAGCCTATCAGTGGAGTCAATGGAGAGTGACTTCCAATGGAGAGTGAACATGTCAGCTACGGAAAATATAAAAACAAAAATCTGACCCATTGAGTGACCATGCCTGTCTACTACAAATATGGTGCTGTGCTTTAAGGATAAATATAAGTATCTTTTTGATAATAATATTATTAATAATGTGCATCATGTGCTTATGATATTCCAAGATACTTTGTTAAATCCTTTTAAGGATTATTTTATTTAATCCTTACAATAATCTTAATGTACGTTATTTCTATTATTCTTATTTGATTGATGAGGGAACTGAGGAAAGACAATTAAGTTAATTGCCCACAACACATGGGAAGGGTCAGAGCTAGGATTCAAAAGTAGGTAGGCAGACTCAAAGTACTGATACTCTTAACTACTATGCTATAGTTCACACCTTGAAGTCCTCAACATAATTATCCAGTTTTCTCCAGCTTTTAAATAATAAACAATGGTATTAAGAGGAAAAAATTGTGTGAGAATCTCCATTTTGAAAAACTATGACTTCTTAAAGTGAATTCATAAATGAATGTTTATGCCCCCTGCAAAATTCCTATGTTGAAGCCTTAACCAAGCCTTAATCCACAGTGTGGCTGTATTTGGAGATGGGAGCCTCTAAGGAAGTAATTAAAGTGAAAAAGAGTGGGTCCCTGATCTAATAGAATTACTGTCCTTATAAGAAGAGATGCTAGAGGCTGGGCATGGTGGCTCACGCCTATAATTCCAGCACTTTGGGAGGCCAAGGTGGGCGGATCACCTGAGATCGGGATTTTGAGACCAGCATGACCAACATGGCGAAACCCCGTCTGTACCAAAAATACAAAAATTAGCTGGGCATGGTGGTGGGCACCTGTAATCGCAGCTACTCAGGAGACTGAGGCAGGAGAATCACTTGGACCCTGGAGGCAGAGGTTGCAGTGAGCTGAGATTGTGCCATGGCACTACAGCCTGGGCGACAAAGCGAGATTCCATCTCAAAAAAAAGAAAAAAAAAGAAAAGATGATAGCTCTCTTTCTCTCTGCCCTATGCACTCACTGAGGATAGGCCTTTTGATAACTCAATGAGAAGGCAGCTATCTGCAAGCTAGGAAAGGAGCCCTCATCAGAAATTGAATTGGCCAGAACTTTGATCTTGACTTCTAGCCTCGAGAACTATGAGAAAATAAATTTTGGTTGTTGAAGCCATCCGATCTATGGTGTTTTCTTAAGGCAGCCTGAGCTGACTGAGACAGAAGCTTTAAACTGTAAATTCTCTTGTCAAACAAGGTGTTGTATATTTATAACATGAAAAATGATTTTTAAAGATAGTCATTGAAGTGGAAATCTTAAACTAAAAACTTGTCACAGAACTCATATCTCTCCCCTCCTTAAAAAATATATTATGAATCCCCAGTGTTTGTGACTCTTCTGTAGGAGAAAACTTGAGTTAACTGTTACTAGAACTCTCATCAGTAAAAATGTCACATTATTATGCCTATATTCAAAGATGAACTTAGCCAAATTATTTGTAAGTGGTGAAGTAAAGAAGTGGACACCTAGACCACTCCCATTGTTTCCAAATGTTTGCAGCAGGGACCCTTTCCTCTCTTCAAACAAACAAAAATATTATAGTATGAAGTTCTTTCAAAGAATGGAGTGTCACATTTAGTTAAAATAGAGATGAATTCAGCATAACTCTTAAAATAATTTTTACAGTGTAAATTTTCCTTTCAGTTTCCATAGGCAGATTAATGTATAATTACTCTATAGACCACTAGAATATTCCATTTCTTCTTCTTCTCCTCCTTCTCCTCCTCCTCCTCCTTCTTCTCCTTCTTCTTCTTCTTTTATTTTTTTCTGAGACACGGTCTTACTCTGTTGCCCAGGCTGAAGTGCAGTGGTGTGATCACAGCTCACAGCAGCCTTGAACTCTCAGGCTCAAGCAATCCTTCCACCTCAGCCTCCTACATAGCTGGAACTACAGGCATATGCCACCATGCCTTGCTTATTTTTTAATCTTTTTTTAGAGACTGGGTCTCACTATGTTGCCTTCATAGTGTGCCATTTCACTACGTGGCTGGCAATTTTGTCTTTAAATGGAGATGATAGTGTTGTTTATGTTATAAGTGGTCGTTATGAACATCAAAGGAAGTCATCCTCCTGAAGCCTTGAAAACTGTCAAGTTCTACTGAAATGTCATAGATCATTATTACTGAGTTGTTTACTTTAAATGACCAATACCACATTTTGAATTTAAATCATGTGGTACTGTATTTTAAGGAGGTAGTAACCATGTAAGTTTAGAAGAAAAATTCAACATGCCCTGAATGTGTTTTTAAAAATAGATTACATTTTAAGTATATTTGGTGACAAAATATCTGTAATAAGTACAAGTTTTGTTAAGGCTATAATAAAATCATAAACCCTGCCTAATAAAGAACTTGTTCTGGCTGGGCACTGTGGCTCATGCCTGTAATCCCAGCATTTTGGGAAGCCAGTGCACGCCAGATCACCTGCAGTCAGGAGTTTGAGACCAGCCTGGCTAAGATGGTGAAACCCCGTCTCTACTAAAAAACACACACACACAAATTGTCCGGACATGATAGCGGGCACCTATAGTCCCAGCTACTCAGGAGGCTGAGGCAGAGAATCGCTTGAACCCAGGAGACAGAGGTTGCGGTGAGCTGAGATTGCACCACTGCACTCCGTCCTGGGTGACAGAGCAAGACTCCCTCTCAAACAAACAAACAAAAAAAGAACTTGTTCTATGGGTAAAGTGATGAAAATTAATATGGCAGATTTCTGCAGAAAAGGGATATTTAATTTCAATTCAACCTGCATATGGTGAGTACTTGTCACCTGTAAGGTGCTGTGTCAGCTTCTGGGACATAAACAGAAAATTATTGTGTATCTACTATTGGATTGTTTTATATGATATTTGGTGGTGATAGGGAAGGTAAGTGTTTTTAGGGACATTCAGGTAAATGGTGTTTGATATGCTTTGGCTGTGTCCCCACCCAAATCTCAGCCTGAATTGTATCTCCCACAATTCCAAGGTGTTGTGGGAGAGACCCAGGGAAATGTAATTAAATCACGGGGGCCGGTCTTTCCTGTGCTATTCTCATGATAGTGAGTAAGTCTCATGAGATCTGACAGGCTTATCAGGGGGTTCCCCTTTTGCTTCTCCATCATTTTTTTCTCTTGCCCCTGCCATGTAAGATGTGCCTTTCACCTCCCGCCATGATTCTGAGGCCTTCCCAGCCATGTGGAACTGTAGGTCCAATTAAACCTCTTTTCATTCCCAGTTTTGGGTGTGTTTTTATCAGGAGTGTGAAAATGGATTAATACAGTGTCCATTGATTGATCTGCAGCATAATATGAAAGGAATGAATTGGTAGAATAAGACAGCCTTATCAAAAAAACAGTGGAGTATTATCCTTATATACCTATTTCAAGGGCAATATTTGATTGCCAGGCACAGGCCTACTTTTCAAATATATGGTTCATGCAGCAAACAATAATTTTTGCTTTTTGGTTCTTGATACACAAAGCACCCAGTATCAATAATGATACACTAATAACCTAACAGAAAAGCCCTATACATAACTTTTTTTCCTTTTCTTCCATGATGTTGAATCAGAGGTGCATTAAATCTGGCTCTTGTGACACTATTCCAGTTTTTATGTAAAAAAGCAACAAAATTCTGCTCAACAGGCAGAGGAATGAAAAAAGAAAATACTAAAAATGATTTTTGCTTAGGTACATATAACTTCTATGTTGTCATCTTTATTTTCCATCTGTATCTCATTCTTTGTTTTCAGGCTGTAATTGTCAGCAACTGTTCTTCAGGTCTATAAAGCCTTCAAAGCTCTGACCACTGGTTGTTATTATTATTATTATTATTATTATTATTATTATTATTATTATTTGAGATGGAGTCTTACTCTGTCGCCCAGGCTGGAATGCAGTGGCACAATCTTGGCTCACTGCAACCTCTGCCTCCTGGGTTCAAGTGATTCTCATGCCTCAGCCTCCCGAGTAGCTGAGATTACATGCACCTACCACCATGTCTGGCTACTTTCTGTATTTTTAGTAGAGACAGGGTTTCACTGTGTTGGCCAGGCTCGTCTCAAACTCCTGACCTCAGGTGATCCACCAACCTCAGCATTCCAAAGTGCTGGGATTACAGGCGTGAGCCACCCAGCCTGGCCGGTTTTTGTGCATTTTTGACTTCCAGCTTAGGGAGAGAGCATGCCTGGGTGGGTCATTCCCTCCACTATTTCTATAGTTTTAAATGTGTTTGTTTTTTAATCAAAGTGCATTATTCTGCATTAGTCAGACCTAAGTGGGCAAATACATTCTCCAAATTCTGGAGGAAAAACCAACAAAACTCATAAGATGTGTTGATTTCAAAATATCAAGTGCCCTAAATTCATAGTTGCAGTGAAAACTATCACATTTGTTAAATGAAGGAGTTAATTATGTAAGATTCTTATGCCAGGAAGGGGAAAAAGAAAAATAAGTTTATTTTTTTTCCATATCTGTCAATTGAAAATATAAAGTGTTACAGCTGAAACATGAATATTTTAAAGTAAGAGCAAATGCTTGTAATTCTTCTTGGGCAGTGGTTTCAGGCATGTCCTTTACTGGCAATGAACCACATGCGGGGAGAATCTATCTCACTGTGCCAAGGAGTTATTTATGCTTGCCTTAGACGCCCAGGACTTGAGTTTATTACACATTTTTCTCCTCTTTTGCATAAAGTAGTCCAAATCTCTTTCCATTTACCTATCATATTTTTTCATTTTAATCAGGTGCAATTTTGATTTTTCTCTTTGGGTTCATGAGTAATGTTTGCAAAATCAAATCAATGAAAAAAGACACTGTAATTTATATTTTCATATTTTTTCCTGGGGTTCTTACAGAGAACACAGCCCCAAACCCAGGGGAAACTATTCCCAGAAGTGCAATGGAGTTGAGTATCATGATCTTCAAACTATCTTTAGTTTATACGGTTTATACATTGAAGAAAATAAATGCAATTGTGAATGCCTAATGGAACTCTCTGGCACATACTACTGGGTACTTATATATAGTCTGATAAAAAATTAAAACCAATTTATCAAAATGACAACACACTTGTTAATTTGGAACATTCTTAATGTCCATTTAAAGTGCAATACTCAGTAATTTATTCCATTTTGGAGATTTCAAGTTATCAGCATTTAGTACAATTTATAGCTCATGCTTAATTTTGCTATTATTTACTTTAGCAAATAAAAGGCATCTTACTCTGCAAAAAAAGTGCTGATTCTTATTTTATGGAGTACCTCAGTGTAATAGATTTAGTGTGGAAAACAAATTGAAAGCCTTCTACCACCAAATTAGAGTTTTAAACTTACGTTAGCTCTTAGGTGCGTGGCTCTCACACTTTAGTACCTTGAAGAAACAACCAGGAAGTTTGTTAAAAATGCAAATCCCTGACTTCTAGTCCCCAGGGACTCTTATCAGAAGGTGTGAAATGGAACCAAGTAATCTGCATTGATTTTTAATTATCACCCCTGAATAATTCTGTTTCTATGAAGCATTTTGAGATACTCATTTTGAGATAAAAGAATTTGTGTTTTTTGTACACAATGTCTTTTTTATATAAATTATTGATTAATAGCTTTAGTAATCCTAAAATTAATCAAGTGGATGATTATTTTTGAGAATTTATGTGATCTTTTAAAAATTTAATTTTTAGAAATTGTTCCATTTTGTATTAACATTACAAATTGTGTCATTAAGACTAAACAAAAATCACCAAATCAATAATTCACTTAATAGACTGTGATCTACATGGAAAGCTATACATATTTAAATTTGTCAGGTGTATCCTTTTCTTAAACAACATTATTCACAGGGAAATTCAGATAATGAAACATATCATCAGAAAAATAAATACAACAAGCAGCTAATATTTATATACACTGAAAAGAATAGGCTGATTTAGTAGAGTAATATTCTGTGGTGTTACAAAGACTTCCCAAAGAATATGGATTTTAGAAGTATGTTCAATGCTGAGATCTCATTCTGGCCATGTACTGCGATAATGTTCATTACTACGGAACCAAAATCCACCTTGCTGTGAATATTCAGGCTTCAGAAACAAGCATATTCTAAGTGACATCATTCTAACTGATAACCTCATTTTTTTCTGACAAGGAGCTAACAATGGTGTCATTATAAAAGAATGGTTTAAGAATTGAAGGAGATAATATATGCTGCTATTATGGGTAAGAGTGGAAGACCAGTGAGTCCCCTACAGAAAGTCACTCAATCCTGAAATATTTCCTCAAACAGAAAAGTCGGTTATAGAGGAATACTAGATGTCAACTGGTAGATAACACCTTAGACTTGAAATTACCATCTAAGAAGAAATAACAAAAAGACTTTTTCATGGTTCTTTATATCCCAGAGGCCATAGGAGAGAATCAACCTTATTAAAAACAAAAATGGAGATGCCACACATATCGTCAAGGATATGAATATGGAAATAGGCAAGTTATAGGTATACAAATAAATTCTAGGCTCTAGGAAAGGAAAGGCAGAAGGGAAGAGAGACTCAAGCACCATCAAAGTATAGAGCTTCAGAGCAACATTCCTTCTCTGGCTCTTGGGAGATCTTGACAGAAGAGGGCAGTTCTTAGGTGTTGAGTGACTAGTCGGAGAAAAGGAGAACGTTACAAGCAATTTCTAAGGAATTGGGAGCCCAGGGCATTCCTGCTCTTGAAGATACTATGGCAGGAACCTTAAAAGTTTCATTTTTTTCTGACATGCCATCTGAATTTGAAGAGCCTAAAGCAGAAGAACCAGAAAATTCAGTTACCTAGGTCTACATCCATTATCCAGGCAAAAGGCCATAGAATCAACTCTATTGGTACTGTTTATGTTTGCCAAATGAGCAATTTCAAATATTAAAACGACATCAATACAGGTTTCTGGAGAAGCTCACTGACATTAACAGCATTGCCAAAAATGTAACGCAAACTTCTTAACATTTGTCATATTTAGGGAGTTCTATTTTTCAGTTCATTTTCATAGAGCTGGAAAAAGGAAACATAAATTGCTGTGGCAGTAGGGGAAGGAAACCAAAGTTTAGCGAAGGCTTATCATGGGTCTCACATTGTGTTATGCAGTTTATATATGGTCACATTTGGTAAGTTTAGGATATATGTGAAGTGTACTAAAGAAGCAAGAGATAACATGTGGTTTACAGACATTTCAAGGTTTAATAATGAACCTGCTATCTCAAACTACTTTACCAGTTTAACTTATTAATTGTTGAAATTTTCAAACCAACCAACCCTGAGAAGAGTCTGCGAATCTATACATTTTCACATACACATCCATTTACATTCATTGGAACACCTTTTTGAAGGCTTCTACAACTATAGTTATCAGTCTTGGAAAAATAAAAATGATGTATTGAAATTTTCCTATAACTGTCATTGTGACGGTTGTGAGGAAGGTCAGGGCAAATTATACAACAACACGGAGCATGGGTTTTATTTGGGAAACTTACAAAATAAAATTACCTTGCAAAGGTTGGCAAGAAGCAATGCATATCTCCCTTTTCTCAGCATTCCATAGAGAAGTATGCCAGCTATGAGCAGTGCAGCTTGTGCCCTGGTAATTCCACTTCTTACAGTGTAAGCAGAGAATGGCCCAACGGTGACTGTGTTAGCCTTAGTTTTCCTGAAAGCAGAGATGTTTGAGCAGTGTATTTGGGAGTGTGATTTCACGGGGGCAAGAACAAGAGATGGGCAAAGAAATACACAGAAAGAGAGCAAATGACCCAGTATAAGTTATCCATTTAGTCACTGACAAGTTGGCTGACAAGTTGCTCAACACTGTGGAACAGCCTGAGTGGTATGACACATGTCTTGGGATCATCAGCTCAAAGGGAAAAAAAGGGGAAATATTCACCCATTGGCATCTGTCTCTCAATGGCCAAAAATTGTCCCAGGGGGCATTAATTTACTCTGCAATTTCTATCAGTCTTCTCTTTGTGTGAGAGGCGTCCTAGCACAGGATCGAGGGGTTCTTATCCAATGCCTGAGGGGAGGTATTGTCAGATTGCCTTTATAGAAAACTGATCAGAGTTCATGGCTGGAATAACAAACGATGTTTGAGTAAGTGTATGATATGCAAATTTCCCTTCAGGTGGAGGGCTTGATGTTTTGGACTCAGTTACTAATAGGTTAGGTGCCAGCTGTCACAGCTCAGCTCCTGGAGACCTAGTGAGCCCATGGGAGATTGCAACATCTTCTCCTGGGAGCCACCCATCCTGTGGGAATTTGGTTTTGAAATGCAGCTGGAGTAAATGCGGGATTCCAAGATAGCTTGTCCATCACCAGGCAATGAAGGAAGGGCACTGAGGCTCACCTTTGGACTTCCTGGTTGACATCCCATGGTCAGGTCTGGATATTCAGTGTGTAAATTCATTCTAATGATATTAATTTTAAGAATGTTTTACAATTTTTTTCTAATTAAGTATTTTATGCACATATTAGGAAAAAAAATTGATTTGGTAAACCTAATAAATTTGCATCGAACCTAATATTTTATGTTCATGAATTGTAAAGGAAAGCTTAGAGGGAAGATTCTCTGTGTCTTGCTTTTCAGAGAGAGACACAGGTATGGGTCAAAGGGCGCTTAGAACCTTCCCATCCTTAATACATTATGGAAAATATTGACTGCTCTTCATCTTTGATATCATAAATTAGAGTATTATGTTCATAATGACTATTTTCTATTTAAGGAGGTTTTTTGTGAAAAACATTATCTTTTTCTGAATAATAACTCCTTCAATGCTATCTATCTTCTCCCTCAACTGTGCCTTTGCAGCTGAATAACTGATTCACCATACTACTGAACAACTTTTTGATGACTTGAATTTATTTATTTATTTTTTAAAAGCCAATACATTCATTTGCCATTCTTGTACTTCCTGTCCTGCTTAAAGCACTTTTTGCTATTTTTTTGTGATGTAAAATCAGTCCAGTTTATCTCCATTCAAGACATCTTTATTGAAAATGACTTGTCTCCAGGCTTATTTTGGTTTCCCTTTCCAATCCTTATGGACAACTGGTTAGCTAATTGAGTCACTCCCAAGCCCCACTTCTGTTAATCAGTATATGTAATAAGTTGATGGAGTGTAAACATTTATTTAATAAAGAGAATGTCACATCGGTTGAATGTCACTTACAGAAGTTACAAAAAGGAGCCATCCATTTATTCTTTCAACAGATATTTGTTGAAGCATAAGATGCATAGCATGCTATTCTCTGTGTTATGGGATATTTTAGGATGTAAAAGACCTGGCTCACAAAAACATGCAAGCTAATGTTACTAACTTCATTTTGTCAAGCAATTTGGTATGGGAAATAACCAGTGGGAAAGCAAGTGGGGAAAGAAAAATAAGTAGAAAGACTCTGAACATATGTTCAACACAGCAGGAGACAGTGTTATAGACCTGGGATCCAACTTGTAAAAAGAAAGTGTGTAGTGGCTTGCATTTTGAAAAGAACCCCATATGGGGAAATATACTTTGTGGCAAAGACACAACAGGGAGACCTAGATGAGATCATGAGTATTTTCTCTGTGGAACCACAGAGAAGAATTTAGGGTTAGGAAGCCCATTAGCAGATGACATGCCCAGGAGCAACACTTAGCCACTGCCTGGGCATTCGTAGTGGCTTGTGTGTGTAGGAAGCTTATAAAGCTCTGAAGATTCCACTCATTTGCCTTTGCATTTAGCATCTTCTGTGCAGAAAATTAGTTATGCTGCAGCCTTAAAATGTTAGTTATCTAACATTTTAGAAAACTAGCTACCTATTAGGTTATAGTAATTGTATAAAAACATAAAATTAACCACTAGCTAGAATCATTTTTAGGATTTCTTCACTTTTAATTAAATCTAACATCAATGTTATAAAACCCAAAAGAATACAAAAAGATTTATTTTGCTAGTAAAATGAATTTTCAAATGCTTTCAAGTCCCTTGGGGACTAAAGTTCAATAATAATTAAAGTCTTTTCATACCGCATGTGGGAAAGGGCCAAACACCATGTTGAGATTTCGTGAGTCTTCTGTACCAGCAAAGAGAGGCAGTAGAAGAAAGAAACACTTCCCTGCTCTGCATTAAGAGAACTATTAGGCTGCCATTCATAGTGCAATTTTTTGCAGTCCTACAGAAACACATTTCTAGGTCTTTAGACAGTTGAGTTCCAAAAGGGTTTTGCAAGAATCAAATCACATGTGAGCTGAGTCAAAAATCAGGAGGTCGCTTTGTAGGTGAAGAATGTGGCAAACATAAGATCGGAATGAAAGCAAAATTGAGAGTCGGCAGTGCAGGCTTTTGGAGGCGAAAGCCCAAAAGACAGGCCAAGAAATGCTTTCGATGTTGGACCTTGGGGATAAAATGATGATTTGTCAAATTACTAACTAGGTGAAAAAAACAAAAGGACATTCTCCAGCCAGGATCATGGGACCAGAGGTGTTGCCAGGTCAAATGACATTACCGGGTGACTTATTGCTCTTGGTTTTTTCTTGATGCACTTCATTTAAGTTAACATTTTCATTCTCTGTGTTGTATTTTACGTATAGTGGTTTTCTCTACCTGAAGATTTTTGGAGTATTTACTCAATGACTTGTTTATAATTTGTTTCCTCCTCTTTCAAGGTGAGTTGGCTAAGAACAAGGACGTTTTCCTAGTCACCCACTGTCTCCAAGCTTGTGAACAGTTACTGATAGCACTCAACTGTTTTTTTATTTAAAAAAAAAATAAGGATGAGGTCTCAGTATGTTGCCTCAGGCTGGTCTTGAAATCCTGAGCTCAAGTGATCCTTCCTCCTCGGCCTCCCAAAGTGCTAAGATTACAGACATGAGCCACCATGCCTGGCGGCACTCAACTGTTAAATGAATGAATAAGTGAAATGAACATTTTTCAATAACAACCTCAGCACACCATCACTGCTGCGTAGTGTGCACCAATGAGTGGTAATGTAAGATTTTATTGTTGGTTAAAGCTCAGATGTTTTCAGCAGACAGAGAGCTTGGAAGCAGAGCAAGCTCTGATAATAGCTCTTGCTCTTTGTGGGTGTGTACAGTGAATTTTAATTCACCTTGTTTATATAAGAAGGGTATAATATTAAATATAATTTTGGCATAGGCTTTAAAAAACAACAGCCTTAATATATTGATAAATTAGTACTTTGGGCTGTTGTCTCTTTTCTCCCAAAAGAAAATTCAATTAGAGTTAGGGTCATGTTGTCCCATAATGTTCGACAGAAGAGTGTTTGAATTCCATAGCCGATTTTTAGAAACAGTAGCTTGAGTTATTTTCTTCCCTAGTGCAGTTACCATGGAATTGATATAAAAACTTGGATATTTCTATATTACTCATTTCAGAAATGTGTTCAACTTTAAGGAATTATTTGGGTCTTAAAAAGTATTTTGCAACCAACTCATCTATACCATCAACTCCTGACTCACCTTCAAGCAATGTTCTCTCTCTCTCTCTCTGCTTTTACCCCCTTAAATTGGAACTGATGTTTTATATCTAATCTGTTATAGACAAGATACAAATTGCATGAGGGCAAGGACATTTTCTGGTTCATTCCCTGCCTAGCCCTCAATGACATGGTGAATGCCTAACAACAACAACAATTCTAATAAATGAAGGAGAAGTTAGTGGGCTGTTTCAAGCAGTATTTCCTGTAACAGCTGTGTTTTGGTGGGGTTCGGAGTCTAGTTATTGACTGCATGTTTGGAAATTAGTTTTTATTAGATTTTGAAAACCAAGATCATAAACTTTTTAAAAAATTTAATGTTTTTATCATATTTGTTCAAAAGTAAACCACTGCTAAAAGGCTTATAACAGTGTTCCCCTTCCCCCTTACCTTCCAGCCCACAACTATCCTCCTCACCAATATGATCTTTCTTTGGAGATGAGAAATGTCATCTTTCTTAGCTTTTCTGGTACTTGCCTCCTTATTTTCAAGTCCTATATAGCATTGCTTTATTTTGGTTATTAATTTTAAACATTATCCAACCCTATCACAGTGTGGTGAAAAATCCATAGTCAGTATTATAATTATTATGACTAATGTAAATGCTATTCAAAGTGAACCCAGGTGGCACACTATATTTATAGTATATTATTATAGTATCTTTTCCTGGGTTAAGAACTGAAACTTTTTCTTCTAGTTTTCTTGGTTTGCTTTGAAATTATGGTTAAGTCATCATACACCTTCCAACAGCTGTATAAAATCTTGTTTCATTCAAATTCCGATACAGTGAAATCTACCTGGTAATCTCTCCATTTCTTCTTCATCTGTCTTTCCCCTGGAAGCATCCTTCCGGTGGTGGGGGCAGGGGGTGCTTTTGTCCAATCTGAAATGGCTCTCCTCTGTTTGAAAGCTTCTTCTCAACTATAATCTTGGACCCTCTGTACCTCCTGGTCATTTCTTTTGTCTCTCTCGATTTGGATTACCTGCTTTCTGATCTTTAGTCTTGCTCCTTCTTGGTTTATTCCATTATGGGTAGAGCATCCACTAGTTCTTGGAGAAATAGAGATCAAAGGTAATTTTTTTAAGACAACATTTCATAAAATATCCTTATTTCATTTTCATGTAAGGCTGATTGTGTCATTGGACGTGAACTACTAGAATGGATATCATTTACATCAAGAATCTGAAATGGATTGTGCTACTGTTGTAGGACTTCCTCCTTAGTTCAGCTAAAAGCTGGGATCTTGTCACATGACCATGAAAGATTAGGCTGGCAGATACTTTGAAGGGTGAGAAGAGCAGGTTTCATTGGGTGAAAGGTAAAAAAGGGAAATAGGGACCCTCAGCAAAGCAAGAGTCCTGAGTGTGGGTTTCTTGCCTCACAGATTGAAACCCTAGTTATCACCCTGGGACAGGAGAAGCCAGGCTCCTCCCCACTGGAAAGGGCACAAACTTCCCATGGCTCCACAGCATTCTCCCAGCGCACTGGCCAGTCGGAGGTTTTCCGGGGAGCCCTTTATACTTGGCTGTCTCACTACCGTCCTCTAGCTTTCTATGTTGCTATTAAAAAGCAAAAGCAATTTTTAGTCCTTATCTTTTAATGTATCCCCTTTTTCTCCCTGGAAGGTTTCCTCTTTATTCCTGCTTTTTCTTTTCTTTTTTTCCATTTATAGCTTTAGGCACTTGGTAGTAAGTCTTTACCATCTGGAGACTTACATCCTTCAGAGTGAGGAATTATCTGATTTTCTCTATGGAACTCCTGTTAGTCAGATGTTGGGCCTTTTTGCTTAATATTTTCTTTACTCTTTTCCCTCCTATTGGTTATCGCTTTATGTTTTTGATCTTCCGATTCTTTTGTTAAATTTTTATTTTCTAAATATCTATTTCTTGTTTCATGAGTGTTCCTTTTTATGCATTTTCATGTTGTTCTGTGGGTTCAATACCTCTCTTACCTCTCCAGGGATACAAATTACAGTGTTTTTTTGTTTTGTTTTTTGTTTGTTTGCTCCCTGAATTCACTATAGTTCTTTTCTCATTTTAATTTTAGATGTTTTCTATGATGTTTTTGTTCTTTACTAATTAATATCAATGCGTTCAGAAGTAAATGGAAAGTTCTATGGGTGTAGGCTGCAGTTTTGCACTGCTAAACCTCCTGAGGTTCCCACAACTGGCCAGTTAGCTTCTATGTTGTGAAATCTCCAAATGCCTGTATTCCCACAGGAGTTTTCTCGGAGGCAGTACATTCTCTCTTACACACACCTGGGGGTTATTAGCTTGGCTACCAGCATTCTAGAATTTGGTGGAAAAGAAAGGCTCAGGGTCCACAGTTCAGTTAGATTAATTCCTTTTTTTTTTTCAATATGCTACTTTGCTGTCTTTGATGCCTCATGCTCGCAGGTGTAGTAAAAGTGGGGCAGTCATCTGAAGGTGCTCAGAGTGGACAGGAACCAGGAATCTGAAGCTAACTGCTCCCTAGTGGGGCAGTCATCTGAAGGTGCTCAGAGTGGGTGGGAACCAGAAATTTGAGGCTAATTGCTCCCTAGCAGTTTCTCAAGTCCTCTCCCTAATTCCTTCAAATTATTCTGCGTAATTCCAATTCCTGAGTCTTTTATAACTTTTAGGGGCCAACTATGTATATCCATCTGCAAGAGCTTATTCTCCTCCACTCTTCTAAACTATTTATTATTCTTACATTGACTTTAGTCTTCAAATTCTGTGGCCTGGGACTATAGATATCTATTAATTTTTAATGAATATATTCAATTTTTTTGTTTATTTGTTTTTATTCTATTTTCCTGAATTTTAGGGGGTTGGATTTTGAGAGGAGAGGAGTGGAAATATCTTGATTCCATCAATTTAGAAATCACAGATCTCGTGATCAGATTTTGAGGGATAGATTCTCATTGTAACAACACCTGTCAGAAATTTATTTTTAAAAGAGAATTACAATGTATTAATTAATACTTGGAAATATTATCACTAAGTAAATTAGAATATTTCTTTTGATTGCCAAAGGCAGTTTTGTTCTTCTGAAAGAATCAGCTTCAGAAGCCAAATAAAGATCTAAACATTCATGACGGGTGTTGAGTTATAGCAGAGAAAGTTAAATGTTCTTTATGGTTAATGTTGCATTACCTAGCCTGTTGCCACAACCCTCATGTAAGTAGGTGCCTGCCAAAATAAATAGAATGATTAAATTGGGCAGCCAGGAATTACCACTGGACAGTTCTGATAATCCACAGGCAACTTTCCATTCTTCTTTCTTTATTCTTCACAAATCCTACTAATATTTGTTATAAAAATAGATTGTACAATTATTTGAGTGATAAAGAAATATTTATGAAGTGTCCACTCTGTACCATATACATGGTAATATGTATTATTTCATTATTCTTTGTCAGATATTAGTTACATTTTAAATTTATGTCTTTTTAATGAGATTCCAGGGAAGTACCTGGTTTCCTGATGAAATTTAAGGAATTCCCATTATTTGCTTTAATCATTTCCTGGGAAGGCTTTCACATGTGACCAAATACATTCATTTTATAGCTTTTATTTTAATTGTTGATTTTTTATGACTTTGTTCATAATTCTGTGCATACATTTTTTGTTTACCCATATTATACATTGACTACATACTCAATATTATACAAACCTTCATTGTTTATTTTTCCATAATAAACAAGGAACATGAAGTCTTTGCATTTGGAAGAGTCTTCAAAGGCAGATCAGAGTCCAAAACCTAGCACAAGCCCTCACTCCAGTTTGGTGAAAAGCAAATTAAAAAAAGAAAAAAGGAAAAAAAAGAGAGTAAACAAAACACATATGCAGAAATACACCAACAAAAATACACGTCGTCCATCACTGCACATTCTTCTCTTTCCTGGAAAGAATGGCAGCGACTATGAAGAGTTTTTCAGAGGCTAGATGCTCCCGTGAAATTTGCACCTGGTCCTGAGGTGAGCCAGATTGGCAGGAAGAGAAGGCAGAGCTGACTCCATACTGTTATTCCTTAGCCAATCACCAGAGTGACAAACCTTGAGTGAGCTTGAACCACAGATGCCCACTAGATGTTCATCCCTGTGTTAAAAAAAGATTTGGTGAAAATAGTGGCTGGTCCTGAGCCCAGCAAGGATGGAGATGAAGAATGATAAGTTATTCATTTCTAAAAATTTTATAAATATAGGACTTGCTTAACACTGACTGCTGACCTTGAATTCCCTTCTTCTGAGTATGTCTGCAATTCTAAAAGCAGCCCCAGAAGGCTGGAAAACGACTCACAAAGTGGCTATTAATAAACAGTGGTACATATAAAAGTGACAGAAGTCCAAAGTGTGTAGACAGGTGTTTTACTTCAATAGAGTAATGAAATGCTGAAGCAATGCAGGTGTTCAGCAGCCACAGCTTTGTCTGAACACTGCAGGGTATGTGTGTGTATGTGCCTGTGAGTACACACACACCCGTGTATGCATGCAACTTAAGCACACACACTTTGGGGAAGCACTTACTATGTGCACTCTGCAGTAACAAATCATGATTTGCTTCCAATCATTGCTATATTGATTTAAGAGAGAATGTGCTCTTAATAAGCATTATCCACCGCAGAATGCACATAGTAAGTGCTTTCCATTCCAATGTTCCTTGGTTTCAGCAATGTCAATGACTGTACTGTATTAGTCTGTTCTCACACTGCTAATAAAGACATACCAAAGAGTGGGTAATTTGTAAAGGAAAGAGGTTTAATTGATTCACAGTTCCATATGGTTGGGGAGGCCTCACAATCATGGTGGAAGGCGAATGAAAAGCAAAGTCATGTCTTACATGGTAGCAGGCAAGAGAAAGCTTGTGCAGAGGAGCTCTCCTTTATAAAACCATCAGATATCATGAGACTTATTTACTACCACAAGAAGAGTATGGAAGAAACTGCCCCCATGATTCAATTATCTCTACCTGGCCCCACCCTTGACATGTGGGGATTATTAAGTTCAAGGTGAGATTTGGGTGGGGACACAGCAAAACTGTATCACTTAACAAGAAACTTAACAAAGTAATGTTGGACCTAAATATTTTAGTTTTTTCCAGTATGATTTTATTTATTTATTTATTTATTTATTTATTTATTTATTTATTTTGAGACAGAGTCTTGCTCTGTCATCCAGGCTGGAGTGCAGTGGCAGTATCTCAGCTCACTGCAACCTCTGCCTCCCTGTTTCAAGCAATTCTCATGCCTCAGCCTCTAGAGTAGCTGGGATTACAGGCATTACCTTGGGATTACCACCACACCTTGCTAATTTTTGTATTTTTAGTAGTTTAGGGTTTCGTCATGTTGGCCAGGCTGGTCTCAAACTCCTGGCCCCAAGTGATCCCCCCGCCTCAGCCTCCCAAAGTGCTGGGATTACAGGTGTGAGCCACCATACCTAGCTACCAGTATGATTTTAATGAGATTAAGGCTGGTTGGTCTCATGGGAGAAGAAAACATTCAGGTCTCCTATTTAGATTGAGTGCATCTCAAAATACAGGAAAAATAATACAAACTCAGTCTATTTCCTAAGTCAAGTTGGTCAATAACATGTTCATACATAGAAAGTGATTTTTCAATATTTAAAAACCAGTTACCTGGATTTCACATGACCAGAAGTGAATAGAATTAGAACATCAAATACTTTGACATAATGCAAACACTACTAGTCGGGATGAACTCATGAGTTCTCTTTTTTTATCCCAGCTTCATTTCTGGATTTACCATCTTGCCTTCCATTTTATTTTTCATTTCTTTTATCTCCATCTTTATCCTCCCTTCTCCTGGCCACCACCTCCTCTCTTATTTTATGGAATAAATTGTAATGTGAAGAGCATCTTCAAGAAATTATATCTTATGGCCTTTCTTAAGGTAATTCAAACTTGTGCTTGGCCGAAAAAGAACTGTATGCTAAATTTATGTATGTTCGCAGAGACAGAGAGAAACTATTTTTTCTCTGTCCCCTTCATGAGACATTTAAACAAGTGAGTAACAGGTGCTGCATGCCTGGAACACACTGTACTCTGAATATTCTTGTAAGGAGTTGTGCACTCTGGGGAGAGCATTTCATATCCAAGTCCTCATGAACAACACCTGTGCTTGGTCAGTCACCGGAAGGATACACCCTTGGTGATAAAAAGGGATTTTATTGGGCTATGGATAGAATTGTTTCGTTAAATACTTGGGAAGGAAGCTGATAAATTAAGTCTACCAAGTTGGATAATAACTGCATGCCCTTTGGGATAAGCTATTTTATCTGTGCTTTGAATGGAAGAAATAATGCAAGATTGAACCACCAAACTAGTGTATTATTTTAATTTGAAAAAAAAAATTTACTTTTTCTAATAAGAAATATAAAACTTTATTGTGCCAAAGTGGCAATACTCAAGTAGGAAAAGAAAAAAAAGAGATATAAAGAAGGAACGATTGGTTAGTTGGATTGAGAGGCTAATCTCCATGTCTTTTGCATTAACCTCAGAATTAGCAGGTATAGCTCATGGACTCAGCTTAATAAAGACGATTTATACAGTGCTATGGATAAGAGAAGAGCTCTAGAAACAATATTTGTAAGCCATAAATTACTAATACATATGTACTTATGATGAATAATTATTTTTCAATATGATGAGCATGATCTGCCTTTGAAGAGAAAAATAAAGTCTAGGTTTCTGAAGGAGAATTAACTCCATTAGGCCCTTAGGGTATACGTACTTTAAGTCACTTCACTGCCTAGAGTTTTAAGTATCCTAATGGCTAGAAATTATGCATTTGTCCATACAGAGTATCCTGATAACTCCCCCAGGCAGACCTGAACTATAATTTAAGCCAATTCTTGATAACTTTTATAAGCATGGCAAGATGCTCTTCTTTTCTCCACTCCCATCCACTCCCACCTCAGTGTGTGTGAATCAATCACTATCCAGCTCCAACATCACCATACTGCTGCTTATCAATTACAAGTCAAGTTATTTTACAAAAGTGATAAGTATCCTGAATTCCATCTGTGATTTAGTGTTCTAGTTGAAATATTTTATGTTTGCCTTCCAGATGTTTTTTTTTCTTGAGACAGGGTCTCAATGACTCTTGTTTCCCAGGCTGGAGTGCAGTGGCACAATCATAGCTCACTGCAGCCTCAACCTCCTGTACTCAAATGATCCTCCTGCCCCAGGCTCCCAAGTAGCAAATGTCACCATGCCTAGCTAATTTTTAAATATTTTGTAGAAACAGGATCACACTGTGCTATATATCTTGGTCTAAAACTCCTAGCCTTAAGCAATCCTCCTGTCTCGGCCTCCCAAAGCATTAGGGTTACAGGCATGAGCCACTGCATTTGGCTTCTGCTAGGTTTTAATTATTCTGAATGTCCATAGTATACATTTTAAGTTGTTAATCATTGGAGAAAACAAGATGGTGTGGGGGAAGTTTGTCCTAGTGACAACAGGTCAATATACAAGGCCAGAAGTTGTTGAGATCTAAAAACAGAACACTCTAGGCCTGACCCCAAGAATATTTCAGTTCATATTTTCAGTGTATTTCCAGAAGTCTAGAGGAAATTTTCACTTGCCTGTTTCCTCACATCTTACACTAACTTACACTAACTTCATCTCCCTCTCAACTTGGAGCTGTTTCCCTGTTTATGACGTTCTGTTAGGGATATTCTTATCCTTCTAGTTTTCAGGGCAAGAAATTAGGAATATGGGTATCATCTTTGTCTTCACTTCTTACTGTCATTCTCTATGTCTCAGCTTCCATTAAGGTTTGCATTCTTTCCTTTCAAAGATCATCTGGGATTTGCCCCTTCTCTGTGTGTGTGGAGTTAGCTTACCAGCTCCACTGGGCTTTCAATGTCCACCAGCTGTCCACCTCCATCCCACAGCACATACTCTCTTCCTGTGTTGGGCCTCCCCTTACTATCATTACACTTTGTGAAGTCTTGTCCTGACTCTGAAGATTGCTTTATCCTCTCCTCCTTGCCTGATATGTCCTACCGGTTTGCCAGATTGGACAATTTCCTTTTGAAATCGATCTCTTTCCTACTCAACCTAGACATCGTGGTTCAATTACATGAATGCACTTCCATCAGCACCCTCAACTTCTCCTCTATTTCATCTTTCTTTAGCCATTATCTACTCCCAGCCATGACAATGGTAATATCCAATCAAAAACAAATACACCCATTCTTTTTATTTGTAACCATCCTTTTTCTTTACTATTTGTCCTTGGTGCAGAACGTTAGAATTCTGTAAAGGTGCTGAATGGTACCACCACAAGTCTATCCCAAACCAACTGGTCCCTCAATACCACTAGATAATTCTTTCTCCTGTGTATAATTTTGGCCCTTTTATATTTCCTGTGTTTACTGTTCAGATTTTTTTTTATTCTGCTCATTTTGCCTTCCTAACTCCATCTCTCTAAGCCCGACCAGTCAACTCTGCCTGATTCCTCAAACAAGGGAAGGACCACTGGGACCCTCTCTCCCTGGCATGCTGGCCTCTGCTTACGGAATCCATTCTTACCCATCTTCTCTCCTGTTTTAGAGCAAGGTATCCCTGGGGCTTCTCTCTAAGATGTCTGTGATGGTTAGTTTTGTGCATCAACTTGACTAGGTCAAGGGGTGCTCAAACGTTATTTCTGGGTGTGTCTGAAAGGGAATTTCCAGGTGATATTGGCATTTGAATCAGTGGCTTCAGTAAATATCACCCTTCCCAATATATGTGGGCATCATCCAATCCATTGAGGGCCTGAATAGCATAAAAGGGGAAAGAAGGGGCAATTTGTCGCTTTTTGCTTCTGGCCTGCCTGCTTGAGCTGGGACACCATGGACTGAGATTTACACCACCGGCTCCCCTGAATCTCAGGCCTTCAGACTCAGACGGAAATTAGCCACTGGCTTTCCCGGGGATTCAGCTTGCAGTTGGCAGATCATGGGACTTCTCAGCCTTCATAATTGAGTGAGCCAATTCCTCATAACAGATCTCTTCCTATACACATCCTTTTGGTTCTGCTTCTCTGAGGAACCCTGACTGATATAACATCCTTCCCCCATACTCTAGGACCTTGATCACCACTTAGGTCCCCTTTTTGTAAATATTCCACATTTCGTTTTTCTTCTGAAACCCTCCTCCAGAGTTATACTGATATGCCCGAGTCTTCCTCACCCTCAAAAATATGTTATTTTATCCCTACATCCTATTTAAGCAACTTATTAATTCCTCTGTCAGGGGGTGAGGGGAGGTTAAAAAAAAAGAAAAAAAGAACACACTTACTGGCTGTATATTCTCGAGTTTCAAACAGTCCTTCACTTATTACAATCTAGTGTTCTTTCTCTTCACCCTAAGAAGACTGTTCTCCCTTTAGCCACAAATGACATTCTCATCACCAAATCTTTTGCTTTTGGTCACATTGCTTAATTTCCCTACAGTATTTGATGCTTGATATTATTTCTTGTAGGAATTCTGTGGTACTAATGTCACGAGATTCTTGGGCATCACTTCACCAGCCGGGAACTTCTGTGGCCAGTGGCACCTTTGCCCAAGTTTTGCTTGGGCCTGCTGGGCTTGCTCCACCCACTTGGCCTGGCAGGCTGCACTCAGCTCACACTACCAGCCTGGATCCCATGCCTGCCAAGGATGAGCCAGGCACAGAGCGGTGAGGGGTGCATGAGCAAGCGTGGGGTCCGGGCACTGCGCACAAGTCAGGAATGCTGGCTGTGGCTGGGCACGCAGCTCCCGGTGCCAGCACGGGTGCCGGCTCCCTGCAAGGTTGCGGCTTGACCAGGTGTATTGCAAGCAGCTTCCATAGCTGGCACCGGGGACAGTGGTGGTACCCAGAAGCTTGGAGATGGCAGGAACCGCGGAGCCCCAAAGAGGGTGTCACAGCCCTGGCCTGGGGACGTCCTAGGTCTGGGCTCCCTGAAGGACTGCAAGTCTTCTCTCCTTCTCTCTTCTCTTCTTCTTGTCACCTGCTACATGATGAGCAAGGGACATGTTTCAGTCCTGTTTGTGTTACAGCTCTTTTAGCCCCTCTGTTCGGTGGTTCCTGAGTTCTCGTCCTGTGTCCAGGAAGAATGAGGTATGTAGACAAATGAAGGGTGAGCAAGGCAAAGAAGAGTTTTATTGAGCAACAGAATAGCTCAGAGGAGACCCACAGTGGGCAGCTCCTGTGGTGTTTAGCTCCTCTCCGCAGACAGGGTGTCCTGACAAGTGTCGAGCTCTCAGTAGATAGGAGACCTTAGGGTGGGTAATTCCTCTCTGCAGTTGGTGGTCCCATCAACTCTCCGAGTCTGGCTGAGTGGGTGGGTCGGGGTGGAGGCGGTTACGGGCTTCAGAGGGAGGAAGTGCATGCTGATCAGTCCATGGGCAGCCGTAGATGGGCCCAGACAAAGCACCATAGGTTACCACTTCCTCTGTGGGACAGGCAGTCCTGCCCCCAGGCTTCAGGCCTTCCTTGCTTGAAGGTGGGGTTTCACGGGGGACCTGCCCCTTTCTGCCCAGGAGCCTGTCTGCCTCCGGCTGCTGTTCATGGTGCCCAGGCTGTTCGTGCTGAGGGGAGCCTGCAGGCCAGTGACGAGCTACCCTCAGCATCACCTCAGCCTCCCTCCTGTGCTCATCGGGGCCCGAAGTCTGGGGGGGCCTGAGGCAGCAGGGGGCTGGCGTGTCAGCATTGCCTCTAAAGAGCACACACCCAGCCGGGTTGTGACAGTGCCCAGGGTTGGCCTCAACTTTGCTCTGAGATCGGAGTCGGCGCTGGGAGCAAGGAAAGGCCAGGCAGCGGGAGCACACACTTCCGAGCCTGCAGGAGCAGGGGACCTTCCCGGGCCTGAGAGTGCAGAGATGCCAAGGTCCACAGCCACAGCTTGGGCAGCTTCAGCTGCACCCTGTAGGGTGGGGCTCCTGCCTGCTCCCGGCCCCTAAGAGTACAGGGAGGCCTGGGTCTGCAGCTGCGCCCAAGGAGTGCGAAGCTTCCACCCTGTCAACTGAGAAGGGGGTGGGGCTTCTGTCCCGGCTCCCACCGGCTACACGCAGCACAGAGCCCTAGCCACGCCTCCCCGAGTGCAGCTGGAGTCATGGCAGCAGCTGCTCTAGACGGGCCACCGCTGCCATCACTAATCTCTTCTAGTTTCTATTTGCTTTTCCGCCTTTCAATGGGCTCACCTATTGCATTGTGTGGGTGTTCCCTCAGTATATAAAGGTACGATCCTTGATCTTCATTTCTTTTCTTTTACAGCAGCCGTACATGATCCCATTTTTATCAACAGCTTTATCTTATATTATGAGCTATATTTCCACGTGCAGATGACTTCTCAATCTGTATGTCCAGTCATCTCCCGTTGTCATTTCCTTCAGTCCATTCTGACCTTTATCTTTTATTAATAAAAAGAATGCACTGCTTCCTATCTCTACCTCATTTAAACACCCCTGATGTTTGTAGGATACAGGTCAAACTGTTTAGTGTGGTGTAAAGTCCACCAGCATCTGGATTCTCATCTTCTACTATTCATAGCTGCATGTACTCTCCTCCAATCATATTGGAATTCTTATGATAATCTTTTCTTCTGCAATATTTGTGTACCGTTAGCCTCTCCCCTCCACCCCAGCTCAAACTCTGAAAAAAGTTTCATGACCATGGATTGTATAATACAGATATTGAAAATACTAATATCAGTCTATTTTGTAATCACCTTGTTGGTGCCTTGAGGCAAAGCCACACTTTTCTCCCTGAAAAAGAAAAAAATGTGATCATTGTCAAACATCTTGGGAATTTTTTCAATATGGGACAAGCAATAAGGTATGTGTTTGATCTGGGGATTGGAGAAACATCTTACTTCCTCACGACCAGGGACTTCCAGGCATGGTATTAATCTAGAATTCTAGGTTGAGTGTCCACAATACAAATTCTGATGTGAGAGGATTTGCATGTAAGTGGTTTATGGAGAGGAAATAGGAAAGGGTACAGGAGAAGCAGGTTACATGAGGGGAAAAAAGCCAAGAAAGGGTGTAATTTCAGGTAAAGTCCCAGCCTGGCTCTACCCTCTGGGGAAGTCTAGAGTGTATATTCCACCTCAGACATTGCCCTGCCTTGAGGCAAATGGGCTTGAATTGCATCTGCTTGCAGCAGCAGTTAGTCATTGGCTACAGGCTGGGAAAGGTGGATAGGAATGAGGATTTGTAAACTCCAGATACTTCCAGCTTTGCTTCTGGCACTCAAGAGCAGGCCACTGAAAAACTGCAGGTGCAAGCAGTTAGTAGATCACAGAGCTGGGAATGGCATAAAAAACTGGCAACAGAGATGTGAAGGAACACCAATGGTATCCAATACACCTGGTTACGGAGAAGCGGGCTAGGAGGCAGTATAATCACAGACCTTGACCTTTTTACTGCCAGCTGCAGTCATAGCAAGAACAGTAGAACACAGAAGAGACAGCTTTTTGAGCAATCATCTCGGGGCAGTAATGGAGTCCTTTGTCCTCAAGTGGCCATGCCTAGCCCCGCTACCAAGTGATGAGACATACCAGGACTTGGACTTCTGGGCCCCAACTAGAGGAATCACCAGTGGTTATGGGCAGCCCACTGTGCTCAACAGAGAAGAGACTTTCTGAGGGTTATTAGTAGTAGAGCAAAAGCCTGGGGACAAAATAAGCAGGCCGGAGAGGGATGCCCAGACAGAGTAATTTCAAAATGCATGCAGAATTATATTGCAGAAAACTTAGAAGTAACTAGGAAGTGGAAGAGACTCTTACAGGGAGAGAAGTCAGTAGAATCTCTGAAATCAGTTAAAGTTTGGGCTACACTCCTTTTAAGTACTGGTGAGAGACTTGAATTATCAGTCTCTAAACCCCCAATGGCTGTGTATTATCCAAGCATGATCCAAGGAATGCAACAACAACACCTATCTTCTCCTTGGGCTTTCGGACCCACGAACAATGTCCCAACTTGAATGAACACTTTTCTAATTTTTCCTAGACTCAGTTTCTCCCTCCTCTGTCCTTAAAAAGCACTCAGCAACTTTTATTACAGAATTTGCTACATTGTACTACGGTGGTCAATTTAGATGTTTGTCTATCCCAAAAAACTCCTTCAGGAAAGAAGCTACTACTCACCTCTCTTTCTCAGTATTAAACATACTATTTGGATTATAATACAGTCTTCATAAACACTAGTTGAGTGAAGAAAGCACATGGAACCATGATTTTCATCCTTTTGGGAAGGAAAAGATATCTCAGAATGTGATGTGAACTATGAAACTTCTTCCAGAAAAATGCACAAACAGAATCTTATATACATTAATATGGAAGAATTTCTCAAAACAGTGAAAAAAGAAAGTGATCCAGGTGGCTACTAGCATAAAGCAAGTCTTTCAAACTCAAGACTAATGGTAGAGATCTTCCAAAATATTTGAAATCCTGGTATGTTCTAACTCTTACAGTATACTAATGAGAAACATTTTAGGAGCTCGCTTCCAGATTACATGCACCAGCTACTTTGGAGGAAGTTCATAAGAATTGCAATTAGTGAGAAGCGAAGCACTGATGGGAACCAAGCAAGAAAACAGAAGAGTAATGAAATGAAGAGAGCTTTAATGAACAAGAAAAACAGGCAGGAGCAGGCAAGTCAGGCCCTGAAAATGAATGGTGGGAGAGGCACTGTTTTCCCTCAGATTAATGTCACACTCAAGGCTGCCTTATTTGACTACTGAATGAGTCATGTCTAAGGTATTTCAGCCAGATAGAAGCAAAACCTCCTCCTTCATAGATTCTATCTTTTCCAAGAGTCCCAGGGAGCCTCACATTCCCATTCCATTCCTCTAGTCTTAAAACATTTTTACTTTCCAGCTGTTGGCTACTCAGCCAGTGATAATGACATCATTTATTTAAGTAAAGGAAACAACTTCCAGTGTTCATATTCAATGTGATAATATTACCATTTTAGAGATTTTAGTGTTTGGTTGTGTTTCCACCTTTGATGAAAGTGTAATGAAATACTTTGTATATGTTAAGTTTCAATGAGTAATTATTGATGAGCAGACTGTTGATTGAGACAGATTTAATGAAAGGGGAGTCAATTTATAAACTGTACTTATAATTTTGAAATATTTTCAAACTTATTATCTCTTTTACTTTTCTGAGCAAGGTACATACACAAAATATTTCACTATGCAATTTAAGATAGACCCTAAGCTAAACATGTGAGGAAGAATTAGGTAACATTCAGGTAGATTCAAATTTCTAGAAGCAATTATTTAAAAGTAAAATGAAAATAAATATAATCTACCTAATAATAATCACACTTCTCCTGGCTACAGAAACTCATTCCTTCTTTTGCACCATGGCCATACAATTTTTAAATGCGTAGAAAGAGCTGGAGGTAAATAAATTCAGGTGTAAAATCATATATATTTGAAAGTTTCCTTAAACTTATCTATAGAGATAAATTGCATTGAAGCTGATGTATTACTTTCAAGGTTCTCTTTTCATATACATATTTGTTTAAAGTATATTAAAATTTTAAACTTCTGATTATGGTTAAGTTTCCTTGATTCAAAGGCTCAAATGTTTCTGACATTGGGTTGCATCTTACAATCTAGGTGGACACTTAATGTAACAAGTTCTTAAACTGATGGTTCACTGTGTAACTGATGTACTTTTAGAATAAAGAAAATGTGCTAACATAAAATTCTATTTACTCTTCCAAAAACATTACTCAGAGATGAGGACTTTCCATTGTTATTCTACAGCTTCTAAGTTCTCTATCCATTTTCTTCATTTTTATCCTTCAGAAGTTAATTTATTTAGGGAACAATGAGGCAAAGTTTTTGAGAATGGTGAAAGAATAAGATAAATTTGGTTTTCCAATCCTGCTGGGGAGATCCATGTACTCTCAGTGAATTAATGACAGGAGATGTTTCCTTGTTACTAATTTAGAAGTCAGCCTTAGTAAACCTTCATACCTTGCAATGGTCATCCACAAAGTCTGGTTGAAGCATTCAAACATGGATGATATCAAGACAAGAGAGCTTCATTTTAGCACCTGGCTGCCCCTTTTCCCCAAATATAAATCTATTTGTGTTAGAATTGGCCAAAGGCTTTGTCTCATTAAATTGTATTCAACCAAAAGTATTTTATTAGTGATAAAAAATAAATGTTATGTCAAAGTTACTTAGAAGGTGATGGGGGAATGAAAGTCATTTCACAAAACAATATGAAAAATGAAAAAGCTCTCTTTGATCATAGTTCATAATTGAAGGTTATTTCCATTTCCTAGGTAGTTATTTTGGCAATTAAATCTACTCAAAAGTTTTATCTCTAAAAAATTAATTGTATGTTGAAAATGTGAATTGGGATAATGTACTTTACAAAGGTTAAAAGAGGTTATTCCAAACGTTATTTCAGTAACATTAGATTTGCTATCAGATGCTGAAAAGTTTAAGATATTAAAAAGTATAAGATGCTAAAACTGTTCTCTGTATGGAAAAAGTATGATTTAATTTTATTAGTCAGAATTGTTTAGCATGCATGTTACCTTAGTGTTTGTAAGGTGGTAACAGTCTATACTACCATGTAGCGTGTTGTTTATAAATCTTCCTTGATTTAATGACTAGACTATAAATTTCTTCAGCATACTATCAAATTTCTTATTTTTAAACAGCTTTATTGAAGTATAACTGACATACAATTGACTGAATATTTTTAAAATATACAATTTGCTTAAGTTACTCCCAAACTCACTGATGATCTGTTCATTTTTTCTTTTTTTCTGTATGTTTGTGTGTTGCATTTTGAATAGTTTCTATTGTGATATCTCCAAGTTTACTAGCCTTTTCTTCTGCAGGATCTGATCTACTATAAATCCTATCCAGTGTATTTTCATCTTACACATTGTAGTTTTCCAGTGTAGAGACGTGATTTTCAAATCGTAGAGGTGCAGGAACATCTCCAGACCAGCGGTCTCCAACCTTTTAAGCACCAGGCACTGGTTTTGTGGAAGACAATTTTTCCTCGGACGGGGGGTGGGGGAGATGGTTTCAGGATGGTTGAAGTGCATTATATTTATGGTGCTATTTATTTCTGTTATTATTACATTGTAATATATAACAAAATAATTATACAACTCATCATAATGTAGAATAAGCTCAGTGGGAGCCCTGAGCTTACTGTCCTGCAACTAGACAGTCCCATCTAGGGTTGGTGGGAGACAGTGATAGATCATCAGACATTAGAGTCTCAAAAGGAGCACGCAACCTAGATCCCTTGCATGTGCAGTTCACAATAGGGTTTGTGCTCCAGTGAGAATCTAATGGTACCGCTGGTGTGACAGGAAGTGGAGCTCAGGTGGTAATGTGAGCAGTGGGGAGTGGATGAAAATACAGATGAAGCTTCACTGGCTTGCCTACAGCTCACATCCTGCTGTGTGGCCTGGTTCCTAACAGGCCACTGTACCAAGTCTATGGCCCAGGAGTTGGGGACTCCTGCTCTAGACATTCAACTTAGATATTTTTAAATATCTTCTATGTCTCCACTTAGTATTTTGCACATATGGAACACAGTCACATATGTTTTAATACCCTTTTCTGCTAATTCTAATACCTGTATCAGTTCTGGGTCAGTTTCAATTGAGTGACTGAACTTCACTATTGGTTGTATTTTCCCATTTCTTGCATGTTGGTAATCTTTGGTTGTATGTCAGATACTGTGAATTTTACCTTGTTCCATGCTTGTTATGTGTAAGCATATATATATATATATATATATATATATATATATATATACACACACACACACATATATACATAATTTACATATTATGTATATATTTATCTTTTTTTGGAAAGACACTCCTGGACAGCATTTAGTGAGAGGCTACCATGTACAAATACTTTACATATATTGAGATTAACTTTATGTTTACAACAACCTCATCAAATAGGTATCATTATACTTACTTCAAGGATAAAGAAACAGAGCATCAAAGAGGCTAAGTAACTTGCCTGAGGTCACACAGCAGGTAAGTGGCAAAGATGGGATTTGAACCCAGGTGATTTGCACTCCTACAAATATTCTTGAATTTTGATCTGGGGGCATAGAAAATTTCTTGGAAGCAGTTTGTCATTTTCAGGTCTTGCTTTTAAGAATTGTTAGGAGGCACCAGAATAGTGCTTACTAGGACTGATCAAGATCCTTTTGAGTTTTCTACCTTGTTATGGTAGAATTATGCGATTTTCCCAGTTTGACAAGAAGAAGCACCATTCCAGGCCCTGTGTGAATTCCAGACACTGTTCCCTTAATCTTCTTAGATGGTTCTTTCTTACCCTTCAGTCATTTCCTTACATGTATGTGCTGATCAGTACTATGTTGAATGCTACTTGAGAGGAACTCTTGGCAGATTTTTGTTTTTTTAACTCTGGGCATCCCCCTCCTCTCCAATACTCTTTGTCTAGTGATCTCTGATTGCTTTGGTCTCCCCAGACTCTCAACTCTGTCTCTGCAACTCAGGGAGTTTGCTGGGCTCTTCTTGGGTACCCCCTGTCTATCCTACAGCCTGGAAACTCTTAATCACTTTAAAATCACTTCCTTCATTGCCCGATGTCCAGTTTCTTGAAAGCCATTGTTTAAATTGTTTTGTTTTGTTGTTTTAGGCAGGAGGGTGATTTCAGTCCTTGTGATTCCATCTTAGCCAGAAATGGAAATCTACACTTCAATATCATTCAAATGTTTGTGTATATGTATATGTGTGTGTCTGTGTGTATATATGTATATAAACCCTGTGTGTGTGTGTGTGTGTGTGTGTGTGTGTGTGTGTGTGTGTGTGTGGGGTGTTCTCACTGCTCACTCTCTGTACTAAGCCCCTATCCCAGCATGGTCCGTGAAAAAAAAAAATTGATGTATTGTTTTGATAAGAACAATTTTAGTAATTATGAAATTTATTCAGTTTCTTTCCTGTCTTCTTGATTCTCTTTTTGCTCAATTCTCTCTTACTTGAAGGTGCTGAGTCTCCTTTATAATAAACAGCAGAAGAATTTATTGAACCTTGCCCACTGTAGGACATGATTTTATGGGTTATCAATAGACGTTTTCTAAGAACATGAGGACTGCTACTAGAAGGAAAAAAAACATTATTGGAAATACATTGGGAAACATTTCAGTCATTTTAAAAACTGAGTCTTTATGCAAATCATTTCTCTGTGCCACATACAAAAGATACCCTTAATTTGGTGCTTGTTCTTGGAAATCACTGTTAAAGGATACAAAAAGTATTTTTTCTCAAGAGTGGTTAGGTGTGGCTTCTAGGGTTTGATAATGAAAGCAGAACTATTCATGCATAATAGAATCAGTGCATAAGAGAATCATGACTTTTTTTTTTAAGCCTGTCTTACTTTGCTATTCTGGACAGGTGTTTCCATAGTGCAATTTTAGCTACAAAAATGGTTCATAATTGCCAACACCTAATTTAACATTCTGAAGCTAATCATAAAACAACCTCCCCTTTCACAGGAGAGACAAAGTCTCAGCTGGGCTTTAAATCCTGATTATATGACAAGGTTCCAATTGAAATTTTAGCCATCAACCAAGTGACCTTCAATGACCACAAGCTGGGAAGCTTGGTAGCTAATCTAAACAGATCTCTAGGCAAAACCCCCAACCCAGTGTGGATTTCCAGACCCTTGCATTATTCACCTCATGAAAAAAGACAAGCAGAATATGAAAAGCAAATGATTGTAGCAACCTTCCACCCTCAATTCCTGAAAGGCCAACGGCAAGCTGTGAAAATATTCCCATGACCCTACTTCCTGTGTGAGGGCTTAGGACACTGATAAAATGTTTATATTGTCAGCCCGCATATAACAGTAATGCTGTCTGCCTTTAAGAAAGTGTTATTTTGAAGGAATGTTGCTCACACTAAAATAAAAGAAGTTGGCTGGGCGTGGTGGCTCACACCTGTTATCCCAGCGCATTGGGAGGCCAAGGAGGGTGGATCACCTGAGGTTGGAAGTTCAAGACCAGCCTGACCAACATGGAGAAACCCCATCTCTACTAAAAAAATACAAAATTAGCCGGGCGTGGTGGCATATGCTTGTAATCCCAGCTACTCGTGAGGCTGAGGCAGGAGAATCGCTTGAACCCGGAAGGCAGAGGTTCTGGTGAGCTGAGATCTCGCCATTGCACTCCAGCCTGGGCAACAAGAGTGAAACTCTGTCTCAAAAAAATGAAAAAATAAATAAATAAATAAATAAATAAATAAATAAATAAATAAATAAATTAAATAAATTCTACACGTCTAACTACTTGCAGATCGCAATAATATCATGCTTAGTATTTTTACTTCTCATAATTGTTTTTAGCAGATAACTCAATTTGAAGGAAGTTTAACTATTAATGTTTTTGTGTAAACTTTTTCTTTTCTTTGTAACAAAATTCTTCCAAACAAGATTTTCTTTTATCTTTACAAGACATTTTTTACAACTTCAATTTTTTAAAAAATATCCTGGCATAGTGGCTTAGGATGTTGGCAGACAGGAAATACTTCATTCCTGCTTTAAGCGAGATTGGTAAACACCTTGGCTCTTAATTGCTAAACCATAGATTCATCTTGGGTGATCCATTTTTAATCCATGTTTTTATTCTTCACAGTGATCAGCATACTGCTTTACACAAAGCTGGCACTATGAAACATTTGTTGAATGCTGGACTTTACTAAAATGATGAATGAAGGAATTGATTTTCACTATGGCTATTGTGGTTCTGCCTTAAGGATTTTTTTCCTTGATTTATAACTTTATGTCTAGAAAATTTTGCCAAAGACATATGATTACATCACATTGAATTATACATTTAACAAGATGTTTATCCTATATTAAATTCAATAATATTTTATGAAACAAAACTGAAAATATAATTTAAAAATCTATATTAAGTAGAGCAATATATTTTTATATTTGACTTGGGTGTACTCATCCTCTTTCCAATACAGATTTTAGCTGGCTTGCAGAAAAAGATCTACACACTAACAGTATCAGAATAAGTTAGAGGAAAGAAAGTGGAGAAGAAAGAAGAAGAATTAAGCATGCCAACTGCAGAGGCCAGTCCAGTGTGTATGATTGCACATTAAAACTGGCTGTATGTTTTGGCATTCAAAGTTAAGCGCGCGCACACACACACACACACACACACACACACACATACACAATGGGTTACATAACTAATAGAAAAGAAGAAAATGTACTGCTTTCTCAAGGCACATTATTTTCCTAGTAATAAACTCAGACCAAGTTCTCTTGTGGGTCTTAGGCGGGGAACATTGAGTAATGTAATGGGCAATGTCCTTATGCCCATTTCAGAGCAAATGAAGAAATGGGCCTCATGTGGCTCTTTCTTGTAAAGGCCTTCAATAAAAGTCAAAACCATAATATTAAAATATTAGGGAGAAAAACAGTTCTGGGAGGAGCCCAGAGAATTTGATGCCAGCATGTGTTCAATTCTGATCCAAGGGTAAACTTAGAATGCCTGGAGGTATGAAATGCTGAGACTGGTTCTTGGTTTATACTTCCTACTTGTTAGGAGCAGGATTACAGCAAATTGCTCAAGGCAACCCTCAGGTGACAACCTTGGCTGAGGTTTTATGTTTATGATGAAGACAGATTAGTAAGATTTAGAATCCACATGAATTGGTAAAAGGCCAATCTATAATTAGAAAATTCAGAACACTAACCAGTGTTGTGAGCTGAATTTTCTCATGCCACAGATGGTGGAATGAGAGGTTGCTATCTAATACGGCTAAGCTCCTCAAATATTTTCATCGAGTTTCTCCTAATGGCAAAGTCAAGTTAAACTTTTACTATCAGGATTTGGGGTCAATTCCCAAAGATCTGTTCCATAGATTGACAATTTCTTTAAATCTCCACTTGCGATTCCAAAATGTACACATCTCAATAAAATATATTTGTTTTAATATAGAGATAGTATTTTTAATAAACTCTAAGAAGATGAACCTTGTTTATTGATTAGCTTTGAATGCTGCTTAGCCCACTTCTCCCAAAGGTATGTCTAATCTATTTTAAGTAGAACAGTTATAAAACTGCCAGGGGTGATTTTAACCTGAAAAGTTGTCAACATTGTTACCACTACAGCTCTAAGCAAACCCAATTAATGTTCTCATGGAAAGCTGAATTCTGAGTCGTATGGTTGCCCAGTGTTTCCTAGGAATTATCAGTAAAGTGTCATTTAATTGATGTGCTATAGAAAGGTTAGGTTTTAACTGAGGTCCAAGGGGAGTTGGTGGGTTCGTGGGTAGCTGGAAAAACACTTGAGGAATCACAGACAGTTTCAACATGGCTTTACTCTTTCTCTGGGCCTGAGTGAGTCTGGGCATGAGCAAGTGTGAGCCTGGGCATGAGCAAGCTGTATGTATGGCATTAGCAGGTTATACCTTTTATAGACAATAATGGCTCCGAGTCAAGCACCAGCTCATGTGGGTGATCACCTAATGAGCCTCACATGACATGGTAACCTAATGTGCAGGGTTGTGCGCCTGTGCTCCAAACTTGCTGAGTCATGTTGGACTGGATGTCTGCCTCAGCCTATTCTTAACCACAGCACATCTATTTTCCTTTACACAAAACTTACGTGATGTTCACAGCTGAATAGCCATCAAGGGAAATAGCTTCACTATTTTCAGGCACAATACTGAATTCCTCTTCCTAATAATAGGTAAAATACTCAGACTTTGGTCTTTTGAGGTCAAAATAATATAAAACTCGCACCGTGAATTTTGACACTCAAAACTAATAAAACAATAATTAGCATTTACATAGCTTTGGGTAGATGTAGGTTTTACACATATCAACTGATTAATCCTCACATCCACCTATGAGGTGGTTACTATCTTTATACTCATTTTATAAAGGGGTAGAATTTGAGGCACAGAGAACATAAGTAACTTGCCCTTGGCACAGGCTAGAAAGTGAATGAGCGGGAATTTGAACCAGGCAGGTTGACTCCAGAATCTTTAACAACAGTGCTAAGCTTACTTGAGATTGTTCTCTTCAGAATCTTATGGTTCTGTATACTTGAGTTACTTCAAGTCTACATGTGGCCTAGATCTATCACTGGAAATGGATCCAGGCCAAAGAAGTCCCAGGTGTAGGCTATAGAGACGCAGCACCCTCATGCTCCCTCAGCATTCTGCTTTGCTCTCTATTTCATTGTCTTTCTCTGCTTATTTGCAGTTCCCATGACAACTTTACCTCAGACATTTCCCATTATGCCCTCTGATTCATCTCCTGTGTGTCCATTACACCCTTTGTGCTTTAACTCCCACTTTAACGGACTCAATCCATCACTGATTCTTAGTGCATATTCTGAGAAGAAATCTCTTGGTCCATCTTCTTTTTGTTTAACCTCAGGCCATACCATAACTTTCTAGCCAGCTTTGCGTTTGGTGCCCTGATCTGGTCTGATCAGCAGTGGCTGTGAGAACTAGTATCTAGTATGTGGAAAATAGGAGGTGGGTGAGGTGTTTTCCCTCAGAAAAGAATGTACATGTGTGAAAGGCTGTCTCAGACTTGGCCGTCTCAGACTTGGCCTGTCCAGTGCAGAGTTCAAGATGATGTTCTATTGTTCTTTTGCACTTCCTTGAAGAAATTTGCTTGTTCAATTACCATTTGTCTTTCCTTCATCAACTATATCTTGGCAAGCCGCTATTAATTTATTTGTATTATAAAGATTGATTAAATGGTTTCCATTGGGCATCCATGGCTTGTCCAGGACCCCAATGTTCGTAATCAGTATAAAAATGACCTCTGGATTGCAGTAAATGAACACTTCAATGTATTTTTAAATGTTTGGAATGCTAGCATTAGTCTGTGTGAGTTTTCATGATGGCACAGTTCCTGCATACTCAGTGTCTCCAATTTACAAAAAACAAAACAAAACAAAAACACAAACAAAACAAAACAAAAAACCTCAAACTCCCTTTCTTTGTTGTGCAAACTTTCCCCACTTCCCAGAAAGCTACAGTTTTGCATTCTTCCTCTCTGGTTACATTCTGAGTTCACAAGGAGCATCCCTATACTATTATTGTAGACTGTCTTTTATTTATGTTCTGTGTCACCCCATCACCCCATCACCAGCACATGGCTTCTCTGCCCACCTCCACTATTATTGTTCATTTCAAATGCCTGATGTCCTCTTAGAGTTTTGCTATCTGTTTCCTGTCCACTTTGGTATGTGCTAATTTGGTATAGAAATTACTTTATATTTGTAGATGGAGAAATTAGTTATAAGGATGAGATGAGTGATTTTGTGTAATATCTATCAGAAAAATCTTCTTTGCTTTGGAAGCAATGTATTTTTTACAGTTACTTTGCTTTCATTTTTGATGAAATTTTTGTTATAAACAATGAAAAAACAAGACTAAAGGTGCATGCTTAAATCTGAAACTGTTTTTCAGAGGATAATGTTCAATTCTACTTTTTATAAAATCAAAACCTCATGATAAGAGGATTATCTTTTATTTAAAAAATTCTTTTTGACTACTTAATTGAGAGGCAAATGCTGCTTCTTTTCTAAACTGATGGCAGATTTTCAGCAAGAGAAGTGTTTATCTAGCTAATATATAGAGAGTAAAATAATGTGTGGAAATATTGTATTTTTTTAGAAAAAGCTACTCATTTTCCTTGCAAAATTTCTTCAAGAGTGATCTTTGTCTTGTCATTTTAGACAACTTTTGATAATGTTAATAATTTTAAGTTATGCAATTTTGAATAAATAGCAAACTGTAAAAACAATAACTATAATGATACATTGGGGGTATTTTCTTTATTAATCACCTTATATTGCTGTCTTGCTGGAACATTTATAAACCATTTTTATATTCTCAAGATTTCAACAGCCTTAGTATTTTGTAAAGCATCACAGTTGTGCCTTTACATATATATAAAACTAGTTCCTTATATGACTACATATAATTATACAGCTACATATAATTTTTTATAACTAATTATGTTATAACTAATATCCACATCTTCCCTTTATTTGGTGCTAAAAGTTTTTTTGTTGTTTTATTTGCATGTTTTTAGTTTAGTATTTATGAGCTTATGTAACTTATCCACTATTTGCTAAAATTTTGCAACTTTGAAGGCCTGACTGATACTTTATGTAGGCATGGAAATATCTCATATTTAAAATCAAAACCATATTGGAAATTCTGGCATGTATAATAATTTTAACAGTGTATTAAAAATTAAGAGTTAAAAAATACATTTATTACCTTTGAAGTGAGATGCTATAAGTGAAACCACACACATCACAGCATTAGTTTATCCTAGGGTGACCTTATTTTAATTATTTTCGGAATATGAATTAAGTCATTATAGGTAATCTTTTAAAGAGTGAGGCTAGGAAAGATGGAAAACACTTTTATTGTCTTAGAGTAAAGGGCTGTGGTCATTTGGAAACACATCATTAAAGACTTAATCCCAGCACATATGGGAAAGGCAATTCCACAGACCTTTCCAGAAGAAATACAGAAGACATAAGGTTAGGAATGAGGAGAGAAAGAGGTTTAAAGCAAGGAACATCTGGGATTGCTAAGAACAATCAGAAGCCATAACATAAAGAAGACAAAAGGTGAATGCGCTTCCCTCCTCCTCATAGCCAACTGGCTCAACAGACTTTAAATATTGAGCACACATTGTTTCAAAGGCTGCTTTTTTCTCTCTCTGACCTCAGCCACTAGGAAGCTACAGTTTAACCTTTTTGGGAAATCCCTAATACTTCAGGGGTGGGATATATTTGAGAAATGTACAACGTAGGAGTCTTAACCTTTTACTTACTGGAATCTCAATATCTCAATGCCCAAGACAACTTATAGTTCACTAGAATTACACATATACTATCATACTATTTTTTTATTTAACTACAAAAATTTAGTGATTTCGCATTAAACAAAAGCATTAGTCACTTTGAACTACTGAATTAATGGTAAAAACAAACGCATACCTAAATGTTTTTCAATATTAAGAGTGAAAACTTTTTTTTTTTAACCTATAAAGAGAAAATACTTGTTTTCTTTGAGGGAAAAACCCCCATTCTTATTTTAACAAAAAGTCATGGGAACTAAACATATGAGAATAGCTTTTAAAATAATTCATAGGCTTATTTTTAATACGGTTTTAGATTTTCAAAATAATTGAGCAGATAGTACATAGGATTCCATATACTCTTCCCATCCACAAGAGTTTCCCCTATTATTAACATCTTGCATTAGTCTAGTACATTTGTTACAATTAATAAATGAATAGTGATACATTATTAACTGTAGTTCACAGTTTATATAAAGGTTCACACTTTTTATTGTACAGTTCTACGATTTTAATAAATGTATAATGATATGTATTAACCATTATCATTTTATATTGAATAATTTCACCACCTTAAAAATCCTCTGTGATCCACCTGTTCATCCCTTCCTTCCCTCCCTCCCCTTGAGCCCCTAACAACCACTAATCTTTCACTGTCTCTACAGTTTTGCCTTTTCCAGAATGTCATATCCTTGGAATCATATAGTACGTGGCCTTTTCGACTGGCTTCTTTCACTTAATGCCATGCATGTAACAGTACCCTATACCTTTTTGTGACTTAATTGTTCATTTGTTTTTGTCACTGGATGATTTTTTAAATAGAGAAAATTTTCATAACCTAATATAGCATTGAAAAATAAGGATATTTAAAAGCATATCTTTAAACAGAATAACAGACATCGGAGACTACAAAAGGTAGGAGGGTGGGAAAGAAGTGAAGTTTGAAAAATTACTTATTGGGTACAGTGTTCACTTCTTGGGTGAGGGATGCACTAAAAGCTCACACTTCACCACTATGCAATATACACATGTAAGAAATCTGCACTTTAGCCCCTAAATATATTTCCAAAAAAGTGTAAAAAAGTTGCTTATTTCAGATGGACAAATAGTTTTTGAAGATCACGAGGCTCAGCAAAATTCATTTTAGTCTACAAAATGTACTAGACTCATTTACATTTTCGCAGTACCCCTAACACCCCTCTAAGTCATACTCAATTCTTTTCATTACCCATCTGTAATATTTGGTCCATCTGCTAGTAGTATTCAATAGACTAGTGTACTACCATTAACCCGAGTTGACCGAAAATCAATATGCCATGTATCCCAAAGGTCATATGAGTAGATCCTCCTCTTTCCTGTCCCTCCAAGTTTCTCTCTCGTCTTCCCTGCACACCCCTGACCTAAATATGAATGATTTATTTGAGAAAATTTTTTTGGGGGGATAGATAACCCATGAAATTGTGGGATGTTTATACTGGCTATTTTCTCAGCATTTCATCTTACCTGAAGTTGATAATTCATTGTTTCTAGAGTTCTCCACAAATACAACTTTCCATTGACATGAAAAACACATGAAACCAACCAAAAGGAACTATAAAATGTGAATTTTTACTTTGGAAGTGATGTCTCCTGTTTATATCCTTTCCAGTATGTACTCAGACATGGTTACTCAAATGAGCATTGTTTTTTAAGATAAATGTACTTACAAAAAATGACTCTGACCTATAATAAAAATGTTTAAAAAATAATCTGTTTTCCATGTGCTTAGGATCGAAGCCACCTACAGTAATAGCTTTTGTTTTCATTAACAGGGGCGAGTTAGTTTTGCAAGTATTTCTTGAGCATGTGTTAGAGAACTCATTGGAATGACCTAAGCAAGACTGCCTTATAACTATAAAAAACTGAAATATATTTAGTATAGTAGAAAATAATTGAATAGCATAACTAAAAGGTCATCTTTCTTCTATATAATTTGCTTGAACAGAAAGACATCTTGTAAAATGGCTTACATCCAGTATTTTTGGTCTGCTTCCTTTTTCTAGGAACCATATTGATTGCAGTTTTAGAAATAAAGCTATTTAAACAAAATCAATTAAAATGATATTGGGAAGGTCATACACATATTTATAAATATCAAATGATCTGTTAATTAAAAATCACAAGACATTAGTAGCATTGAAGCTGAAATTTCCATGGCAATAGTAAAAACATTTAACAGTACACATTTCATTTACTTTGCAAAAGAGATGGATCCAGTGAAATAGACTGATGACCTAATATGAGGTGAATTTAAGTCATATGTTTGAGCCAACAAATCCAGAAGAGGTGTCAGTAAGATTGGCAGGGAAAATACAGACTTGAAATCACAGAATAATAGATATTACTGAGGAAAAATACAGGTAACACTAAATAATCTACTTCTATGCACTTTTTATAAGTTTGCAAATTTCCACCATGCTGCATAAGCAAGCATCTATTACTTTTACAAATATAAAATTGCTTCCATAGTATCACATTTTTACCATTTCTTTGGGTTGATTGCTAGGAATGTGGCATTGTCTTTCTCATCTTTGCCATTATTTTAGCAAGAAAATTCCCCTGGGCACCCCAAGGCATTTTAAAGTCTTTCTCACCCCCTTCCCTTTGTAATTCTTTCATATGCATTATAAGAAGTAAAATAATAGTTTTTGTCTGATTTATTCTTTTATGCTCACTTTTGATTATGCTGGACCTTAAAATTTTTATCTTTCCACTCCATACAATTGCCAACTCTGCTTGTATTCGGGTTTCATCTGACTGTAATTCATTGACAGCCATGTATACACATAATTCAATGTATGCGTGTCTATAACACATTTTCTGAATATTGTTTGTTATAATAGTAATAATAATGAATATCAACAAATTGCTGATGTTTTTGTTGTGGAAAAATTATAAATGCGAAGATACATAAGTTGTTTGGTACCATAGGCCCTTAGGAGTCATATGAGTTATTAATGGAGATGATATGACAATAAATAAAATTATAACAAACAACATGAGGCTATGAGTAATCAGTGCTTAGAAAGTGGTGCAGACCCGGGTGCAGTGGTTCACGCCTGTATTCCCAGCACTTTGGGAGGCCAAGGTGGGTGGATCACCTGGATTCAGGAGTTCGAGACCAGCCTGGCCAACATGGTGAAAACCTGTCTCTACTAAAAATAACAAAAATTTTCCGGGCGTGATGGCACATGCCTGTAGTCCCAGCTGTTTGGGAGGTTGAGGCAGGAGAATTGCTTTAACTTGGGAGGTGGAGATTGCACTGAGCTGAGATCACGCCACTGCACTCCAGACTGGGCAACAGAGTGAGACTTCGTCTCCAAAAAAGAAAGAGAGAAAGAAAGAAAGAAAGAGAGAGAGAGAAAGAAAGAAAGAAAGAGAGAGAGAGAAAGAAAGAAAGAAAGAAGGAAGGAAGGAAGGAAGGAAGGAAGGAAGGAAGGAAAGAAAGAAAGAAAGAAAGAAAGAAAGAAAGAAAGAAAGAAAGAAAGAAAGAAAGAAAGAGAAAAGCAAAGCAAAGCAAAGAAAAGAAAAGAAAAGAAAAGAGAAGAGGTGCAGGCCACAAAATTTGAGGAAGGCAGAGAAGGGGGTGGTCATTTTGTACTGGATGATCAGAATAAGTCCTGACAAAGGAGATGGGGTTTGTCTAGGCCCTGAAAAATAGGGAGAGATGAGATTTAAATATCAGGAAAGAATGAAGAAAGGGAGTTCCCAGCAATGAGAGCAGGATGAACTAAGGTAGAGAGAGGGTTTGAAAGTTCAAAATGTATTGGAAACTCTGAGGAGACAGAAGTAGAGAGTCCCTAAAACAGCAAGGAAAGGTAAGTTTGCAAGGACAGGATGAGACCAGATTTTGGCAGGTTCTGTATTTCAGGCTGAATAGTCCTAGTTATGAGCGCAAGATGATCATTTTGTGGGTTTTTAGCAGGCTAATGGTTGTTCTTTGGACAGATGAATCTGGCAGCAGTATGCTGGCTGCTTTTCCAGGGAAAGAATGAAGGCAGAGAGGCAACTTAGTGGAGCTAGGGAAGTTGGGGAGAAAATTGTTTGGATAGGAGATGAGACAGTGATGTCTAAAAATGATACATTTTAGTAACGTTGAATACCAAAGCAGTCGGTTGAAGGAGAAATATCCATTTGAAAATTGTTTGAGGGAGAATTTAGATGTAGAGATTATTCTAACAGTAAAGTTTGACTAAATTTCTAATGCTTTCTTAGAAGGCTTAAAATTAAGCCATTGAAGGTAATGGCCATTCAGATAACAGCTCTGAGAGGATAAAGTATGAGGGACACAAAGTGGAGAGACCACTGAAGATTGAATGTTGGAGAACGCTATCTCCTTTTGGGGAAGAGGAATCATAGAAGGAAATTAAGAAGCTGTTAGAGAAGCAGGACAACCCGAAGAGTGTAGCCTTGTTGAAGTCAAGAGAGAGTGAAGTTGATCAACCCAGTTGATACAAATGTCCACCTCTCAGTGACCAAGGTAGCACATTTGTTTAGTCATGATTTTCCACGACATATTTCACACATCACTAGGAAATGCTTCCTGTAACTGAATATTCTCCTTCTCTGCCAACAAGTATCAACATACTCCGTGAACTGTTGCAGAGTGATTTATAATGTGAATAAGACCTCGGAAACTTGTCAAGACATTCAAAACCATATCCACAATGGCATGAAAAACTCTAGAGCCACGTTTTCTTCTCTTTCCTTTGTGGTTAATTCCAGAAATTAGCTATTAGTCACAGAGAACACAATAAAACATGATCAGATCTTCTTAATCCCTAAATCCAAAATGACTAAAAATTTGCTGAGGCAACTTTCTTTTGGTCTGTGCCCAGGTGTAGAAGTTGCTCTTGCTAAGAGGGTAAGAAATCCATTCAGCACACACAAAGAGATTGCTTTTGGCACACTAGATTGGTGCACTTGTGCACACTAGCACAGAGGGAAAAGGTAGGAAAAGAAAGTAGATTTGGATTCTGCTGCATGGGAAACTACCATATGATTACTGGGTTCGAGCCCATTCATTGGGCCCAAATTAGCAACCACTTGTAATCAACCATCAGCCTTTAGAGTGTAATGTACAATACTAGCCATGGGGCAATTGCTTCTTGGAATAATGTATTCATCTCTTGAGTTAAAGGTAAGAAGGAAAAAATTGCTGAGGTTAAATTATTGCCACCTTGCCTTGGTGACTTAGAATACTAGATGAGGGTTGTTACTGGGCATCCCTCCTGCTAACATTGCTGAATCCAGATGAGAACTTGGGAGACTTGTTACATAATTGAAGCTGGCAGTGCAGTGATGCTGGGAGGATCTTGGGCCTGGTCCAGTCCTCCTTCTGCCTCTGGCTTAGCTGTGCGATCCTGAGCAAGTCACTGAACCTATTTTGTCTTTGGCTTTCTTCGAAAACGAAGAGATAATATCCCCTTTGTCTATTCTAAAATAAAACATAGGAAAGTTCTTTTAAAAAGTAGAAAGAACTGTGGGGATGGACAGTTTTAAAAAGAGTTCCTGAATTTAGGAAATACATATTACTTTCTTCTAGGTTTATTTCAGATTGGTAATTAAGAATATTTTAAAAAATTTTTGTAAGACCTCTTCAAGCAGAAATTTGCCATTTCTGGAAAATGAAAGTGCTTCCAAACTTGGAATCACATTTTTAGACACTGCAAGCTGGTTTTGCACCAAATTCCCTTAGCTTTCTACAGGGCCTTTCATACTCTTCATTTTTTTGTTGTCTTTTCTCCTTCTTTTTGCATTTTTTCCTCTCTCTTTATCTGCTGTAGAATAGTTTCTATTTTCAAACGGAAGAGCTTCTTTGTTTTTGTCAAATGATATAAAAAATAATCTTTGGGATAAATTCTGAAAAGAGAGGTCACTGTAATTTTATGAAAGGCAGGTCCAACAGAGACCAGTTGGGGTCCAGTGAATATCATACTGGAATTGCCTGAGATTTAGTTTGGGGTCTGAGAATAGGTAGAAGAGGAATAGCAATATCCAATGAGAAAGGATTTTTTTCATTAGGTGATAGTTACTCATAATGCTGCTAAGAGATGCTGGAAATGTTAGCTTGGAATTTAGTAAATAAAAGATATTATGAAAACTTCAAAAAATGTGTATAAACCTGCTAACTACAGAAGGCTCATCAGAACAGAAATTTGAGAACTTTGAAAAAAAGTATAGTTATTCCTAAGTAGTAGGAGCTACATTCATGCAGAAAAATATTGGTCAGAGAGAATTAAAATTCTGTAATGTATTGAATACTAAGCAAAAGCGAACTTGAGTATAAAATGATCCCCCATTTTCCCAAGAGAGGATTCTAAAAGGAGATTTTTTTATGTGTGTTTGTTTTGTTTTGTTGGCTAACTTGAATATACATAATTTTAGAGATGTGGCTTAAAGATCTTTTTATGAAATTTAATTACAGGCAGTCTGACTTATGATGATTCCACCTATGACATTCTGACTTCATGATGATGTGAAAGCTATAGGCATTCAAAAGAAATTTTACTTCAAATTTTGAAATTTCATCCGCCTCTACCTTGGCAAAGTACTGTGTACAAGAGAGATTCAACTGTTTATAATAAAATAGGCTTTGTGTCAGATGATTTCGCCCAATTGTAGGCTAATATAAGTGTTCTGAGCACATTTAATATAGGTTAGGCAAAGCTATGATGTTGAGTGGGTTAGGTGTGTTAAATTCATTTTTGACTTAATACTTTCAACTTACAATGGGTTTATCAGGATATAGCTCCATCATAGGGCAAGGAACATCTGTTTTGGCTGCACACAATTTAAAAATCACATATTATTTTAAATGATACATTAATGAACATTTGTTGCTATTTTTTTGCTTCCATTCTGGGAAGCAACTATATGAAACCTCATCACTTGCATAAATACTTTATAATGCCTGCATATAATAAAAGGTATTTTTTTAAGTATCCTTTAGACCTCAGCATCTTTGCTGTAACTGGAAGACTTTTTGAGTCTTCTAAACCAAAGAGCTTATGACCTTACCTTCCATATAAGTTGTTGGAGATACAGCTTTTTTACAATTTGCTGGAAAGGTGATCACTTTGAGTTTCACCCCAAGCCACAAATATTCACTGGGTAGTTATTATTTGGACAACTTAGTCATCACTACTTTACTTTTTAAAGTGATACATAAAAGGTATGTTTATATCCAAAACTTGTGATTATCATGGCATATTCCAGGAATAATTATTAAGTATAAATAAGTTTATTTACTTGCCTCTTTTAAAAAATTTAATCACATAAGTGTTTGAGGTTAATGGATCTTTCCCAAATATAAATTTATTGTTAAAATTCTAGGGTACTACTTAACATCAAAATTCTTTCAGATGACTTTCTTATTTCTAAGCCATAATTTAAAAAAATTAATCTTATATTTAAACATATATGGTATTTGTGTTTTCTTAATTTTTGGGCCTATGGAAAGTGATATGGTTTGGCTCTGTGTCCTCATCCAAATCTCATCTCGAGTTGTAATCCCCACGTATTAAGGGAAGAACCTGGTAAGAGGTGATTGGATCATGAGGGCAGTACCTCCCTGCTGTTCTCACGATAGTGAGGGACTGCTCATGAGATATTATGGTTTTAAAAGTGTCAGTTTCCCCTCCACGCTCTCTCTCTCCTGCTGCCTTGTAAAGAGGGTGCTTGCTTCTCCTTCACCTTCCACAATGATTGTAACTTTCCTGAGGCCTCCCCAGCCATGTGGAACTGTGAGTCAATTAAACCTCTTTTATTTATGAATTACCCAGTCTCAGGTAGTATCTTTATAGCAATGTGAATGGCCTAATACAGATAGTAACATAATAAGGATAACATTTTTGAAATACCTTCTGAAGTAATATTCTCCTCCTGGTAGCCACATTTATGCCCTGTGGCCCTTCAGCTATACTGCAATAGAGAAGGGAAGGATGAATACCCAGAAATGAAGAAGAATGAGCATGGAGAAACTCCTACCAGCTGGGAGAGGCAGTGGAAAGATCCCCTGGCTCCAGAAGATAAAGGGGAGGGTGAGAGCCAGAGAAAGGTAACTGCAGGAGTAAGACATGTGGGCTTTCTTGCTTCCTCCCTTTGGTTCAAATCCAAAGACCTGAGGGCATAGAAATACTCATATAGGCTTTGGGGAATCCTAGACATGTCGTGGAAAAAATGGCAATTCTCTTAGAGAAGCTGTCTTTTGAGGGCTACTTTCAACAAGACACCAAGCAGTAGGTTAGAAAAAGCCAAGAAAGATGACCTTCAAAAAAGCTTCCCTGAGCTCTGTGCACTTCAGGTGAGAGTGAGATAAAGCAACTGAGAATTCCACATGGAAGTAAGGAAGAGCTGAGTGAATCAGAGAACCTGGAGTCAGGACAAGAATACTGTGGCATATAGTGACCTTCACATAGTTCAACAGCAAGTGCCAGTATCATGCCCCAAGATCTAATGAACACAGCCATCTAGTCTCATTGTTGCCAGCTGCCCAGGGAAAAGAATACACAACACATGGCAACCATCTGAAGCAAAAACACTTGGGGAAGAGGACATATACCTACAGTCCCACCCCTCCCCTATAAACCTTAGGAATCCCCGTTCACTTAGATGCCAGCTTGGCAAGGAAGGGAAGTACACATCTGTTGACAGTAATGAAATATCCTTGATAAGGATTTAAATTTTGGATGTGCTGAATATTTCTTTACCCAACAAAAACACTTTTAATTTCTTTATTGAAAACAATAACAGAAAAAAGTTACTCATTATTGGCAAGTTTTAATATTTTCCCCCTATCTGTGGGAATGGGATCTTCTGATCAGCATGTCATTTTTTTAGAAATAGAAAAAGCATGTTTGTATTTTACATATCCAACTTACAGGATTTTAAAACTTCATCACAATTTATGTAATGAAGTATTAGTCAGGATAGTTTGGTTATGTTGCAGTAACAAATGCCCCCAAACCTTGTTCCCTTAAAACAACAAAAGTTAATTAATTTCTCACTCATGCTATGTGCATGAGAGTTGAGGGGCTACAATTCATCATAGTGACTTAGACAGAGATCTTGGTTGATGGAGTCTCACAAAGTTGCTGATAAATAACCATGACAGGAGAAAAAGAGAACATAGCAAGACTCACACTGGCTCTTAAACTTTTGCTTTGATGTGAGATGTATTCTTTCTGCTCAAATGTTACTTGCTAAAGCAAGTCACATGGTCATATCTAATATCAACCGGGTGTAGAAGTACAATATTGCCATAAGCCCATGAGTAGGAACAGAAATCACTGGTGAACAGTGCTAATGGCTACCATCACTTGTAAACCCTTTGTCACTTTATGGATTATTGTTTCAATGTGAAAATTTTATGACATAACTAGATATGAGAAATAGAAAAGATATCAGCGACTTCGATTTCAATGTAATTAATGTGTTGTTTATAATTTGTGCCTTTGTGTTCTTACATGCCTTAATACAGTGGCATCTATAGTAATCAGCGTTCAGTTGAATCGAGAGTGTTCATTCTATATCAAGAGCTGACAAACTTTTTGTGTAAAAGGTCAGATAATAAATATTTTAGGCTTTGTGGGCATATAGTCTCTGTTGTAGCTTGTCAATTCTGTTGTTTTAGTGCGAAAGCATGGATAGCTAATGTGCAAATGTATCAAAGTGATGTCTTCCAATACAACTTTATTTATGGACACTGAAATGTGAATCTCATGTAATTTTTACATGTCACAGAATATTCTTCTTCTTTCCTTTTTTTTTTTTTTTTTTTTTTGAGACAGAGTCTCACTCTGTCGCCCAGGCTAGAGTGTCGTGGCACAATCTCGGCTCACTGCAACCTCTGCCTCCCGGGTTCATGCCATTCCACTGCCTCAGCCTCCAGAGTAGCTGGGATTACAGGTGCCTGCCACCACGCCTGGCTAATTTTTTTGTATTTTTAGTAGAGACAGGGTTTCTCAGTGTTAGCTAGGATGGTCTTGATCTCTTGACCTCATGATCTGCCCGTCTCGGCCTCCCAAAGTGCTGGGATTACAGGCGTGAGCCACCACGCCCGGCCCTTTTCATTCTTTTCTAATCAGTTAAAAATGTAGTTGGTCACAGTGGCTTACACCTGTAATCCCAGCACTTTGGGAGGCTGAGGTGGGTGGATCATGAAGTCAGGAGTTCGAGACCAGCCTGGCCAACATGGTGAAATCCTGTCTCTACTAAAAATATAAAAATTAGCTGGGTGTGGTGATGCACAACTGTAATCCCAGCTACTCAGGAGGCTGAGGCAGGAGAATTGCTTTAACCCGGGAGAAGGAGGTTGCAGTGAGCTGAGATCACGCCACTGCACTCCATCCTGGGTGACAGAGCAAGACTCCGTCTCAAAAAAAAAAAAAAATGTAAAAACCATTTTGTAAGCTATACAAAAACAGGCAGTGAGCTAGCTTTGGCCTATGGGCCATAGTTTTAGATTATTTAAATAACAAGAAATTTTAAGTATTCAAAACCAACAAATTTATTGGAAGAAATGGAAGAACAGTTCTATTCTTAATACTCAGGAACAAATAGTAGCTCCCAGAAACACTCTGCCTTTGCCTTCAGCAGGTAAACAACCACCACAGATGCAGGAATCTGACAGATTATGAATCTGCTGCTAATACTGCTGACTTCAGTCCCAGGCTACTCTGCCATGATCCAGAAATATGCCAAGTCTGCTCCAGGAAGCTGCTGAATCAGGAATCCACCTACCACATTGGGCAGTCACTGCTAGCTGCCACCTCGGCCTTGATCCTCGCCAGCAAAATATATGCCTCAAACTTGGCTTTTTTCGTCTGTTTGATTCAGATTCTAAACATTCTTGCAGGAGTATGAAGGAACGTAAATCATGTTCTAGCCTCCAATGTGTCTGAGAAATGTAGTTTAACTTTCCAGCTGCTTCATGTTACCGGTAGGTTAGAATGGATGTTGTATAAAGCAATTTAGGGTATTGGACACAGCATAATAACGAAAAGACAGGTTCCATTAAGACAAATTCTTTGGTGTTTCCAAACCTTCCGTGAGCTATCAGGAAGAGAAAGTCCTCGTATAAGTGCCACAAAATGATATACAAATAAAAATAATTGTATGCATGCTTCCTTTCCATCCATGCCACTACCCCAAAACAATTTTTTATTTTAACCCTCTGCCCTGTGAGCTTCCTACAGTGGCATAAAGATTTGCATAATCATGTTTATAACAGCACTGTTAGAAATAGCAACAAAAAGTGCTTGAGAAAGGGTAAAAATGTTAGTATATCCTGCTATGTAGCAATTAAAAGATATGGATGTAGATACTGACATGGAAAGAGATCTAAGACACATTTTAAACACAAGTTAAAGAGTAGCTTATGAAGTCTGATCTCACTTTTTAAAAGAAAGGTAATTTTGGCTGGGCGCCGTGGCTCACGCCTGTAATCCCAAAACTCTGGGAGGCCGAGGTGGGCGGATCACGAGGTCAGGAGATCGAGACCATTCTGGCCAACATGGTGAAATCTGGTCTCTACTAAAATACAAAAAAATTAGCCGGGCATGGTGGCACGCGCCTGTAGTCCCAGCTACTCAGGAGGCTGAGACAGGGGAATCGCTTGAACCCAGGAGGCGGAGGTTGCAGTGAGCCAAGATCACGCCACTGCACTCCAGCCTGGGCAACAAGAGTGAAACGTTGTCTCAAAAAAAAAAAAGGTAATTTTTTAAATGCGTTATCTTGACGGCTTCTTTCAGATTTTAAATGTAGTCCAAAGAGATAAATAATCTATTTTATAGATGCATACAAAATACAAAGTTCTCTATAATCCTAATCTCCCACAATAACTGCAGTTAATATTTTTCTGTATGTATGCATACTTTTTTCTGTAGATATAAAATCTTTAGGTCACACTTTTAAATGAATTTAGCTTTGTTTAAAAGTCACATTTTTATTTTTAGGAATAAGATCTTGTTATATCAGTGCCGTAGTACTCAAGGGTGTGTCGCACTCTGAATTTGTTTATTTTTCCTCTGAAAAAATCACTGGGGGCCACTGATTTCTTCACAGGTATGGTTTCTTTTCTTTCCTTTCGTTTTTTTTTTTTTTTTTTTAATTATACTTTAAGTTCTAGGCTACATGTGCACAACGTATAGGTTTGTTACATAGGTATACATGTGCCATGGTGGTTTGCTGCACCCATTAACTCATCATTTACATTATGTATTACTCCTAATGCTGTCCCTCCCCCAGGCCCCCAGCCCCCGACAGGCCCTGGTGTGTGATGTTCCCTGCCCTGTTTCCATGTGTTCTCATTGTTCAATTCCCACCTATGAGGGAGAACATGCAGTGTTTGGTTTTCTGTCCTTGTGATGGTTTGCTGAGAATGATGGTTTCCAGCTTTATCCATGTCCCTGCAAAGGACACAGGTATGGTTTCTATATATGATATGGTTTGGCTCTGTGTCCCCACCCAAATCTCATCTTGTAGCTCCCATAATTCCCATGTGTTATGGGAGGGACCCATAGGAGATGATTGAATCATGGTGGCAGGTCTTTCCCATGCTGTTCTCGTGATAGTGAACAGGTTTCACGAGATCTGATGGTTTTTAAGTTTCTCTACACAAGCTCTCACTTTGCCTGCTGCCATCCATGTAAGATGTGACTTGCTCCTCCTTTGCCTTCTGCCATAATTGTGAGGCCTCCCTAGCCATGTGGAACTGTAAATCCAATAAGCCTCTTTCTTTTGTCAATTGCCCAATCTCGGGTATGTCTTTATCAGCAGCATGAAAACGAACTAATACAACATGCTAACATATACAACTAATTTGTTTAATAAATATGGGTTCAGTTTTATACATCTTTAACTAGCATCTCATTTCAAAGTCTGTTGTTTTTCCATAAGTGCTATTTGCAGTGCAAATATGTCATTTAGTCAACCCAGGACAGGCAAGGTACTTGCAAGCATTAAACAAAAAACTGATATCATATCTCTGAGACATATTACATTGCATCATGCTCTCTTTCTGGAACATTTTTCTAAAATCACAAATTTTTAGGCATCTAGACCAAATACTTCATTTTTATATTGCTATACAAAGAGAATATAGGAGCTATTTCATCATATTTAATATTTTAATAAGAGCATCTCCAACATGGTTTCACACCATGCATGCATATAGGTCCACCATTGTTCTCCATGAAATATGCTATAAAACTTAAAATAAATTTATCAGTTATGCTACTACAACACATTCATTTTCTACTTGAGCAAAATATACATAGATGAATAAGCTGTTTCTAGAACTGACTGCGAAAACAAAAGATTCAATAGCAATGAAGTCTAGAGGTAATAAGGCATGTATAGTAATTAGTTGTAGTTAGACCTCACTGATTCTGAATAAGTAGAAGAAAAAAGAAATGGAAAATGGAAAAAGGGTAACCCAGAGAATGAATTAAAGCATGGTTTTCAAACCACGGTCTTGGGACTCCTTTATACAATTACAAATTATTGAGAACTCCCAAGTAGGCTTGCTAGATAAAATATTGGATGACTAGGTAAATTTGAATTTCAAATAAACAGTGAATTAAAAACACAAGTATGTCCCAAGTATTACATGGGACTCATGTATACTAATAAGTATTCATATTTATTTGAAATGTAAGTTTATTCTGTGTCTTGTATTTTTATTTGGTAAATCTGACAAATCTTATTTCATTTTTTATGCTAGATATATCTGTTAGTATTTTACATATTATAAATTAAAACAAAAAAAAATTTGTATTCATTGAGTTAAGATAACAATAGACCTATTACATAAGTAACAACTTCATGAAAAATATTCATTTTTCCTAAAACAACAAACAAATTGGCATTGTACATTTTTGCCAATCTCTTTAATGTCTAGCTTAATAACAGACAGGTAGATTCTCCTACCTGCGTTTGCCCTGCGAGTACTGCATTATGTTGCTTTGGTAAAAGTACATGAAAAAAATATGGCCTCACAGATAAATACTTTAGAAAAGGGAAGAGTATCTTAATGCTTTTTCAGAAGATTGTGGATATTATTCTTTGATGCTACACTCAAAATTAACAACTGATAGTTTGTTTTCTTTTCTTTTCTTTTCTTTTTTTTTCTTTTTTTTTTTTTTTTTGAGACAGTCTCACTGTGTTGCCCAGGCTAGAGTGCAGTGGCATGATCTCAGCTCACTGCAACCACCGCCTCCAGGGTTCAAGCGATTCTCCTGCCTCAGCCTCCTGAGTCACTGGGACTACAGGCACACACCACCACACCCAGCTAATTTTTTTTTTTTGTATTTTTACTGGAAGTGGGCTTTTGCCATGTTGGACTGGCTAGTCTCAAACTCCTGAACTCAAGTGATCTGCCTGCCTCAGCCTCCCAAAGTGCTGGGATACAGGCATGAGCCACCACACCCAGCCAATAACTAATAGTTCCTTAAAGGTTAGTTGCAATAAAACGTATGAAATCATGGCAGTGAATTTTTCATACTTGGTCATACTAAAATCTGTTTGTCTGTCTTATGCTTTGAATGATCTTTTATTCCTGCCTTATTTTTAAAACATCTGAAATCATGGCAGTGAGTTTTTCATACTTGCTAGTACTAAAATCTCTCTGTCTTATGCTTTCAATGGATCTTTTATTCCTGCCTTAATTTTATAACATCATGGACATTGGCCATTTGAAAAACAACTGGTTTATTGATTTATGTAGTTCTTTCAATGATCTTTACACAGTATTGAAAAAATCACATTTGTTAATATCACCACTAATTTCATAAGAGGAGTCTGTTTAAGTATTAAGAAGATGTCAAGCTCGAGGAGGTGGATAGAAGTTTCCCAAAATACTAATTTCTGCTTGAAAGTTAAAATTTTATCATTGGCAATAAATCCTAACAATTGTTTTGCTTGAAGTAAATAACCGGCTCATTTTGATTATTTTTAAATAACATTTCTGCTAAATATGCAAGTCTCAATAACCATAGACATTTTCACAAGTAGAGATGGTGTTCCATAGCAAAAAAAAGTGGCTCATTCAGCTTGTAACACAAATGACATTTTCCTCATGAGAACTGTCATACACTGGCAAACATACTTTACATGTATTTCCCATGTAAGTACATTTTCATCACACAAAATTTTTAAAGTGTATTCACAGGTAAAGGTTTAATGAAAATAATGCTTAATTAAAGAGATTCTTATGTGAAGTCAGCTTTTTAATTTTCTTTTCCCTATGAGGCTGCGGCAGTGAAGACTACAATGACTGCTGTTACAGTCCGGTGCCGCTACCTCCATTCATACGAAGGTAACAGCGTGATTGCTTTTCCACCGTCAGTTCCAATGTCAACACAGTAGAAAGACAAATGGCTTCATAATATTATTATGAAAACAGTGTTTAGTTTGTGGATCCTTGGGAAAGTCTTGGAAATCCCTCCAAGTCTGCAACTCCAGCGTGGAGAACTGCTACTTTAAAAATACAAAACAATTTTGTTGTTTTCAAAAACACTTTAAAGAGCAGGTAGATAAAATAAAAAATATCAATATTTCTATGTATGTAATAACTAATGGACTAGATCTAAAAATGTTCTTAAATGTTTATCACCCAGCTGTTTTCTCCTTTTCACAAGATTCCCTTATTTAGCACCTCTTTGGGTTGTGGTGTCACCTTCTCATTTGCTCTTCTCTTGCACATCAGTAACTCTGTCCATTGTCATCTATGTACAAAATGAAATCAACATACATGAGTGCAAGGAGAGCTCACAACTGCTTGGGTAGATCTTGGTTTGTTTAGGGTCTTGGTTTGTTTAAGGTTATACACAATTTAATGCTATTCGTGCCCCAATGCCATAGTGATACTGCTCTAGCCAACATTCCAGATTCATAAGGCTTATCATTACGATGTTTAAAGCTTAGGATGTAGTCTCATTGTCCGGATAAGGCTCAAATTCCTTAACAAAGTGTGCAGAGTGCCTCACACCTTGGTCCCAATCCAACCTTTCCTTTATTTTTCTTGTCAACAGTACAAGGGCACGCACGCACACACACACAATTCAGCTCCACAACTTGCTATTCCCTAAACATACATTATGCTGCAAGTCCTCTGTCCCAAATGTGTTTCCTCCAAATTCTCATTTACTTGGCAAATTTCTCCCCAAACAGATCTTTCCTCATAACTCATCTTCTCAAGGAAATCTTCCATGAACATCTTACAAAAAATGTCACTCATTTCAACATTTCATTCTCTTCACCTCTGCTTTATTTTATTCCTTTTATTTTTAGTTGATACATAATAATTATACATGTTTTGGGGGAATACAGAGTGATATCTTGATATGTGTGTACAGTATGCAATGATCAAATCAGGGTAATAAGCATATCCATCAATTCAAATATTTACCATTTCTTTGCATTGTGAACATTCAAAATCCTCTCTTCTAGATTTTCGAGAATATACAATAAATTATGGTTAACCATATTCACCCTACAAGGCTGCGGAACACCAGAACTCATTACTCACATCTAGATGTAATTTTGTACCCATTAATTGTTTTCTCCTCGCCCTACCCTCTCCCCTCTTCTTTTCAGCCTCTAATACTCGCAATTCTATTTTCCACTTCTGTGGGCTCAAATTGTCTTTCATAGCTTCCACATATGAGTGAGAACATGTGGTATTTATCTTTCTGTGCCTATCTTATTTTGTTTAGATTAGTGCCCTCCAGACTCACCCACATTGGCACTAATGATAGAATTGCATTCTTTTTTGTGGTTGAATAATATTCTATTGTGTATATATACCACAATTTCTTTATTCATTCATCTGTTGGTGGACATTTAATTCCATATTTTCCATATTTTAGCTATTGTGAATAGTGCTGCAATAAACATGTGGGTGCACGCATCCCTTTGATATACTTATTTCCTTTTCTTGGATAAGTAACCAGTAATGGGATTGCTGGATCATAAGGTAGGTCTGTTTTCGGCTTTTTGAGAAATCTCCACACTGTTTTCTATCATGGCTGTACAAAGTTAGATTCCCACTAATAATATATGAGTCCCAGCATTTGTTATTTCTTGTTTTTGTGATAATATCCACTCTGACTTGGGTGAAATGATATCTCATTTTGGTTTTGATTTGCTTTTCCCCAATGATTAGTGATGTTGAACTTTTTTTTTCATATATTTGTTGGCTAAGTGTATATCTTCTTTTGAGAAATGTCTATTGAGATTCTTTCCCCCCTTTAATCAGATTATGTATTTATTTTGCTGTTGAGATGTTTGAGTTTCTTGTATAATCTGGGTATTAGTTCTTTGTTGGATAAATAGTTTGCAAATATTTTCTACAGGTTGTCTCTTCACTCTGTCGATTGTTTCCTTTACTATGCAGAAGCTTTTCAGTTTAGTATAGCCCCATTTGTCTATTGTTACTTGTGTTGCCTGTGCTTTTGATATCTTTGCCATAAAATATTTGCCTAGACCTGTGTTCTGAAGCATTTCTCTCGTGTTTTTGTCTAGTGGTTTTATAGTTCGAGGTCTTTAAGTTTTTAATTCATTTTTGTTTACAGTGATCTCTATTTTATCTTTTATTCTCACTTCTTATATATCATATATTATTTATCTTGATTAATTTCTTGCCCACTAGAGGATATGTATTATGGGGGCAGAGATTTTTGCTTGCATTTTGCCCACAATGGTACCTTCTGTACTTACTGGTGTTTTCTTGGTATTTGTAGGTACTCGGTAAATATTTGCTGAGTGGGCCAAGTGTGGTGGCACACACCTGTAATCTCAGCACTTAGAGAGGCTGAGGCAGGAAGATTGAGAGCCCAAGAGCTCTAGACCAGCATGGGCAACATAGTAAGACCTCGTCTCTACAAAAAATAATTTTTAAAAAATTATATGCTTGTGGTGGCACATATCTGTAGTCCCAGCTATTCAGGAGGCTGAGGTGGGAGGGTCCTTGAACCCAGGAGGTCAAAACTACAGTGAGTTGAGATTGTGCTACTGCACTCCAGCCCGGATGACAGAGCAAGACCTTGCCTCCAATATATTCATTTGTTGAATGAATAAAGGATGTCATATAGCACCTCTATTAGCTTCCTTCACCTCAGAAAGTCAAATTTAGGCACATTTTTCTTTCTTCTCTATTCCACACTACATACAGCAGTATACCATTTGCCACTTTTTTTTTAAATTTTAACTCTTAAAAAGTAGAATTTCTAGCAGACTCCACACACTTTAACATATGTGATTTGTTTTATTCCTCCTCAGCTGTTGTTGCAGTGGCTGACACTAGGTAGGTATTTTATAAACATCTGTCGAAAACTGAGTGAAATACTGTGAGGCAGTTAAAACCAAAAGTGTAGAATAATTTGGAGCTTGCACAAAATAAGATGCCTTATACAACTGGTTAAGTAAAATAATAATATTGAATGGCCTTCTCAACATGGTGCAGAACTATTGTTCCCAGAAATAAATAGAATATGTAATGCCCCTTTCTAAGTTCCAACATGATTAATATTAAACTAGGCTGCCATGAACCAAAATTTTTCCAGAGTTGCTCTCTTCCAACGTCTCCTGTAGTTTAGCCATCCTCCGTCTTACTACCTCCCTTACTACGCCCATGAGAGAAGATCGGATCTCAATCAGTTGTCCTTTTGCTTTATAGTGCTATTTTTATTCTTTAAACTTTAACTCATTTATAGAGTAGCTTTTTCTCCTTAAAGTAATTTCAGACACCAGCCACCAAGGGGGTATTTGTCAGATCTTCCCTTAACCAATGAAGTCATGCTATATGAATGCTGTTCTTGAGGGTGAGTCTGATTTATTCAATTCATTAGTCATGAGAAAATGCTTATATCTTCTAATATCATGATCCACATTCTATTTAATAAATAGAATTGATAATTTTACCTAAAGGAGTTACAAAAAAAAAAAAAAAACATTAAATGTCCAGATATCTAGTTACTACAAGCCCTCCAGAATGTAGAGAAACTATTCTAGGAGTGAGAGGGAGCAGGAAAGGTCAGGGGACAGAAGGAGCAGCTGCATGAGCTGTTTGAGGACCCAGTGGGTTCTTGGAGTCTGAGAAAGGACTGGAGAGGTGAAAGGGTACTGGCAAGAGTCAGAGACCATCAGCCTGGGGCCAGAGAGGTCAGATCTCTGAACAACATGTGTCTGTGAGAGAGTGTCTACCTACAGTGACGACTGAACTAAATGGTTTCCTCTCCACCTTGATCCTGATTACAGAAGTAGAAGAACTAACTGTGGAAAGGAGGAAAGTGAAAATTTAAGGTTTGACTGTATGAAATTAATAGTCATTTATGTAAATGCTGTGTAGTTTGTTGTTTTTTCATTTGACAATAACAATGTGCATATGATTAAATGTGCTTTGTTGACTATTGTAAGTTTTAATTTGATAAAAATTGCTCATGCTTGCAGAGTCTGCTCTTAACAAACATCATGTTGTCTCTATAATTTTAAAGAATAGATGAATTGTCACAAAAATATTTCATACTTAGTCATTTACTCCCAGATGAAAGTTGGATGCTTTATGGAAAATGTTACAGTAAAAGAGGGTATTTATGTTTCAGATAGTCTTTTTGTATTTTGTTTGCATTTAATGATGCCTGTTAAAGTATTCCTGGGTGACCTTTATGATCTTGCTGTTCAGTTTTAGGTTTCAGTGATTGAAGTCCTTGAAAATATGTACCTAAGTCTATGCAATTTTCAACACATCTTCTGTAGAGTCAAAATATGGCCTATAATATGACTTTTGTTATCCACTGCATAAATCTGAAATTGAAGGTAGGAGGTTTCAACTTTCAAAAATTTTTCATCTACCCTGGCTTCTGTAACTTTCATCATTGGAAATGTGTGGTATAAACTGTCAATTCCGCAGTCACTACTAAACTGGCATGGTTTGTAATAATACTATTTAAGGTGCTCATCAAGGGAGTAAATGTAGCCTGTTTTGAATTAGGAAATGTTAGAAAAGAAGGTGTTAACATTTTCAGAGATCAGCCTTCAACTTTGAAAATACTCTTGGCAAAATACTGACTGAGTTCATTGGTCCATTAAGCTGTATCTTTCTGTCTGAATCAGCTTTCCATTTGAATATTGACAAAAAGGATGACCTTGTGTTCTGACCTTTTAACCCCACGAAGCTAATCCTGCTTTTATTCCAAAAGGGAGGATGGGACAGTGGATGTCCTAATGCTCCCATTGTATTCCAAATTTATAAACAGGTCCTTTGCCGTTTTAATAAAAATTATTAACACAATAACAACTTAGAATTCCACATGTCCTAATTTGCAGTTCCACCATATTTAGCATGAAATGTTGTGCTGCACAATATGTTATTAAAATCAATTGTCATAGAAGTAAAAGATGCACATGAACATCATTGCCCATCAAATCAATAAGCAATAAAATGAAACGGGTATATAGGGCATTGCCCTTTACTGAATCAAACAAGCTGGATTTTCCCCCAACAGCCCTGTGAGACTATTGAACTCAGTCATAAACTAATCAGGGATTTTACCAGTGGTTTCAGAATAAAAAGGAAAAATACTCTCCTTCATCCCTGACAACCTAACCTTTGGTGCTGATCAGTTGAAATAAGACATAATGCTCAAGAAAAGATGTATCTGGAGGGTCATCTCATGTGGAGGCTGAAGGTCATTTCCAACAAAGCAATCAAATATCTAATAAAACCTCAAGATCACATCTTTGGCATATAGGCAAGCAGAATAAACTAGATAAGAGTGAAAAAACTTAGAATCCTGTATCTGTGGTAAGAGATGGTTCTCTAAGCATCAATGTGGAGATTGGCAAATATTCATTAAACCTGACATTGCTTAATATAACTAATAAAAAATTAATACATTGAGATCACATCAATTTATGAAATGAGGAAAAACAGTTGTTTTTTTAACTCATCATTGAAAAAGTACACTTTTATAAAAATACTATGAACTTCTTTTAATATTTTGATTAATTTGAATTTCTGATTGGCCCCACAAAGATTAACTCTACTGTAATTTTAGAATAAACCAGTCTCTTTTTATTGGACAAGTCATCACCATTTATCGGAGAACATGAAAATAGGTAAAATGAATTTTAATTTATTCAAGTCAGCATGAAAAATAAAATTAAAAATAAAAATAAATTTGCTTTCAAAAACGTCTTACATTGTTTTTAGGTTTGGGTATTGGTAAGTGCAAATCTATTGTTCACATGTGTTGGCAATTTAAAGATCTGATTTAAAATAGTTTAGAAAAAATCAAAGAAAAACCCTGAATAAAAGATGGTTTAAAATATTTGTTTTATATATATACTCATATAAATAAACTCATTTTTTTCTTCATCAGTCACTGAATTTGTGAATCATATTACATAGACTGGCCTTAAAGTTGCAGACAAACATACTGATGGCAGCAGCAGGCTGTCTGGAGCAGCCGCTACCACCATGCCTGCTGCAGTGAAGAGGTGCAAGCATAGGGGGTGGGATCGGCTGTGGGGGGACCACTGTGCCCTGCGTCCCCTGTGCCCTGCATCCCCAAGGCAGCCAACTGGGCTGCCCCCACCTTCGTGTGGCCAGGCGGGACCCACCTCCAGGCCCAGAGCCTCAGTTCCTCCAGACCCTGGCCCAGCATTGCCAATCTCACCTGCTGCCACTGCAGGGAGGGTGTCGGAAGAGGTGGACAGTTCCTGGAACCCACTGCCCTGGGGGCCATCACAATGGGGCTGGGTCGAGTTGCCCACCAGCTGTGAAGCAGCAGGTTGGACAGAGAGGGGCCCTGAGGTGAAGCTGGGCACAGGACAGTGCCCTGCTTGCACAAAGAGTGTGGGTTCTCTGGGCTGTATATGCCCTGCTTGGGGGACCTGGCCAGTGGTGCAGTCACTGTGCCCATTCCAAGGGTTCTGGGTTTCTCCATCTCAGGAGCAGGCTCTGTGCAGGGCCACCTGGGGCCATGTCCCCAGGGTCCACCTGGCATTGGGGTGATCTTCAGGCCTGATACTCCTGATGTCCAGGCCTGAGGCCTGCAATCCACTCTTGGAGGTGCCCCATGGCAGGGCTGCGAGCCAGGCAGGACCAGAGCCTCACTGCAGTCTGAACTCCTGGGGGCCTGGGAAGGTCCCCTGCTACCCCCACAGGCTTGGGTGTTTCTGCTCCCTCTGCCTGGCTCTCCCCATTCCTGGCACCTGCACCAAACTTGGATTAAAGTTGGGGCCAAGGCCGGGTGTTGTCACAGCCTGGCCAGGTGTGCACACACTCAGGGCAGCACTGACATGCCAGGTCCCTGCCATCTTAGACTCCCTCCATATTTTGAGCACTGATGAGTGCAGGGGAGGCAGGGCAAGCCAATGGGGAACTAAGGGCAGCTCAGCACTGGCCTTCAGGCACCCCAGGGTGTGAGCAGTGTGGGTGCCATGGATGGGGGCAGGAGCTAGACAGGCTCCTGGGCAGAAGAGGGTAGGTCCCTAGTGAAGCCCCACCTTCAGGCCAGGTAGGGCTTGAAGTCTGGGGCCTGGGCTGTTAGCCCTGTGGAACAAAGTGGGAACTCACGGTGCCTTTACTAGGCCTGCGTCTGGCCTCCCATGGACCAGTTGGCATGCACTTCCTCCCCTCTGAGGCCCATAAAAGCCCCAGGCTCAGCCAGAGCTGAGTGGAGGGTGGAGAGAGGACAGGACAACAAGCTGCAGAGAGGAGCTACCCTCTCTGCTGAGAGCTGCAGAGATGACTGGACGACTTGCCTGCAGAGGTGAGCCACCCACTCTAGGGCCTCCTCTCTGCAAAGAACTGCAGATGATGGGATGATCAGCTGCAGAGAGGAGCTATCCTCTCTGCTGAGAACTGAGCACTTGTTTGGGTGATCTGCCTGCAGAGAGGAGCTACCCTGTCTGCTATGAGCTGAACACTTGTTGGGGACACCCTGGCTATAAAAAGGAGCTGCCCATTGCAGGTCTCCTCTGAGCTGTTCTGTTGCTCAGTAAAGCTCCTCTTTGTCTTGCTCACCCTCCACTTGTCTGTGTACCTCATTCTTCCTGGTTACAGGACAAGAACTCAGGAACTTCCAAATGGAAGACTAACAGAGCTGTAACACAAACAGAGCTAAACATGCCCCTTGCTCACCATGCTGCAGAAGAAGAGAAGGAGAGAAGAGCTGCAGTCCTTCAGGGAGCCCAGACCTGGGAGATCCCTGAGCCAAGGCTGTGACTCCCTCTTTGGGGCTTTGTAGTTCCGGGTGCCTCCAAGCTTCTGGGTGCCACTGCATTCCCTGGGGCCAGATTGGGAAGCTGCTTGTGGTGCACCTGGTCCAGCCACAGCCTCATAGAGAGCTGGCTTCTATGCTGAGACCTGGATCTGCCAACCCCACAGCAGCAGCATGTCTGCTGCACAGTGGCCAGACCCCATGTTCACACACACACCCAGTGCTGCTCCATGCCTGACTCCAGTCTCCCTTGGAGGTGTGGGATCCAAACTGATAGCATGAACTGAGTGCAGCCTGCTAGGGTGAGTGGATGGAACTAGTCCAGCCAGCCTGAGCAAAACTGGGGCAAAGGTGCCATCGGCCACAGGTTTCTGGCTAGAAAAGAGACACCCCAAAGATTCCATAACAATGTCACTATAAAACAAACAACTCAACCTTACATTAAATTCTTCCTTAACTCCTCCATAACATCCACTTTTCCTCTGTCAAATTAAAGTTCTGGAAACTTTTTTATGGCAAACCATGATTGATGAAGCTCCTGTCTCCCAAATTTTCATGGTGATAATTTATATTTATTAATATATGTTATTTGTAGACTCTCCCTGAGATTTATGTCTTCACCTTCTTCTACATTTCACTGAGACATCTGCTTAAATAAGTCTTTGGAGCCCTTTGTTTATTGTTAGATATTTTTAGAGACCACATTAACGTATTAAGACTAATAAAATTATTTTTACTAAACACTGCCTAAAAGCCCCAAACCATGTAATTCCATCTGAAAGAGAATAAAAATCACTTTTGCATTACACAAGTCACAACTTACTTGATTGCCTATTGCCACTTTAAAGCTGATTAACTTGTTCATTTTTATTCTGGAATTTTCTAGATGGTAGATAAATGGCATGGATTTTTAAGTGTCCTTCACTCTATTTCAGAGTCACTATTTGGTACAATCCTTGAAAGAGAGCATTTTTATATTGGCAATTATCCCCATATATCATTGAACTTAATCTTTGGGAATTGAAACTCAATCATTTTTTCATATGACTATTAATTGTATTTGTTCAAGATACTGTAATTTAAGAAGAGTGAAATTTTGTGAAACATGATAATTTCTACTTAAAATACATTCATTATTCAGCTAATAATGAAAAAACAGGAGTGTTTGCTCTTCTTGCTAACATTTTGAGAATTCTATTCACATATCCCACTAGTAATGTACCTTTGTTATTATAAACTATGATTACTGAAGGACTTGAGTTTGAAGCAGCACACTGACAAAGGGAATGGCAATTGTTTTTGCATGTGCTCTGTGTTTGATTTGGATCCCAATCACTTGAAGCATGGGCTTGTGTTATGAACACAAGCAGATTCAGTATTCAACATCCTAATGCAGTAAAAACAAAATCACATTCATGTAAAGTGGAGATGTTTCAAGAAGTATGTGATCTCTTATGTGGCAGTTTGAAATCTTGGCCATGATATTCAGGGCTCCCTTTAGAACAGAGTAGTAGACAGATCATCTCTCTGTAGAATTCATTATTACGAAATGGAACATTATTTGTTGGGGAGTGATACTAAGTCCTGATCTTGAATAAAAACTGAAGCAATTTCGTTGGCACAATATGGATTTTCCATGAGTCTGTTTTTTAGATAATGCATTCTGCAGGATCAAGATGAGACTGCATTAGGTACTTCATGTAAAGCAAGAAAAATTTGTGTTTTACTATATTTCCAAACATACTAATATTTGGAATAGGAATATAGCTCTTGGGAAAAATAGTTCTGGTTATTTAATATACGAAGTTTGAAAATCAATAGAAAGTAAACCAAGTCATGTGTTGTAAAATGTATTAAAATTATTTTTTCTATATTTTAATCCAAAAGCAATGGTTTTCTTTGTTAAACAAAAATATGGACAACACAGAAAAGGACCAGGTATAAAGTAAAATTTAAACATACTCTGACACAGAAAGAGCACTACTATAAAGTTATGATATTGTTTTATAGTATTTTTTCTTCTGTCTATAGTACACACATATATACATTAATAATTTATGGATTTGGGGGGACACTGTAAATAATGGATATTTTGAATTATTTGGATTCATTTGCCATTTATTCCCTTCCTAATGAGTCTGAATTTCCTATTTCAATATCACCTTATCATTGTGTATTGTCTTGGTGGAATCCTAAATTAAGAAGCCTTTTCCATCCCCAACCAAGGAACTGACAACTGACCCAAGACAGAGCAATTAAGTCTCTCCCAAGATTGTGGATCTTGAGTGAAGTGACAGAAAGATGGGTGGGATGGAGGTGGAGGATACAAAACATGGGGGGCTCATTTGTCTCCACAGATAAGATGGAAAACATGGTTGAGTAGTTTTCTGCTCTATTTCCTGATTTATGTCTTACCCTGCTTCTTGGATTTCTTTGTCTATATTCTCTTGCCTACTTGAGCCAAAGCTGGGTTTTGTGCTTACAACCAAAAAACTCTACCTTATACATTCAGCACACATTTTTTTAAACTTGCTTATTTCACATCTATATGTTTTGACTCTAGCATATACATATATTTTTGCCACAATAAATTGTACTACAGTGCACATCTTTAGATATAAATATTCACATACAACACTGATGATTTCTATAGGTTAAATTTCTAGAAATAGAATTACTAATCATAGTATGCTCATTTTTTAAGTCTTTTTATTTATATTGACCAGTTGTACCAAAAAATTGTTATGCCAATCATGAGAACGTCAACCTCTCTATATTCTTTCCAAAATTTTTACCTTATTGCCAATTTGATAAGAAAAATACTTTATATCTTAAATTTTCATTCTTAATTGTTAGTAAGTTGAAAACATTCTTTTTTCAGTCATAAAGTGTCTTCTATGAATTATTTTCTGTAAATATTTTTACCTATTTTTTTACTGCTCAATGTGTTTCCATTTTATTTATTTGTAAGAGCTCTTTATATGTTAAAGACATTAAATTTTAGATAAAATATATTTCAAATATTTTTATAATTTGTCATTCAACTTAATATGTTAAGTATTTTTGGCATATAAGAACTTAATTTAATAATCAAACTTTTTAATCACTTCCTTTTATGTTTCTTATCATAACTGATGGTCATTGAAAAGCCTCCCTACCAAAACTGCATAGATATTCATATTTATGAAATTGAAACAATGTTTGCTCATTTTAAAATTAATTTTACCTTACTTGACAATTATTTTAAAATATCACATGAGGTGGCAATTTCATGTTATTCTTTATAACTGCTTAATTAGATATCCCAATATGTATCTATTGATTACATGTAAATAATAAGTTTTGAATAATTATTCCTTTCTAATTTATTTAAAATGTCCTCTTTATCATATAGTGCTTTACTATACAAAATATGTCCCAGAGAGCAAGACCATTAGAATCACTTAGGAGTTTATTAGAAGTGTAGAGTGTTAGACTTCATCCAGCTCTACTGAATCTGGATTTAAACTATATATGAATAATTGCAGGTACATTGTTTAAGAGCAGTGGTTTAATTCTCATGTATTCCTAAGTTATTTACAAGCCAATTAATTTTCTTTTAGTGTTCCTCATTATTTTTAATTTGTAAGAAGTGGCTGTTTTTCTTGTTTATTCTTTGTGATATATTCCTAACACACTGAAAACATTTTGTTTCAATTAGAAATAGATCTCAATTTACAGGGTCATTTCAAGGTCTATTGAGATGATTATATCATTTTTATTTGATGCATAGACATGACATAGAGCACTAATACATTTTTATAAATTAAACCAATGGTGCCTTTAAAGGATAAAATCTATTCGGTCATAATTTTTGTTTTATAAAATCTTCTAGAGTTTCTAGTGTTTTCTTTAAGTTTAAAAACCCTTTCTTCACACAAGTAGGACTGGTCTGTAGATCTTTCGTTGCATTATGTGCACATTTGTGTGTGTTTGTGTGCATGTACGTGTGCGTGTCATTGCCAGATTTCATTGTCAGGGTTACACAGGCTTGATAATAGGAATTGTGACATTTTTCATCTTTCACTATGTTTTCTCCAGCATTTTATTGAAAAAAATTTAACCATGTACAAAAGTAGAAGGAATTGTATAGGAATACTCATATACCCACTACCTAGATTCTACAATTAACATTTCTTCTAGTTGTGTTATCAGTTGTTTGTGCATATATCTATCCTTTTATGCATACTGTGTGTATCTTATGCATTTCAAAATAAGTTGCACATATTCAGTACACTTTCCCACTAACCAGGTCAGCACATATTTTACTAAATAAAGTTTAATATTTGTCTACTGCTTTTCCTACTGAGCAACATTTATATACGATGTAATGCATATCTCTCAATTGTTCCATTCAATGAGTTTTGACAAATTCATAAGCCTGTGTAACTCAATCTTTTGTCATAATCACAACTCTCGTACATTGTTCATAAGAGAATAAAATATTACAACTACTCTAAAAAAAAAAACTCTCTGCAGTTGCTCATGAAACTAAACCTTATCACCTAGTAGTTCAACTCTTAGTTACTTCCCAAGATAAATGAAACATCAGGTCCACAAAAAGACTTTACAGGAGAGTTCATGCCAGTTTTATTTATATTAGCTGAAAACCAGAAATGGCCCATATGTCCATCAACAGAATAGACAAACTGTAGAACGAAATGTTACTAGAAATTTTAAAAATATGAACTACTGATATATACAACAAGAATTAATCTCGAAACTTTTTTGCTAAGCATGAGACTTATGAAAGAGTACATGTTGTGTAATTCCACTTATATGAAAACAAGCAAAATAAATCTGTGGTGGAAAAAAATTTAAAATATTAGTTGCCTCTTGTGGGCAGGAAGAGAATGACTAAAAAGAGACACTAGTGACTAGTATTGATATGTGTGGATTTGATCCTGTCATTATGCTGTCTGCTGGTTATGATGTTGGTTTGTTTGTGTGGCAGCTTTATAGTGACACTGGTCTGTGTGTTTAAGTGTGTTTTTGTATTAGCTGGTAGCAACCTTTTTTCTATATTTAGTGCTCCTTTCAAGATCTCTTGTAAAACAGATCTGTTGGTAATAGATTCTCTTAACATTTGCTTATCTGAAAAGGATCTTTCTCCTTCACTTAGGAAGTTTAGTTTGGCTAAAGTGAAATTATTGGTTGAAGATTTTTTTCTTTAAGAATGTTAAATATAGGTCCCCAATATCTTCTGGTTTGTAGGGTTTCAGCTGAGATATCTGCTGTTAGCCTGATGAAGTTCCCTTTGTAGGTGATGTCTCCTTTCTCTCTAGCTGCCTTTAACATTCTTTTTTTTTTCACTTTGACCTTGGAAAATATGATGATTATGTTTCTTGAGAATGATCTTCTTGTATAGAATCGTGCAGGAGTTCTCTGTATTTCCTGAATTAGACTGTTGGCCTCTCTAGCAAGGTTGGGGACATTATCATGGGTGTTACCCTAAATTATGTCTTCCAAGTTTTTTGCTTTCTCTCCCTCCCTTTCAGTGATGCCAATGATTCATAGATTTGGCTTCTTTAAATAATTCCATACTTCTCAGAAGTTTTGTTTCTTCCTTTTTATTTTTTTTTATCTTTGTCTGACTGTCTTATTTCAGTGAACCAGTCTTCAGGTTCTGAGATTATTTCCTCAGCTTGGTTTATTCTGCTGTTAATGCTTGTGATCACATTGTGAAACTCTTGTATTGTGTTATTCAGCTGTGTGAAATCCATTAGATTCTTTTTTCTACTAACTTATCCCTCACCTCATGTGTTGCTTTATTATGATTCTTATTTTCCTTGGACTGAGCTTTGTCATCCTCCTGAATCTCAATAATCTTTCTTCCTACCTATTTCTGTCATTTCGGCCAGTTTAGCCTAATTAAGAACTCTTATTGGAGAACTGGTGCAGTTGTTTGGAGGACATATGACACTCTAGCCCTTTGAGCTGTTGGAGTTCTTATGTTGGTTCTTTCTCATCTCTGCATGTGGGTGTTCCTTTAACTTCAGTGTAGATTAAGTATAGTAAATAGACTTATTTTCTGGATGTTTTCACTGAGCTGAGGCTTTGTGCAGGGTTTTTATTTGAAGCTGACTTCTGTCTCTTGTTTCAGAATGGAGTATGTTAGTGAGGTATTTTTGGTGTTGAAGCTGCGGAATCCAGCAGGTGGTATTTAGGCTTATTGTTCAGTTGGTAGACTCTTGCTTGATTCTGTGGTTCTCCTATGTTTCTTCACAGTTGCAGCTGTGCTCCCTCTCAGTGCTCTGAAAGTGTGGGTTCTTCTTTCCCTTGCGTGCTGGCTGTAGATCCCAGCTTAGCACTCCTAGGTTGACCAGTGCAGCTCTGAGGCAATCACAGTGGTTATATTCTTTCCCCAATTTGGAGGCAACAGAGGAAGGAACCTTAGTAGTGGTTGTGGCCAAGGGTCATTTGCTTATCTCCTGAGGGCTCCACCCCAGAGAGATTCAGGCCATTAATTACTCAGTGTAATCAGCCCAGGATGGAGGGTCTGTGCTGTGGTCCCAAGCCAGGGGTCTGCTGATAGGCAGTAGGATGTGTGTGACCCATGAGAGATGGACTGGCCTCCTTTCCTTGGGTCAACTGCAACTTATTGGAGATGTGGATAAACCACTTAGGTTTTCTGCCTCTTCATTAGTGCAAGGGTGGCAAGGGCAGTAGCAGAGAGGCTTTCAGTTGCCCCTGAAGGCTCTGTCCAGGGAGTTGGTGAGTTTGCTGCTGGCTCAATAGCTCTGGCAGGGGGCGGCTGGAGGCCTAGGCCTGGAGGACCTGCGTGGTGAGGAGATATAAGAACAACCACCCACCTAACAATCTGGCTAATTTTCCACAGGGTTGCTGCAGTATGTTGGGGGCCCATTCCAGTCTCTAGTCACCTCAAATTTTTCAGTACCTGGCAATATCAACAGTGAGGCCTACAAAACAGCAAAGATGGCAGCCTGCCCCTCCTTCTGGGAGCTTCATCCCAGGGACATTCATCCCTGTTGCTGGCTTAAACACACCTGTAGGAGGGGGCTGGAGACGCCAGTTAGGAGATCTCTCCTAGTAAGGAGGAACGGGATTGGGGACCTGCTTCAAAAAACAGTCTGGCCATGTTTTAGTGGAGCATCTGTGCTGTGCTGGGGGTCCACTTCAACCCCCAGTCACCTTGCACACTCCAAAGCCTGAAGACTGGAACGGCTAAGTCGCCCAAACAGCAACAATGATGGCCTGCCCCTCCCTCTGGGAGCTCTATCCCAGGGAGGTTACAAATCTCTGTCAGCTGGAGAACACCAGCGGGGTGGTTGGAGGCCCTGGTTGGGAGGTCCTGCCCAGTGAGGAGAAATAGGATTTGGGACCCACTTAAAGGAGCAATCTGGCTATGTTTTCATAGAGCAGCAGTGCTGTACTGGGGTATTTCTGCCCCCAGTCAGCTCAGACTCTCCAAACCCTGAAGGCTGGAGTGGCTAAGTTGCCCAAACAGCAAAGATGGCAACCTGGCCCACCCTCTGGGGAGCTCCCTCTCAGGGAGGTGCAAAGCTGCTACCAGTGGCTGGCTAGAATTGCACGCCAGTGGGTCTTATCCTGTGAGGTACTGTCAAAGTGGGGCCTGCCAGGTGTTCCTACTCAGGCCCCTGGATTCAGTCTCTTTCCTAGGGGTATGTACAGAGGCCTCACCTCCCACTTTGCTGGAGCTGCAGCTACTTTTGCCAGTAAAAATGCTGAAAAGCAAGTGATTCAATAAAAGGACAATTCATTTAAAGCTAATGTCATAGAACAATTTGAATGTGAAATTGAATTGGCAAAGAAATAAATAAGACCAAGAGGCAAAACGTGAGTTACTTTCCTGCTTCTACTGATTCAGGGCTTCACTATGGATTTTAAAAATATTTTACTTAAGTATTGCAAATTCCCAAGAAATGTACACCAGTGCTCAAAAGCAAGTACAAGAATAAAATCTACTCTAAAATATTATTTATTAAACTGAAAATATTCTTTCCAAAATCAGGATTAAGACATGAATGTCTGCTCCTGTCATTCTATTAAACGTTATATTTGAGGTTCCAGTTAGGTCAATTCAACAAGACAAAGAAATACAAATGAAGTTAGGCAGATTGAAAAGAAAAAAGTAAAAGTACCTGTATTTGCAGATGACATGATCTTAGATAGATAAACTCCTAGAAGTCCACAGAAGAAAAATATTAGAGCTAATAAATGAATTCAGCAAAGTTGTAGGATACAAGAACAATATATAAACATGAGTTGGATATTTAAACACTAGAAATTAACAACCTGTAAGTAAAATTTGTACAAGTCCATTTATAATAGCATCATAAAGAATAAAACACATGAGAATTTTTCTGTCTTTTTTATAAAAAAATTATAAATTCAAGGGAGTACATATGCAGTTTTGTTACATAGGTATATTGTCTAATGTTGAGGTTTGGGCTTCTAGTAAGCTTGTCTCCCAAATAGTAAACAGAGTACCTAATAGGTAGCTTTACAACTCTCAACCCATTCCTACTTTCCCATCTTTTGGAGTCTCCGTCTTTATGAACATGTGTAGTCATTATTTAGCTCTCACTTATAAGAGGGAAGATGAGGTATTTGATTTTATGTTTCAGAGTTATTTCACTTAGGATAATGTCTTCCCATCCCATTCATGTTACTGGGAAAGACATAATTTCATTAGTTTTTATGGCTACATAGTATTCTATGGTGTATGCATATTTTCTTTATCCACCATAAGGATAAATTTAACCAAAGAAGTGAAAGATTTGTACACTGAAAATTATAAAACATTGTTGAAATAAATTAAATGTCTACATAAATAAAAAGACATCCTGGGTCATGGGCTTGAAGACCTAATATTGTTAAGGCAATCACAATTCCAAATTTTTTCTGAAGATTCAACATAATCTCATCAATATTTCAACTGCTTCTTTTCTCTTTTCAAAAATGGACGAGATTATTCTAAAATTTATATGGAAATTCGAGGGACCCTGAATAGTCAAAACAATTTTGAAAACAAAAAAGAAAGTTGGGAGAATCCCACATCTCACTTTCAAATCTTACTACAAGGCTACATTCATTAAGACAGTGAGGTAGTGGCATAATGACACACTCACAGACCCATGGGATAGAACTGAGAGTCCAAAACTAAATCCGTATGTCCATAGTCAACTGATTCCCACAGAGTACCAAGGCCATGCAATGGAAAAACAAATAATATTTTCAACAAATAGTGCTGGAACAAATGAATAGCCACCTGCAGAAAAAAGAAATTGGACCCCTGCTTCCTACCATACAAAAGAATTAACTCAAAATGGATCAAAGAGCTAAATATATAGTGTTCCATAACACTATCAGAAGAAAACATAGGTGTAAATCTGCAAAGTCTTGGACTAGAGAATAGTTTCTTAGATATGGCCACTAAAAGCATAAGTAATAATAACAAACAGTGCATAAATTTGACTATAATAAGTTTAAAACTTTTGTGCTTTAAATGACACTATCAAGAAAGCAAAAAGACAACCCACAGATTGGGAGGAAATATTTGCAAATTTTACAACTGTTAAGAGGTCTCGTATACAGAATACATAAAGAACACTTACAACCCAAAAATAAAAAGACAAGTAACCTAATCAAAAAATAAAGGATCAAAAGAGACATTTTTAGGGAAAAAAAAGATACAAAAACATCCATGATTAATTATTATGGAAACACAAATTAAACCTTTAATGAGAACCACACCACAATTATGAAGATGGCAATAATAATAATTTTTTTAAGGGCGAGAACAGGTGTTAGTGAGAATGTGGAGAAAGTGGAATGCTAATACACTGCTAGAAAGAACATAAAATATTGCAGTTACTATGGAAGACAGTTTTGTTCATCAAAAAGTTAAACATAGAATTACCATATACTCCAGCAATTCCACTCCTAGTTATATACCGAAAAGAAATACAAACATGGTCGGGCCGGGCGTGGTGGCTCACGCCTGTAATCGCAGCACTTTGGGAGGCCGAGGCAGGCGGATCACAAGGTCAGGAGATCGAGACCATCCTGGCTAACACAGTGAAACCCCGTTTCTACTAAAAATACAAAAAATTAGCCAGGCATGGTGGCGGGTGCCTGTAGTCCCAGCTACTCGGGAGGCTGAGGCAGGAGAATGGTGTGAACCCGGGAGGCAGAGCTTGCAGTGAGCCAAGATCACGCCACTGCACTCCAGCCTGGGTGACAGAGCAGGACTCCGTCTCAAAAAAAAAAAAGAAAAAAGAAAAATAAAAAGCACTGGCAAGGATGTGGAGAAAGGGAAACCTTGCACACTATTGGTGGAAATAAAAATTAATACAGTCATAATGAAAACAATGGCGATATCTCAAAAAATTAAAAATAGAACTACTGTATGATGAAGCAATCCCACTAGTGCATGTATATCCAAAGGAAACGAAATCAGTATGCTAGATATCTGCACACCCATTTTCATTGCAACGTTATTTAGAATAGCCAAGATATGGAATCAACCTAAGTGTCCATCAACAGAGGAATGGATAAAGAACATGTAGAACGTATGGAACACCATTCAGCCTTTAAAAAGAAGCAAATCCCGTCATTTGAAACAACATGAGTGAATCTGGAGAACACTATGTTAAGTGAAATAAACCAGGCTCAGAAAGACAAATACCTCATGATCTCACTTACATGTGGAATCTAAAACAGTTGAACTCACAGAAGCAGCGAATACAATGATGGTTACCAGGGACTGGAAAGAAGGCAGTTGGGAAGGTGTTGGTCAAAGGATATAAAATGTCAATTAGATAGAAAGAGTAAGTTCAAGATATTTATTGTATAACATGATGACAATAGTTAACAACAATGTAATATTTTCTTGAAAATTGCTAAGAGAGTAGATTTTAAGTGCTTTTATCATGAAAAATAAATATGTGAGGTAATGCGTACGTTAATTAGCTTGATCTAGCCATTACACAATGTATAAATATTTAAAACCATCATGTTGTACAAGAGGTATATACAATTTTTCTTTCTCAGTTAAACATTATTTTTAAAATGGTGTGTTTTATGTTATACAAATTATAGCTGAGTTAAAAAAAGAACTTTAAAAATCATTTATTTTGAGTTATACACTAATTCCAGTAATCTTTTCTGCCACTCTGTATATGAATATTTTAAACTAATTGAGAGCTAAAGCACCTTTTTATTTCGAAGAATGGTCCTTCCTCAAAACACACTATTTAAAACCAATTCCCCATGGAGTGTCATTCTTCACTTGCAGAGAATATCTTTCTTAGTCTAAACTATGTGAATACAGACTCAGGTTCTCTTAACCTGTCCAAAACATTTGTAAGCTACTAACTAAAAATTCAGCGATACATAGAATTAATTTTCTGGATGATTTCTGGTAGGTACCTATAATAATCAGCAGTAAACTGTTTCTCATCCATGTCTGTTACCTAAAGCCCTAATAAAATAAGTGTGCTATAGAGTGATAGAATTAGGGGAACCATCTCTTTTTTTACATTAAATATTATGAAAAATATTTTATCTAAGAAAGAGTGTTTTAAATGATTAAGATGAAAAAGATAAATACTCCATTAGTAATAATGGCTCAACTTTGCTCATTTTAACTAACAGCAGACAGAGTTCCCTCCTTAGAGATATCAATATTTGAATGCTTTGGGGCAAAGGGAATAAGATAATAAAATTTAGATCCAAGTCTTACCCAAAGGCATCTACCTGTCCAAAAAAAAAAAAAAAAAAAAACCTCTTGAGTCCCCCTTTTCCTCAGAAAAAAATTCCTAAACCTAAATGAAACCGATCACTTTTTCAGGGTTCCCACCTAAGGACGTAGCATGCCATAGTCATCTCTCCTGTCTTGTTCTCCACTATCAGCCATATCCAATCCAACACTGTCTAGTGCATTCATTGCAATTTTATTGTTAGGTATAGTATGAATAAACTAACAGTTAGTGTATTCCCTGATTGGTTGGGTCACTGTGGGAGACAGAGCCCATTATCGAAGGATAGAAACTGAGCAGGAGCAAATATTTTCTTTCCTTTCTTCCAGAGCCATCAAGTCACTGGCTCACAAATTAGGCTATGGAACATGGATTCCCCAGCTAGGTCTTTGACTCTTGAGATGTAAAGATGCAAAGATGCAAAAACAGTTTGTGATTGTCCACAGTTGACATGGTGAGATTGAGAGTCCAGTGTGCTGTTCTTACCAGCCTATTCCTCTGGAATGACTTTGGCTGTTTTCTTGGCTACCTACTGTTCTTTTGTTCTCATGTGTTTTCCAACATCAATTTTCCCATTTCGCATCAATTCTGTTAGTGTCCTGATATCTTTCCAATAAATTCCTTATCTGCTGGGGTTGGCTTCTGTTATTCTCAACCAAGAATCTTGATCAGCACAATTGCTAAAGACTTTCAGTTTTCTTTCCTAATTATCTTGGAGACTCTCCATGTGTCTCAATCTTCATTACTACTACCATGAAAGTGCAAGCTAAAGCACCTATTTTCATTCTAAGGCAATGGCTTCTGACCTCTTCTACCCATATCCATGCATATCCTTTCAGAATTCATCTTCTACACTGCAGCTAGAGGGAATTCTTAAAAACAGAAACTGATAATTTCACTTGGCTTAAATCCTTTAATGGCTTCTTCTTTGATATTGTTTTGCTCTGTGTCCCCACCCAAATCTTATCTTGAATTATAATTCCCACCTGTGGAGGGAGGGCTCTGTAATCCCCATGTGTCGAGGGAAGGAGGTGATTGGATCATGGAGGTGGTTTCCTCCATGCTGTTCTCATGATAGTAAGTGAGGTCTCATGAGACCTGATGGTTTTATGTGTTTGACAGTTCCTCCTTCACAGGATCTCTCTCCTGCCACCTTGTGAAGCAGGTGCACACTTCCACTTCCGCCATGATTGTAAATTTCCTGAGGCTTCCTCAGCCATGGAACTGTAAGTCAATTAAACCTCTTTCCTTTATAAATTACCCAGTCTTGGACATTTCTTTATAGTGGTGTGAAAACGGACTAGTACATTCTTTTTCCTCAAAGACCAAGTCCCTATATGTATTGGTCTCTGCCTACATTTTCTTTTTTTTTTTTTTTTTTGACCAATTTAACTCTGCTCTCTGTGCTCTAACCTCACTGACTTTTGTTAAATTTTTCAGGTGAATTATGCTACTATGCTACCTATTGCCACAGGACAACTATCTGGGATTTATTTTTATTCATTCAACAAATATAACTTGAGAGTTCCCCTTTCCCCTAGTTAATTTCAACTCAAACTTAAAACCAAAGCTCAGACATTCTTGGAATCCTCAGTGAAAGCTGGATTTCTTTGTGAGAATCCTTTCTCTTTCTTTTGACAGCCTATGGGCATCAGTTGTAATCATATACTTGCTGGTGTGATTTTACGAGTCTCTGTCACCCTCAGTAGCCTGTAAGCTTTGGGTGATCAGGAATCAAATCTATCTCTTAACTTCCTGCTCTATGCTGTTTCCCAGCACAGTGCCTGGAAATTAATGAATAGTCTATTAATAGCTCTTAAATAAAACATTCATCAAATAATTCACAGAATATGACTTAGATTTAGAGGGCTATTATACATATATTTCTAAAGTTAAATATTTACTGTATGATTTCTCTTTGTTTTTCCACATTGTTCAACTTTGTGGTTTATCAATAGATTTCTGGAGGTAAAAGTTTCGCTCTCATTTGTGTTCTCATTCATATTTCCTTTGCCACAATATTTCTTGCACTATACTTCTTAGAAAAGCAATACTTGAGATCACGTATCTGTATTTTATTGAAGTTACTCAGTTTAAAGCCAGTCATCCTAAATCATTCTAAAGACTTCTAAACTGACCTCTACTAAGGAAAAGAAAATGCTTATTTTTTGAAAAATGGCAGCCTTCCTATTCCAGATTTTTTTCCAAGCTTAACATATAGAAACATTTTCTCTCCCCCTGAATTTTACTTAGTCATAAGTTTTTAGCTCAAGTTTCAATTGTAATAGCTGGAAAACATTTAATGCTAAAAAAATGAATGGCTGCTTCCAAATAACACACTGTTCTTTGAGAAAGATCACTTAAAATATCAGATTCATCTCATCTCCATTATCAGTTGTTCTGAAAGTCTCCTTTGAGTCATTTATCTTTGTAATCATTGTTTTCATCCATATATTGGCATTTAGACAGGTATTACAGATAGTATGTAAAAAAAATACACATGTATAAAAATGCGGCCATTATACCCCTACTAAAATATTGATCATAAAGGAACCAAATTCAATGTGTTCATTTTTATAATAACTTTAAAGAATTCATGCTTAATTAAAAGTGATATATAAATCATGGTGTTTGCTAGCACTATGGACTGTGCTGTTCCCATTCTGCCAAACTTAATATAAAATTAATTGTTAATTTTCAGACCCGTAGTCTTCTCTTCACCAAAAAATATGCTGATTGTTTAGACATGAGTCAGTGAATTATTAAACTTTATAACTGAGGGCTCTCTTTTGTGATGTCTTAAAGTAATTCTCAAGATTTGACACTACTCTCAATGTCTACATTTGCTCCTTCTATACACTGAAAAAAAATGTTTTGTGACACAACTTTCTAGATAAGTCTATGCATCAAGTGTATTTCACAGTCAGTTGAATGGTTACTATTTCAGTAAAGTGCACTTAGCATTAAGAGTAGCATGACCTTGTAGGGTGGCAAAGAAGGGTTTATCTTTTGCACAATCAAACACGACAGTGGACTAATCTAAATTTTTTTCCACTTTATAATACTCGAAGACCTCTAGGTTAGTCTGACCTTACATAAACAAATATAGCAATTCAACAGTCTTTCACATGCTTGTTCTAAACAAAACTTAAAGCCAAAATAGCCACCAATTCCAGAGTAACTGATGATTAACTTAGGGAGTACTTGGCTCTATCTTCAAGAAGGTTAACATGACCTGAAATGACAAAATGATTTTACTTACTTACATTGTATGCATTTCATGTGTTGTTAGGATAATGGTTATTTCACTTTTTGAAGGTCAGTCTGAAAAACTTGACCAGTAAATGTTTCTGTGGCATTGCCCTCTTTCAACCAGAATCTACAATTGTATTGAATGGCTTTTTATTTCTACCATGTTTTTTGGCCTTGGTAATAAACCACACTGACTCTCTCATTAAGTAGAAATCCAATTCCTTTTTTTCCAGGTGAAGGGAGAACATATTTCCCAATATTTAACCTCATGTATGACTGTAATGAGACCTTATTTTTTTCATATCTCTACAGCATCTCTGCAGAGCATTCCATCCTGCTGAACAAGGCTAGTGTATGTCCTTGCTTGTGCCAAGCTCTTTCCAGACTCTGTGTTCCTAACATTCCCATGACCTGGAATATCTTCTTTCCGTCTGACATTTTTCTTTCTCTCCCTTGTCTATAGTGACTCAGCACTTTTAATGATTTTCTATGTACCTCATTATTATGATGGATGAAGCCCATGCCTGGGAAACACCACCATAACTGCATGTAACCAGCACCTCTTATGCTTCTTAGAAATTCAGCTCTAAATCTCCCCATTCATCTTTCATTCAGGAAATAAAGTTGGAATGTAAGTGAGAATTACATACCGTGAATCAAATCTATTGTTTTAAATGAAATAATTGGCAAGGCTTTGCAAATTATTCTAGCAGCGAATTATCTATAGCCCATGCCACAAGTGTATCATGGCATTGATTGAAATGCACGGATCAAGTCAAATTGAATCCTGTTTATTTATTAAGACTCAAATCAAATCAACTATAATTCAGACTATATTCATTCATTCACTCAACAGTTATTCATTGCCTGGAACAGAAATTGCACAAGGTGTCAGGGCTATAAAAACAGATAAAGTAGTTATTCTCAAAATGAGCATGGGGCACTCCTCAGTTTTTTGTGACACATATTTTTGCACTTTTGAGTTGAGCGGATACAAAATCCTTCTGAATACAGCTCTCAAAGCAAAAACTCTATTTATTAGAAATAGCACAGAGATAGATATCTCCACTACAGTTAAACAGATAGACATGTAAATTAATAGTCAATCAGTAAACTATAATTTGCAGAGTTAGGTAAACAAGAGCAAAACTTTAATGCCTATTCATTAATTTAAAATGTATAATTTCTGTAGAACACCATTGGATCCTATGTGAGAGTAAAAAAAATAATCTCTGAATAGAAAGAACAAAGAATTTAGAAGGGGAGATAAAATGTACACCCAAATAACAAAAATATTAAGCCAATGTCTTTGTAGATATAATGTCCATGCATTAATTCCATGTTATTTTCTCTAAGTCATTATTTTACCTACTGCACTATGACTTCTGATCTATGCCTTAATCTTGGATCTTACTGGCACCAGCAATCATTCCTTAGTTTCAAGAAAAAGTAACTTTTAAAATTCTGCATCTTACTTGATCATTTCATAGAATTTAAAATTGAGAATCAAGGCTTCTCTGTTTCCAAGCACAATACTTCCGATTTACATCTTACCTTTCTGACAATTCTCATTCATATATTTTGATCCTTTTTTGTCGTCTACCCCTGACATTTGGTGTTCCTCATTGTCCTTCAGTCTCATGTCTCTTCTCTTGAGATATTCTATCTGATTTATTTTTTCTAATCTCAGGATGCTTAGGATTGAACAAGTCCACTAACACCATTCACTTCATAGTGTAAATGAATTGTCTTCCTAAAGTTGTACAGGGCAAAATCTACATGGCCAAACCCATACATAATTGTTCTCCATCTATTTCTAGTCTAGAAACTCAGTTCTTTTTCCTTGACTTCTTCCCCATGGTTTATTTAATCTGTTCCATGAATTAGCCTCATGTATAAATTTACCTGTACAAGCAAAGTTACAGAGATTCCTCTCCACATTGTGTTCCAAACTGCCGCCATCATCCAATTCTTGAAGCCTGATATCCTTACTTTGTTCAATATTTGGGTTATTATTCACACATTTATTTTCCCAAACTAGAAGTTTAGGAGCCAACTTTGACTTCTTCCATTTTCTCCACACAAATTCAATCAGTCAGTGTGTCTTGTTAAATCTAACTCTGAAATGTTTTTCGAGTCTGTCACATCTTATTCATTCTTTACAGTTTTATATATAGAAAACAAGTGGTTCTCTTAACTTTTCATCCTGTCCTTAATGTGTCTCAATGTCATGAATTCTTCTCTGCCTATTCACTTTTTGGTCTTTTCTCACTGTTTCCTGAAAACCTATCTTTGCCCCTGATGTTTTCTTTATGTGAGTGATGTTTCTTACCAAACTATTATAAAAAAATAATTTCCAGGATTCAATTCCAATGTGATTCCTTTTAAAACTTTTATTCTTTTAGTTTAATCATCCTCCATGAGATATTACCCTTTCCCTTCTTCTGTTTCCTACAGTATTTTATGTGTGCGCTAGCAAAACACCTTTGATAATGATCACTTCTTGTAAAATGCTTGTTTCCTTTAATAGACTGTAAATTTCTTCGGGGAAAGAACCAGGAGTTTTCTTTATTTATGTCTCTTTAGAATATGAATACATGATTAATATATAGAAGATACTTGAAACATTTGGGGGGAATTAAACTGCACTTCTAACGTTCATGTTAAACAACTAAACAGATGTTTTAAATATACAACACTAGGTGATTCTCACCCAAAAGGCATGCATATTTTAATGCATGATTTTCAGTGACTCTACTTATAAAACTAATGGGAAATTGACCAAAAGATGAAATATGTTTACCAGTTCCTGAAACTCACAGTTATTATTAAGCTACACAGTGATTTTAGGTGGTATTACTCACTTTGTTCGCACATTTTTTTTTTTTTGAGATGGAGTTTTGCTCCTGTCACTCAGGCGGGAGTGCAATGGCATGATCTTGGCTCGCTACAACCTTCGCCTCCTGGGTTCAAGTGATTCTCCTGCCTCAGCCTCCCGAGTACCTGGGATTACAGGCGCCCACCACCGCGCCTGGCTGATTTTTTGTATTTTTAGTAGAGATGTGATTTCCCCATGTTTGTCAGGTTGGTCTTGAACTCCTGACCTCAGGTGATCCACCTGCCTCGGCCTCCCAAAGTGCTGGGATTACAGGCGTGAGCCACCACACCCAGCCTGTTTGCAACTTCTAATGATTAAAATGAGAGAAATGTAGCTTTACTTCCTGAAAATTTACTTGCTTCTGTGGTCCACTCTCTTCCACTTTTATTCCATAATCTTGAAAATAAACTGTTCAATAAACACTACTGATGCCTTAAAGATAACTTATAATAAGTAGGTAACATATATCAAGTCACAATTACTTTGACTACCAACCCACCCTTCCATTTTGTTCCTGAAAATAAATCAGGAACAATAGATGAACTGTCAATCCCAGGTGTCTCTAAGGCAGAATATTTTTCTCTTGCCAGATCTAGAGTCATCCTTGTTCCCCTCATTCATATTGTGCTTAAACTTCGCAGGTTTCAACTCTATTTCTGCTCATCACAGTCTTCAAATTGGTTCTCTTTTTATTCTATCTTCAAACTACATTTATATCTTCCACAGTTGTTTCCCTTCATTTGATTTATGCAAGAAGAATTCAAAGAGCAGTGGAAGAAAGTTTGAGTAGAGAGTGCAGGATTAGAAACAATACAGAGGTCATGTGGGAGAAACACCAGACACTTGATACAATGTCCTTTTCCAGATGCAATGCCAACACATCATTATGGAGTCTTCCCAGGGCTCTCATTAACTACAACCTCTGCCCATGTTACTCAAAATGTGATTCAATTCAGTTATTCATTCAACATACGATAACTGTGTGCCTTGTATATGGACAGTCATGTTCTAAGCTTGAGGGATACTACAGAGCACAACATAGTTCCTTTTCAAACAAAGCCTTTCTTGTATTCCTATGGGAGAAGACAGGCAATAAACAAATAGATACATAGCACATCAGTGGGAGAAATATGGTTTTAGGAAAAAAAAAAAACCTAACATGGCAATAGGATGGGGAGATGGAGGAGATTGTGTTATTTTACATAGAATAGTCAAGTAAAGCCTCCCTTTGTGGGTGATATTTGAACAGAATATGAAGGAGGAAATGAGCCATAGGACTATCAGTGCAATGAATGAACCCAGCATGGGAAAGAATGAGTGCAAACACAGAACATACTCCAAGATCAACCACATGCTCAGACATAAAGGAAGAATGAATACGCTTTTGAAAATTGAAACAATGTCAAACATACATTTGGACCACAGTGGAATAAAAATAGAAATGAATACCAAAATAATCCTCAAAACCACATAATTGATGCATAAATTAAACAACTTGCTCTTGAATGACTTTTAGGTAAACAACAAAATTAAGGCAGAAATGGGAAAATGTATAAAATAAATGAAAACAGACACATGATATACCAAAATCTCTGGGATAGAGCAAAAGCAGTGTTAAGAGGAAAGTTTATAGCACTAAATACCTATCTCAGAAAGTTAAAAAGATTTCAAACTAATGATCTAACATCACACCTGAGGAACTAGAAAAACAAAAACAAACTAACTCCAAAACTAGCAGGAGAAAGGAAATAACTAAAATCAGAACAAAACTGAATGAAATTGAGACCTTGAAATCCATGCAAATAATCAACAGAATCAAAAGTTGGTTTTCTGAATAAACAAGATTGATTGACATCTAGCTAGATCAATGAAGAAGATGGTTTTCTGAAAGGATAAACAAGATTGATTGACATCTAGCTAGATTAATGAAGAAGAGAGATTTAAATAAGCACAATCAGAAAAAACAAATCAGATAAATTTCTGGAAACACACAAACTTTCTTTCACTGCTCTTTGAATTCTTCTTGCATGAAATCAAACATCACAACCAATCTCACAGAAGTACTATAGCATTATAGCATCTGCAAGACTACTGTGAACACCTCTGTGAACCAGGAAATCTAGAGGAAATTGATAAATTTCTGGAAACACACAGTCTCCCATGATGGAATCAGGAAGAAATTGAAACCCTGAACAGACCAATACCAAGTTTCAAAATTGAATCAATAGTAAAAACCTACCAACCAAAAAAATGTCCTGGACCAGATGGATTCACAGCTGAATTCTGCCACACAGACAAAGAAGAGGGAGTATCAGTCTTACCAAAACTATTCCAAAAATTGAGGCAGAGGGACTCCTCTCTAACTCAATCTACAAAGTCAGCATCACCCTGACACCAAAACCTGGAAAAGACACAACAAACAAAGAAAACTACAGGCCAATATCCCTGATGAACATAGATGCAAAAATCCTCAGCAAAATACTAGCAAACCCAATCATCAAAAAGTTAATTCACTATGATCAAGTAGCCTTCACTCCTGGGATGCAATATTGGTTCAACATATGCAAATAAATAAATGTGATTCACGACAGAAAAAAAATTATAAACAAAAACTATATGATTATTTCCATAGATGTGGAAAAAAACTTTAGATAAATTTAACATACTTTCATGATTAAAAAAAAAACCCTCAACAAACTAGGCATTAAAGGAATAGACCTCAAAATAATAAGAACCATGTATGACAAACCCACAGTTAACATCATACTGAAGGGGCAAAACTGAAAGCATTCCTCTTGAGAACAAGATAAGGACACCTACCCTCACTACTCTTTTTCAACATAGCATTAGAAATCCTATCCAATGCAATCAGACAAAAGAAATAAAAGGCATCCAAATTTGAAAGGAAGAAAAACTATCTCTGTTCACTGACTATATGATACAAAGCCCTGAAGACTCCACCTTCTATGTGTAGAAAACCCTAAAGACTCCACTGAAAGGCTCCTGGAACTGATAAAGGACTTTAGTAAAGTTTCAGGATACAAAATAAATGTACAAAAATTAGTAGCATTTCTATACACCAATAACATTCAATCTGAGAACAAAATCAAGACTGTAATCCCATTTACAATAGCTGCAAAAAAGAAAAAAGAAAATAAAATACGTAGGAATACATCTAACCAAGGAGCTGAAAGATCTCTACAAGAAAAACTACAAAACAATGCTGAAATAAATTATAGATAACACAAAGAAATGGGAAAACAGTCCATGCTCATGGACTGGAAGAATCAATATCATTAAAGTGGCCATACTACCCAAAGCAATCTACAGATTCAATGCTATTCCTATCAAACTACTAATGTCATTTTTCACAGAGCTAGAAAAAATTATACTAAAATTCATATGGAATAATGGAAGAGCTTGAATAGCTAATGCAATCCTAAGCAAAAAGGACAAAGCTGGAGGCATCACATTACCCAACTTCAAACTATACTATAAGGCTACAGTAACCAAAAGAGCTTAGTAGTTGTACAAAAACAGACACATAGACAAAGGAAACAGTCTAGAGAACCCAGGCATAAAGCCACATACCTACAGTCATCTGATTTTTGACAAACTAAGTTGACAAAAATAAGCAATGTGGAAAATACTCCTTATTCAATAAATGGTACAAGGGTAGCTGTCTAGATGTATGCAAAAGAATGAAACTACACCCTATCTTTCACAATATATAAAAATTCACTCAAGATGGATTAAATATTTAAATGTTAGACCTCAAACTATAAAAATCCCACAAGAAATTTGGAAAAGAATGTATGACTAAGTCCTAGAAAGCAATCACAACAACAAACTGAAAAGTGGTAGCTAATTAAACTAAAGTGCTTCTGCACAGCAAAAGAAATTATCAACAGAGTAACAGGCAGCCTAAAGAATGGGAGAGAATATTTGCAAACCATGAATCTGAAAAAGGTCTAATATCCAGAATCTACAAAGAACTTTAAAAATTCAACAAGCAAGAAACAAATAATCCCATTAAAAAATGGACAAAAGACATGAACAAACACTTCTCAAAAGAAGTCGTACAGGTGACCAACAAACATACAAACGCTCAACATCACCAATCATCAGAGAAATGTGAATCACAGTTATGATGGGATAGCATCTCACATCAGTCAGAGAGGCTCTTATTAAAAAGTCAAAAAACAGCAGGGCATGGTGGCTGACGCCTGTAATCCCAACACTTTGGGAGGCTGAGGCAGGCAGATCACGAGGTCAGGAGTTCAAGACCAGCCTGGCCATCATAGTGAAACCCTGTCTCTACTAAAAATACAAAAAATTAGCTAGGCGTGGTGGCAGACACCTGTAATCCCAGTTACTTGGGAGGCTGAGGCAGGAGAATCACTTGAACCCGAGAGGCGGAGGTTGCAGTAAGTGGAGATTGTGCCGCTGCACTCCAGCCTGGGTGACAGTGCAAGACTCCGTCTCAAAAAAAAAAAAAAAAAGAAAAAAAACTCAAAAAACAACGATGCTGGCAGGGCTGCCGAGAAAAGGAAACGCTTATACACTATTAGTGGGAATGCCACCAATGGTGGGAATTGGTTCAGCCACTGTGGAAAGCTGTTTGGAGAGTTCTCAAAGAACTTAAAACAGGCTGGGTATGGTTGCTCACACCTGTAATCCCAGCACTTTGGGAGGCTGAGGTGGGTGGATCACTTGAGGTCAGGAATTCGAGACCAGCCTGGCCAACATGGCAAAACCCCCTCTCTACTAAAAATACAAAAAAGTAGCCAGGCATCATGGCGCATGCCTGTAATACCAACTACTCAGGAGGCTGAGGCAGGAGAATCGCTTGAGTCTCGGAGGCAGAGGTTGCAGTGAGCCAAGATGATGTCACTGCACTCCAGACTGGGCAACAGAGCAAGACTCTGTGAAAAAAAAAAAAAGAACTTAGAACTACCATTTGACACAGTAATCCCATTACTGGGTATATATCCAAAAGCAAATAAATTATTCTACCAACAGATACCTGCACTGTCTGTTTATGACAGCACTATTCACAATAGCAAAGTCATGGAATCAACATAGGTGCCCATCAATGGTGGATTGGATTTAAAAATGTTATATATTTTATATATATATATTTTAGTTTACTATTACGTAGCCATAAAAACAGAATACTATGTAGCCATAAAAATAAATGAAATCATGTTCTCTGCAGCAACGTGAATGCAGTTGGAGGCCGTTATCATAAGTGAATAAATGCAGGAACAGAACAAATACACATGTTCTCACTTATAACTGGGAGATAAACTCTGACTACACAGGAATATAAAGGTGGGAGCAATGGGCCGGGTGTGGTGGCTCACACCTGTAACCTCAGCACTTTGGGAGGCAGAGGCAGGTGAATCACTTAAGATCAGGAGTTGGAGACCAGCCTGCCCAATATGGTGAAACCCCATCTCTACTAAAAGTACAAAAATTAGCTGGGCATGGTGGCGTACGCCTTTAGTCCCAGCTACTCAGGAGGCTGAGACAGGAGAATCACTTGAACCTGGGAGGCAGACGTTGCAGTGAGCCAAGATTGTGCCACTGCAACCCAGCCTGGGTGACAGAGTGAGACTCTGTCTCAAAAAAAAAAAAAATAAATAAATAAATAAGAGAACAGTGGACACTGAGAACTACCAGAGGTGGGAGAGTAGGAAGGAAGAAAGAGTTGGAAAACTAACTGTTAGGTACTATGCTCAGTACCTGGGTGATGGGATCAGTCATACCCTAAACCTCAGCGTTTTGCAATATGCCCATGTAACAATTCTTCACATGTATGCACTGAATCTACGTAAAATAAAGTTGAAATTATTTAAAAAAAGAAAAGAATGACTGCAAATACCTGAGGTCTTAAAGCAGGAGTGTGCTTGGCATTTATATCAGTCTGGCTCCCAGCAAAATAATTTGCGTAGAGTCTAATCAATACTCTATATAAAGAACAAAGAGAATATAAGAAAGTCATTGGGAAAAATACAGTACCTAGGGCTAATAACAGTAGGTCTCCATTACTGGTTAGGCCCAAAAGGGCGAGGGGTGAGATTAATTGTAGGAACCGGAGACAGAGAGAAATGTGTAAAGAGGGCTACTTTGTAGGAGTAAACCCCTTAAACAAAGGATGCCTGTGTCCTGCCAGCAAAGAACCTGTAGAGAGGGAGACAGTGAATATACACTCTAATCTTACTCTTGTCCTCCCTCTGATTTCTTGACAGTGCCCGCTATTGGCTGAAAACGGAAGGCTAAGGCACCTGTTGATAAAGTCCACGCCGTTCTCCCTCTCAGGGCACAGAAAAGAGAAGCACGGAGAGTGGATCTTCAGGGGAAAATGGAAGGTCTTTATCACAGCAAGTCTGAAGGACCCATGAGGCCAGAGTGCCCGGAGCCTAGTAGGCAAACGAGTGAACAGCAGGAGATGAGAGCAGTGAGGTAGAGGCTGGATCATGTGGGGCCTTGTTTCCATAATGTGGACTTTGTAATTTATTCTGAGTGACATAGGAAGTCACAGGGCATTTTTGAACCAAGGGGAAGGCAAGGATAGAAGCAAGAAGATCATTTAGGAACTATTGCAGTAATCCTGGTGAGAGATGATGGTGACACGGGCTAGAAAAATAGTGAGCCTGGCAGTGAGAAAAGCAATCATGTTCTGGATGCATTTGGAAAGAAGAGAGCTGTCATAGTTTACATATGTTGACTGTGAGAGACAGAAGATTGTCAAGGAACACTGGAGAGTTTGGGCAACATAAACAATATAGTTGCCATTTCGCCATTTACTGAGATGGGCAAGACTTCTGAAAGTGTAGGTTTCATATGGCTATTAGGCATCTAGGTAGAGATGTCATATGTGATTTTGGCAGAGGTTGGGCCTGGAAATATAACTTTGGCATTTGTTAGAATACAGATGTCAGATAAAGCTGTGGGACCTGATGTGATTAGGCAAGGATTTAGTGTAACTAAATAACATTACCCTAAAATGGACTCCTGGGAATTCTAACATTTAAACTTTAATAATGCAGGAAGGAAGCACTCAGCTAAAAAGATCAAAAAGGACTAGAATGTGTTATAGCAGGATTCTGGTGGGTATTGAGTGTAACTGAGTAGTGTAAATTGAAAACAATTTGGGTCAAAGAAGCCTGTAGCCATAATGAGAAAAATGATCAGAATATGAGAGTATTGATATTTTTGGTGACCTTGGGAATATTTAAAAGGTACAGAAATATTGACGTCTACATTTTGATGGTGATTAAGACATAATATTGATCTTACTATTTTTGAAATGTATAGTTCCTGCAACTTAGTTGTTAGATTATTAAACAGTTTTGGCCTAATTTTTCTGTAAAAAAAAATGACATTTCAAAATAGGTTGGTCAAAAACATATCTTGTACATAATCTGACCAAAAAATTAGATGCAGTTAAATCTTATTTCCTATTCAATTTACTTGATATTATCACATTTGACACTAGCAAACTATTTGGAGGAGAGTGGAAAGTTCTAGAATTGCCCATATGTGTCCTAAAAACAGGGTCAAGGCTGCAAAGATCTTTTCTAATAAATAATGAGCATTTATAAGATTCTGCTACTTTCCAGAGTAGGATAGACAGATCAGTGATCCCCAAAGATTTCCACATTCTATTCCCAGGAACCTATGAATATGTTACCTTACAGGGCAAAAGAGACTTTGCTGATGTGATCAAGTAATGGACTTTGAGATGAGGAAGACTATTCTGGATTATCCAGGTGAGCTCCATGTGATCACATGGGTCCTTAAAAATCAGAGAACTATCTTGGCTATGGTCAGGAAGATGAAATCTTGCTGATTTTGAAGACAGAGGAAGAGGGCCATGAGTCATGGCTTGTGGGTGGCCTCTACAAGCTGGAAAATGGAAGGAAACAGATTCTCCAGGAAGAAACACAGCCCTGCTAACACTATGATTTTACCCCTGTTTGGTCTGTGTCACACGTCTAATCTAGAGAAGTGCAAGAAAATTAATTTGTGGTTTCCATCTACAACATCTGTGGCACTGTGTTACAGCTGCAATGGAAAATTAATACATAGTGTCATGATTTTGTTTTAGATGATCATCTCAGTTGAATGAAGAAACAACCAAAATGGTGAATTTGAAGATTTCAAATGAGAAGCAGTTTCCTTCCCTCATATTGAAGTGTAGGTACGGGTCTAGAGTGGCCTGGACCCTTCCCCACTATACCTGAATGTCCTGAGAAGGCGATGTTTGTTCCCTCATTGTAGATGAAGAAACAGAGATATTAAATATATTTATAAGATACTCCAAATAACAGAATGGATCCAGCACTGAAACCCACTTTCCACCCTGCCCCCCCGCACATTGCCTCAAAGGCTTTCATATATATGAAATATATATGCTTAAGAAATCCAAGTAAATTTGGAAGAGGGATGATTACGCACAATTTCCTTTTGGCTGCCTGATTTCCTTTTGGCCTTCTGCAGTTAAGAAGTCCGCGCATTTGCATGGTCATCTTAACACATGAAAGGAACAAACCAATATAGTCTAATCATAGTAGCCTGCTGAGGTCACAACAAAATTGTCTGACCTCTGAGAGGCTCTGCGTTACACCTAAGAAAACAGCAATACCAGTAATTTGCTTTAAAAAAAAAAAAAGAGAAAGATGCATTTATCAGCCACAGTGAAAGATAATAGTCGGTGCCCTCTTCGTCTTTCCTGTCCCTTTAATTTTTTGCTAACAGGGGAGGAGAAATAATCAAGGGCATCAGGTGTAGGTTGCCCCTTAAACTAATTAACAGTCCTTTGGGGAGTTTCGCTAGCCTCCCTCTTTTGTCCAGTTACTGGCAGGAAACTGGGTGACCAGGTGGTTTTCTGGTGCTGTAACTTTGCCGAGGGCTGCTGGAAGTTGTAAAAAGGCTTTAACTTATCTCTTCTAGATCCTTGGGTTCAGCCGGCTCAACCTCTTAACCCAGGCTTTCTTCATTTCCCTGTCTTCACATGTCTATCTTTGATAAAGGAGAAACTGGTGAAAGTCAGCATGTAGATATTACCTCTTGAGTTCTAAGGCTCAAATTCAGTAAGTTATAGAGAAATCTGGTGGTGTTGCTTTTGTAGTATGAAGCCTAGTTCATTTTTATTAAAATATAATTGCCTTACCTAGGAGATGCTTGAGGAATTGGAAGGACCAACCCAGAGTCTATCTCTCTTTGTTGTTGCTTACTGAGTGTTCTCCTTGGTGGAAGTGGCTTCTATTCCATTATAGGCAGAGCACTGCAGGGCTGTTTATTTCCTGTATCTACAGAGTACAAAAATGGTTCAACGAAAGAAATAGTTGGGATTGAGGTATTTGATGGAAAGGAAATGGGAGTATTTGTTCGTTTGGGCCACGAGGCAAGTTCAAAGCGGGAGACTTTTGTTTTATAAAATGATGGTGAGCAGCTCCGGTTTTATGTCAAACATCAGGGTTTCGTGCAGGATATAAACATTTCCTGCTGGCCAAGTCTGTTTCTATAATGGTAACCCCATAGGTTCTGTGCTACTTGCACTGTAATTGTGCCAAGAGTTCCTGTATTCAACAGGGGAGGTTAAAAGTCAGTCTGGTTTCACAGCTGTTTTGGGTAAGAATTGGCTTTCCAGCAGCTCTGGAAACTTACAGTTATACTCCTCAGATAAACATTAATCAGTGGCTATAATTTCACAAGGGCATCGTGGAGTTGTTGGGAACGAAATTGGAAATATGCCTGTCTGGGTGTGTATTTCATGGTTGTGTGTAGGGACGCTCAGGGACATTAGTTTTAAGAAGGCCATTAATGAGTATAGATAATTGTAGAATTTTATTTCATAATTTCTTCAGGCACACATTAAGGTGAAAATGAGCACAATTGAAAGTTTAAATGGTAGACCTTATTTTCCCCTTGACTTTCGGTAAATTTAAAGATGGTTTATCTTCATTTTTTATTAATCTCAATTTGGCACTGATTCCCAATGCTTCAGCTTTCATTTTCTCTTTTCTTTAGTCTTTCAAGTAGTTATTGATTTATAAACAAATACTTAAATGTAAGGAAGATGAAGAGATTTTGATTTAAAGCAATCCTAATGGTGAAAAGAAAAATCATTTTGAGCTATAGAGGAAACTCCCTCCACAGCATCTCTTTAACCGTTTTGGGTTTTCATACTTCAGGTTGTCTTAAATTTGGGGCCATCTCTATTCCTTTATAGTTTTCCTAACTTGTGCCCTAAAAGATAATATGAGCTGTCTTTGATAAACCCATTTTAGAGCTTGCTCTGTGATCTGAATCACAAAGTTGACATTGAGAATTATGTTCTTCCCCTTGATAAAGGTTGCTAGAAATGGCAGAACAAACGTAAGAGATTTTTTTAAAGTACTTGAAAGACAGGACATCCCGTGGGCTTTTCTGACTGATAAGACATGCTGTACATATCTCTACTCAGGAGGCAGAGGAAAGCTTTGGAAAGAGGATGGGGTATAGTCATCACAAATATTTTAAAGAGACTATAAAAACATGCTAAGGACAGCCAAAGCTGTAATAAAAAATAGAAAACATCAACATAAATGATGAAATTATTATTACATTCTATCAATGTGAATTATCCAAGTCCTTTGATTTTTCTGGGAGACTACAAATGAAAAGAGGTATGTGCAAGAACCCTTCCAGAGAAGGAAGTCTATGTCCTCTTCCATACTATCCCCAACCAAAAATGAATGAGGAAAAATAACATGTAGTTATGTTAAGGTGTTTAGGTTTTTAACAAGAGAGAATAAGATTAAAAGTACCTATCAAAGTAATCGTTTTCAAATTGACAGTTGTTCAACGAGTACTCTAAAGTCCTGTATATGTTATTGCCCTTGATGAAGATGGGCCTTCCCTTGGTCTAATAAGAAAGGTATACTTTCCCTGTTTATAAATGGCATTTTCCATTCATGGAAGAAAAAACGTTCAGTCCTTTGTGATATAAGATTTGTCATCTGATGATATGGTAGCCCCTAGCTACATGTGGCTATTAGACGTTTAAAATGTGGCTAGTCTGAATTGAGATGTGCTATGAAGTGTGAAATATATGTAGGATTTCAAATCCCCCACAAAAAAAATGTAAAGTATCTCAATCATATTCTTATTTTGATTACATGTTGGAATGATAATAATTTGGACATATTTGGTTAAATACATACATTATTCAAATTAATTTGTTTTACTTTCTAACATTTCTATTAGAAAAAATTTTATATTACAATTTAAAGTTGCACAGGTTGCCCACATTATGTTTCTGACCTAGAAGCCAGTCTTAGATATTTGTATCTCTATAACTTTAGGCACTGAAGTCACTTTAAAAAAATAAAGGAAACAAGAGATTTCAACTCTAAGAAATGAAATAAGGAAGGATAGACTTTAACTTGCATATGTGGAGAAGAAAGTTCAAGAAAGAGGAAAAAGGGGAGCAATAGAGGTAGGGAATCAAGTGACTGCAGAAAACAAAGAGGATGGATCAGTTGATGAAACATCAATGCAAAATAACAAGAGTACCACAGTAGACACACACACACACACACACCATGGAGCTCCTATCGTCTTGATTTGTTGCCCTATACTGCAAATCTCATATATTTGATTTCCAAGTAAATTTAGCAAGGTCGATGAGTTTGCACCATTATTGCTCAGGAAATTTCTTCCTGTAAGTTTAGATGGACTCACTGTCATGGTACGAGTTATTATTATTAAGTATACCTTCAGCATTTTATATCTACTGAAGTGGTCATTGCTCATATTTTTTGTTATTCTTCTCCGTTGGCATCTTCCATGCACTCTGTATCAGCCAAATAGTCTAAGTCTGAAACATCAAAATGACTTGACAGATCTGCAGGCTCATATCTTGTTCCATTCTAAACCTTCAAAGTTATATGGAGGAAATATAATAAAAATTGATTCTGCAAAGATGTTCAAGTCCTCAACCTTCCTTACATGGTCAGGATAATAAAAAGATATATACCATACCAAAATTAATTTCCACTGCTCCCTTGGCCTTGGATAAATGAAAAACTATAGTTTTTAGTTTTATGGATCTCCTAGCCTTCACCAGCACCAGTGTTGAGGAAATTAAACAATTAATCTTTCTTTTAATTGTATAGGAATGTCAGTCAGTGAAGTAAACACAACTTATTCCGCTCTTGCTCAATGAAAGTTATCTACTGTGAAGGATTAGCTGCCATGTTCAACAATAACGAAGCTCTTGTTTTCCAATAAAGAGGTTAATTGGCTTCAGAGAAAATACGTGTACAGAACACATAGGCCTAATATTGGTTTTGCAAAGGCCCAGTGTGAGGGAAGTTAATGTTTCCTGTTTATTAGCTGTTTTACAACAATCTGCCCTTGACCAATAATTATGCTTACATAGCTGATGCTAATATGTGTCAGCGCAGTAGCTACTTAATGTATCCTCTGCACCTGTGTGCAATTGAGTTTGCCATCAACCCACAGCGTCCTTAGTCCTCACTCTTTGGGTGTTGTTTCCTGTCTCCAAATGGACTAAGCACCTGGATGGTGGAAACTCCAATGTCAAAAATCAGGCTGCCTTTCCTGGACCTGTTTTCTTAAATTCTAAATGTAGCCATCTGTTTTGCAGGTCTATGTGGTTAAAAATGAGAATAAGAAAAGTAGAGGATACTTTCTAAACTTAAAGAATTTTTCAAGGAAATTCACACAGGTGTCCCATACATATTCACTGGGGAGAGGCCTCTGGAGTTTTGAGAGCATACTGAATCACTGTAGGATCTTGCTAAATTGCAGATTTAAGCAGGGCCTGATAATCTGCATCTCCAACAAGCTCCCAGGTAATCCTGATGATGCTGATTCGTGAGCAAATGTTGAGTAGCAAGGCACGGGGGCTCCTTAGGATCACAGCCACTGTGATAACTACTTACTGATGTTTACTGAGGTACGATTAAGTTTTTACTTTCTGAGTAGCAACCACGCCTTCTATTTCCTTTGAAAAGACTCATAAAGCTTGCCTGCAGTGTAGCTCTGGACAACAGAAAACTCCTGGTAACTTTTGTGAAAGATAGATCATTACATGGCAACTCACTGAAACTGATTTTGTCCATGAGGATGCTCTAAGTCACATATAGCAATAGGCATTGGAGAGAAATTTAGGAAACAGGACTTAAAGAAATATGGCAGTGAGTGTTACCAACTGGGACAGTTAGACTCATTAACTCCTTGATTTCCCACCTTTTTCCTTATTTACCTTCATGTTACTCCCTCTCCTATAGATTATTTATTCCAGTTTGCTCACTTCACTTCATTTTGAGAGCAAGCTAACTAGGTTACAAGTGGCTGTTTAAAAAGCATCCCATGTAATAAACATGGCACATAAAGTTCACTGATGTCAAGAAACAAGAATCAGGAGCAGTAATGATCTCTGAGTCTTTGATCGTTTTAAAATATAGTTCCCCTCTGGGTTAAATATTTTTTATGGCTTTGGGAAATATTCATATTAATTCCTAAAAAAAATGATGACCAGGATGAAGAGCCTATATAAAAATAGACTGAAGGACAATCACCAGGCCGATTTTCTTTCATGATACAAGTTTTCAGTGACAGCTCTAAACTAGAAACTTTTCAATTAAGTCCAATCTGTCACGGTGGGGGAAACCGTGTGGCCGGCAGGCCTTGCAAAGAGATTTGGCAGTGAGTGGCCAAGTTAGCATTTCTAACTGAAAATATGCTGTATTTGTTTAAACCATTGCTTAAATAGCACTGTGTATTTTTATTCCTTTGTAGGCATTTATGCCATTAATTTATATGGTATGCAATTAGGCACTGCAAGCTCAGTATTGGAGTCTCTGTTTTTCAGTCTTTCCCCCATCTCTAAGTTTGCCTTGGTGGCAGTAAAACAGAATGATAAAATAATCTTTTCTTCCCATCTTGCTCTCTCTGCCACATAGGGAGAAATTTTTGTCCTTGAGAATGTTAAGTGTCCAAATCATCTCTGAGCCCAGTTCATGGTCAGCACTTGAAGGGAACAGTTTGAGACAGCAGAAGCCTCTTAAACCATCCCACCACAAATCTCTTACAATATAAAAAGACAGGAAATAATGCATCCCTCCCTCCTTCAAACTGTAGTGACATGATGCCATTATTGTAACATAAAGTACCTTCTTTTTCAAGGTTGTTCTTAAGAGCTGTGGAATTGTACGTTTCAAGAGACTGCATTATTAACAAGGTTTGTATTATAAAAAACATACAGGTCATAAATTAATGGCATCAATATCCCCTGGAACTAGATCTTAGCTGTGTTTAGATGCATTCTTATTTATATTGGTCTAATAACCAGGACCTTTCTCTGCTCACCACATTTCAGCAGTTTCGATTGGCTGTATCATTAGTTCAGTAGCCCCTCACAAGGGGCACGTCAATCACCTCATGTTCTCCTTCACCTCTCCCTCTTCTCCGTCTCTTCTGCATTCCCTCTCCCTCGCTGTTTTGTGTTGTGATTTACTTGGGATCGCTTGAACCTTTTTAATAAATAAGGTTATACACAAACCTAAGGTTGCAGGTGGAATCTCAGTTCCTTACACTCTCCACTACTCAATGTAATGTGATCAGACTTAGGAGGGGAGAAAGCCTACAAATACCGATACTTTACGGAGTATTCTTTCAACTGTTGAATGTCCTTTAATTTAATTCAGAAGTCAATCCAATGCATGTTTTCTTTTTTTTTTTTTTTTTTTTTTTGAGACGGAGTCTCGCTCTGTCGCCCAGGCTGGATGTTTTCTTTCCATTTATGAATTTCCACTTTCAGGAAGAGTTTTTAAAAAGTCAACAAACTCTTCCTGTTGTTCATGTGCTGATTATAGAGAATGTGTCTCTGTTCAAGGTTTAAATTTCCTTTTTGAGATTCTCAGTGTGACCTTCAATTATTTCTGTTGGGGCAATGACTAGAAATTCTTTAAAATAAAATAGTAACTGGTTGGGCCATGTGGATGTACTGCTCTGTGGGACATGGAGTAACTTACAAGTTAAGGATATGAGTAACACAGAAGATAACTCTGTGTTGGTGGTGCTGAATTTTGTTAGAGAACAAACCTCACCGAGGCTGACTTCAGCTCTACTATAAACATGCAAAGCAAGAAAATTGCATGTGTTTTGGACATACTTTGTAAGGCACCATAAGGTCTATTTCAAGAAACTAACATAACAACGGGTGATACTAAATGCTACTGAGGAACTTGCAATATTTTGCACATATGGACTGACTATGTGGCAGCATATATAAATATTTCGTTTGCTAATTGCAGTTAGTTATCAGATTGCACATGAACAGACAGAATGACATATGAGAAGTTCCAAGAACATTGTGTAACAGGACATACAACTGAAATATAGTTTTCTCACACTTGGTGAGATTTGAGCTCAGCAAACACAACTTATTCTGTATTCATTCATTAAGATTAAAATATTTAAAAAATCACCAAATTGAGAACATCGTTATGTTGTCATGTTCGAGGACCAATGCCAAAAAGAATGTGAGAAACTAGAGCTTAAGAGCCACCAGCTCACAAGTTGCTTGACATAATTTGGAATCAGTTGATAGTTCAATATCTGGTTTCCCCAAAAATTAAGTACCCAATACCTCTTTTTATCATTTTGGAGCTTAACTGATGAGCTAGTTAGAAAGGAGAGAAAGCAGAAAACAGAATAATTTTTAAAATCACAAAATCTCTAAAAACTGAAATTTCAAGTCAACTCTTTATAATTTTCAAGGCAAAACTGACAGAATTAGAAATGTTTACCATTGGAAGAGAAGCAACCATAAAAAATAACTTAATGCGCTTCCTGTTTTATAGATTTATACATCCATCTCCCATAGATAAAGTGTCTCTCCAAGATCCCAAGTCTAGTTTGTCAAGGATAGGATTCGAATTCTTACCTCCTAGACTTGTGCTTTCTCCAGCTTTGCATGCTCTCTTGATTACTATTAAACCTTTTCGGTTTATCTCTAGAATATGACTTGGAAGCCAAGGTGGTTTTGTGAAATGGGTCTGAGTTTTTCCATTGATGATATTTGAGTTCAAATCCTGGTTCAGTTTCATTGCCTTCATCTAGAAAAATGATAATTAGACCTTGTTTTCAAAAATAATTTTAACATTAGAAACGAAGTACGTACAATGCCTCAAACCTAAGATGTTCTGAAAATGGTAGCTGTTATTATCATTGCATCTTTGAGGCCTGGGTACTTAGTATGGACTCAATAAACAAATGACAGAATAAATGAAAAAAATAACAGATCACATAAGAATGAGTAAGTGAATGAATGACAATAGTAAGAATTGCCACTAAAAGATAAATGAAGAGGCCTGTGAATATTTTCTTTGGGTTCTCTCCATGTATTAGAAATGCTTTGTTTCCTTTTTGATTTCACTCATTCATCAAGTATGTTCTTTTAGCCTCTGTAGTGCTAGAAAACATGACCCAGAAAATTAGAAAATCAAAATGCACCGAATGGCTCAAAAATGTATATCAGCTCAGCACAGCCTAAATTGGAAAATCTAATTGAACACCTATCCAAACAGAGTTTTGTAAACCTTACCTGCACTAACTATTCAAACTCAAGCAGAAAACCTCTCCTAGGAATAGGCCAATTTAATTAATTTTACTAAGTAGTAGAGGGCAACATGGCCTTGTGCCAGGGTATTCCTTTTTACTTTTTAAATGAGTGTACACAAACGTACCCCTGGTACCATTTCAACAACCTCCTTAATCAAACTGCCTGTAGAAACTGGGAGTCTCCAATGTTAACTTTGCTAAGGTGTCTTTAAGACCAGAGAACAAGGAAGAGTCGGCAGTAGTACCCTGGAAATGCTAAATGAAACACTCTTCCTTATGTTCTTCAGAAGCTAAACTTTTACTACATAAAGTTCGAGATGAGGCAGCAGAGTGATCATAAACAATAGCTTTGCTGAGCTCTTCAACCCACATAATTTTCTAGCAAATAAAAGATGTAGAAGACCTGTGTGAGAGGAATATTCTACTTTAAAACGATGTGGCCTGAAAATTGAGGAATAAGTGAGATATCCTTTTTAATACTCCCTTAGTACTCCAGTCTTTTTAAAAAGCAAAGAAGTAACAAGGCAGGATGAAATACAAGAGAGCAAACCTGCATGGAAATTTGTATAAGAGCTTTTAAGAATATTGATATTTTTCTGCTATAGAAGAAATACTTGCACATTAAAAACAATAGGAATGAGAAGAAAAAAATTTTAAAAAAGGGAAAATCCTAAAACTTTATTTCATAAATACAAAGCCGATCTTGGTGGTTTTTTTGTCAGCTTTGAAAAAAAATCAACTTAATTGAGGCATAATTTTCATATAATAAAATGCACCACTTTTAAGTGTATATAGTTCAATGGTTTTTGATAAATGTGTACAGCAAGTAACCACCACCAAAGCAAAAAGTTCCTTCATTTTCCTAGGAACTCAACTTTACACCCTTATCCTTGGCCCTTGGCAGTCACCAATATGCTTTCTTTCTCTCTCTCTCTCTTTTTTTTTTTTTGAGATGGAGTCTCGCTCTGTCGCCTGGGTTGGAGTGCAGTGGTACCATCTCGGCTCACTACAACCTCCTCCTCCTGGGTTCTAGCGATTCTCTGGCCTTAGCCTCCTGGGTAGCTGTGACTAAAGGCACCCGCCACTATGACTGTCTAATTTTTGTATTTTTAGTGGAGAAATAGTTTTGCCATGTTGGCCAGGCTTGTCTTGAACTCCTGACTTCAAGTGATCCACCTGCCTCAGCCTCCCAAAGTGCTGGAATTACAGGCATGAGCCACCGTGCCTGGCCCAATATACTTTCTATCTTTATAAATTGTTTTCCCTTTTGTAGAGTTGCATATAAATGAAATCATACAGTACCTATTCCTTTAGGTCTGCTTCTTTTTCTCAGCATGTTTTTGATGTTCACTTATGTTGTAGTATATATTACAGATTTGTGGTTTTTTTGTTTCCAAGAAGTATTTCATTGTATGGATAGACCACAATTTATTTCTATATTTATCTCTTGATAGACTGTTGGTTTCTAGTTTTTTCCTATTATGACCACAATTCCTATGAATATTCATGCATAAGTCTTCATGTGAATATATGTTTTCATTTCTCTTGGGTAAATACCTAAGAGTAGAATTGCTGAGTTGTATAAGTGAATGTTTAAGCTCATAAAAAGAACCTGCCAAATTTTTTCCCAAGTGGTTGCAAAATTTTACTTTTCCCAATAGTAGCAAGAATATTTTCAGTTGCTTTGTATCTTCAACGACACTCTGCACCACCTATTATTTCAATTATTTGCCTTTTCCTGATGACTAATGATGTTAAGCAACTTTTTATGTTATTGTTCATTTGTACATTTTCTTTTGTGAGCCTTCTGTTCAAATCTTCTGGCTGTGTTAAAAGTTGTTTGCCTTATTGAGTTGTAGGAGTTCTTAATGTATTCTGGTTATAAATTATTTGTCAGAAATAAGTATTGTCAATATTTTCTCCCAATCTGTGGCTTGCCTTTTAATTTCTAAATGGTGTCTTGCAAAGACTGTAAGTTTTTAATTTAAATGAAATCTAATTCATCATTTTTTCTTTTAAGACTCATTTTTTGTCCTAAAAATTTTTGCCTATCCAATCATATAAATGTTTTGCTCCGTATTTCTTCTAAAAGTTGTAGCAAAAACTCCAAGCAATACTTTAACTGTATGCATTAAATTTTAATATGTTTCATTGTCATTTATATTCAATTTATTCTTTGTAGTTAACTTGTTATTTCTCCTTTGATTCATGGCTTACCTGGTGGTGTGTTTTTAGGGCTCCAAAAGTTTAGGAATGTTTAAAATATCTTTTCATCTAGATTTCTAGATTGATTTTGTTGTAGTTAGAAATCATACTCCATATGGTTTCAATGATTTGAAATATTAAGGCTTTTTATGGCTCTGTATATTATCTATCTTGGTGAATGTTATCTTAGAAGAAAGAGACTAGAAAAAAAAAAGAAATCTCAATCTTTCTTCAACTTTCCAGTAGATAAACTTGTTTCAATATGAAATATCAATTATAGATTGAGTATCCTTTATCTACCATGCTTAGGACCAGAAATGTTTTGGATTTAGGATATTTTTAGATTAAGAGATATTTGCATATGCATAGTGAGGTATCTTGGAGATGAGACCTAAGTCTAAACACAAAATTCATTTATGTTCCATATACACCTTACACATATAGTCTGATTAGGGATGCCTAACCCTGTATAAAATGACACAGCATGAAATTAAAATTTTGCTAAATTCATATGTATTAATAATTCTAAGAATATGAAATTAACTTGCAAATAGCATAATATATAGTAAATATTTGAAGATTTGTCTCAGAATAATAAATCAACAAAATGGACTTTGCCAAGTCTAATCTCACATTAAAATGTGAGTATTTTTGGAGAATACATAGCTTTATTCTCACATCTTTTAGTAGTATTACTTTGCCAAATAACCTGTCTTTCACAAAACTCTTTTAAAAAGAAGTATTCTGAACATTTGGCAGAAGTTTTAAACAATATGAGCCCAAAAGAAAGCTTATCTGACCAGAGTAGTTGGGAGCTGGTCAAATATGTTTATTTCATATAATCTTTAATAAAATTCTTTCCATGTCAAGAAAAAATTTCAGGAAAATCAGCTATTATATAACTGAAAAGTTTTATCTCACCAAAATAGTTGAAAAGTAGCAACAATTTGAGGTTAAGAGAGCATTCTACTAAATTCCCAAAGCTTCAGTGATGAAATAAGATTATAAAAAATAATGAGTGGTAGAAAGAAGGATGAATTTTCTACAGCAGATTTTACGGTCTTGTGGGAAATGAGACCATGTCTTCTCCATTACTTGCTAGCCAAGTATACACTCCCAGGTAGCAGGATTTCAGTGAACTCTGGCGGGCTATTAGACAATAAAATGAAACTATGTGCTAGCCAAAAATCACAAGTGACCACAATGGGAAGAGGTTGAATGAGGCAGCACAGCAGGGAACGGTTTGGATGCCATGTTGGGAGAAGAATGTTAGAAGCAAATTTTTCAGTGCCGCAAAAATGAAAGAATAGCACTCAAGTATAAATTTTCTCAGCAAGGCAATTTTACTTCTATAGAAGGGTGCATCTTGCAGGTGGAGCAATGGCAAGAGCACACCTGAACAAGGGAGGGAAAAAAAAGGGGTTTTTATTCCTGATGCAGGTAGCCCCTACTGCTGCATCATTCCTCTATTGGCTACGGTTGGACCACACAGTCTAAGCTAATTCCAGTTGGCTGCTTTAAAGAGAGCAGAGGTATGAGTTGGAGTGGTGGGGTGAGTAGTTTGGCAGGAAGAACGGTTACAGAACAGGTGACTCAGGATGAGTCAGGATGGAGCAGGTGACAGGGGTGACTCAGGTCAAAGCAGGTGACCAGGGGAACAGATGTGAACTACCGATTAGAACTGGTGGGAAAGTTGTTTACAGAAACTAGAGGCAAGGGGGCAAAGAGAATCAGGAAGTTAAACTTTAAAATGGAGAACAGATAATAAGAGAGCTGAGCATACTGACATACTGATTCTCTGAAGAGAAACTTGGAGTTCACTATATTTAACAAGAACAACCTTTGTCTGGGCCTGACAGCTACTGTACATAATTTACTTTTTCAGTAAATGTATCTGGGATTCTTCTCCAAACTATTCGTAGATTTTCCACCATTTGAATATTCCTTTTGAGTCCTCTATTGATGCCATGAAATTATATCTGTTAGGAGTCCACAATATTAAAAATCTTGAGTGGAAAGAGGGAAATAAAAAAGGATCTTTGCTTTCTTTTAAATTCAAATTAGCTTCCTCAAGCCACAGCTGGAATAGATTATTCTTGACCTTTCTTTAAGTCATAATTTATTTCTTTACAAGTCCCCACCATCAAAGTTTTCAGGACAGTAAGAAAAATGTCTGCTTCACAGAGTGGAGGACATGATTTGCAACAAACCATAATGATGATTTGCAACAAATTTGGGATTCTTTCCTCGTAGTTTTTCAAAATCATCAGGCTGATCACAATCATATTCAGCTAGTAAATTTGCTTTGGTTTCATCCTCTTTTACCCTTTCTTCTCCTGATTATCTATAAATTCTGACTTTTTCTGTGACCAACCTGATTATTACATAAAGTAATGCCTGTAAGCTAATAGTTCACATGTTTTCAATGCTACCTGTTTTTTAGAAACTATATGCTGTTGTGAAAGGAAAATATCTTGGGCCCCCAAAATCACTAAGGAAAACTCAAACTGGAAACTGCTTAGGGCAAACCTGCCTCTCATTCTATTCAGAATTATCTGTCTGCTCACTGACATGGATGCCTATCTGATTGCCTCCTTTGTAAAGGCTAATCAGAAAGTCAAAAGAATGCAACCTATTCTTTTGTGTCTCTCATCTGTGACCTGGAAGCTCCCTCCCCACTTCCAGTCTTCCTGCCTTTGCTTCAAGTTGTCCCACCTTTCGAGGCCGAACCAATGTACTTCTTACATATATTGATTGATGTCTCTTGTCTCCCTAAAATGTACAAAACCAGGCTGTGCTCCGACCACCTTGGGCACATGTTGTCAGGATTTCCCAAGGCTGTGTCATAGGCACGTCATCAACCTTGGCAAAATAAACTTTCTAAATTAACTGTGACCTGTCTCAGATTTTCTGGGTTCACACCGTTATTTATGCTCACAACACATCAGCAACCCCATGTAGCTGATGAGAAAACTAAGTCTAACCGATATCAAATTACACGTGCATACAAAAATAGTAATTGAAAAAATCATGTCTTGGGTTCAGGGCTCTTTGATTCCAGTCTGCTAAAAACAGATGTGACTAATTCAGACTTTCATTCACTCATTTGTTTATTCATTCATTCACATTAAGCACCCATTATATAGTAGGAAATATTCAAGATATTCAAGAAATGTAAAGGCATAAAAATGAATTAAAAAACACATTCTTACATCAAAGAGTTCACAATCTTTAAATAATTAAGTGAGAAAAAAGTTTTCAGCCTTGTGCATGTGATGAAATCACCTCCTTTTATTGTTTAATATGCCTGCTTAGATTTGACTAATGTATTTTTTAAAAAAACATTGTGCTGTGTTTTAGGTTAACTTTGCACCTGAAAAGAGAACAGTTACCTCTTAAAATTAGAGAACTATTGTATCTAATTGTGTAGGTAGTTACTATGGGAATGATTTTATGTAAATTTTATTTTATTATATCAGATTAAGCTAGTGATTAGGTAGGTGGTTTGCAGAGATACTAAGAGCCATTTCTCTAAAAGCTAGAAAAAGGAAAGCTGGGAAGTCAAGTAAGTAATAGTGGTTACAGTGTTTATTTTTAAATTTTTCTTTCTTTATTCATTTTTAAAATTTTTTTTTAGAAGCAGCATTTTGCTGTGTGCCCAGGCTGGGGTGCAGTCCTTTAATCATAATTCATGCAGCCTCAACTTCCTGGGCTCAAGCGATCCTCCCACCTCAGCCTCTTGAGTAGCTGGGACTACAGGCATATGGTGACATGGCTGGCTAGTTTTTTGATTTTCTTGTAGAGACAGGATCTGACTACATTGCTCTGGCTGGTCTTGAACTCCTGACCACAAGCCATCCTCCCACCTCGGCCTCCCAAAATGCTGAGATAACAGGCCTGAGGCATCATGCCTGGCTACAGGGTTTTTTAACCCTCCCCAATCTAATGGCTTGGAGTTGAAGTGTTATGAATTGTTATGTGTAAGTGTGGATAATGCAACACAAGAATCCAGGTAAGAGACAGAAACAAAAACAGATACAAGATTAAAGAATACTCAGTGTCCTTTGTACAGAAGGATTGTGTCCTTCCAGCCAGTCTTCCTGTCAGTAAGATGTTGAAAACTCAGAATGCCCATCAAAATACTACATCTGGGTTTAGATCTCAGGCAAATCAAAGTGGAGCAAACTCCTTCGTACTTTGCAAATAACTTATCACAAGAACTTGAGTTCTGGATCCTAAAAACTGGGAAGACTAATAGAAGAAAAAGTAAAGGAAGTAAAGAAAGAGGGTTTCTTTTACCTCTTTTGAATGCAGAGATGATCTTAGGCAACATTTGAAACAGAGTATGCTTTTGTGTTTTTTAACAGTTTTATTGAGACATAATCTACCTACCATATAATTCACCCATTTAAAGTGTATCATTCAGTAGCTTTTAGGATATTCACAGCATTGTGCAAACAACACAACAATCAATTTTAGAACTTTTTAAGAAAAGCACCACAGAAAGAAACCCTGTATTCCTTAGCCAATACCCTCCAATCCCTGCTTGCTTACTCTAGTACTAGCCAACCACTAACCTACTTTCCATCTCTCTAGATTTGCCTGTTCTAGACATGTTATATAAATGGTATCAAAAATATGTGGTCCTTTGTAACTGCCTTCTTTCACTTAGCATGAGGTTTTCCAGGTCAGTACATGCTACAAAAAAACAAAACAAAACAAAACAAAAAACTCTTTATTTCTTTTTATGGCCAACTAATATAAAAAGAAACTTCATTTCTTTTTGTGGCTAAATAATATTTCATTGTTATGTATACAACATGTTTTATTTATACATCCATCACTGAGGCACATTTTTGGGGGGTTGTTTCCACTTTTTGGCTATTTTAAATAAAGCTGCTACAAATATTTAACTCTAAGTTTTTACATGGACATATATTTTCAGTTCTCCTCAGTACATGGCTAGGAGTGGAATTGCTGGGTCATATGGTAATTCTTTGTTAATTTTTTAAGAAACTGCCACTTTTTTCCAAAGTGTTCGGACAATTTAGCATTTAGCAAAGTGCTTCACAAGCATTATCTCCAATGTGTTTTTTAAATTACTTCTTGGGAAAAATAAGTATGGAAGGCAGAATAGCGCATACAGTTTAACTTCTGCTTTCTATGTCCTGACACTATCTTTGGAGAAAGGTGACACTATCTTTAGAGAAGAGGTCGGATTTAGAAGATATGCTTTCAAGTCTCAGTTCCATATCCAGTAAGCTGGATGACTTAATAGATACTTAACTTTTCCTTGACTCAGTGTATGCATCTGTGAAATTGGAATATTGAAGTACTCCACCTGTTTTACATGATTGTTTTAATGGTGAAAAATAACAGATTTGAAAAGATTAATATGCTGTGGAATTGTAGGGCTGCAAAATTATTATTATTATATCTATTATCTATTTAAAGAATCGTGCAAATTTTTTTACTTATACTTAAATTTCCTTGCACTTATTCCCTGTTTTTTAAAAGATACCTGTTATTTTTTCTCTTAATTTTTTATGGGTTTTGCTCATCACTTTCTAAAGAACCCCAAGTAAGGGGTTTGTGATTAATTACACACGATGATGGAATAAAGTATTTAGGGATGAGAGCACCTTAATTTAATAACTGACCTTGATTTACAGACAAAATGTAATGCATTTTAAGGTAGAAGTCTGACTTAGCACAATGCCTGCCCTTCAAATTTGATGTCTCCTAGTATGTGCATTAATAATATGAAAGCTGTCAGTCAGACGGTTCTGATTGAAAATATCCTCCCAGTTGATTCACTGTCAACATTTCAGTCCCCTGAATAAACTCTCTTTTATACACAAAATCTAGAACAGGTTGCTTTCTGTATTTTTTCAAAAGGTTTTTTTTTTCTTTTTTTTTTTCGAGTTTAAACTTTTAATGGATTGAGCAGCCCTCGCCTAACAATCCCAGTGTGCCCTTTGGGGAAAGATTTCCATTTGCCTACTCTTTATAGCAATGCTCCTGAGCCCTCTGTGGCTTGTTTCCCTTGGAGACCATATTCCACGGTTGAGAGACCCTGTGATAGAATAATCTGATGACTGTGGCGTGGCCGAGGTCTGATGTGTAGAAGTCATTGTACCAGTTGACGGTTCGGTTGCTCTTTTACATTTTCTGGAGGAACTAGGTTGGAAAGAAAAACATGGAGGCAGAAAGCATGAATGATTTTTGTAGGTTTGGTCTTCTTAAAGCTGGCTTTGTATCTGTTGGAGATGACAGACGGGAGAGGGCTGATCCAGGAAGAACTGTTATTTCTGTAATTAAAAAGAAGCAGAATCAGAAGAGAAGAGCCATTGTTCAGGCTGGGTTGGAATTACAGTACATGCTTAATTACCAGCCTTTTTTCCTAGTTATTTTAATGTTTTATTAATCCTGTTCCTCAAAATATCTTCTTTCATTTACAACCACTGACAGAAAAAAAAATGTGACAATTTGTTTTCCTTTGTGCTTGGTAGATGGCATTCTCTAACACTATGGGTCAACATGACCTTAACTTGAGTTTTATTATGTGATACCTACAATGGTGTCTTATCCGTGCCTCCTACTCTTTTGTGTTTATATAATTTTTTTAAATTACTGTGGATCAGTGGACCTTAACCCTTAGAAGTCAAAAATCAAATTTTGAGTGGTTAGCAGTTATTTGCTTACATTTCTTCTGAACTGAAATTACAAAAAAAAATCACTTTTTTGGGGGGAGAGAGGGATAAAAAGTGAAGGAATTAATTGGTAACTAGTGGTGTTCATATGAATTCACTTACCATCTCAACTTCAAATAACTAAAACCTTGTTAAGGAAATAAATTGGATGTATTAAGGTGAGGCTAAAGTATTGGAGGATATTTACAAAGAAGACTAATCTACTTTGGAGATATTTTTAATATAGATGAGTTTTACTTCAGTGGTTCTCAAAATGGAGTCCCCATACTGGCAACAGCAACCGAACCTGGGAACTTGTTGGGCATGTAAATTCTCTGGTTCCACCCACAACTACTGAAGCAGAGTTTGTGGAAATGGGATCCAGTAATCTTTTGTGTTAACATCCTTTTCAGGGGATTTTGATGTTTAGGAGTTACTCCTCAGCTCATTGATTCTCAAACTGGCTTTACAGAAGAATCACGTGGAGAACTTTCCAATACATCAATGCTCAGGTTTTGCCCAAGACCACTTACATGAGAATCTTCTGGGAGTTGAAACCGGGCATATTTTTTACAGACTCCCCAATTGATCCTAAAGAGCAGCCAGGCCAGGGTACAGAAGAATATATCTCAACCCTAGTTGCACTTTACAATTTCCTAGGGAGATTTCAAAATGTCCTGATCTCAAGGTATCCCTCTATACATAATTAAACAGGATCTCTGGGGATGAGACTGCTATCTATCAGAAGTTCCTGTAAAATTATCCTACACAGTCAGGGTTGAGAGCCAATACGTTTGCTGAAGTTATTTGAATGGACTAAATGATCTCTCCAGATCTGTTCTCTTGATGCAGTTCTTTAAATTTTGTTCCCACTTAGCACATTTTTCAGTTTAGTTCATTTTTTCCTCTGACTTTGTGGCATTTTAATTTCCCATTGTGGTGAATTAACTAAATGTGAGCTTGTTTTTAACAAAAGAGGAGTCCATGCATGGACCACCATGGATAAAAGGAAAAGATTAGGGTCAGACATGCACAGGTGGTGAAAGCCAACCACATGAGGAGTTTTCAGGTTATATGATAATTGATATAATGGAACAAGCCCTTTCTTGAAACAGAAGCCATCTCCACATTTAGAGCAGAGTAAGAACTTGTCCAGGTTGCCTTCGGAGTCTCTAGCTCCATCACGCAAAAGTGAGTAAACAAATAAAATACAAGATATCCACATCTTTCCATTTTGAGCCCATAGGTCTATTAGATACCAAGCAAAGCAGACTGGTATTGATACTTTGTCTCTCCCAATAAACTAGTCAACACAAAGGCCACCTTAAAATATAATAACATACAACTTTGTTCTAATTCATCATGCAAAGTTCAATGAATGCTTCACAATAGGGAGTTTTCAAAGATTCTTTGATGAGTGGGATGGACTTTCTGAGTCTGATGCACAAACACTCATCTAGGTCATTCATAATTATTACCTCTTCTTAATTTCCTGTTAGGAATCTACTGCCAAACCCTATGTTTTCCTGAGAATGGCTGTGGAGGTCACCATTTATCTTCTATTCACATTTGCCACTACTCCAAGTCTCCATCTCCCAAATCAGTATTACTCTCATCATCTGTTTAACATGCCGTTCTGCCCCAGTGTGTCCTACTTCTGATATCATCTTGCAAACACAGCAGCCAGAGAGAATCATACTAAAGCACTGCTTTGTCATGTTACTACCCTAAAATGGCTCCAAATTTCCTTTAAGGTAAAGTGAAAGTAACTGTGGATCTCAGATTCTCCCTAAATGAATGCAATCCTTCTCTCCAATTTTTATGCTGGTTCCTAAGGCAAACTCGTAGCTCCAGTGAGCTGGTCATCTTGTTCTTTTCCATATATGAAAAAATTCTGTTGTCGTGACATAGAAGCTCAGCTGTGCCTTCTACCACCCACCTAATGTCTTCGTCTATCCAAGTTGTATCTACACTTTTGAGTTCAGATAAAATCTCAAATCCTGCATCATATCATTTGTTTCTCTTTGAGGTTCTCTGAGCACTAAAATTCTCAACTTCTGCATTCACTGGCCTTCTTCTCCTATGCCCTGCTGGTGCACCTAAAGTTCTTATCACAGAAATCAGTCCTTCATTGCCCTTTCTGTGGATAAAGATGCTCTCATTCAAGATAAATTTTACAGAGCTCCTTCTTCAATTTCAAATGTTTCCATTTATCTCCTAAGTAAACTGTAACTTCCGTGATGGAACCCACATTTTCATCCAGTGCTAACTTTATAGTAGGCACGTCTATGGATTTTACATGGATTTTTTAATATTATTTCATCCATTCTTACTAATCTAAGATGTAAATATTATTATTATCTGAACTTCACAGATAAAGGAAGTGAGACAGTGAAGTTGTAAAAAGCCAGATTTACCCTAAAGAAAGAGCTATCAAGTGGAGAAGCTAAAATTCAGATTCTCCTCTCATTCCAAAGCCCATGATCTTTCCCTGACAATATCAAACATCTTCCAAACTATCCTTTAAATCTTTATGACTGAGTTTAAATTATTTAGATGTTTAGAACAAAATACCATTTTGTAACAAGAAGTTTTTTTTTAAATCTCAAATCTTTCTTAGGCAAACAGAATTGCAGTTAAAAAATTAAAAAAAAACATGAATGTTATGAAGTAGAATAAATAATTTTCTATTAAATAGAAATGGCTAGTGTTGATGATCATGGCATGTTGCCAGTGTGTAATGAGTCTGAGAAATCAAAACCTCAGAAGCTGAATCAAGCCAAACCCCTGAACTGGCTAAATGATATATTCTGAAGGATACATGAGGAGGAAAAATGAAGGGTGGGAGTTTTCCAAGGTTAATTACAGAACAATCATCTAGGAACAAGGCAGTGAGAACAGGGAGGTCTGGTATGCAATGTATGCTGAAGGGCTGGAACCAACACATTGAAGATATTATTCAAGTACAGTTCATTATTTAAGAACCCATTGCCCTCTGAATACTTTAAAGGTCGGGGTCAACTTTATACCAGACTTCATTTGCATTCTTTGTTAATTTAGAAATGTTCTCTTGAGTACCTCTTTAAGCCTCTCATTGTATAGTGTATAGGTACTCTATTATAAACATTCAGATTAATCAGCCAACTTTACCCAGGCCATGGTCTTTTTCTTGGCATTGTGCTAGGTGACCCAGAAAGTGCATAAATGTAAGATATATATGATATGATATTATAGATAGATGAATAGATACTATTTATTAAGCATCTATTATATGATCAATACTTATGATATTTTCCATAACCTTCTGTTACATGTGGAAGGTAGAGGGAGTAGCAGCTTCCATTTTACAAACAAAGAAACTGAGGTATAAGATTTTTCTGAATTTCTTAAAAGTCACATTACTGTAAAGTGGCAAACTCAAGATTTGAATTCAGCTCTCTCTCTCTCTATTTTTTTTTTTTTTTTTTTTTTTTTTGAGACAGAGTCTCTCTCTGTTACCCAGGCTGGAGTGCAGTGGCGCGATGTCGGCTCACTGCAAGCTCCGCTTCCCGGGTTCACGTCATTCTCCTGCCTCAGCCTCCTGAGTAGCTGGGACCACAGGCGCCCGCCACCACGTCCGGCTAATTCTTTTGTATTTTTAGTATAGACGGGGTTTCACCGTGTTAGCCAGGATGGTCTCGATTTCCTGACCTCATGATCCGCCCGCCTCAGCCTTCCAAAGTGTTGGGATTACAGGCATGAGCCACCGTGCCTGGCCTCTCTCTTTCTCTTTTAAAACTTGATTTTCTTTTACCTCAAGATAAATTTCATTACGCTGGGGAACAAACAGCTCCAAAATTTCATCACCCAGCAACTCTCCAAGGCAACTGTCCTCTTGTGGAGGCTCCGCATTGCAGGCTGCCAGGCTCGCAAAGCACCTCCACATCTACAGGAACTCTCCAAGGCAACTGTCCCCATGTGGAGGCTCCGCATTGCAGGCTGCCAGGCTCGTAAAGCACCTCCACATCTACAGGGGCTTCCACAGCGGGGAAGAGTGTGGGGAGACACACACCACTCTACATGCCTCAACTCAGAAGGGACGCCCTCCATTTCTGCTCTCATTTTGTTGCCCAATGCAAGTCACATGGAAACACCTAAATTCAAGGAGGTATTTGCTTGTGATATGGAGAGGAGGCAGGGAAATACTGGGTAGAAGAGGACAGTTCCCTGGCAAAAGCAACGGTAGTAGAACAGTGGGGAGAGGGGGAGGGCATTAAGCAATTTCAGTAATTCAGGATGAGATAATTGCATCTTGAGCCATTGTAATTCCACTCTCAAGCCTGGAAACCCATGATCCTAATTAGGAACAGGCATTCTTGTTTTCAAGCCTAAAAGTTGCCTTTTGGCCCGCCCCATTCCCCTCTTCTCTACCCATATAAACCCCAAACCCCAGGCTCCATGAGCAGAAGATAAGAGGGGCAGAAGAGCAGCAGAGTAGCAGAGTGGTGTGGCAGAGAAGGAGAGGAGAAAAGGAGTATCTGAACATCGAGAGGAGTTTGTCTGGGGGCATTCAGAGAGGAGATCAGCAGCAGGAAGGCTGATCTGGTGAAGATCATCTTCCCACTCCATCCCATTTCCAGCTCCCCATCCATCCCGCTGAGAACCACCTCTATCCAGCAATAAAATCCCCCACATTTACCATCCTTCAATTTGTTCATGTGGCTTGATTCTTCCTGGATGCCAGACAAGAACTTAGGTAGCAAGAGGGCACTGAGCCGGCTAACACTTAAGCCATCTGTGAATGACAGAGCTAAAAGAGCACTGTAACACACCCACTGGGGCTTTGAGAGTCACAGGCACCCACGCCTAGATGCTACCATGGGGCCACAGCCCAGAAGCGCTCACCCTGGCTCCTGCACCTGCCCATCTGTGTGTTCCCCCTCCCATAACGGGTTTGAGTATGTGGCAGCTGAACACACAAACCGTGCCTCTGTTGCATGTCCTGTCAGGGGAGTCAGGGAGCTCTCTCATTTCACTTGGAAAGAGATAATGACAAATCTCAAAAATATACATTATACCTCCATGAAATACATTGTATTACAACAATATACCTCAACAATTTATATTCTGTTTCAATTCAATAGGTAGGTAGTAAGTCTTTACTTAAAATGTTTTGCTAAGAGCAAAAGTGATAGGACTTGGTTCCTGATATGAAGGGATTGACAGTCTGATAAGGATAGTAAATCCTATAAAAATAAAATGTATTAACAAAGAAGGACAAGGAATATTTGAACTCAGAAGAAATAAAGGCAACTTGGATCTGGGGATATTAAGGAAGGTTTAAGGCATTTAAATGGTTTTTTTGGAGAATTAGTAGGATTTTATTAGGAAATACAAGGAAGAAAGTCCTTCTAGATGAAGAAAGAAAAGGGATAAAGATGTAATAGGACATTTTACTTGTGGCATAGCTACCAAGGGCAAGTGACTTAAGACATCCTCCTCCTCCATCCCTGGGGCAAAGCAAGGCTTCTTCAGTGGTGATGGGAAGGGACAGGAAATTTGTAAGAGTTCCCTGCCCTGTGACTACCTGCTTTGTCTGGTTTTTGCTTTCACACTGCTTCCATTAACATATTTTTATCATAGCCAGCACAAGGAATATTCTAGAGTATTATGTTATTTTGTGTTTAAAGGGTCCTACTTTTGGAAAATATTTATAAGGGGAGATGACCCTCCTGGCTCCATAAACAGCTACTCATGTGCCCCTTCCCCAACATATTCATTCACTTTTGGGTTTGGAGGCCACTGAAAAGTGGCCTGAAACTGATTTCTAATTAACCAACCCAGGAAGCTGAGAAGTCACACACAGGTAAAGGGATTGGACCTCTGACCAACTCGGAGATTCATGGAGAACATGTCAATGGAATGGAATAGCTATTGTCCCAAAGCCAGAAATGATAACGGAAATTCTAATAGAAAACTTACTATATGTAAACAGAGATTTTGAACTGAAAGGCTGGACTCAATGTCCAAGATATAGGTAATGCATGCGCCAGGTATATACTCAACTACTATGAAATTATTCCTAACTCAGGCCTGGAGATGGGTTATGGAACCTGGAAGAAACGCTCAGTTGTCTGATTTGAAAGTGCAAAGGCCAGTGCTTACTCAGAAACACTGCTAAGTGTCCCACAAAACTGGTGAAACCATTTAGAGGAGACCCTCAGGAAAAATTCTGTGTGGCAGCCACAACTGCCATCCATCTAGCTCAAGTGGCCAGTCACACGTCACACTTCCATTGCATCAGGTTCACATAACCTTCTCATGAAGTAAATTTTCTGGTGATGGAGAGACAGATCGTATAGAAATACATGTGTATAACAGTTAGTAAGTCAAATGATAGAAGTTGCTGTGGAGATAAACATGGCAAGGAAAAGAGGCAGGGCACATCTGTGAGAGTTTACAATTTTTAATAGAATGATCAGAAAAGATCTCACTGAAAGGTAAGTTTGATAAAAGGTTACAGGGAGTGAGGGCGCAAGCCCTGTGTTTCCTTAGGGCAAGAACATTTTAATCAGAGAGAAAAGCAAATGAAATTTCTGCAACAGAAGCATGCATGTTTGTTTTCAAGGAACACTGGAATCTAGTGAGGCTGGGGTGGAGTTAGCAAGGGGAGAGTTTACCAAAAGAAGTCAGAAAGACAGCAGTTTGTGCAGTGCATTATAAAGACTTTGGCGTTTACTCTGGAGATCTAGAAACTTTTTAAAACATTTTGAGCCAAGATGTGATATGAAAAGGCTGACATATTTCAAAGGCTCTCCCAAGCCGCCATGTTGAGATTAGACAACAGCAGAGCAGTAGTACAACGGTGGGGAGTGGGGGAGGGCATTAAGCAATTTCAGTAATTCAGGTATGAGATAATGGCATCTTGAGCCATTGTAATTGTGGAGCTAATGAGAGGTGGTCACATTTTAGATACGTTTTGAAGGTGAAGTTGTCAAGATTTGCCGAGATTTGCATGTGAGATGAGAAACAAGTGCCCAGAATTACACCAAAGTTTTTAGTCTCAGAAATGGAAAGGATAAAGTTGTCATTAACTGGAGTGGGGAAGACTATGAGAGGAGCAAGGTGTGGGGAGTAAAATTGTGACTTATGTTTTTGGAACATCCAAGTGGAGATATCAACTTGATGTGTGAATCTGAAGGTCAAAGGAGAGGTCCAAGCTAAAAATGTAAACTTAGGGGTCATCAGGATGTGGATGGTATTTTAAAAAATAAGCATGGACTATATCACTGAAGAGTCAATGTAATGGGAGAGAGGTTGGAAGACTGAGCCCTGGACCACTGCAATATTTAGAGGTCTACCTAGTTCTCGAAAGTCAGCCCGGAACCAGATTTTACAGGGTAGACTGGGATATACGCCCCATAGTAAGATATCAGTTTAGGTCTTAGTCACATGACGATGTCTGTATGCTTTTACAACCCTAGATTAAATGCTTGATATGAGCCACAGCCCCAAACAATGATAATCAGTAATATCTTTCAAGCCCACCCCAGCCTCCTAAACCCTTAGACCATTTTATATAAACACTCTTAGGCTTTAGCCCAGTTGCCTATTCATAGCTTTAGTCCCACTTAACACTTTGTGTTGTCTTCCATTTATGTACATAGAAATATTTGTTTACCTTGTTTGTGAGCATGATTGTGTAATTGATTTCCATTTTGTATTTTATCTGTGCATGTGCTTGAATCAGAAGTATGTGACGGAATAAATTTACTAGTCCATCTTGACCTCGTCTTTTCATAGGCATTCAGTACAGTTGGCTTCTTCTTTCTTGCTGAACACTTTCTTGGCAATGGCTTCTATTCCACCACATGATCCCCATTTTCTCCTGCTTTCAGGGCTATTTCTCTGGTCCTTTGCTATTTCACTTTTCCTATCCTAGAACTCTAAATGTGGGAGTTTCTTAGGGCTTATTCTCCAAGCCCTCATCTTCACAATCTATACTCTCTCCTTCAACAATCTCATCTGTACATCTGGTTTGAAATACCATTTATATGCTAATTACTTTCATATTCATATCTCCCTTCCCGGCCTCTCTTCTAAACTCCAAACTTGAATATTTACCTACATACACATTTGATTCTTAGAAGCACCCCAGATTAGAGTTGTTCAAAATGAAATTTTTGACCTTTCCTTCCAATCTAGTTTTCTTCCAGTATTTCTGATTTTAGCAACCACCCAGTGGTTTATGCCAGGAAGAAGCATTTCATCTTTAACACTTTTTTCTCCTTTATTTCCGTATTCATATCACCATAAAATCTTGCAATTCAACCTCCAAAATATATGGTAAGCCCATAATTTTATAAAATATCTATGTAAGGCAAAGCCTGAAGTTCTGTGAAACAATATGAAGCTAATGGAGCCTCTTAGAAGTTGCACTGTAAATGAGTATCATTTGATCTTGGATGAAACAAAATAAAAATATTACACCTAATTCCTTTCTTTTGGGATTGAAATGGTAAACTTCTAAAGTTAGAACGGACTTTAGGGGCATCTTGCCATATTCACTGTCTTTGTAATAAAAAACTAAAACCCAGGGAGAAAAGTGACTATCTGAGGTTCCTACAATTAGTAATGAAAGAGGATTAGCACCTACGTCTCCCAATTCAGTCCAGTGCTCTTTCACAGCACCAAATTGGCAGACATCCATGACTAAGCTCTGATAAATATGAGGCTTATGCCATACAAATAGTCTCTTTTATATCTGTTATTTCCTGAAAAAGTAAGACAAAAGTGGCTTTGTAGGTATTTGCAGCTCTGTATTAGTAGGGTGGATTTAGTTTTTGTCTTAGCATAAACATGATTTTACTTACGAAACACTGATCTTAAAACAAATAAGCAAACTAACAAATGACCTAGCTTAAATATAGCTCAGGCTAAAGTAATGCAATTATTTTAGGTAAATGGTATTTGTATATTTGTGTAAGGTCTAAGATTTTGGAAGAAAACTTCTGGGCAATCAATGGCCTTTTGCCGTCTCTACCTCATCTCTTCCTAGACTCCATTACTGCTTTCAGAACTATTCTGTTATAAGCTTTAAAAACAGATTACCATCCTTTATTTGATACAGAAGATAATCCTGTTGATGTTTTTGAAACCAAGTTGTCTACAAATCTGATCCACTTAAATAAAATATGATAACAAAACTGTGCCTGTCAGTCTCTGAAGAAACTGAGAGTAGAATTAACAAAATGTAATTAAGGTAATCCAAGTAAAGATTAAGGCAGTCGATGACAAAATTATTTTCCTATAGAATAGAGTTGTATTTCTGAGTGGAAGCTCAAATTCTCCTCTCTTTACCTTGGTGGAATCCTATTATTACTTTGATTCAAGTATATCTTTGCAATTAAACTGCTATTAATTATATGGAAATGAGACAGGAAAATACTGTGTAGAAGAGGGCAGTTCCCCTGCAAAGGCCCCACACTCAAGCCTGAAAACCCATGACCCTAAATGGGAACAGGCATTTCTGTTTTTGCACCCAAAAGTTGCCTTTTGGCCCACCATGCCCCCCCATCTTGTACTCATATAAACCCCAGATCCCAGGTTCCAGAAGCACACAAGGCAGAGACGAACAGAAGAGTAGAAGAATGGCAGAACAGCACAGCAGAGAGAAGAGAAGGAACATCCAAATGCCAAGAAGAGTTTGGCTGGGGGCGGTCAAAGAGAGATTGGCTGCTGGATAGCCAAACTCCAGAAGATCATCTTCCCACTCCATTCCCTTTCCAGCTCCCCATCCATCGCACTGAGAGCTACCTCCACCACTCAATAAAACCCCTGCATTTATCCTTCAAGTCCGTGTATGACCTGATTCTTACTGAACATCAGACAAGGACCTGGGTACCAAGAGGGCACTGAGTTGGTTAACACTTAAGCCATCTGCAGATGGCAAAGCTAAAGGAGTGCACTGTAACACATGCCATGCCAACTTTGGCTTCAGGAGTTGGAGACACCCACCCCTAGATGCTACTGTGGGATTGGAGCCCCAAAGTGCTTGCCCAAGCTCCTGCACCTACCCATCTGCATGCTCCCCCTTCTGTAAAGGGTTTGAGTGCATAGCAGCTGAACACACAAGCCACACCCCTGTTGCACATCCTGCAAAGGGCGTCAGGGAGCTCTCTTGTTTCACTAATAGAAACTATTAGAGTGAAATCCTATATTATTTTTAAATTCTAAGCTTGAAGTTTTAGATAAATAATATTTATCATAGGAATGGGACTATGCAACTTAGTTCCATTAATAAAAATAGTGAAATGAAGTCTATTTGTTTTATCCAATGTAAGAATGTTTAAGAATATGCCTTTAATTGACATCTAACTTTGGACTTTGGCAAAAGAAGAGTCATTAAAACAAATACTGTTTATGTTGTCACATACCTAATTTTGGCTGCATGTTTTAAAATCATATGGTTGTGGATCATCAGGGTTAAGGGTATAGACTTTAGGTTCAGAAAAATCTGGTTTAAATCTTGCCTCAGTCACTTCCTCATGATTGAACAAATTACTTAATACTTGTAAGTCTCTTTCAAGTCATCTGCAAAGCTGTAATAATTATTTCTCCCTAAGAATGTTACTGTGAATATTCAAGTAGATAATATATTCAAGGTCTTAAGCACAGTACTTAGCACATAGAAAAGGATCAAACCATAAATATTTATATGTGAATAAATTAATGAATGAATGATATAGGTGAATCTTGCTATTTATATTTATGGCATAAAAAGGAACCTGAAATGTAATGTATACATTTTATATCCTGGTGGATTTGTATTCTATTAATGATAATAATAGTGATAGTCACCACCTTTTGGTCTCTCTATTAGTTTCCTGTAACTTCTTTAATAAAGTACTACAAACTGCATGGCTTAAATTTGCAGAAATTTATTCTTTTACAGTTCTGGTGGTAAGAAATCTCAAATCAAGGTGTTGCCAGGGCCACACTTCCTCTGGAGGCTCTAGCAGAAAATCCTTTTTGTGCCTCTTTCAGATTCTGGTAGCTGCTGGCATTCCTTGGCTGGGACCATATTCTAATTTCTGCCGCCAGGGTCACATTGGCTCCTCCTGTTCTGTGTCAAATATCTCACTGTCTCACCTTTATAAAAGCACTTGTGATTGGATTTAGGGCCTTTATAGATAATCCAGGATGATCACCTTATCTAAAAAATCCTTCACTTAATTACATCTACAAAGACCCTTTCTCCAAATAAGGTAACATTCACAGGTTCCCAAGATCAGAACATGAACATATCCTTTTGGGGGCCATCATTCAACTCACTATAGTCTCTAGAGTTTGGCACCAAGAGTCACAAAATGGATATGCTTAGACCTTGCAATCTATTTATAGATATGAAAACATAATCACCACATAATATAGGATGTTTAATAGAATTATTTACAGTGTGCTAAGAGAAGAGAAATGATAAACTGACTAATTTCATCAGTAAAGCCACGGAGAGATTCATAGCAAAATTGCATTTGAGCTGGATTCTGATGGATGAGTAGGTATTTGTCTAAGAAGAGAAGAAAAAATTGTATGTTCAAATCTCAGGGAAGACCTCAAAGTAGAATTCTAAAAATATGTGGTGGGTTACGGAATAACCTGTATGGTGTGGGAGTGGGCTAGAATGTAGCTTGGTAAGATGAGCTCGTCTCAATTAGATCGAGACTTGTATGGCAAGATAAAGGGTTTTAAATATACCTGCAATCAACAAAAAATTCCTGGTACTTTTTTTTTATACAGCCAGAAAATGTTATTATCTCTTCTTCCCATGGAGGTTGGAATGGAGAGAAGACAGCAAGAAGTCTTGACTTTCAGGTAGAAGACACAATAGTCCAGGGGAGACCTAAGGTAGTGATAGTGAGGATAGAGAGAAGAAGTATATTTCAAAGCCGTGTCTAAGGCTGTAATACTAAGGCATATGCATAGAGAGGTCTCTCATTTGGGCAACTGATTAATACTAATAATAGAAATAGGGGCTAACATACAAATGCCTAATGTCCCCACAACACTAAACCAATTATCATTACCTGAGGCCATCATGTTCCTTCAGACTTCCACACTATGGTATCTGAAGCCTCGTTCCTCTTTCATTCCGAACATTTCCATCTCTTCTACCCCTGCGTTGTCTAAGCTAACCACTTAAGTTTAGTTCATGTGTTACTTCTTTCAAGAAATTCTCTCTGACCCACTAAAATTTAGTTTTGAACTTGGCCAATCTTGGTTGTAAGCCTTATCAAACTGTTTTTGAATTGCGTGTTTTATAGTCTTATCTGTGAATTCCTTTTAAGGCAGGGAACTTGACATTTATTTTTGCATTTCTAGCACCTAGATTTGGGCTTGGCTCACCGTAGGAGTGAAATGTAGTTTGGTGAATTTAAAAAAAGAATGTTGGTGGTGGAGTGGGGCCAGAGTAATTAGCTAAAATTAGAGAGCTCTTGACCGCTGTTAGGTGGTGACAAATGCCTATGGGTCCACAGTCACTTAGTATTAGAAATAAGGTGAAGCCTAATGATAGAAGTTGCAGGTTACTCCTTGCTGTTCATACTCCAGTTCGTTGACTGGCAAAGCCTGCAGTGCAGAATCTGTCCAACTCCTCTATTTGAAACCAACTTCTAGGCCTATCTTCTGGTCACTTCCTTTTCTTTTTCCAGCCACGTCTTGAAGCGACAAGGAAAAAGTAACAGATTGCAAAATATCAGACACTTCAAATCTATTATTCCCTTTTATTTTTTATCACAAGGTACTGAAAAACATTTCCTCTCTGGGGATAGAAAAGGTGAACAGCTAAATATCTGACTCTAGCATCAGATCTAACCCCAGAGCCTCATCATTATATTAAAATGAGAGAGTTTATGAGACAAGTTTAATTGGGCAAATAAAGAGCCTGTTAAGAGAAAGCAAGTATTAACCATCAACCATTTTGTCTTAGGCAACAAAAAATGTTTATAGCTACTCCTCAGCTGCAGAACCCATCGCGCCATAAGAGACATTACATGTTAATAAGGAGACGCTTTGGTGCAACTGTTATCTCTCTACGTGATTAAAAAATGCTTGAGGTGAAGTTACTTACCAAGGTTTTCCTACACTATAGCCCTTGGGAAATCATTTTTTAAAAGTTAAATAAGATAAAGTAGATTGAAGGAAATCACTGTTTCAAAATGTAAACGCGTGACATTTAGCATCTGCATTTTTTTAACGAGTGAGAATTACGTTTCACAATGTTCTGTTAATGCTGTTATGCGGATTAGTACAGACCTGGAGACTGAGAGAAATAAGGCATAGCCTAAAGAAACGAATCAGAAACCAATTAAAACAAACTGTCAGGTTTAGTCTACGAGGCCCACTGCCCCCAAACATGTTCTTATTACGAATAAAGAGGTGCAGGTGAACATGTTTTTCAGGACTTTTATTTAACTTCACTATAAGACAGTTATTAAGATTAATCCTGACTTTGGAGTAAAAACAAAGTGCTGAAAGCTCAATTTTAGGATAAAAAGTCGGCTGGGCATGGTGGCTCATACCTGTAATCTCAGCACTTTGGGAGGCCGAAGTGGGCGGATCACCTGATGTCAGGAGTTTGAGACTAGCCTGGCCAACATGGTGAAACCCTGTTTCTACTAAAAATACAAAAACTAACCGGGTGTGGTGGCAGGTGCCTATAATCCCAGCTACTTGGGAGCTGAGGCAGGAGAATCACCTGAACCAAGGAGGCGGAGGTTGTGGTGAGCCAAGATCACGCCACTTCACTCCAGCCTGGGCAAAAGAGTGAAACTCCATCTCAAAAAAAAAAAAAAAAAAAAAAAAAAAAAAAAAGTTGAGCAACAAATAATATTAGGACCATAACTTATGCCTAATCTTCAGATATGTTAACTGACCATTTGGGGCCTGAAATGTTATATTCAATCTTAGTCTTAAAGTTATCAATTAGAAAATAGAAACATGTACTTCAATAGAATTATACTTTGCTCTCTTCTAGTTCCCATTCCCCAATAAATGAAGCAATTATCTAATAGTTCAGTAGTTCCATTAGAAGGCATGGTCAGGACTGGAGTTTTCTGTATCATAAAACTAGGAAGAGGCTCTATAGGTATAGTCCTAGGAGATGCGGAAGATGCTAACTACATAGACTGTTTGCAACAGCTGAGTGATCCTTTGATCAAATGATCAAATTAAGCATGTCTGATTCAAGCTAAGAGTGCAGGAGGGCTTCAAAAGGAATTTTCTCCTGAGATTTCAAAAGTCTTAGGGCATATACTTAAGGGCAGGGAGAACAAAGCAGTTGTCTTTTTACCTTACTTGTTCACTCTTGTGGAATAAGTTGAAGAAACCAGGCATGCTTATCCTGAAGAAGAGCTGGCTCTGTGGGAACATGATGCTGCTGTCAATTATTTGTAGGACTGTTTAGTGGAAGAGAGAGTAGACTCTTCCATATACAGAATCAAGAGATAAGACAAGGATGAGTTACAGAGAGATGGAGTTCTGAACATGAAAAGGAAGATGATCTTGCCAGCCTGAAATGTATGCCTACCTTGGAGATAGTGATCTCATCATCACTAGAAGCAACCAGGTATAGCCTAAATAGCCATTTATTGGATAGTGAGGAAATGAAATTCAAGTCCTATGGGGTTGGGGTGGATTGATCTATTGATGACGCAAGAGATTTTTTTTTTTTCTAAGTGTAATAGTCTTGACTTCTTTGAAGAGTAAAGTGCTATGCAGAGAACTCCCACTTCTAGCTATGATGGAGTAGCTAGTACTGGACTAGTACTTCTGATGTAAACGATATTAAAAGTGAAAAAATTTTATGAAAGATAACTATTTCTAGACTTTGGGAAAAAAATTGCAAGACTATAATCTCTGAAAGAAAGGAAACAAATGAGATGAGCCCTATCATTTCCCCAGGTTTCTGCTTGGAGGCATGTTCCAGACTGGTGCATGGAAGTGGAAAACATTTCAGAGCAGAATGTTCTCTTTGAATTAAAGAAACATTGATCAGAACTTGGGAAGGATTAGTTGTCTAGAATTTGTAGGGCTGAATGAAAAGAAGGGAATTATTCAGAGAAAGATGCCCAGAAATCTTAGCATTTTCCAGGGACTCAAGATAGCCCCTGTGCAGATTTCTGAGCATTTTACAAAGTAGAACAAATAACTCCTGGAGAAAGACAAAGCATTGAGTAATAATAAACTGGATAACTACTGAAATCCATAGACCTGAAGACTGGGAGACATTCAAGTTCCAACCATCCAGAGTTAAGTGGGCTTACTCAGTATGCTGGGCATCCAGTAGAAATCCCAAGAAGCTCATGTATTAAGCTCACTAAACTTGTCTTTTAGTAAAAACTTAAAGAGAGAAGTGTCTGAACGTCAAGAGGGAAGAAGCAGCTGGACATTGGAGACTATGGTTGGAAAGGAGTTCGGCCAGGTATGGCTGAACTCCAGGGAAAGACCACCTGGCCACTCCATCCCCTTTCCAGCTCCCCATCCCACTGAAAGCCACTTCCACTACTCAATAAAATGCTTTGCATTAACCACCCTCCAATCTGTTTGCACAATCTCATTCCTCCTGGACACCAGACAAGGACCCAGGTGCAGGTGAAAGAGGCTGTCACACTGACCCTCCACTGAGCTGTTTAACACTCAGGCCATCCATGGACAGCAAAGCTAAAGGAGTGCACTGTAACACACACCCCCTGGGCCTCAAGGGTTCGCAGGCAACCCCTACATGCTGCCACAGGCTGGTATGGGGTTTTGCTCCTGCCAGCACCCAAAGGCACTCTCCCTGGCTCCTGAACCTGCTCACCTGTATGTTCCCCCTCCCACAAAGGGTTTGAGTGCTGTGGACTGAGTAAGTGAGCCATCCCTTTACAACTCCTGCATAGGGGTCAAAGAAATTATCCTGCTTCAGTATGATCCAGCAGTCCCACTTCTGGGTACATACCCAAAGGATTTGAAATCACTATGTCAGAGATACATCTATACTTCCATGTTTATTGCAGCACTATTCATAGCCAACTTATAGAATCAACCTAGGCATCCATCAACTGATGGATTGATTTTAACATGTGGTATATATGCACAATGGAATACTAGTCAGCATTTAAAGAAGAGGGCAATTATATCATTTATGACAAAATGGATGAACCTGGAGGACATTATGCTAAGTGAAATAAGCCCGACACAGAAAGATAAACGCTACATACTCTCACTTATATGTGAAAGTTAAAAAAAAAAAAAAAAAAAAAAAAGAGAACACATAAAAGCCAAGAGTAGAATGATGGTTACCAGAAGCTAGGATTAGTGAGGTGGGGGTTAATGGGGAAAAGGAAATTCTATCATTAAGAAATAGAACATCAAAAGCTGAAAGATAAAATATCAGAAGAAAAAATATTCCTAGATAGGCTAAGATACACTACATATATGGCAAGAGAAAAGATCGGGGAACTTGATGATATAAGCCAAGCAAATAGAAAAAAATGTAGGCTAAGTGGTCTTGGACACCAGTAATTCCAACTACATGGAAGGCTAAGGTGGGAGGATTGCTTGAGCCCAGGATTTCAAGGCTGCGGTAAGCTTTGATTGCACCAGTGCACCCCAGCCTGGTTGACAGAGTGAGACCCCCCAATTCTAAAAAATAAAAAGTAGTACATAACAATCAAAGCAGAGCCTCACTGACCTATAAGATAATATGAAACCGTCTAAAAGATGATATGAAACAGTCTATAAGATAATATGAAACAGTCTGTAAGATGATATGAAACAGTCTGTAAGATGATATGAAACAGTCTATAAGATGATATGAAACAGTCTATAAGATGATATGAAACATTCTATAAGATGATATGAAACAGTCTATAAGATGATATGAAACAGTATATAAGATGATATGAAACATTCTATAAGATGATATGAAACAGTCTATAAGATGATATGAAACAGTATATAGGATGATATGAAACAGTGTATAACATATGAAACAGTGTATAAGATGATATGAAACAGTGTATAAGATGATATGAAACAGAGTATAAAATGATATGAAACAGTCTATAAGGCGATATGAAACAGTCTATAAGATGATATGAAGCAGTCTATAAGGTGATATGAAACAGTCTATAAGGTGATATGAAACAGTGTATAAGATGATATGAAACAGTGTATAAGATGATATGAAACAGTCTGTAAGATGATATGAAACCATGTATAAGATGATATGAAACAGTGTATAAGATGATATGGAACAGTCTGTAAGATGATATGAAACAGTCTGTAAGATGATATGAAACAGTCTATAAGATAATATGAAACAACAGTCTAACAAACATGTCATTGGCTCCCATGAAGACCACAGAAGTCAGAAAATGTATTTAAAGAAATATTGAGTCAGACATTCTTTGTATTTAATGAAAGCTATCCACATACAGATCCAAAAGGTCAATAAAGTTCAAGAAAAGAAGCCCAAGAAAAACCACAAAACATACTGTAATCAAATTTATAAAAAATAATGATTAAGAGAAAATCTTAAAAGCAGCCAGAGAAAAAGAGACAGGTTACAAAGAGGAAGAAAAAAGACATTGTTTCTCATCAGAAACAATGCAAAATAAAACACAATGAACTGACATTTTTAAACTGCTGAAAGGAAAAAATAATTACTATTGAATACTATATCCAGTAAAAATATTCTCCAAAAATGAAAGCAAAAAAGAAATTTTCAAAAAAAGAGCAAAAAGAATTCTAAATAGCTCATGGGTCAGAACGAAAATTCTCGGTGAAATTAGAAAACATTCGGAACTGGATGATAATGAAAACACAACACACACACTTTGTGAAATAAAAACAATACTTAGAGGTAAATTTATTATTTTAATGCCTATACATTAGTAAAAAAGAATGGTATAAATTATATAAGCTTCCAGCTTAAGTTAAAAAAAGTAGAGCAAAGAAAACAAGTAAGAGTAATGAAGGAAGTAATAAAGAAAACAAGAGAAGTCAAAGATATAGAAAAGGAATATAATAGAGTAAGTAATTAAAAGCAAAATTTGGTTCTCTGCAAAGATCAATCAAGTTAACAAATGGACCGCAGAGGGCAAACAAACCTCTAGCTATACTAATCAAGAAAATTAAGAGAAAACACAAGTTGCCAATATCAGTAATGCAAGAAAGGAAATCACAAAAAATACTACACACATGCAGAGTATAATAAGGTAATATTATGAACAACTTTATTGCCAACAAACCTCCATTACAAGAAATGTTAAAATTCTTCAGGCTGAAGGAAGGTGATAACAGATGGAAAACCAAATCTGCCCGATGAGGAGAAGAGCACCAGAAATGTTAAATATGCTTGTAGATATAAAAGACATTTTTCACGCTCTTAAAATTTCTCTGAAAGATAGTTGACTATAACAAGAACAAATAGCACAAATACGAGAAAATATCCAACCTATGGGGAAATGACATTAAAGACAAATGAAATAAATGGAGTGGTAGGCCGTATTCATGGATAGGGTGACTCAATATTAATTCTACAAGAAATTAATGCATAAACAGAAAGCATTTTAAATACAGTTGGCCCTCTGTGGTCCATGGGTTCTGCATCCATGCATTCAACCAACTGTGGATGTAAAATATTTGGAAAACAATGGATGGTTGCATCTGTACTAAACATGTACAAACCTACAAACTTTTTTTTCTTGTCATTATTCCCTAAACATACAGTAAAATAACTATTTACATGGTATTTACATTGTATTAGGCACTACCGGTAATCTAGAGATATTTGCAAGTATATGGAAGGATGTGTGTAAGTTATATACAAATACTACTATACCATTTTATATAAAGGACTTGAGCATTCATGAATGTTGGTAACTTCAGGGATTCCTGGAACGAATCTCTGCCAATACCAAAGGATGACTGTAAAAATCCTAACAAGGATTTTCATGTCCTGACAAGCTTATTGCAAAATTTACATGAAAGGCAAAGAATAGCCAGAAAACTCACATAAATTTTCCACCAGATATCAAGGTTTATTATAAAGCTATAAAATGTACTGCCTCATAATTTTAAGATAGGTAAAGACAAAGAGGCCAGTACAACAGGATAGAAAGTCCATAAATAGAACCATAAATAAAGAAAGTTTGAAATAAAGCAGGGTGTCATTTTCGAACAGTATGGGAAGTATGGACTATTAAATATAAGTTGGGAAAATTGGTTATTCATATAGAGAAACATTAAATTCTACACCTACCTTACACCATGCAAAAAAGTCAATTCCAGATGTATCCAAAACTGAAAAGTGAAAAGAAACAGTGTAAAATCTCAGTAGAAAATAATAGAGGTTAGTTTAAAACCTCAAAGAGAACAAAAAAAGGAAAAGAAACAAAATCCTCAAAGAAGGGTTTTTCTGTTTCTATTTTCTATAAACATTTTTTATTATTTATAAGTTTTAAAAGTGATTTCAATTTTTAGGTTTGTGGGTACATGTGCCAGTCTGCTACATGAGTATATTGCATGATGCTGAAGTTAGGACATGAATGATCCCATCACCAGGTAGTAACCATAGTATCAATAGTTTTTCAAATCTTGCTCCACTTCCTCCTTCCTCTCTCTAGTAGTCCCCAGTGTGTATTATTGCCGTCTTTATGTTCATAAATACCCAGTGTTTAGCTTCCTCTTATAAGTGAGAACATGCAGTATTTGGTTTACTGTTCCTACATTAATTCGATTAGGAAAATGGCCTCCAGCTGCATCTATGTTGCTGCAAAGGACATGATTTCATTCCTTTTTATGGCTGTGTGGTATTTCATGGTGTATGTATGTCACATTTTCTGTATTCAATGCATCTGTTAAATCAAGTTTAGTCTAAAACTGCCTCCTTACGTATTTTAAGTTCAGCCTAAATGTTTCTCTGTACATCATAAACTGTAACCTAAATTGAATTATAAATAGACTGTAACCTACTCTTGTGCCAATCACCGAGTTTTGACCAAAGATGGCCAACTATTCAAAATGTGTTCAAATAAGGCAAATGCTGAGCTGTAACCAGTCCGTTTCTGTACCTCACTTCCATGTTCTGTAGATCACTTTCCTTTTTCTGTCCATAAATCTTATTCCACTATGTGGCTGCACTGGAGTCTAGTCTCTGAGCCTACTGTGGCTCACCAGGCTTCTTGATTCACAAATGATTCTTTGCTCAATTAAACTCTTTTAAATTTAAGTTGGCTAAAGGTTTTCTTTTAACACACCATTGATGGGCACCTGGATTGAGTCCATGTGTTTGCTATTGTGAATAGTGCTGTGATGAACATACGAGTGCATGTGTGTTTGGCAGAACAATTTATTTTCTTTGAATATACACCCATTAATGAGATTGTTGGGTCAAATGGTAGTTCTGTTTTAAGTTCTTTGAGATATTCCCTAATTGCCTTCCACAGTGGCTGAATTAATTTACCTTTCCATCGATAATGTATAAGCGTTCCCTTTTCTCCACAGCCTTGACATGTTGTTTTTGACATTTTAATAAAAGCCAACTGACTAGTGTGAGATGGTATCTCATTGTAATTTTGATTTGCATTTCTTTGATGATTAGTGATATTAGCAACGTTTCATATGTCTGTTGTCTGCTTTCATGTCTTCTTTGGAGAAGTATCTGTTCATATCTTTTGCCCCCTTTTTTTTTTTTTTTTGAGACAGAGTCTTGCTCTGTCAGCTGGGCTGGAGTGCAGTGGCATGATCTTGGCTCACTGCAACCTCTGTCTCCTGGGCTCAAGCAATTCTCCTGCCTTAGCCTCCCAAGTAGCTGGGATTACAGGTGTGTGCCACCACACCCAGCTAATTTTTGTATTTTTAGTAGAGACAGGGTTTCACCATGTTGGCCAGGTTGGTCTCGAACTCCTGACCTCAGGTAATCTGCCTGCCTTGGCCTCCCAAAGTGCTGGGATTACAGGCATGTGCCACCATGCCCAGCTGTCTTTTGCCCATTTTTAATGGAGTTATTTGTTATTTTGCTTCTTGAATTAAGTTCCTTATAGATTCTGGATATTAGACGTTTGTTAGATATATAGTTTGTGAATATTTTCTCCCATTCTGTAGATTGTCTGTTTACTCTGGTGATAGTTTCTTTTGCTGTGCAGAAGCTCTTTAGTTTAATTAAGTCCCACTTGTCAATTGCTTTTTTTTTTTTTGAAAGAGGGTCTCACTCTGTTGCCCATGCTGGAGTGCAATGGTGCAAACATGGCTCACCACAGCCTCAACTTTCTGGGCTCAAGTTATCCTCCTACCTCAGCCTCCCAAGTAGCTGGGACCACAGGCATGCACTACCATGCCTAGCTAATTGTTTTCACTTTTTGTAGAGACAGGGACTCACAATTGCTTTTGAGGACTTAATCATAAATTCTTTCCTAAGGCCAACGTCCGGACTGCTGTTTCCCAGATTTTCTTCCAGGATCCTTATACTTTGAGGTCTTACATTTAAATATTTAATCCATCTTGAGTGAATTTCATTATATGGTAAAAGGTAGAAGTCCGGTTTCATTCTCCTGCATATGACTAGCCAGCTATCCCTGTACTATTTATTGAATAGGAAGTCCTTTCCTCATTGCTTATTTTTGTTGATTTTCTTGAAGATCAGATGGCTGTACATGTGTGGCTTTATTTCTGGATTCTCTATTCTGTTTCATTTGTCTATGTTTCCAGCTTTGTTCTTTTTTACTTAAGATTGCTTTGGTTTTTCAGACTCCTTTTTGGTTCCATATGAATTTTAGTATATTTTTTTCTAGTTCTATGAAAAATGACATTGGTAGCTTGATAGCACTAGCATTGAATCTACAGATTGCTTTGGGCAGTATGGCCATTTTAAAGATATTGATTCTTCCGATCCATGAGCATGAAATGTTTTTCCATTTTTTTGTGTTATCTGTGATTTTTTAAGCAGTGTTTTGTAGTTCTCCTCGCGGAGATCTTTCACCTCCTTGGTTGGATGTATTCCTAGATATTTATTTTTGTACATGGCTATATGGTAAATGAGATTGTGTTCCTGATTTGGCTCTCAGCTTGAACGTTATCAGTGTATTGAAATGCTAATGAGTTTTGTACATTAATTTTGTGTCCTAAAACTTTATTGAAGTCATTTATTAGTTCTAAGAGACTTTTGGTGGAGTCTTTACATTTTCTAGGTATAGAATTATACAGTCAGTGAAGAGAGATATTTTGACTTATTTTCCTATTTGGATGATCTTTATTTCTTTCTCTTGACTGATTGCTCTGGCTGGGACTCACAGAAGGATGTTTAAATAAGACACAAAAAAAGCACAAGTCATGAAAGCAAAGATTAATAACCTATTTGTATTAAACTATACTTTTGTTCATTATAAGACACCATTTAGAAACTAAAATTGAAACCAAAAACTGGTCAAAAAAAATCAATAAATAAAAAAGGGACAAAAATTCCCAGTGAACATACAAAGAAATGACTGGCATCCAGAATATTCGGAGAACTACAAATTAATAAGGGAAATACAAGTAAGTATCTAAACAAGCATTGTGCAGAAGTGGAGAACAAGAAAATAGGAACTAAACATTGGGTACTCATGGACATAAAGACCCATGGGTTGAAAAACCACCTTGTGGGCATTATACTCACTATCTGCGTGACAGGATCCATACCCCATTCTCAGCATCATGCAGTGTAATCACATAAACTGCACATGTACCCCCTGAATCTAAAAATTGAAATTATAAAAGAAAAGAAAAAATTTTTAAAAAGCCACAATGTAAATCCATTTTACAGCCATCATTTGGGCAAAAATTATGGACTTGTGAAAATGTGGTGCAATCTGAACTCTCGTTGGCTGCTGGTGGGGTATGAATCACTAGGTATATATTGGGAGAACAGTTTGGTGGTCTCTATAATATTTCAAAACATATAGTAAAATTACACGATAGCCGCAAAAATAAGAGTCTCCTTAGAAGAAATACATGTAAAACAAAAGGTAAAAGGAAAACTTAACCTAAAAAGAGCAAAAATGTCTTTGTTGAAACAGAAAAAATAAAGCAAAATGATAACCTTAATTTGAGGAATATATGAATGACTTAAATTGATTATTATAATGCACAATGAAGATATAGTACAAATTATCACTTACCAAATAACATAGATTCAAATTAGTAAAGCAAAAGCTATTAGAAAAAAAGGGGAAAAATTTTTTAAAATAAAACTTTTTCAGTTGGGAAACATTAACAAATATCAACAGACGTTGTGATCAAATCTGCCAAAACTAACATAGAAAATTTGACTGGCAGAATTCTTGAGCACCAGTTCATGGATATATTGAATTTTCTACTTTAAAAAGTGAACATGCATTTTTCCAACATCCATTAAAATTTTATGAAATTTAATAATATATTATGTGTCAAAGAGCACCTTAATTAAGTTCAGAATATAAACGAGCAAGACCTAAAGTAAAACTAAGACAACATTTAAGAATGGCAACAAGATATAAAATTTACATAAAAATCAATAATTTCCATAAATAGAATAAATCATTGGAAAATGTTAGGAAAAATCTCTTATAATTCTGCCCTTCCCTTCCAATACTGAGAAATAAACTTAACAAGAAATGGGCAAAACATATATGATGAAAACTTGAAAGCATTTCTGATAAAGACTTACCAAATGGAAGGAGACGTCTGTCCTTGGATAGGATTATGCAGCTTCATAAAGATATCAGTTTTTTTCAGTTTCATGTATAAATTTAGTGCAATTCAAATACAAATAAGTGTTCATTTGTTTGCTTGTTTTTCTGGAATAAGATAAATTGTTTTGAAGATTGAATGAAAAAAATAAACATGCAAGAATAGCTTGAAAATCCCTTAAGAAGAAGAGGAATAAAGGGGAACTAGCCCTACTAGACATTAAAATACACTATTAAGTTCTCTTTTTAAAATGTGATACTGGGATATAATAGACAGACATACCAACGAAACACAATAGAGAGCCTAGGAACAAGCTGAAGTGCATGTGGAAACTTAGCATATGTAAGACATCAAATCACTGAGGCAGACATGGACATTTAATAATGAATTTGACACAACTGGATAATCATTTGGAAAAAAAAAGAAAATTGTACTCATACCTCACATAATGCATCAGAAAGAACTCCAAATGGATCTGAAATGTAAGTATAAACAATGAGAGAGATATGTACAAGAGGAAAACATGGGCACATTTTTTATAAACTTAGAGTGAGGAAAACCTTCATAATTAGACTCAAAATCCAGTTGCAATAATAATAACAAAAAAAAAAGATTGGTAAATTTTACTGAATAGAAACAAATTGCATGACAAATAAACCATAGTAAAATATAAAGAAAATAACACTGTGATAAAATAGTTGAGGTGTCATGGATAAAAGGCCAATTTCCTGGATGCATAAAGAATTCTTTACTGTCAAAGGAAGGAAATATCAAAATCTGACAGAAGAAATGGCATTTAAAAAACATGGGGAAAGCACTCAACTTCACTCATATTCAAAGAAATGCTAATTAAAGCTACCGTGTGATGCAATTTCTTACCTATTAGCTTGTTTGGCACCAATTAAAAAGCTTAAGAACCCACTCTGTCAGTGAGGCTTTGGAGAAAAAGGCACTCACAAATTGCTGGTGCACGTGCAAAATGATACAATCCCTATGGAAGGGAAGTGACAGTGTCCAACAAAACTCCACACACATTTATCCTTTGATGCAACAATCCACTTCTAGGAATATGTCTGAAGATACACTCCCACAAATAACAAAACCAAGTTACACATGCATCATTATTTATAATAGCAATATATAGAAAACAGCCCAAATAACCATTTATGGGAGACTGAGTACACTGTAGAGCCATGAAACAAGGTACTGTGAAATCACAGAGAGAGAGAGAAAGAAATCAACTGATACAAAGGTTTTTTACAAAGATATGTGGACCAAAAGCCAAACACGGGGTACTATGCTTCCATTTTTTTGGTAAGAAAGACAAGGTAATAAGAATATCTATATATTTGCTTATGTTTGCTAAAAGAAACACAGAAAGAATAAGCAATAAATTTAAGAAAATGGATGGAAATATGGGGAAGGGAGAATGCAGATATGGATAGAGCTATAGATAGAGAAAAAGAGAGAGAGAGAAAGACTAGATATTTATCAAGGATTGAACCAGCCTTAGTTTGTCGTGTTATTTTTCCACCATAATGCTTTTTGTTTAATTTGCTATTTTCTGACCATGATTCTCAAATTGCTAATTATCTAGGCTCCTGATTTCTGGCCTGTCTTCCCAGACACCATAGGACACTTTTCTTTTTATTTGGACTTTAAATATAAGGTCGTAACATTTATTCTTTTCAAGTTGAATTATCCTGCAAAATGACCAAAGCAATTCTCCCTTTTATTTTCAGCTCTTTTTCTTGCAGCTTTATAAGTGTTGAGAAACACAGACTTTCTCCTATTGTGAAGTAAAGAAACCTAAAATAGATCTTTTTCAAACCTAGCTATGTTGTGATGGGGGAGAAGCAGGGAGCACCTATATGTTTTTATTGAGTAGTGATAAAAAAACTATACTAAATTGTTGGCTAGGAGACAACATAACTCATTTCCTTTTTTTCCTATGAATATTCCAGGAATATTTCCACATACCCATGGCAAAATGCACTTGGAAATGATCAGTAAATCCAGATATTTGTATGTAAGCTCAAATAATTTTTACTAACTGCTTACATTCTGCAGGCACACTAGCTGTGACAAATTGATGGTCTGGTAGGAAGTATTCTGGGGGAACTTTAAGACTGCTCTCAGGGACAAGGCCTGAATGCAGGATTCTTGACAAATATCCCTTAGCCAGAAAAGGGTGATCAACAGTTTATGTGGTGAGCAGATTCTTAATATTATTAAATTTTTCTCTACCAAGAAACATCTCATGGGGGAAAAATAATGGGCTCTCTGATACAGTTTGGATGTCTGTCCCTGAAATCTCATGTTGAAATGTAATCTCCAGTGTTGGAGGTGGGGCCTGGTGGGAGGTGTTTGGATCATGGGGGCTGATGCCTCATGAATGGCTTGGTGCCATCCTCTTGTTGATACATGAGCTCTCATTGACACAGATCTCATTGTTTAAAAGCATGTGGGACCTCTCCCTTCTCTCTCTCTTATTCCTGCTTTTGCAGTGTGACACCTGCTCCTGCTTCACCTTCCACCATGAGTAAAAGCTCCCTGAGACCTCCCAAGAAGCCGGGCAGACGCAGGCACCATGTGTGTACAGCCTGCAGAGCTGTAAGCCAGTTAAACCTTCTTTTTCTTTCTTTCTTTTTGTTAAGAAATTACCCAGTCTCAGGTATTTCTTTATAGTAATGCAAGAATGGACTAACACAGTCTCCAAACCCTTTAACAAAGTCCTACGTGGTATGGCTCTGCCTGTCTCTCTGACACTATCTTGTACCATTCTTTCCCTCGGTCAGTGTGCTCTGGCATGACCGTTTTCTCAAATACATCACACTAATTCATGGTCGGGCACCGTGGCTCTTACCTGTAATCCCAGAACTTTGGGAGGCTGAGGCAGGTGGATCTCTTAAGGCTAGTAGTTCAAGACCAGCCTGGCCCACATGGCAAAACCCGATCTCTACTAAAAACACAAAAATTAGCCAGGCATGGTGGTGCATGTCTGTAATCCCAGCTGCTTGGGAGGCTGAGGCATGAGAATTGCTTGAACCTGGGAGGCAGAGGTTGCAGTGATCTGAGATGGCAACACTGCACTCCAGCTTGGGTGACAGAGTAAGACTCTATCTCAGAAAACAAAACAAAACAAGACAAAAAAAATCACCTTAATCCCAACCTCAAGCCTGAGCAACAGGTATTTCCTCTGCCTGAAACGCTCTTCTCACAGACCTCCACATGGATGGAGACTGCTGATTCAAGTGGCAGCTTGGAAGCCTTCACCTTAGAAGCTACCTCATCCCACATCCAGTTACTCCATCACATTTTGTTTTTTCAACTTTCTTATCACTATTTGAAATTATCTTATTTACACATTTATTTCCTGTTTAAATCCACTTGGGCTGCTACAACAAAAACACCATAAACTGGGTAGCTTATAAAAATCAGAAATTTGTTTCATATAGTCCTCAATGCTGAGAAGTCCAAGATCAGAGAACTAGCATGGTGGGTGTTGGTGAGGGCCCACTTTCTTCATAGGTGGATGTCTTCTCACTGTCACTTCATATGTTAGAAGGGACTACAGTGCTAGCTTTCCCAGGCCTCTTTTACAGGACACAAATTCCATTCATAAGGGCACTTCCCTGCCAAGTCCTCATCTCCTAATACTATCATCTTGGGAATTAGAATTTCAACACTGAATTTTGGAAGGACACAGACATTCAGACCATAGGATCTTCTTATCTATTTTTGACTGGTCCTATTAGATGTAAGCTCCACGGGCATAAGAATCAGACTCATCTTCTTTGCTGTTGGCTAATATGTTGACCTCTAGAGTAGCACAAAGAAGTCTCAGCTCATACTATACAGTAAGCACTTGTTGAATGTATGACTGAATGTATCACAAAATACCAGTCTTTATAAAGGTCTGCAGTAGACAGAATAATATACCCCCTCGGGATGTTCATGCCTTAATCCATAGAACCTCTGAATATGTCATTTTACATGGCAAAAGGTACTTTGCAGATATAATTATATTTTGAGAAATATTATCCTGGATTATCCAAGTACATCCACTCTAATCACAAGGGCTCTTATTAGAGAAAGGCATGAGAGTCAGAGTTGGAGAGAGACTGGAAAATGCTATGCTGTTGGCTCCAATGGTGGAAGAAGTGAGCCAAGGTCATGAGCCAAGGAACGCAAAGAGCCGGTAAAGGCAACTGGACAAGATGAATTCTCCCCTAAAGCCTCCAGAGGAATGCAGCCTTGTTATTACCTTGATTTTAGCCAAGACCTGTGTCACACTTTTGACCTCCAAATCTACAATATAAAAATGTATGCTATTTTGAGCCACTAAATTTATGGTAATTTATTATAGCAGCAAGAGGAAACTAATACAAGTGCTATATTGGCTCTTCCCAGTGTATTAGCACCACGTCTACATTAGTGTATGTGCTAGGGTTCCCCAGAGAAACCGAGTCATGAGGGCATCTCTCTCTCTCTCTCTCTCTCTCTCTCTCTCTGTGTGTGTGTATGTGTGTGTGTATTACTTCTTTATATGTAGAGAGGGACAAAGAGAGAGAGGGACAAAGAGAGAGAGAGAAAAGGAGAGAGGGAGAAAGAAAGAGAGAGAGGGAGACACACCCAGAGAGAGAGAGAGAGAGAGAGAGAAAGAGAGAGAGAGAGAAAAAGAAAGACTGAAAGAGAGATATTTATTATTTATTTTAAGGAATTGGCTCACATGATTTTAGAGTCTGGCAAGTCCAAAAAATCTGCAAGGGTAGATTAGCAGGCTGGAGACCTACAGAAGAACTGATGTTACATTTCATGTTCAAATATAGTCTGGGAGGGGAATTCCCTCTTCCTAGAGGGACCTCACTCAGTCTTTTTCTCTTAAGGCCTTCAATTAATAGGATGAGGCCCACCCACATTACAGATGATTCTTTGCTTTACACACAGTCTACTGACTCAAATGCTAACGTGGTCTAAAAATAATACCTTCAAACAACATCCAGAAGAATATTTGACCAAATTTCTGGGTATCATGGTCTAGCCATGTTGACATATCAAATTAACCATCAGAGCATGTCAGAGAGGTGCTACACAGCTATTATCATCTCAGACATTGTATTGTTTACTGCTCTGATGTACATTTTTTTTCTTCAAATTCTCAGGAACAAAAAGTATTCACAGGAACAAAGCCATAAATACAAGTTATTTAGGCAATATTTTTCCTGCACCGTACCCTCTGCTGAGCTGGTTAGAGCTAGACTAAACTATATATTTTCTATCTCAGGGAATGTGGATAGGTTTCTTCTCAAATGTGGAATGTGAGGAAACATGAGCAATCGCCACCATTCTGTCCACACGTTAACTAGATTCGTATGGTGGGTTTTGCTTGTTTGTTTGTTTCATGCTATCTAGAATAGGTTTATTTTCTGGTAGCAAAATTATCTTGATTTGATTCAGAGAAACAAAACTTACAAGGCTTTACTCTGGTATGAGTTTGAAGATACTGGTCGCCACCACAGGGAGTCTGAGGATGAAATAGACATAGAGGAAGCAGATCAATAGACCATGCATTGTGCACAGCTGAAATCAAGTTCTACCTGAAGCCAATGCTATCCCTGGACTTCTCGGTTATCTACACCAAAAAATTCCCCTTTTGCTTAAGCCAGATTGATTTGAGCTTTTTATCTTTTTCAAGTAAAAGGGCACTACATGTATTAAAATTAACTTCTGGAATGTTGTATTAGAAACTCTTGAACCTAGAATGTGAAATTTCTGAGAAGAGGAGATAAGTCACCAAAGGTTTCTGGTCAACGTCTAAAATAATTATCAGGGCTCCTGACATACACCAAAATGAAGTGGGCTTCAAAAAAGGTGCAGCTCCCTGAAAGGACATCATCCTCAGTACCCAGCTCTTAAGTAGGACAATACTCAAGGGGGGATCCTTCCACAGACGAGAACCAGGAGCTATGGGGAAATAAATGGAAATGGGCAATGATTTAAGAGGTCAGAGCCAAGGTCAGCCACATTGGACTTTGTCTGGCCAGAGCAGTGAGTCATTGCTTTTCCTGCCCATGGGATAGGTGTGTACTATGAAGTAGGATTCATTGTGCATTGTTTTCCACTCCCCCTCATCCTTTCTATATGTGTTTTGGTTATAGGTACTGGGTCCTTCCTCCCCATTGCACAGTGGGTATGTAGGGATGGTTAAACTTACTAGCCATGGATCAGTGAACCATGGGGACCTGTATCCTAATCTCACTGGGTGCACATCCCTCAGAGAGTTTAGACTTGAAGATGGATACATTAATTAAATGAGACCTTGAACTGTCTCCCTTTGAGGTTTTACATTTTGGACAAAACAAAGATAATACACGGAGGTTTCATCTGTTGTCCTTGACACTCATTATCTATTCTCTGTTTTTGGAACACAGTGTGCTGACTTCCCCACATTCAGCTTATGTGCTTAGCATGAGGCTAACTCTCTCTCAATCTACGAGGGTTTGGTGTACGACCAAGGTTAAGTCAACCTGCTTGTTTCACTGCCTGGTCATCGTGTTTGGGTTCATGTCAGGGATATAAGCCAAGTCTGTGCAATCAGAACAATGAGGCACAATTCTGGGACTATTGAATGGGGAAGCAAACTCTCTCTTTTGTGCTGCTGGGGGCCTAAATCTGGCTCACCTATAAATGGAGCCAACTCAGAAGCAAAACCAAGAAATGAATCTGTTGACATCATTTGAACAAGGAATCAAGCTCTTATCTAAACAACTTGCTCTCTCTCTTCAAACAAATATAACTCTAGATATATGTCATACATTACTTAAGTCTTTTTGATGTAAGTTGCCAGTCACCTCCAAAGGTAAAAGTATTCCAACAAATATAAGTCTCTTATCCTATGGGAGTAAATTTTATTGGGATAAGTAAGATAATGAAGTATTGTTGAACAAAAAAAACTCTCTAACCTGCTTTTCTAACTGCTGTTATTCTTTGTAGTAGGAAATCTTAGTAGCTGCATCTGTCAAGATTTTTCACTGGTGAGGGCTTCACCTGTTCCAGCTCCTGATAAGATTGACTCCCAGCCACTCTTCTTCATCACTTTCACTAGATGACAGTTTATGACAGGCCTTCTAGAAGTAGGTGCTACCATACTAAAGGCTCTTTGCAGGAAATAATCTCTTTGGGTTTGTTTTTTAACCTGTAAGTTGTTCACTAAGAATGTTAAGAAAGGAAGTTTTAATTATTCTTAGAATTTTACAGCTGGGGATTATTTAGCACTTATCTAATAATCCAGTTAATGATTTACAGATGAGGTTCATTGAAAAAACATAAAAGGGGTATATCAATGAAGATGATGTTCAACTATAAATAATAAAGGCCCGGCGTGTAGTAAGCTAAACAAGAGAAAAGTTAACTTTTTACCATCTGGATAGAATATGAAGACCTACAGTTTTGGTGGAGACTGCTTTTTGATTACAAGTAAGCATTCTACCCTACTGTCTTTAAAAAGTTCTTGGACACAGGAACTGATTGTCCAGTTGTACTACACTGCTTAGCTTCCCCAGCATTCAAGTGTGATCAAGAAGACTATGACATTCCCAAAATGATTTGAGCAGAAGTGATGGATGCTTTCGGTCATTAATTATGTGCTTTGATGTTCTCCTTGCTTCCTATTGGCTTCAAATGATAAAGGCTAAAGCAATCTAGAAGCCATGCATTGAGGATGGCAGTGTGCTCAGCCAGTCTGATTCTCTGGCTGATTTTGAGAAGCACAGTCTGCCTTTCCTAACTTGTTTGAACCATCATGTCAAGGGACTCTTTTTTTTTTCCACAGAAGCATGACCTTTACTATAATTAATAGTGTAATATTAATTACCTTCAATTGTAAAACCTTTTACAAAACTTTTACAAAGGTTTTAGAATTGTGAAACCTTCAATTCTGTTTCTCTACTTTTCTTAGTTTCCATCAAAGACATTTCATGATCCAAAATGCCTACAGAAGTGCCTGCCATTATATGCACATCTTGAGTAGCAGGAAGATGAAGGGACAAATACAAAAGAAATGATGCTTTTTAAAGAGACTTCCCAAAAGTACCTTGCTACACTTCAGTTTACATATTATTGGCAAGAGCATAGTCACTTGGCCTTATTTAGCTGCAAGGGAATACATCTTTAACTGGGTGGCAAGATGCCCAGCTATAAAAATCAGAGTTGTTTTACTAAGAGAGAGGGTGTGTATGGGGAATAAAGTGGCATTTTCTTTTGTAGAGAGGAAATCAGTCTTTAATTTCTTATCAAAAGGAAAAATTTTTAAAAAGCAGCAATGAAGTTCATTATAGACATGTCAGAAATGGAAATTTTTTTCAATCTGCACCATCACAGGGCCAAGATAAAGTTTTTAGAATCTTCATTAAAATTTATACTTCTGGGAGTCATAAGCGCCAGTTTCATTTCCAACGTGTGCAATATTATAAAGTGGACCTGAACAGGCTGTAAAGTGGTTAGGATGTCACTTGGGCCAAATGAAAGCTTTGAGCTTCTCCACATGGACAATGAAAATGAGAGGTGTTTACAAGAGACTTTTGGGTTTTGTTTGACCTTAGTGAAGGGGAGTATGCAACCAAGACCATCACACAGAGCCATCCACCCTGCTTACAGTATTTTGTCTTGTTCTATGAGGATATATCCATGTCAAAATTTTGGCTCAGGTTATGTCCAGTTTTCTTAACCTCTTTCTTCTTCCTTAAGACCTTCTCTGGGGACTTTTCTTGACCTAAACAGGAAGGCCTAGCAAGGTCTTTTGCAAAACTAAGGCAGTATTCAAGGTCTTCATATTGTCATCTTTCCTTAAACATGATCACAAATTCTTTTTTTTTTTTTTTTTTTGAGACGGAGTCTCGCTCTGTCGCCCAGGCTGGAGTGCAGTGGCGCGATCTCGGCTCACTGCAAGCTCCGCCTCCCGGGTTCACGCCATTCTCCTGCCTCAGCCTCCCGAGTAGCTGGGACTACAGGCGCCCGCTACCACGCCCTGCTAATTTTTTGTATTTTTAGTAGAGACGGGGTTTCACCGTGTTAGCCAGGATGGTCTCGATCTCCTGACCTCGTGATCCGCCCGCCTCGGCCTCCCAAAGTGCTGGGATTACAGGCGTGAGCCACCGCGCCCGGCCGATCACAAATTCTTAAGTGTGGCTTGTACACTCATCAGTTTTTTGCAGGTAAGGGAATATTTTGATTTATTCTTCTACTAACATGACTTCTTATCTCTCATCATAAAAGGCAGAAGCATCGTAATTTTTTCATTTTAACTAGAACATTTAAATTTAAATAAAAAGTTTAAATAGAAAATTTTCTTTATATGAGAATCATTTTCTTTATCTGTACAATGACTAATAAAAATATTTTCTGTGACAATTTCTTAACAGTCTCGAATGCAGCCTTTACTTTTATTTTGTCAATAATAATAACAGTTTTTCTTTTTTTTTTTTTTTTTTTTTTTGGGTGACATGGAGTCTAGCTCTTGTCACCCAGGCAGGAGTGCAGTGGCGCGATCTTGGCTCACTACAACGTCCGCCTCCCGGGTTCAAGCAATTCTTGTTACTCAGCCTCCCAAGTAGCTGGGATTACAGGCGCCCGCAACCACGTCTGGCTGATATTTTTATTTTTAGTAGAGACGGGGTTTCCCCATGTTGGCCAGGCTGGTCTCTAACTCCCTACCTCAGGTGATCCACCCGCCTCGGCCTCCCAGAGTGCTGGGATTACAGGCGTGAGCCACCGTGCCCGGCCAACAGTTTTTCATGGATAGAGCTCCTGCAGGTGTTCCTCCAGCACTTTGCATTTTTCATCTCATTTAATCTTCACAAGAACCTCACAAAGCATATATTATTTAATCTATTTTATGGATAAGAAAACTGAGAATCAGAAAAAATGGATACTGAGATAAATCCTGTGTTACTGAAGTCTGATGTGCTCCTACCTGTGTTTTTCGAGGCAGTAAGATGGCTTACACTGCTCTGTCCTGCCAAGTCCCTCTGGAATCCCTCTGGCTGTCCAGCTGTCCCTCTCAGCCCATGGCAACTCAGAGTGCAAAGCCATTGTTAATACCTAGTCTTTAATTTTATGTTACTGCAGATTTTAAACTCAGTTCCACTCCACTCCAGCCCACACATTACAGTCATCCTTTTTCCGACAAAGGAGTAAGTAAAGAGCATTCTTACCTGATTGCACCACCTCCCACCCCATGAGGTGCAAACCTCCTGGGCACAGCAGAGACAAACTATTCAGATAAGTAAAGGGTAGCAGGCAACCACACTATTCTGTTTCCCAGGGCTACTTTCCATCCCATGCTGATGCCATAGTCTAGAGCTGTCCTGGTAGGAGTATAAATTTTACTACCCCTTGGAGCTGCCATGAGAGCTTGTTAAACAAGACAGGAATTAACATTTTTTATTCACTATGTCCTCCCTTTGGAAATGCTTTATGGCTGGCTTAGGCATTTTCCCTAGCAACCCATTCTCTATTTTAGGGAAATGGAAATAAAATGCCTGACATTTACTTCATAGAGCAATTCAGAATAATATTAAGGAAAATTTGGAGCCATTTCTCAAACTAGTTGGAAGGAGCATGGAATGGACATAGTTCTCCACTGAGGGATCCTAATGCATGCTTTATCCTGACATTGGTAGAAGAGTAACATGTGGCCACATTCTGTATTCCTCTAAGCAGAGATATCAAAAGGAGATAATCTGGAGAAGAAGAGAAAAAAAACTAGTTAACATATAGCAAGAACACACATATTCTCTACTGATGATAAACCTAATTTTTCTTAGGCCTTCGTCAACACTGGCCTGGTTTGGCTACCTTTTCTGGTGGTCTGAGAAACCCTTGACGTTCAAATGACAACACTTTTCCTGGATAGAAAAGAGAGAAAGCAGCTCAGGATATTTTGAGTCAACTTAATTTATAAATTTGCAATAATACTACGATTTTCTATTTTATTCAAGTGCAAAAATATTTCAAATTTTTTTTAAATTAAAGACTTAGAAAAATGAATGAGAGTTATCTAGACAGTATTCAGTAGATCACATATCAGGCTACTTTATGGCATTTAATAACCATTAGATGGAAATAAACAACTTAACATCCCTACTTAGATACTTCATAGGCATTGCAAACATAATATGTCCAAAATCCAACTCATGACCTGCCCCACCATGTCTGCTATCCCCATTTCTGCCTCATTCCCTGCCATTGGTCTGGTTGTAGACCCAGAAAACTGGAAATCTCCCTTGATATCCTCCTCTTTCCCATTCCTGGTATTTAAGCCATCATCAAGTTCTTTAATTTGAACTTCAAAACTCTCCTGGAATTTATATACTTTCATCATTTCCACAGGCCAGCCATAGGCGAAGGTGGTCACCTAGACTTCTATAGCATTCTGACTTTCTCTAGCCGTATTTTAAATGGATTATCCATACCACTGTCAAAATAACCTTTGAAAAATACAATTCTGGTTGTGTATTTTCTTTGCTTAAAATGCATCAAAGATTCTCACTACTGTTGGGACAAATGTGAAAGTCTTGTCCCAGCCGTATGGCCCAGAAAGTCATGAAGACCTCACTTATCCCCAAAGCCTTCTCTTAAGCCAGTTTCCTATTGGTTTCTTAGAGTGTTGCTTTTGTGTCTCTCTTTGTGTGTGTGCTTGAGTGTACACTAGTGTGTTTCTGTACTTTATAGACTTGCCATAGTAGGGATACAGAATTATTATTTTTCTTTTTACTCTAGATCTGTGTTTTGCCTTACTGGTTTGTGCCTCAATTCCAGAGAAGCCTTAACGTCACTGAGAGTTAACAATCGCTTGACACCAATCTGATTAACAATCACTCCCTGGCGCCCCACCAAGATCCTGCAGGTCAATGATCCAGCAGCACCACAGTCCAGCCAAGCGGCACACAAGTCATTTTAGCTTCCTCTGTCCAGGGTACACCCTCCTAAGAAGCAACCTTTTTGCCTAGAGTGTTGGCTTCAGGAAAGTCTTATTAGTCATTGCAGTTGCAATTCCTGGGCTGGTTCTTGTTCCTGGGTGCTGAGGGCTGTTTCTCAAGTGTAATGGCCTTCAACCTGTTAAGGAATTCCCCTCCCCCCTTTTTAATATCCTGTCATAAGATTAATAGTTCAAACGTGATGCCACATGCAAACAGCCTGATAAGATCTTACTTAATGAAAAGCAAGCAGAGACTTTCTTCTGTGAACATATGTCTTTTGAGAAATTCAAAGCAAATTGGAGATAACATGTAAAATATCTCAGGAAAAGAAAAAGTTCTAAATGAGAACATTTATCATCATCATAGATTCATGTGGGCTGTCAAGACACAATAAAGATTTTAACTCATTTTGTCTCAGGCAGCCTTTTCCACGAGGACTTTCATTAACAATACTCCCTGCTTGACCTGTTTCTGCTCAGCCACATCTCCCACTGTGGAGGACAGGGTGTGAAATATATCTTTTCAAATGGATGTCATTGATTTTAATATACCTTTAATAATATTGCTGCTCAGTGTTTTAATTACTCATACTTATTGGTACTTCCGCCCTCAGGTGATTTTATCTAATAAATCTGATAAGTACAGTAGACTCTGATACTCGGATATTAGATGAATAGCTCATGCTGTGGGGAGACCATTTCCTCTGTGGTGGACTCAGACATGGGTCAAAGGTGTGCGCTAAAGAGCCCAGAGAAGGGGAAGGCTTTTACATGCTCGGCAACAGCCGGACATTCTTCTCTACTCCAGGCAGCCACACCAGGAGAATCCTTGACAGTGCTGTTTGAATGAGTGCTTCATTTTGCAATCTCTGCCCAGTCTACCCTAATCACAATGTAACACTCCTTCTTTGTGCTTTGCTGGCATTTAGTGCTTATCATTAGTATTCAGCTTTTCATATTTTATTCCAGTTAATCACATGTGTATGCATTTTTGTCTACTGTTGTGGGTTGAAGTGAGTTCCCCTAAAGTTCATATTTTGGGATTAACCCCCAGTACCTCAGAATATGACCTTATTTGGAAACAGGGATGTTGCAGATGTAATTAGTTAAGATGAGGTCATACTGGTGTAAGGTGGGCCCTGAATGGGGAAATTTGGACACAGATGCTCATACAGAGAAGACATTGTGAAGACTCAGGGTGCAGGGAGAACACTGTCTGCAAGCCAGAGAGTGCCTGAGGCTACAGGCACTGAGGTTATAGCCTGAGAGTACCAGAAGCTACAAGAGGCCTGCAACAGATTCTCCCTCACAGCTTTTAGAAGAAACCAACCCAACCAACACCTTGATTTTGGTTTCAGACTTTAAACCATCGAAACTATGAGACAATACATTTATGTTGTTCTAAGTCATGCATTTGGTTACGGCAGCCCTAGGAAAAAATAAACCCACTAAAGTATAGCTTCCTGATAGGCAAACATCTCATTTTACTCACCTTTGTGTACCTGAAATAGGGTCAACATAAGGTGGTTGGTTACTCAATAAACGTTTATGGAACTTTATTATATGAGTGGTGAAGAATGAAGATGCAAAAAGTTAATTTGTTGGAGAGTAAGGAAGATGGTAAGATGATGTATTCTTCCATTGCTTGGAAAGATGGGTTAGGAGGAAATGATGACCCAAAGAGTATATATTTTAGCAGGGATGGGCCAAGAAAGGTGGTTCAGATCTAAAGCCATAAGTAGCAAGCATTTATCTGAACATACCCCTATGGGGTGCTGGGAAACATGAGGAAGGCTGGCAAATGGGCTCAAAGACATCATACAAGACTGAGGGTTAGGACCCAGTCTGCATTTACTTAGCCCACGTTACAATGGGACAACAAACTCAAAAACACAGTGGAATGCCTTGAGGAAAAGCTCAGTTCTTGCAAAAAACTGGAATGCAAATTACAAGCGGGACTATGGGACACAGAAAAAATTACTATCAAGCAACTGGAATTCCTCTGAAAGTCTCACATGTTTGAGACAAACAGGGAATACCTAGGAATTGTACCTGAAATTAACAGCCCTGGTGCTAAAGCCTTGGGGGACTGTTTAAGGACAGATCTGTCTCGAGATGGTCTTTAAAGAGTACTAGGTTTTATGTAGGATTATAGTACACTTGGCTACAGTCTGGGATAAAGTAACCTGACACAGTACATCTATTTTTGGTATCAGTTCACATCTAATTGAAGTGAATAACTACAACTGTAAACCAGTGACTGGCTCAAGCAGAAACTGCAAAGTGGTTGCTGTTACTCTGCAAGCAGCTCATGAGGTTCTCTTCTAGGCCTATACATTTGGCCCACATTCCATTTTTTATGTTTGAATTAGTTGCCAAAAATCACCATTTGGAGGAGCATTGTTCAAGGTGTGGCTTCATTCCTCCATGACTCTGTCTTGGCCCATGCTACCTGTTATGTTCCTGATCCTGAATTTAAAGGATGGCAGGGAGCAAAAAGATGAAACCCCTCTAGTTTTCAAAAATTCTTTTAAAAGTAGGATATAGAATGATGTTGGCCTAAATTGTTTTAATTTACATATATCTAAATGCAAATTCTAGGATTGGATTCTAGAGAAAAATCATAGCTGTCCTACTTGTAACAAACATTTGCAGTGTAAAAATGTCTAGATGAAAATAAAGCGTAACTAAGCCAGATGGATGGGGAAGTGATATAACTAATAAGAGTTTAAATAAAGTAATTGGTTTTATGATTTTGTAAGTAGAAAGTGAGAATCATAGAAAACTTAAAAATATATGAAATTATAAAGAAAAAAAAATCACCCACGATTCTACTACCTGAAGACAACTGTTGGGATTTTCTTGTGTCTTTTCTCTATGTGGAATGTCACATTCCTTCTGTTTTTAAATCAAATTAAATTGTAGTCCTCACCAGCTGAGTTGGAGGAAAATCCCAGTAATTATTAACTCCTATCTTGGATGGAGATTGGGTAGGCAGGGTGTCTTTCAAAAGAGTCGTGTGTGGTTTTCTGCAGTTGAATTCTGAAAAAGAGTGTGGTTCTCCATTCCACACTGGCCACCACAGTTCTCCAACTTTTTTAAGCCAGGTGTAGGAACCTTTGATATGGGCTCCCAGTCCATGAGTTTTAATATTCTACCATTTTTCCCCCAAACCTATGAAAGGGCACCACACAATTGCACTATTCCTCCAAAAGTTCTATTACTAGTAGGCTGGCTGTCACCATGTAGAAGGAAACTGAGGGGGAAAAAGAGTCTCAACCACTTCCCAGTGATGGGAGAAGCTCCTCATCTCTCCATTGCTAATTCCCCTGTTTCTGCTTTTTCACTCTAGAAACACTTGCCTCTCAGCCATCCCTCCATATCCCCACTTAGCACAACCTTTTCTAGGAAGCTGGGGTGGAGGTGAGCATGGCATCTGTGGAGTGTCAGGAAACTTCTGCTTTGGACCTTCCCATTATTATTATGCCTATAACAATTTTATTAATATAATTTTATTATAGGCATAATACAATTTTAAAAATAATTAAACCTAAAAAAAGAGATAAAAGAGAGTCCTGGGTTGGGTGGACAGTCACACTGTTACAAGTAGAACAAAGAGATGTGAAAGTCTCCAATGAGATATGGAAACACAGAGAATGGGTGACTTTCTTGAAATAATAACAACAAAAAAAACTCTATATCAGGAGGAACCAAAACCAATTAATTTCTCACAAATTTTTTCTGCTATATATAGTTGATATAATTAGAATCATACCATATATGCAATTGTCTATTTTTTGTTACATTATAACTAAGCATTTTTCAATGTTGTTAAAAACTCTAAGCAAACGTAATTAAGAGCTGCAGAGTACTCAAGCATGAGTATGCATCTATGCACATAACATTAGAAAAGACATCATAATATGGGAGTCAGGAGAAGCAGCTATGGAACCAGACTGTAGAAATTCCAATCCCAGCTCTGCACTTGTAACTAGCATAATCTTGATATGGTAATTAACCTCATCGCGCCTCAGTATCTTCATCTGTAAAATGGGCATAATAACCTGCATTCAGGTTCCCATGAACACTAAATAAGCCAATCTATGTAAAGTCCTGAGAAGAGGGACTTACAGAGTGGACAAAAGGCTGACAATTATTTTAGTATATTGCTGTGCTGTGTGTTTAAGACTAGGTACTCTAGACAGCCACCCCTCTGTTTGAATCTGGGCTCTGCGTTCTATCATCTGTGTGACCTTTGGGAAATTACTCAGCTTCTCTGAGTTTCAGTTTTCTCATTGATATGGTAGTACATTTTTGGGGGTTGTTGTGCAGATTAAATACAATACCAAAAATGAACCCCTCAGCAAAATTCCTGGCAAAAGTCTTCAATATATTATGACTTAATCTTTCCATATCCCCTGTGCCTAACCCATAGCCTTTAAGTGCTCAAAAAATATTAGTTGTATAGAGGTTTACTGATTAAAAAGCTGAGTTGTAATGTACTAACGTGTTTATTAAAAGACCTTGAGAAATACACAAGGATTTAGTAATAGAAAATATCCATGTGGAAGGAGATTGGGGAGAAGTAAGGGGAATTCACTTTTTCTGTCTTCAAAGTTTACAATGAAAAGAAATTTCACATTTTAAAAAAAAAGAGGCAAGAGCAGGGTCCTGCAGATTCCTGAGATGGGTGGACAGTCACACTGCTACAAGTAGAACAAAGGAAAAAGCCGAGTGGAACATGTATTCCAGATCTTTCCAACAGGCTTCAGATCTCACTTTCTTTTGACCTTCCCTTTGAGCTCAAATCAACAATCTACCAAGACAGATGATAAGGCTTGGCTGCGTCCCCACCCAAATCTCATCTTGAATTGTAGTTCTCATAATCGCCACATGTTGCAGGAGGGACCAGGTGGAGATAATTGAATCACAGGGGTGGTTTCTCCCATCCTGTTCTCCCGATAGTGAGTTAGTTCTCATGAGACCTGATGATTTTATAAGGCCTTCCCCCTTTGCTGGGCACTCATTCTTCTCCTTCCTGCCATCATGTGAAGAAGGACGTGTTTGCTTCCCCTTCTGCCATGATTGTAAGTTTACTGAGGCCTACCCAGCCATGCCAAACTGTGAGTTAATTAAACTTCTTTCCTTCATAAATTACCCACTATTGGGTACGTCTTTACTAGCAGTGTGAGAACAGACTAATACAACAGAATTGTGGTGTTTTCCCTGAATGAGTAGTTTTCATATATATATGTGTGTGTGTGTGTGTGTGTGTGTGTATTACCATTGTAATATATCCTATTGTAATACATTATATTAAAATCTTCTCTGTGTTGCAGTGAAGTGGTAAAAAAAGCAGTTTGTGTTTGTATGGGAAAGAATTCGGCACAGTTGGCAAGATCATGAATTTCCCGGGACTTCATATTTCCCTGTGTGCAGATGGGTGTTGCTAACAACCCCACTCACACATGGACCTGGTGAAGAGGTGATTGGTGAGCTTTTCAGTAGACTCTCCTAGGTGGGTTAGGCCACTTCATCCAGCACTTTGGCAGCAGCTATTCACAGATGAGGGCACTGTGCTCAGAGTAAGGCATGATTTATAAAGAAGGGGCTGACCGTTCATTCCACTTGTCAGATCACGGATGGAAAGCTCTGGCCATTGGGTCTGCTCACCTTTCTCCTGCCAGATCCCAGTTCAGATTAGCGAAGCAGTCAGCCTATCTCTTGTGCATTACAGCTTACTTCCTTTTGTGAAGGAACCTGCCATTTGGCTGCAGATATATTCAAATTTGCAGGTCTCAGAGAAAGGAGAAAGCTCCAGGTGCCAAGCTGATAGAAAGATCTGTGTTCTTTGGTGGTGTCTTGTGAGCCTGAGATTTCAGAGAAAATGGTGTAAACTAGCTCAGATGCCACAGTATCAAATCAGAAAGAAAGGAAAAGACTTGGGCCTAAAGGCCTTGTTTTGGGTGGAAAAAAGTCCAGACATCAAGACAACTTTGATTCAAATCCTGGCATTGCCATTTACCAGCGGTTTGACTTTGGCTTTCTTATCCTGGAAGGACTTCAGCTTCCTCATCTATCAAACAGGGATAAAAAATATCTACCTCAGAGAACTTTCAGGGGAAAATAATGGCATAAATTGCTAGCATTTGATAGACATTCAACAATAATAATAACAACTGTAATCACGAGTGGCTTTTATGTACATTCAGAGGATAGGGCCTACCCAGTGCCCACACCTTGGCAACTTGAGGTCTGCTAAATGTCAGCCAACTTGTTGATTTAGTAATAAATTTGAGATGGTGTTTCTTCACAGTATTACTCTTTTCTTTCTTTCTTTCTTTTTTTTTTTTTTTTTGAGACAGGGTCTCACTCTGTCACCCAGGCTGGAGTGCAGTGGTGCAATTTTGGCTCACTGCAACCTCTACATAACAGGCTCAAGCGATTCTCCTACCTCAGCCTCCCAAGTAGCTAGGACCACAGGCACACACCACCACACCTGGCTAATTTTTGGATTTTTTGTAGAGATGGAGGTTTCACCATGTTGCATAGGCTGTCCTTGTACTCCCGAGCTCTAGTGATCCTCCCACCTCGGCCTCCCAAAGTGCTGGGATTACAGGTGGGAGCCATCAATTTTGTCTTCTACATTTTAATAGAAGGCATTTATGAATAGCTTTCTTATCAATTTAAACATTTTGAGTAGGTCAACCCCAAGGAGCTATTACTCCATACCCTTTAGGATGGCTATAATCAAAATAGCAGAAAACGACAAGTGTTGGTGAGGGTGTAGAGAAATTGGAACCCTCGTATATTGCTGGTAGAAATGTAAAAGGGGGTAGCTGTCATGGAAAATGGTTTGGAAGTTCCTCAGAAAGCTACATATGGAATTACCACATGACTCAGCAAGTCACTTCTACGTAAATAACCAAAATAATTGAAAACAGAGGCTCAAACAGGTACTCACATGCTAGTGTGTATTGAAGTACTATTCCCAACAGTCAAAAGGTGGGAACAACCCTAATGTCCATCTACAGATGAATAGATAAAATGTTATATACATATGATAAAATATTATTTAGCCATAAAAAGGAATAAAATTTTGATACATGCTACAACATGGATGATACTTGAAGACATTATGCTAAATGAAATTAGTCAGACACAAAGTGACAACTATTGTATGATTCCACTGATATGAAATCTCTAGAGTAGGCAGATTCATAGAAACAGAAAGTAGATCAGAGGTTACCAGGGGATGAGGAGAGTGGAGAACAGAAAGTTATTGCTTAATGAATACAGAGTTTCTGTTTAGGTTGATGAAAATTTTTGGAAATCGAAAGTTGTGAGGGTTGCACAACATTGTGAATGTAATTAATGCCACTTAATTGTCAACTTAAAAGTAGTTACAGTGGCAAATTTTGTTATATATGTTTTACCACAATAAAATGCTTTACAAAGTAAATAAATATATGACCTCTTATTTTTAAAATGTTTTGAATAGTTACACATTCACATAGCTCAAAAATCAAAGCAGTATACATTGATAATTCTTACTCTTCTCTCCAATCTCATCAGTTTTGTTCCTTTCATCAGTTCCCACAGGTAACCCCTGTTATTAGTTTTTAATTTATATTTTAAGTATATCTTTATGCAAATAGAAAGCAAGACTAAATACAAATTTTTTGCCTCTTTCATGTATACATATATTAACACATATGTACTGTTCTATGTCTTTGTTTTTCCATTTAAAGATACATCCTAGAGATATTTCCAGTATATAAAGAGCTGCCGCTTTCTTTTGTACTACTGTATAATAGTCAATTGTGTGGATATACCATGGTTAATTTAACCAGTCCCTTAGTGAAGAAGTTTAAGTTGTTTTGAATTTTGATATTTACAGAACTCTGCAAGAAATAATTTTATATATTTGTCATTCATATATGCAGGGTTTTTTTTATAGGATCAAGTCCTAAGATTGGAATTGCTGAAATCCAAGAACAATTGCATTTGTAAGTTTGATAGCTATTCCTAGTGCTCCTCCACAAGTCTTGAATCACCAGCAATGACATAACAAAATCTTCTTGTGTTAAAATTGTTTGGCCAATATCATTAGTAAAAAAATGACACCTGAGGATCTTTTCTATTTATATTGCCCTTATGAGTACAGCTTAGCATCTTTTCATATACTTAGAGATCACTTAGTTTTCTATTGATCTACAAGTTTTCCAAATCCTAAGGAATGAATGTCAATGAAAGTGTTTGAGACTGGGACAGGTGGGAGGGAGATAACTGGGGGATTGGAGTCTGTCTCATTCTCCCCATTCTTATTCCCATGAAACACAATCTAGGTAGTTGTGTCTTCCTCAGGCAAAAGCTGCTTCTTAATATCCAGGAAAAGCCTGCTTTCTGCTGGAACTCAGTGAGGTTTTAGGGAGAAGGCAGTCTGCCTTCTGTGTGCAGAGGTTCACAATTAGTAAGAAAAGTGAACTGTGAGTCAATAAGCTTAATAAAATCACTTTGTCTAATGTCCTACCAACATTTTCATGCAATTTCCAAAGAGCCACCTGTGAAAATCTTCTCAAGAAAGATGATCACCTGAGCTTGCAGATTTCATACTATATAGCTCTACAGAGTCTTGGGAGAAACCACAAAGCCATTCAATCATCCCCTTTGAGATGGGAATAAATAACAACAATGCCACATAAATAGCGTCAGTTGGCTGTGGGGGCAAGCTGTCATTTCCAGGAGAGGGATGTGGTTTTCTACCCAAGGGTGCAGCATATGATCATATTAAAAAATTCCAAAGATAGCAGAATTCAAATGTGTCATTTTTGTCATTAAGCTGCCTGCAGGTGTTCCATTTAGATCAGATGACACATTTGCAAAAACCAGAAGGAAAAGAGTGGGCTTTTGCTTAATTCATTGAATCCCAGAAGAAAATGAACACTTTTTTTTTCCCATGACAAACTGGAATTTGCCTCAGATGAGCTTGACATATTGCCAGCCTGCGGTCTGACTTTGTCTGAGAACATCACTGCACTCCTCCAAAGTTGCCAGGATCAGAGGCCAAAAGGAAAAAGAATGGGGCTTTTCTAAGGCTGCTGGATGATATCTTCCCCACAATCCATCTTGATGTGTCACTGCAAGTGTCCAGGGGACAAGGGTCAGAGAGAAAAACAAAAAGGGAGGCATTCTTGGGCCCAGAAATGACTTCTGATAAGAGGAAATAAGCAAGGGACATGATAGATTCAGGACACCTATAACCAACCTGAGGTGGACCAGAATTTCTAAGTTTTTAACCAAGAAATATTGATTTATGTATATTATGCTTTATGGCACTTTAGAGCAATTTATAACACTTACATTAAGGAATGGATGGGCCGGGAGAAAAGCCAATATGGGCATGAAAAAAGATGAAGTGCTGTCAGGAATAGTGACTTTCAAGTATCAGGTGCAATTTCTTGCTTTTGCATTTTATCTGAACTATTTTAACATTAAACAAGAAAATGATTAGTGATTTTAAGTTACACAAACAAAACAAAATGAGATAAATTGAACAGACCTAAAGGAATTCTTAAAACACACACACGCACACACACTCTCTCAACTGTTAAAGTCAGAAAACAAAAATAACACCCTTCTATATACACTTATTTTAAAAATGCATTTAAGTTGTGATATTATGTAAAATGAGGGGACCAAAGAGTATGGTATAAAATGTGTTTTTATTTCAAATATGAGTTGTGTTAATAAAAACAAACAAATGCAGCAAAATACTGTGGTTCTTTGCCAAGACAGTCACTTTTCTTTCCTAATACATTTTGATGAATCAGGAAAGACCTCAGAGACGAGAGACACTTTCTTTGTACATGTCCCACAAGCACAGTTCCAGGATTTTGGCACTAAGTAAACAAATAAAAATATGCAACAGACATAAGAGATAATAGTAATGTGTATTGAGAAATATAATTTTATATAGTTGTTCCTTTTTCCCAAGATTCTTTATTAATATCACCAATAGTTATTACTAGAAAACACTTTCAGAGCTAGAAAGTTGCCAGAAACATTTCTAATTGACTACTGTTATAATTAATATTTTGAAATGCTGAGACATTTGCTAGGGTGGACAGCTCCTTCAAAACCCGGCCGTTATCTGACGAAAGAGCCTAGGCTCAAATAAGAATTAAACACAAGTTGGAAGTAAGGTGAGGCACAGTGGAATTTTTTTAGGATGGATATAGTTTTCAATAACCTTAATTTGGAATTTTTCCTTTGGGATAATGACTTTGAGTCTATAGAAATATTGTATGCATTATAGACGAATTGATTTTTTAACTAAATTCTGAAAGGCTTAAGTAAAATGATTTGATGATCAAGTCAGATGCATTTCTAAGGAAGTGAGGATCACATTAGACAGAAAGTTTGGGTTTGGTGTATAATAATTGAAATAAAGACTCTGATAAGATGTATCAATGTCTTGTGTTTAATGATCTCAGGAAGTAGGAATGATATTAGCAGGCAATGTAACACTAGCATAGAGCACTGAAGACAAGATTAAATCTGACTTCATGTAGGTGAACAAAAAACATATGGAAAGCAAAAAGCTGAGTACAAGGATAAAGGAAAGAATATGAAGGAATAAACCTCAATAGAAATTGGTTTAATTTAATTTGGGAAAAATCTGCTTCATAATAGGGAAATAAGTGGGACCAAGGAAGAATATATTTCCCAATCATCTGACATCATGATCTTTCTCAGCCTAATATCTATGCTGAATTCATGTATTGATTTAGATCATACAATTTAGGCTGACCTTCAAAGTTTGGTCCTAATCTAATCCTCCAGTGATAGTTCCCCAAACTCCCCATCATTCCAAGCAATTCATTCTATGTATCCTCAAAACACACAAGGGACCTCCACATATAGTGGTATGTATTGATTGGCTGAGTATTAGCTGATACTTGAACACTTCTTCCAGCATCAGCTTCCCACTTCCTCAGACCCTGGATCCTAGCACTCTATCACATTGTTTTAAGATCCCCTTTGTATTCAGGCAACCCTCTTGGGTGGAGGCTCTTTCAGGATGGCTCAAGAACAGCTTCATTTGCCCCATGGGGAAACTGAGCCTGTTATTGTAAGCGTAGCTCCCTTTCTAGGACTTGTGTCATCTTGCTGCACCATGAGGAAGGCAGCTTTAGTGACTTCTGTCACCTTTAAATTTCTCAAACTTGTGTCTGGCCCCATTCTTTATTTCTATGCATTTCCCTGGGCATAAGAACACAAGTCGAACTCTCTCTTCAAAGCTTAGACTTGGTTGGAGGAGGTGGGAGAATGGTGTTCAGCAACTATATATGGCAGAGGCTATGGGGTTATCCCTTTCTCCGCAACAATTCTCTTTTCCTGGTTGGCTCCCTATGCTGGCAGAACCAGTTTCACTCCCATAACATGTGCTTTGCAGGGAGTCTGCTCCTTCAGCTTACTTGGGGATGTGAAAGTCACCATTTACTCTCAGCCTTTGATGCCTCAGACAAAATTGAGTTTAATGTTATTTGAACATATTATTTTTATATAATATTAGAAGTAGAAAGACTCTTTGGAGTTCTCTAATGCATCTCTTTCCAAAAAAAAAATTTTATTATGTTAGTCCTTCAACCTTGACTTAAGTATATTAATTGCAGTTGAGTTCATCACTTTGGAGATAGCCAGCTTTAGCAAAATACCGCACATGGCTAGATTTTCCTTATATTAAGATACCATTTTTTGCTATAATTTTGCCTTATCTATTTTAGTTCTGTCCTCAAGAGCAAACACAGAATTTTTGGCATAAGATTGTCTCAGAACATACTGCTGTGTAAAGGTGGCTGAGTAGTCAGCTGGGAGAAAATGGCAGGAATGGGAAGAAGTGACTTTAACTGAATCCAGGGGAAGATAATGGCCAAGAATCAGAATCAGATGCAAACACAGATATGGCAAAGACTACCCATTTGCAAGCAGGAATTAGGGATGAAAGGAAGATTAATTTTTTGTGAGTATGTTTGTATGTATTAATGGACTGCTTAGTTCAGTGTCAATAACATGTGAATGTAGCTGTGGATATAGAGATAGGAGGCCATAGTAGCAGCACATCTAATGGAAGTCTTCAAAAATGAGTTAGGTTGACTTACAGCATTATGTACTTGGGTTGGAGAGGGGATACACATAGCTCAAAAAGTTAAAAACAAATCAGTTAAAATATTTTATATGGCAATGTTTCTTTAGGCATTTAATGAATAATCACATCTTCCTCTAACAAAAATTAAAAAAGGAGCTTAAGGGGGCTGACCTGGACATAATGGTGGGGTGTGAGTGACAGTCAGCATTCTGGAAAGCCAAAACATTTAGGGAAACAGCCCTGCTGTGATCCCAAGAGTATAGCAGGCGGTTGAGGTTAAAAACCAATTAATGAGGTTCAAATGGAGTGCTAAATAGCAAGAGGATTTAAAGCCAAATTTGGGGAGCTGGAACAGCCAGAAGATTGAGGAGCTGGAAATAACAGGTCAGGTGGCAAAGCCTGAGAGTGTTAGGCAAATATTTGAGATGAGTTCGTTATTTATAATTTGATTCCATGCTCTTTGCACCATGATGTGTGAGTGAACCAGTTAGATTTAAAGGGCTGTGGATGGAGCTCAGTGATGAACTGGCTTCACTGGGTCATTTCATTCACCTGTGGCTTGAAGTTATAGGGACAGAAAATGTGTAAAATTGGAGGGAGTAACCCCATTGTCCTTGATATATATGATGCTTTCCTGGTTGGTTGCTCCTACTTGGTGAAGACATAAAATGCCTTGAAACCTGATCTAATCCCTCAAAGTCTGAATTTCTAGGTCTGCTTCAGCTCTCGTAAGAAGCAGCAGTCTAGGTGGCCAAAAGTAGTCTTGATCATTAAAAGTCCAGCTCTAACATTAGTCAACTGACTTTCCCCAGTATTATTTCCTGAAGACATCAATCCTGGAAAGGGATTCCCTACTTCCTTTAAAATGAGAAGCCTTTGTTTATGTAAGGTAGAGTACACTGGCACCACAGTAAATATCAACCCAGTTTTTAAATGCCAGAAGTTTACAGATGTGACTGGGACTGGGGAAGCACTTCCCTTTCCCAAGGAGATTGTTTCTATCATCAAGGTAGAAAAATGAAGAACAAGTTAGGAGTAATCAACAGTGGACCCCAAAAATTACTGCATATTTCTAATCATCTTCAGGGACATTTCACCAATATTTAGTCCAGTATTATGCCCTTGTGTTGGCAGGACAAAATATGGCCTAGGAATTCCATTCAGGTTCTTAAACACACATTTCTTAGGACTGGGTCTGGGGTGATGCTCTTGCTTGTGTCTGAGGTTCTTGTAAGGCTAGATTCATTAAACAGATCAGGATTTTTGTCTAGACAAGTGATGATGAGCCCTTGCTCTAAGGCACCTTGCAGGAGGAAGGACACCAGCCTAATGGCATTCAGAGTTGTTAAGGGATGTCTGGGTGTCTGCCTGCCTTCCATCTGATGCCCTTTCAGATCCAGACAAGGTTGTAGGTGCCCCGAATACCCAATAATTCATTCACCAGAGAAGCAAGAAGAGGCCATAGCACCTGGATAATGAGTCTTGCTTAGCTTGGTCTAAGGGAATGGGGAAGATAGGAAGAAGAAAAGTTCTCCTTCAGGAAGGTAATGATTTTTGTGGGGAAATCGTAACCAGTACCATGTGGCCCAGGCAGGGTCCAAAGATGGTTAGTCTGAGTGTGGCAGTCTGGGCTCAGGTCACTGAGGGAGGATGGCTGCTTTGAAGCAGTGGGGCTTGTGTGTAACCGGTGCATAGATGGCTGATGGCAGAGGTGAGGAATGACTTTGGGGTGAGCAGAGAGAAAGCATCTGAAAGGTGGAGGAGCATCCCACCAGTTTCAAACAGTGGGGGTCTAGCACACGACTGTAGCTGCCAAGGAGGCTGAAAGTGATAGCGAGAGTTCTGCATGAGCCCCTCAGTACAGAAGAGAACTGACGAAGGAACCGGGACTCCAGCAGCAACACTGCTGGAGGTCACAGCAACCAGAGAGGACAGTGGCCTTTTACCATCGGGAGTTATCTCAGTTCTTTTTTTTTTTTTTTTTCTGTATATAAACTTCCATGCTATTAGCAGGTGGATATGTTTCATTAAAAAAAAAATAGTGCTTAACCTAAGCTTATTAGTTATCTGTCTTGTTGGAACACTTAGTTTATATACAGGATTTTTTCCATGCCTCCCTCAATAGTCCTACTTGCTTCTCTGTTTTCTCACCTTTGTACTCGGAGATTCATTTTAGGCAAGATTTCAGTTTGCGTGAAAGAATGCCAATCTCTGTCTTCTTCGCCAAGGGAAGCCTGGCCAAATTGCTATCAGTTTTGAAAAACCAAAGATAAATGTATGTGTCTTAAAGGTCTAATTGTATCATTTCCCTCTTTATACTTTGATTACTTTGACAGATGGGACCTTCACAATATATTCATTGTTCAGCTGGAAACCCTGGGAAGCAGTAATCTGAGCTCCTTGTCCTGAGGCCACTTGGTGGCCATCTCCATCCAATGTTGTCTGTGGACCCCAACAGAGGGGTAGGTAAAGAGTTATTAAGTCACTTGAAATTGCTTTTCGTGCACTGAAAAGTGGTTGGGCCATTTCAGGCCATAGCAGTGTGGCAGAATGCCCAACTGCCTACGTCAAGCAGTGTTTATAAATTAGAAATTACCAGCCATTTGGTTCTTTGCTGATCAGTCAGAGTCCCTGGAAGACTGTGCCGACGTGCCTGGGGCAGAGTTGTTACTGGACCAAACAAAGCATAGCTCTTGGTTAATCAGTCATGATTTGTCTACCTGGCGGTGTAGATTGGAATATTTGGAAGAGATTTGGAAATATACATCTTTTCAATTGCAGTGCTATGTGGCTAATTATTCCAGCTAAAAGCAACAACTAAAACGGTTTTTTGTTAGTTTTCTTGCCTAGCATAGAAAACTGGCTATAAAATTCAATTCAGTATAATTTGCTCTAGATGTATTTCACTCAACTAGTTAACAAAGGTTTATTAACAGGAGGTACCGTGTGTCACACATGAAGCATGATAAGACTAGTCCTCCCACACCATTTTTTTCTTGAGTCACTACATGAAGCTATATTAGTCATTTAATATATTAAAGGATTCACTTCACAACTCTAGGAGGAAGGTATGGCTAATGACCCCATTTTGCAGCTGAACAAACTGAATTTCAGAGAATTAAGCAAGTTTCCTAAGGGCCCCACAGCTAGAAAACCATGGAGCTGTAATCATGAATGCAGCAGACTGAAATCATTCTTGCCTTTTAGTTGGTGACCTCAACCACCCCAGAATCTCCTTAGAGTTTCTGATAATCTCCTGACCAGGTCCAGGTGATCCCTACAATGCTCATCTTTTCCTTTCTGGGCAGCCTGGAGCAATTCTCAGCCTGTAGTAATTATTGCTGACCAGCTGACTCCTATCCCCAGACCAGCCCAGCAACCCCCTGCCAGTCCCCCTCAAAAGCCATAGTCCAGGCTGAGGTCAGGCCACCTTTCTTAGTTCCTGTCTCTTGAAAATCAGTCCTGCCATGACTTGGCTGCCCACTTCACAGAACGATGGCAGGCCACGATCATTGCTTTAGGGTACTTGGAGACTGGGAAGAATAAAATGAGAGGAGAGAAAATGTTTGGACCAAAGGAAAAATGGATAGAACGAAACAGTAAAATAGACTTGAAATTAAATGCACCCAATTGAACATATATGCTTATCTCCCAAAATCCCCCAAATGGTAAGAACATAGAGACAAAGAGCAGACAAAACAGCAGATGAGTCATCACCAAATGGTAACTCACACAGATTTGAACTTTCTGGGAATGTACACGCCTAATGAAAAGAAGCCAAAAACAGACCACAAAACCTTGAAAACACTCAGGGACTAGAAGCACCAGGTAGCTCAGAAAGAGGAGTGTGGGAGGCTGCTGACCCAGATGAATGGAATGAAACATTGTAGGGAACAGTTATATCCTCAGATGCCTTCTCTCATCCCACAAAGCTGAGCAGCTGTCCGTCCTTGACTCTGGGAGAAAGGCGTTATCATCAAGATTTCCATAAGTGGACAGAAGACACACTGACCATGAAAGGAAGGCCAGCACTGGGTGATCATTTTCATTCTAAATGGTGAGACATCTGATCCACTCTTTCTCTTTCCTTCCCCTGGAAGATTCAGATTGAAGGATGCTAGCTTTATATCCTGACTGGCAGGAGAATGGAGGACCAACTTTAGCAGAATTTATTAGTCCTAGAGAAAACAGTTGCAGACAACAAGGCTGGTCTCTCGTAGCTTACTACCAGTTCTCAAAGCCATACTCTGAAGTGGAGTAACATCCAATTATTTGAGACATGCGGCTATTATTAAATAAAAAATCCAAAACAGAAAAAAATGAACTTACATGAAACAGGATAAATGAAAAAATAAACTTTAAAACTTTAATTAATTTAATCAGATAGTTAAGAAGTTGCATTTTTTAAACAACAGAAGATAATTTAGGACATCTCTTGAGTAGGAGGATAACTATTCAAAAGAAACTGAAATTGAAAATAAGTGAGAAAAGGTAAGAAAATTAGAGAGTCAAATCTGATATCCAACAGACAGATCGTAGGAGCACTATAAATTGAGAAGATAGAAAATGAAGGGTAGGAAATAGGAAATAATAAAAGAAAATTTTATAGCACTCCAGACACGAGTTTTAAGATAGTTCTTGCATATAGCTAGAGCTTGATAAATGTCTGCAGCACAAATTCTAAAGAGTTTACTTGCAGGCATTGCAGTGAATGAAAAGAATCCTCAGTGGGAAAGCCTGAGACAATGAGAGTACCTTAAAAGCTTGCAGAGAAAGATTAGCATTAAAATGGCTTCGGAATTACTGATAGCCTCCCTGGAAGCTAGAATTCAGTGGAGAAAACCTGTGAAATTTGAGGGAACATAATTAACAACACAAAATCCTATATCAATCCAAATTATAAATCAATTATGTGGGTAAAATAAAGACATCTTTAGACATGCAGAAAAATTTCAAAACAATCATCCATCCCTCCGCCTATTCCCAGGCATGCTGACTTTCCTGGGAGGATACTGATGTATGTGTTCCCAAAATCAAAGCCTCCAAATCAAAAAAGACAAATGATTCAGGAACTGGGACCCAACAGGGAAGAAAAGCTAAGGGAATTCCCAGGATGAAGATGAAGGAAAGTCCCAGGAAAATAACTACACTGAGGCCAGCAGAGCAATCAGTTCAGATCAGAATAGAAACCAGATGGTTCCAGGAGGGGTATCACCAAGAAAACCATAAAACCAGTCTGAATGACTACATTTATAAGGCTTACAGTTCAGTCAGACAGATTATAGACACATTAATTATAGACACAAGCAAATAAATGAGGCAATTATTAAATCCAGGAAAAATAAAAAGTTATACAAGAAAAGAAATATTAGCATGTTTTCTACAAGACTTGATATAAACAAAAATCTAACTTAAACATAACCACGCAGACACCAAATCTTGACTTTAAGATGTACCAAGGAACTACCATGGAAGGATAAAGTATGTGTGTTAGCATTGGCGTAAGACAGCTAAATCCTAGTCTTTGTTAGAAGGAAGTAAAAAGACAACTTACAAAATTGAAAAAGCTCTAAAAGCAATAGATGCATTTTATTTGGAAACATGAAGTTAAAGGGCAGAAGAGACAAGCAAGCAAAGCAATAAAAAATGACCAATCTGAGGCACAGGACTAGTGGGTAAGAAGTTTGGAGTAAGGCACTATTCTTTTTACTTAAAGGAGTTGTGTCACTTGGCTTTCTAAACAAGGCCCATAATTGGAAATAAAAGACAAGGAAGAAAGACAAAAAAGAAAAAAAGAACAAGAGAGGAAGAGGCAGGGACGGAGAGAGAAAGGTGAAGGAATGGAAAGGGAGGGAAGGAATATAACATATCACTAGAAAAGTATTCAGTGAACTGGTACTGGATGCTTTGCGTTCTCAGTGGATGAAGGAACGGCTATGCCAGGACAATCAGGGCAGGATCTTATAAAGGAGGTGAAACTGAAAGGACAGGTATGGTTTAGACAAGTGGTGAGGACTGTGGAGGGGAGGGTTTATGTAACCCAAAGGCACCATATGAAGTAGTCACTAAGGTAGGTTTACAGGCAGTGTGTTTAAGGCCTCTAGGAGTCCATAGAATGATACCTTTGCTGGGGCCCAGTCCTCCAAAGTATGGCACTGCAGCATGCTGAGCACTTTGAACTACAGGAAATTAAAAGGCCTTAGAAGCAGACTCAGAAACAGGGACTTTCTGATCTTCTCGTTTCTCCTCCTCACCAAGGACAGATAGATAGAAAGTATATCTATTACAGAGAGAGCTTCTCTCTGGAAGTTCTCTAGTATGGCTGTAGAAACTTCTTCCAAAAGAAACGCAATTATCTTAAAACCCCCTCCCTAGGAATCTCATCAAATAAGCAAAGAAGATTAAGCGCAGAGAAAAGACAATGCTGTCACCATGCCCATGCCAAACACTTTTCATCTATTCTTCTGAGACTAGCTCTGAGAAGTTACCTGGGAGATTTTACCTATGTAAGAAGACAACCTTTGCTCACTGTGGAGTTCTGTCCCTCACTTTTCTGCAATTTGTTGGAACATCCTTCAGAGATCAGAGAAGCTTTGTTCTAGGACATTGGCTGTTCTTGGGACTCATTCAATCTCCCTGAAAGTCACTTACTACCCCTTAAAATTACCTACATTTCTCATTTCTCTCTTCCCTATGAAGAGAGTATTTAAGCTTCAACCACCTTGCCCTTCTTTGAGTTTCATATTTTGTATGGTTCCCGTAAACACTTACATGTTAATAAATTTGTGTGCTTTTCCTCTTGTAAATCCATTGTCAGTTTATTTTAGCAGACTTGAAACTTCAGAGGGGGAGGAAAAAATTCCCATCATCCCTACAACTTCGTTTGAAATGAAAAGACATCTCTAAGATTTGGTAGTTTTTTAAGCTGGGTAATGGTATAGGGCAGCTCTATCTTTACGATGTTAAAATTTTGCTAGTTAAAAAAACAAAAAACTAAATGGTACATTCTTGAAGTAGATGCAGGCCCACCCCATAGGCAAAAGACTTGTGAACAGATGATGGGCATGTGCAGATTTGAATGGTATCGCTTCTTCCTGGGGGACATAATACCATTTGCCAGGACACATGAGTTGGTAAGCAGAGTGTGAGCAGAATTTCAGTCTTCTCTTAATCCCTTGGCGGAGTAATCTCAAAGTCCCTGTTTTGGGTCCGTGATTCATGCCCTCCTGAGCCTGACCGTGGAAGGATCAGAAAGCATAGCCAGCGAGTAAGCAACAACGGGGATGTATCTGCCCATTCCCTTCCTGCTACGAGCTTTCGGACATAACACAGAATTGAGCTGTCAGAGAAGAGGAGGACTAAATAGGCATGGGTCTGGAGTTCTGATTATGACTCTGTACTAGATATTTCAGTTGATAAAATGAGATCTTATTTGTAACTCAGAGTGACTGGATGAATTTTTATTGTGTGAATTCTTGAGATTTAATCCAAGCAGTAGGAAAAGACGAGTTTGCAGGCAGGTTTAAGTGGGCAAATGGGCACTGAACACAAAATCAAAGTTATTTTCTGTGTCTAGCTGGTGCATTAAAATAATTGTGAAATGATTCTATTATGTTAATGAAAGTGTATCTATTACTATCAGTTAGATCGAAAACAGATAAATCAGACACTGTCTATTACTGTATCTGCTAGACATTATGCCTTAATACTTCAATATTAGCCAGAGTAATAGTTCCACAATCCCACATGCCTAGAGAGCAATTCAGAAGAGGCTACAAAAATTTAACATGATAAATAGTGAATGTCAAATAATTTTGTAATGGTATCAAATCACTTTGACAGACTTAACTTTATTTTGAGTTTATCTCAATCTAGTTTCACTTAAGTTGAAAAGTAGTTTGTTTTCTACATTGGGATGTTTCAAATACATATATACATGCATTTTTAGAATACCTGTAGTTTCAAAAATACCTCAGAAACGGAATGAGCTTTGGAATTTCCATCACCTTCTGACAATGGTGCATAGAACCCTGTATGGTTTTCGTTTTTCTAATACTCTTTATTGAAATATAATTTACATACCATAAAATTTAGCAAATTGAATGGGTTTAATGAATTCTGAGAGTTCTGTAACCATCTTCATCATCTTGGTTTAGAACATTTCATCACTCCCCCAAATAATCCCCTCTTTATTAACAGTTAATCTGATTTTCCCTCTTCCACCCCGCCAGCCCTAGTTATCCCAATCAACATTCTGTCACTATAGATATGCCTCTTACGAACTTTCATATAAATTGAATCACACAATATGTAATCTTTGGTAATTTGTTCCTTTCACTTAGCTTGATGTTTTCAAGGTTCGGCCTTGTTATAGCATGTGTCGGTACTTCATTCTTTTTAAGTGCCAAATAATATTCTGCTGTGTGGGTATACCCTATTTTCATCAGTTGATGGACGTTTGCGCTATTTCCATATTGTGGCTATTATGAATATGCTGCTATAACATTTTTCACATGTTTATTGTGTGGATGTATATTTTCATTTCTCTCGGGCATATACCCAGAAGTGAAATTTCTAGGTCATAGTGGAGTTAAACAAGATACCTCTATGCCTCCATGTGTAACCTTATGAGGTACATCCAAACTGTTTTCCAAAGTGGCTGTACCATTTTCCATTTCTTCCAGCAATGTGTGAGGGTTTCAATTTTTCTATATCCTCAACAATAGTTGTTATTGTTCTTTTCTTTCTTTCTTTTTAAAATATAGCCATCCTAGTAGGTGTAGAGTGGTTCCTCATATACTTTTAATTTTCACAGTTTTTTTTTTGAGACAGAGTCTCGCTCTGTCACCCAGGCTGGAGTGCAATGGCACAATTTCAGCTTACTGCAACCTCCACCTCTCGGGTTCAAGTGATTCATTCTCCTGCCTCAGCCTGCTGAGTAGCTGGGATTACAGGTTCATGCCACCACACCTGGCTAATTTTTTATATTTTTGGTAGAGACGAGATTTCACCATGTTGGACAGGCTGGTCTTGAACTCCTGACCTCAAGTGATCCACCTGCCTCAGCCTCCCAAAATGCTGGGATTACAGGTGTGAGCCACCATGCCTGGCCAATTTTCACATTCTTAATGACTAACAATGTTGAGCATTTTTTAAATGTTCTGGTTGGCCATTTCTATATTTTCTTTGGAGAAATGTTTATTCAAATCCTTTGTCCATTTGAAAATTGAATTATTTGGCATTTTATTATTGAGTTGTAGGAGTTATTATAACAGTTATAACAATCTATATATCAATCTCTTATACACATATTATTTACAAATATTTTCTCCATTCTATGGGTTGTCATTTCACTTTCTTGATAGTATCATTTGCAACACAAAAGCTTTTACTTTCAATGTAGTTCAGTTTATCTTTTGTTGCTTATTCCTATAAAGGCAGGGGGATGCTGGAGATGTTCAATGCTAAATAAAATGTAGTTTATGACCTAAATGCATGTATATGACAAGAGATGCCATCACTGGTATGATAAAACCATAAAGAATATTCTGTGCAGAGTTGATCATTTCTTTTAAGGCCAGTTTTCCCACCTTCTTGGCTTGGCTAACACTATACCTCTTTCAAGTTTCAGATGAGACAGAATTTTTCTAGAAAGCCCTATGTGCTTTCTCTCACCATCTCATAATGTCATCTTGAAGTAGTATCATTACTAACCCAATCTTAACAGATGAGGAAGCTGAGGCTCAAAAATGGCAAAAAATTTTCCCAAATTTATACAAGCAATTTATTGTGGGGTGAATATTTCAAACCAAGTCTATCTTCAAAGCCAGTGAAGATTTTGGTCTTATTTACTATCTTGGTAATGGGTTTATAACCAGGTGATTATTTCTGAAAGGAGATGATAACCCTTTAAACTGTACATCACATATCATTTCAGCTGCAAAAAATTAAAAATGTGATTATTCAAGTTCATAAATTATATTTTACGCATAATCAATTTAACGGTAGAAGCTTTTCAGGAGGCTCATTGGGAAATCATAATGAAAGTGAGACAAGAATTGTCTTTTGGTCTACGTATATTCTGAATGAGTGCCCCAAAGAAGAGAGCTTCACCTTGCAACTCTCACCACTCTTCTCAGAGGGTGTGTGTCAGAGAATTAAGTATACTGAGGTTGCACATTGACACAACACACTTTGAAGAGGATGGTGACTTTTATTATAGATAAGAGGCAAATATTGGGAAATAGAAACATGTCTCTGAAAGTGAAATTCAAAGGCAAAAGAAGATTGTATATTAACTGTACTTATATTTGAAAATATAAAGCATGAAATATATAAAAATATAAAAGATATGTCATAATTTTTAAAGATATGAATATAGCTGTATGAATATCATAAGCAAGAAAAGAAGTTCTATTTGTGAGTCGACCCTCTCAAAATGAGATTGATGATGAATGCCATGTTACTTCAATTGTTAAGTATTCTTCTGCTATGTCATAATGATAAAAATGTCACAACCATTTAATTATTAATTTCTCATACGATGGGTAAGTTAGATTCAGAAAATGAACTCTTGTGCAATATGAACTCATTCTACCTCACCAAGAAGCTATAAGAAAAGGCTTTTTGTAAGCCTCATACATCCTGTGCATAGCATACAGGATCTAATGTAAACTTCACAATAATTCTGCAAGGCAAGAAGGATTGTCCCTCTTTTGCAGATTCAGAAACTGGGGCTCAGAAGGATCTTAGAAGTGGCTCCATGTTCACAGCTGGTTAGCTGGCAAAGAGAGATTCAAGATTTTCAAATTCAAGATTTTCAAATCTTTCAAAAAGAGATTTTAAATAGTGCCCCATTACCCATGCTTTTTCTACTAGGCTGTACCCAGTCTCAAAATTCCTGGCTTCCAGCCGTTCACTTAAGATACTGGTTTAAGCTGCCTGTAGATAAGAAGATAATGTGTTAAGACACTGAACGCTGACATAGAGATTTTAGTCCTCTTCAGTAAGAATCAATTTTTCAAAATCTGGAGCAAACTCAAAAGCTCCATTTTTGGATGATACTAGTATAATCACCAAAATTGAGTCATCCCTTAAACAGTAATAATTTGCACAATAGTAAACTCCCTTTGTTCTGATGGCCAGTATTTCTTAGGGGTAATACTTCACCCTGCATTCATTGAGAGGCCATGTGGCATCTCTGTGACTTTTGACACCAAGATCTGACCTTTCTGTGGGCCATCCAGGGCTTAGCCACTGACATCAACCACTCCTTTTACTATACCATTTCATGTTCTGTGGCTCTTAAACAAGAACAGATAGCATGATGTCCTCTGTTAAAAACCTAAGAAATCAAATTATCCTGTTATTAAACTTGTCCTGACATAAGTTACATGTTTTTGGTGTGATAGATGTGTGTATGGCGACAGAAAGCCAAGCATAGCTTGCAGTTTCCTGAAAGGATCTGCAGAAAAACTGAAATCTGGGAGTCATTTTGAAGTCAAGACTGTGGCCATAAATGTACTATTATTTCACTCAGTGGAACTGAGCACCTTCCTCAGGAGAGTCCTAAACAGAAACGGGAGGACAGGAAGTGAGCCAGATACTATTCTGAGCTTCACACTTCCCAAAGTCCTCCAGGAAGAATCTCAGCCATTACGACATCATTGTCTCTTGGGACCTCCACAATTAGGTACTTTCCTGAGAAAACATCCATGATTCCTTGTTTTCCTGCTTTTTCTGTTTCTTACTATGGTCCTTTGTACATGTGTTTCCCCATTCTTCTGCATTAAATGAAGCTTTTGAAAACAGACAATGAGATGTCTTGTCTTTCTCTACAGCACCTCTTCCCACTTCCCCCTTCCCCCAGTCCCACCTGGGCATCCATTGCTGGTAGGTAGGAGAGAAACTGACCTGCAATATTAAAGGTGAACCAAAGCCCTAGATATCCCAAAAGGGAGCTCTGAAGAGGGAATTACCTGTCAGGTTTCCCCATGTAGCAGGGTCTTCTTTTTCCCTCACACACACCTTTGCTTATCGCTGGATGCAGGTGCCCTGGAGTGGGTGGGACCTCAGGAGAGGTAGGCTGCACTCTGTAGCTGAGGTCAACCTCAAGGGGGCACTGGTTGGAGGCTGTCTGCTGACCACATGCCCTGAAGCTGGGCACCACATCTCTCCCTACAGGAGGATCTGGGTGGGACATCTAGGTGACCAACACACTTCCCATGTTACTCCACAAAAATGTTCTTCCTTACCATACACATATTGATGATGGCTACTAAAATATCACCTTCCAGATATTAATTTTAATGCAAACATTTCTGAGAAGTAACCCTTTAAGCTGGTACCCACTATCAATTTCTTGGTGAAACAGCTTCCTTTCTTTCCCATGAGAAAGTTTTAAAAGGAACAAGAAGGCATTAGGTACAGCAGCCAAAGAGCATGGTGCATTTGGGTGTGTGGGGGCATCAACCAATGCCACTCCTTAGTGTGGGGCCATTACATTAGTGTAATGTGTTTTGTGTTGCTATAAAGGAATAGCTGAGACTGGTTAGTTTAAGAAGAAAAGGGGTTTATTTAGCTCATGGTTCTGCAGGCGATATATGCATGGCACCAGCATTAGCTTGGCTTCTGGTGAAGCCCCAGGAAGCTTTTACTTATGGCAGAAGATGAAGAGGGAGCAGGTGTGTCATCCAGCAAGAGAGGGAGCAAGAGAGAGGAGGAGGTGCCAGGCTGCTTTAAACAATCAGCTCTTGAGTAAACTAATAGAGTGAGAACTCACTCATTGCCGTGGGGAGGTCACCAGGCCATTCATGAGGGATCCACCCCCATGATCCAAATACCTTCCACTAGGCCCCGCCTCTAACACTGGGGATCACGTTTCCACATGAGATTCGGAGGGGACAAACATCCAAACCATATCAGCAATCTCCTCACTTTACAGATGAGGAGACCAAGGTTCCAAGAAGTGAGGTGGCCCAGGCAGAGCCCTCCAACTGGTGAGGACGGAACACAGTCTCCTCCTCTGAGCTCTTCCCTTTTGCCTCTTCTCATGCAAGCATACAGAGAACTGGAGGGGCTTTGCCAGCACAGACAGGGTATTTGTTTTTAAAGTATAAAATAGTGCCTCTGCCTCAGAAGAGTCATTTGGTCTTCACTCATAAACAGAATAGAGCTCTAGTGCTGGGAGTGAACTCATTGCTATGCGTGTGTGGACAGTGAGGAATAATGGTTTACTAGTGTGGGAAAAACACAAAAACAAGATCTCTCTAATCTCTCTAAATCTTATTTCTTCATAGCTCAGGTGGGGATAATGAATCCTGCTTGCTTATTTCCCAGTGTGGCTGTGAAACTTTAGGAAGAATAAGCTAGTCAGTATTTAGTATAGTATTATTTAACAGCAAGCAAGCACTTATTTCAAAAATCCTTTTAGACCTGCTGATAATTTGAAATATTCAAGAAGTGGGACTGCCTGGGTTCTGGACAATCTCAATGAAGTCCAGCTGTAAACTCTGGTCTAGCTGTACCATTAGGGCCTACTGGGTGAAAACCAGACTTACCTTTAAGATTCTAGTCCCCAACACATATGGCCTCTTCGATATGATTTTTGAGATGTGTTTGTCTTACTGAAGTCCACTGGGCTAAGAAATTACTTTGGGCTACTGTGCAGCAATGCTTTGTGTTTGCCTATTAGATTCCATTTTTAAAGGGCAATTCCTATCTATTGGGCTCTTACTAAGTGATATTCTCTCCAGTGTTATAGATCCCATTTTCTATTAAGCATCTAATATACATCAGATACTTATAGGTTTAAAATTATTTTTAGCATACAACAATGTGAAACAAAATGATGCTCTAATAAAGACGACAACAACAAAAGCAATGGCAACAACAACAAAACAACAGCAACAGCAACAACAAAACCATCAGGTTCTATGTAAAGCAGGTGGCAAGAAGAAATGGCATTAAAATAGCGCAGGGCCAAGGAATCTCAAGAGAGGCCCTGACAATTGGCACTGAATGTTGATTCTTCAGTAATTACGGAGCTCAGTGACCTGAGAAGAATTGGTGGTGAGCAAGCTTGCCTCAGCTATGCTTCCCACCCCCGTGTTTGTGCCAGCTGGGGGCCCAGGGCTGGTTTAAATTCTAGCAAGACTCTCATACCAGTGCAAACATTTACAAAATACTGGGTGTTTATCTTGGCCTCGAAGAAAGGTAAGCATCTTTTGGAGTTCACCTGACATTAAAAACATATTTAAACTTGGGGTATTGGCCTGTTGAAATTGTCCTATATGGATGTATTTGTGATGATTTAGGATGATTTTATAATAGTAATTCCCCACCCTTAACATTCTGTATATTCGCCAACATTTATTGAATGGGAACTAGGATGGGGAGGTGGAACACCTCAAAGGCCAAGTCTGACATTATGCATCCCATAATAGTAGTACTGCAGTGCTCAGGACTGAACTGCAAGGAATTATTATCATACTGTTTTTCCTGTAAAACAGTGATGTATATGAAATACTGAGAGTAGGGCTACGCAGTGACTTGCTTTTTCAGTGGTGCTAGATTCTTCTATTCTCTCCTGACCTCTCACTGAGAACACTGAAAAAGGTTAAGAGGCCAAAGAGTAGCTACAGAGAGAAAATACATTGCTCTGTCCTCATTAACACAGTGCTCAAACCAAGTGAGGCAAAAGGTTTAGAGAAACAATTTCCCTTTCAATGCCCAAGTAATGTTAATCTGTAAAAATTATCTATGTACTTTGTGCCAAATAAGGTAAACAATAAAAGTAGAGAGCTATTTCCTTTACACTAAAAGATGAAAAGTAGCAAATTGGTCGAGAGGGAGAAAATTGGATGGAAGTTCAAACTTTTCCTCTGCAAGTTTGATAACGGAATCTGCCAAAGTAAACTGGCAATAGAAAGATTAATGGGAGAAAAGTTAAACAAATTTATAATGCATAAGTGCATGGGAGTCACATAAGGTATAAAACTCAAGGGCTAGAAGGTTGAAGATTAAATGTCCTCTTTATAGGAAAGAGGAAAGTAGTAGATATAGGCAATTGTAGTAGAAGAGAAAATGATTTCTAGAGGAGATTAATGGGTCTGAAGAACAAACAGTTGCCTGGGATAATTTTCCTCCAGGCTCTGGGTACATGGTTACAATTTACAGAAAGGTAAGGGGCAGGACTGCACTGTGAACAGAGGTTGTCTTATTATGGAGATAAAGTCCCTCAGGTAACAGTTCTCATAGGAATAGATAAAAAGCCTGTTTGGGTGGGTGTGGTCATGGTCTTAGTTTCCTTTTCCATGATTAATATTCCCTGGTTAGTGAGGGGAACAGGGGATCGAAGGCAATTGTGTTTTTTGGAAGAACTTCCCTTAGTCAGATAAGAAAACTTCAGAGAGAGCTCCTGCCTGTGCTTGGAGGGAGAAATTAAGGGAGGGCCAGAGAAACTTCAATTCTGGGGCAGCTTCTAAGTCCTTCCAACTTCCTTTAATACAAAGTGCTCAGCATGCAAAAGTGCCGTACCTTGGGGTATCATTTTCTGTTGACTAGCCCAAAAGAATGAAGCTTAAAAAAAAAAGAGAATCTCCAAATTTTTCTAATTTATAAAAATTGAATGAATGTGGCATTGAATGTGTATATATAATCACTTTTACTTTCAGGAGTATCTTCCAACTCTGAAATTCTATGATTCTAAGACACATTCTATGTAATATCTTTCCTTGAAAAGATGTATTTTCTCTCTGATACCTAAAATCCTTTCCTTTGGATAGAGAAAGGATTTTCTTCCTTTTATATACATGCATTCACCACAAATTAATCAAGCAGAATATTGCTGGTACTTAAAAACAAATAAGCTGTAGCTCCTGTCCTCAAAGAGCTTACAGTCTAGGCAAAGATAAGTCATTAATTCATTAATAGACCTTACTGAAAATTTTGCAAGTGGAAGTTCACTTTCTAGTTTTCTCTGTCACACTAAGATGAGATATCACAAAGAGCTACAAAGAATCAGGCTCAATTTTCATCCATAGACTAAACATATTTCATTTCAGTGATGATATATTTCTATGATGTGTTTTGATGAATACAGCTATCATTACATAGGGCTCCTTGAGAACTCTGAATGTTCAAAAATAGGAATTAGCACTACAATAAAAAGTATATATAGGTATTTTTGGCAGAGTATATACTGTAATCAGTAAAACATAAAATGGCTTTAAAAATATGTAAGATATGTTTACAGGGATTTAAAACAGAGTGTCTTAACCATTTTAAAGTAATATAGTGCTAAAGTGCATGCTGAGTAATTCCAGGAGGTCTTCTTTTTTTTTTTTTTTTTTTTTGGTGGTTGTATAATTTAAATGATTCTTAATTTTAAAATGCATTTTTGGCCAAGACATTTAATGTTGAAAAGTGCCTATTCAGCATGCAAGAGACCATAAGTGTTTTTCATAAGAATTTTTATTATAAAGCTACATGAATTTTAAAAATAGTTATTTACACAAAAGGGCCTAATGGCTCCAATAGTTTAACAGATCAATAATCAATGTTCTTAAAAGTCACTTAATTCAAATTTATGTAATCTGCATTACGAAAAGATCTTATATACATATTTACAGCATAACTCCTAGTGATTTCTTTATAACTATCTCTGTCCCTAATGTCATCTTATGCTCCTTTATGATAGAAATATTTTTAAGACCAACACTTTGAAAATATCAAAAGATATTATTGCATAAACAAATACACTGGAAGTCACCTAAGGCTGTGACAATGCCTCTATAATAAAGATATTTAGTTGTCTTCCTTTTTGTGATTTTCCTAATTGTGAATAGAAGAAAATTCAAAGAAAATTACAGAAGAGTTTACAATAAAAGATTCCTAGTATCTTAAATGTCTGCCAAAACAACTTATATGGCTTTTGTTAGTTGTCATATTGAAGAGGAAATTAAAGACACCATAGCAACCCAAAATTTTCCAAGAATCTGTGGACATATGAGTCTGCTGTGTGCTTTTCAATATTTACAGAGTCAACTATAAGCTATCATGGTTTTATAAAGCTGGTAGTAGTCCAATCCCACATACATGTCAAGTGCCTTTGGGAACAACAAATAACTCATTAGACCTGTCCCCAAGTCTCCAGTTTATAATCCTCTTCAGATTATGTGTTGTCCTTTGGGTTTTGAAAAAAACCACATAACAAAACCTACTTCTTTTCCAGGCCCAAGTTTGTGATGCTTTCTTACTTCTCCAAGTTCACCTCGCTAGTAACAGTACTATTTCCTCAAAATTAAACCCAGAGGCAGTTTGATGCAGACAACTTCTTTGAGTTTCCCATAACCAAAAAATATATATTGACATTTGTGCTGGACTGCAATAAATGCATGCCCTGCTGTGCCCACCCTGATCCTGTTCACAGGAAACCCCTGACAAACAACTCCAAGCCTTAGAAAATCTCTCGTTTCTGGTTATAGTCTCTTAAAGGATTGTATAAAACTTAGAATATTTTATCTGGCTTTTCCCTTTCTTCAGGGAAAAAAAAAAATCTCCAGTGAATGATATCACTTACACAAAAAGAACAAAATGCATTTTTTTTTTTTATTTTTTAATGACTTTCTTTTAACCTACCCAAACTGCATGCTAAGCCCAAACTTTGTAATTCATGGTCTTAGAAATGTTATGTTATCAGTTCCCTGTCCCTTTCATGGGCTGCCCCCTTTCTACTCTTTCAAGAGCCTGGTAAGTCATATGATTGACTTTCAAACCAAGACTGGTTGATGTGAGTAAAGGAAATTGAATTGGAATACAATCACCCCCTACTGCTCTGAACAGTTTTTTGTGCATCTAAATATGATCTGAATTTCAGATATGGTTTTCTATTTGACATTGATTTTCCTCCAGCTTATATGTGCTACATCTTTACCTAAATTGAGTTGTTATCTTCTTCTGCCTTTTTGAACTTCACACTATAAATTAACTATTATCCTACTGAAATAAATTCCTTTGCAGATTTTATGTATATGGAAGGAATTTCAATTTCATTTGAGGATACACATTGAGTTATTATGTCCTATAGAGTAATTTATTGATCTTTGGGAACAAAAACCTCCAGTATAGTATCAGAAGAATTTTACTGTTAATTTTTAAAATAATACTTCAAAATTCACTCTTAAGGGAATATATGCTCACTCATATCAGTAAAATAAGGAATCAGTTGGATATGAGAGGATAAAAATCTGATATTCAAAATATGTTCTTACTCATTTTAAAATAAAGAGATCTATTAACAAAATACAGTGAATTTTGATAGCTTATGAGACTGTCGTTTTGACTAGAAATGGTTTAGAAAATTAATCTATTTGTTCCTCTCCAGCTTCCATTATAAATCATTTCTTCTGTCACCTCAAAGTTAAATAATAGTCTACATTGGAATTAATGGATCCAAAACAAAGCAATCATTAACAATTAAGTAGATTTAGATTAAAAAAATAAAAATAAATCCTCATTCCAGGAGATAAAAGAAGTATATGTGCCTTTAAATTAATAATGGCACAAAAGTATTGGTGATATCTAGACTCCTTCTCAAGGAGCAACAGGAAATTTCATTGAAATCAGCCAGAATTACAATATGTCTCACTCTGGAGGTGAAAAGGAGACAAAGTTGTAGTTATGTAAAGAACCATAGAGAAATTTACTCAGACAACCCATGAAACATTCATTTTTTAAAAACTGCACAAAACTGAAATCTTCTACATCTTTTCTGCTCTTAGAGTTTGCTGTGTTACTTTTGGAATTTATACTAATCTAGAAATCATGGCCATGTTTGGGGCCTTAGGTATCAAAAGACCTGGGGATTCCGTTAGGGGAACCTAGATATGAGTAATTCTTTCCTACTGTTCTTGTGTGCACGTTTCTGTTGCTTAACAAAACACATGCTGAAAAACCATACTTGGTCAAGAGGTAGATTTATGACTGTTTAGGAATCTACCACATGGAGCATGGGGCCTTTGTGGTTAAATACAACTGAATGACAATAAGGCAGTATCACAAAGCAGGAAACAGGCCTTGGCTCTCTTCAATTTTAGGTTATTGGGATTTGGAGAGGGAAACTTATGCCTCCTGCCAGACATGATTTTTAAACATTTTTAACTTGGTTTCCCGTTATCACTTTAAAGCACTTTGTGCATGAAGGGTGACATTTATGTGGCAAGTTATATTTTATTATTAGGTGAAAATTTTTTTGAACAAGTGAAAACATTTGTCTTTAATAGTGATTAAATGCCCAACAAGTTAGAACCTTTACAGAGAACAAAATGAGCTAAGTGCAAAAATAAGTTTCTAATGTTGCTTCTAAAAATAAAAAAATAACAAATGAATAAAGGAGATAAATGCACCAGGGATTTCCAAATTGGAAACTCAAAACATTTTTAAAGCTAATTTAATAATTTATTTTTAAAACCCTACAAAATAACAGAATGAAGATATTCCCTCCAATGTAAGGTATGCAGTTATTAAAATACTGATCAATTATTTGCTTTTGTTGTTTTCCTGTTAAAGTTTCCTTTCGTTGACTGTTTTTACCCTGGCAGCACATCTACTCTGCATACATCTCTGTTTATTAATCAATGCAATACCCTCTCTTCAGTTCAGTACAGGACCCATGAAATATTTTAAACTTGCTCCTTTATTGGGTTAAACCTATTTGAATGGAAAGAAATTAGCCATTACAATTCTGAGAGATCATGTCTGCACACAGCAAATCACAAGAAACATTCTTTGGGGTCACTTTTGAGGTTTCCTTCTAAGTCTTTGAAGCATATCATTGGTTACAAAAGGAAAAAAGACTAAATTTTCAGTATTAGGCAGAGAAAAAAAAATTTTATGAAGCAAATATTCATGCAGAATGTATTGATAAAACTTGGGAGTACACATGTAGCCATTCCATAAGTACCCCACTTTTTTTTTTATTTGTGTTCTTGGTTACATTAATTAAATGAGCTTAATCTCATACTCTAATTATTATCTCTACAGTTTGTTTTGTAGCAAAAAAAAAAAAAAAAAACTCAAAAAACACAAACAAAAACAAAAACAAACCCTAATGTAGGAGTTTAAATGTGTTATTTTTTGAGAAATATGAAATTCGTCTTTGGCATTAGCTTCAACTTTCATCCTAGAGTAGTTAATGGGCCTAAATCTAATTATTTGTAAAGTTTGCTTGGATGATTGGTAGATGATAAAGCAATATACACTAATTAGCCACAAGGACAACGACATGAGAGATGAATTTTACAGATACATCAAAAACTTATCTGTGAATGGAATTTTAGAATGCTTTAAATAGAGCTATAAAAATAGGTGAAACAAGTTGATTTAAGTTGGAGTTCTTTATTATTCATGGAACTATAGGAATTTTTTTTTCTTGTGGTACTTAGAAGTTTCAGTGTGTTATAAAGATTTTTTCTTCTACCAGATTGCATCTTCCTTGAAGGCCAGACCCATGTCTGATTCATATTATCTCCATGTGTCTAGTAGATTTCTCTCTATAAATTAGCTATCAAATATTTGTTGAATGCAGAACCCATATGCCATCCTTTTGCAAATTAGAAATAAAAGCATGCATTCTCCAGAACGTGTTTCTTAAAGCACCTGCCTCTCTTGTGTCCTTTTTGAAATTAATCACATGAATTCAGAAATGAGAAGGGATAGTTTTATGTTAGGTCTTTTGTAGGAAAGTAATGCACTGTGTCAAAGTTTCTTAAATTCAGGCTTAACCACTGGACTGAATCATAAGTACAAAATGTGCCATGGGATTAAAGGTCTTATTTTTTACTGTACTAAAAAATAAATAACAGTTTGGTAAAATGGTGTAATTATAGTTTCTTCTAGTATTTGGATATTAAATTAGAGGGTACCATAATTCAGGAATGATGGCCTTTTCTTTATCTGAATGTGTCTAGATAGAGGGCCCTGTGTTTTGCTGAAGACTGTAATTGTTAGTGTACTTATAATAATTCTCTAGTCACTCATCATCAGCACCTAAACAGCTTGCCTTGGAAAGTTATGAAATCCCGGAGTTAATGACCACGCTTAAATTTTGGCCAAGCAATCTAAACTCTTATCCTCAATTTTCCACAGCAGTTGGATCCATTCTAGAGGTAAATACCTTAGAGAAGAGAATTGACTAGGAGCAAAATACATGCAAATATATGTTATATAAAGAGCATGATAATTCCTCGCTTTACTATTTTTTAAATGGAAATATACTTTGTCTCAGATGTCACAAATTAGTGAAATACTTTGAGAGAAATATAATTTTAAATATCTCTAAATTCTTATAGATAAATGTCCTCTAATTTGTTTCTGAAATGCCAAATCTAACTTAAGCAATTTATGACCACTATTTTATCAGTGCTTAAATTTAATTTTCCTTCTTCATAGTTAGTACCCACTGTACACATTTCTATATTAATATACATACATATTTAAATTAATGTAACATTAAATCTATAAGCATAACCAAGTTAATTATAACTATGTGATAAAATATGCAAATTATTTTTTAGACAGTGACTCTTTCAAATATCCAACTGAATTATATAAATAAAACATGAATGACAAATTTTTTAGTTGTTTGTCACATATTACAACCATTCTATATGTTATTCATTTTCCAAATATAAAAGAGTTACCATTACTAGATGGAAAATTATATTCAGAAATGCAGACATGTCCTTGGTAGGAAAAAGATAGAAACGCACAACGAGCTTCACTCACTAAACCAAATTTCTTAAATTTCAAAAAGACCCATTATTCACAGGTCAAATTTGTCCCTTGATCAGTATACAGAAAACAATAAGGTTTAGTCATAAACAGTAAAGCAGCATGTCTGGAAGGAAAGAGACTAGAAATGAAACAAAATGAGATATGGGCCGTCTAAGGCTACCCCAGTCCTCACTTTCACCCCCCTTCACCTAGACGAGTACATGCTGAACAAGCACCAAAAACAACCAATAAATGAAAGGAAACTCAAAGGTCACTTGGGGTCATTATTTTCACATACCTTTGAATAATGAGAGCATCACATGTCAGCCAGAGGAGAACAAAATGTCACATTCTCCAGCTAAAGGTTGGCCTTGGTCAAAGGTCACAGAAGGGAGGCCAGGAAATAACCTAAGAGGTTAGGCTGGGTGCACAAAGAAAGGTCACCAAATGTCAATGAAAGCATGCAGCTGTTTGGAGATGAAACAACTGAGGCACCCTTTTGTGCTGACATCGGCTAGAAAAAATGTCTCTGCTGACATTTTTTTTAGCTGGCAGTTTTATAGGACATTGACATTAATGTACCCAACCCCGAATTAGCCTTTTAAAAAGCAACAGTTTGGAAGTTAAGTGCAGCAGTTTCCAAAAAATCATAACTGTGACATTTTTATTCCAGATGATTAATACAGCAATGGACTTCTAACACAAAATTTAGATTTGATCTGAGCTCTTTCATCACGACAATGTGTTAGCAACTAGGCCTCGGGACACAGGTAACAATCAGTAACTAGTATTTTTATGTTTTTAAGAATTATTATTATTCCTTTAACTAAAAGGTATTCAGAAACCTCACCTTATTACAAGGTAGGAAGACATGAGTGATTTCCACATTTCACTGGGCCTAGCTGTTGGCAGCTCTTGATCTAGTAATAAAATCCATTCAAAGGAAAGAGAAAAGACTGAAAAATTTGCAACCCCATTTTAAAGGAATTCATGCAAAATACTTGCAGACTAAATCTTAATCTATCTGAGTATTTCCATCTTAAACATCAGCCCTAAAAGTAACAATTCTTAGAGAAGTGGTGGTAGTGTTCCCAAGTATTCTCAGACATCAAACTCTACAGGAAAGAAGTTTAGAAAAGATAGGCACCTTGAATTATTCATATACTTAACTTACAGTTGATCCTTCCTAGCAGCTTCAGTTTTCTGTGTGTATGGAGGTCTATTTTATACACACACACCTGATATTCATCCAAGATTAGCAGCTGTTTCCAGATAACATTAGAACATTTCACATCTATAAACATCCTTTACTGATTCACAGGCACAAGACCATATTTTAATTCAAGACATACTTTTCAGTCCTCAGGGTTCTGACAAGTGGCCCCAATTTACAACTTAGGCAGCTCCAATTTTTTCCCAAATCTTTTTCAAACAGTTTCCACATCCTCTTAAAAAAGAGAACATTGTGGATTTATACAACAAAAATAATAATAATAAAAGTTGGCTGGGTGTGGTGGCTCATGCCTGGAATCCTTGCACTTTGGGAGGCCGAGGCGGGTGGATCACCTGAGGTCAGGTGTTCGAGACCAGCCTGCCCAACCTGATGAAACCCCGTCTCTACTAAAAATACGAAAAATTAGCCGGGCATGGTGGCGGGTGCCTGTAATCCCAGCTATTCAGGAGGCTGAGGCAGAAGAATTGCTTGAACTCGGGAGGCAGAGGTTGCAGTGAGCCAAGATTGCACCACTGCACTCCAGCCTGGGCAACAAGAGTAAAATTCCACCTCAAAAAAAAAAAGTTTACACAGAAACAAAACTCTAAAGTTTATTTCACAAACAGGGGCCATCTCTCCCTAAAACCTCTATTCCGGGTGAGTCTCTTTTTTGTTTGTTCCTCCGTAAACTTCCAGGGAGACTGCCAAACAGTAATGCTCACCCCGGGGTGACTGCAGGACTCACCCAGAGACAAAACTACCTTCCTACCTAATGGGCCCTAGACATATGAAGCCTGTCAGGAGAACATCATAAATCATGGAGATGGGAAGAGAGGGGGCAGGAGGAGCCACACAAACCCTTTGCACTTAGGAGAAAGAGTTATTTAACACGTCAGGGAAGTGCATTTAATAAATGAAGTCAGTGACTTGAACATGTCATATTCGATCTATATGGAGGTTACTGAACTTTCTTTAAAAAGTCATTTTTATGCTGGTTGCTTTTCTTATGAAATTTTCTACACCTCTAGTGTATAAAATGGATGTGTAAGCAGCTGATTGAGAAATAGCTAAGGTCAAAGTTAATAAGGAAAGCAGAAGGTCTAAAAGCAGGCTGCCTTTTTTTTCCCCTTTGAGTTCAAGAGACTCCATATGATTTGGGCATGACATACTAATGTTTCTGACATCAGGCCTTTTTTTAAATCTGCCTTCAAATAACTGATACTTGGGTGGTAATGAATGTGGAAGATGTCTCGTTGCTGGAATTACAAAAATGAACTTTCCTCTTCTGATTTCATTCATGGGCTAGTTTTTATGAGTAAAATGATATCAAAGACTTGGAGGGATGGAATATTGCCTCAAAATGTCAAGACAATATAAGTTACAGAATGTACAAGTTGGAGAAGAAAGAAAAGGGTGGGAACATAGAATTAGGTGTCCCTTTAAAAACAAAGAAGAAAGCAAAATACTCAGCAAGTATATAAACAAGTACAAACTGCACATCTATTTTGGAAAATGTTTTTGTATCTCCAGGCTTTCTGGATCCCTTACATTTAAGTCATGAGAATCTCTGGGTTATTTTGTCACATAAAAGAGTATAAAACCCCCATCAAATCAACAAATAGGTTTGCTCCCTCAGATGAGATTTAACTGAAACTTGGAACAAAAACAGTGAGGTTCATCAGATAAACATATGCCAAATTTAAGACTTCTATCTGTTCTTAAATGGATGCTATAGATTGTCTGCAAGAACTACTCCCTTCAACTTCAGATGTGATAAAGCTTGATATGATGCTCTTAGACCTTGAAACAGAAACCATATGTGGCAATAAACAAACAAACAAAATCCCTGGATACTGCAAAGGAAAAAAAAACAGAAAACTTACTCGATTTTAGAAGACTTGAAAAAGTTGTAATTATCTTCCTTGATGTACACGGTGTTCACTGACAGGAAAAAAAAAAGAAATCTCAGCACCTAAAAACTTATATATTTGCACATTTATGTTCAAATTATTCTCTAAATGGCTTGAAATAATTGCCTCTTCTGCTTTGTATTAACTAAACTTTTTTTTTTTTTTTTTTGTCAAGTCATGGTTCTTTTTCTAGTATCTGAAAATGTGCCAAACTAAATGTCAGTGCCTTCATAAGGAAGATTTAGAGTTCCTTTTGGAGCAGATAGAAGCCTCAAATGACAAACACGCTTATCCTGAATGCCCCTCCTGCTGGTGTGACTTACCTCAGAACAAGGTCAAAGAAGCCGCCAGAGAAGATCTACGATTTGTTTGACTTGACATTCCCTGGTATTTCCCTTTGTTATCCCTGTGTCATCGTTCTGTGGCAGAGGGAGAGCAAGGCAAGCGCTTGCTTTCAGGTATATCTGGCTAGTAGCCCTACATACCACAGAGAGCTACTGTGGATTTCACTGTATGAAAAGCCTCCATTTGACTTGAATGCTGTTAAAGCATTGCAGGGGTAAGTTTTGAAATCCTTCCTTAGGTCAAACTCTAGCTGGAAAGTTCGCCCCATCCTCCTCTTGGAAGGACTCTTATATGGCCTTGTAGCTAAACTTGAGCAACCACACACTGCAGCAGAGCAGCTGGCATGGCCCAAGCCAGGTGGGTGGTCCAGGCAAGGCCCAGTCCCCTTGTGTCCATTATTGCTAAGGTGCATCTAGGAGCACAAGGACAGGAGGAGTCAGACATGTGAGTGTTTTTGCAATCAGTCAACAAACATCCACTGTTTACCGATTACAGGACATTTCTTCTGGGCATTGGGAATACCAAGTGACAAAGTCATGCTTTTAATTTTCAAGGTGTTTAATAGAGAATAAGCCAGGGTTGGAACACTCTACCCCGGAAGTCCCTGCTATTAAATCTGGCTTTGCTTTTCAGTAATCACCTCCTTAAAGACCCAGGGGACAAAAAACTTAGAAACAATTTCCTCCCTCCCTGACTTACTTTGTCTCTGACTTCGGCCTTTCACAGTGGCACACATGGTTGGGACATCTAAAATACCACTGGAAAATTTAAGGATATAATCTACCTATATTATATGAATAGCACAAATTTATTTTCAATGAATTAGCAGAAGTTCAGAGCCATTCTTTCTTAGGCACTTTCCTATACTCTTGGTGAATTCGTCTAGTATGTGAAAAAAGAGTTTCTCTCAGATTGTTAGTCCCAGCTACAAGGCCTGCCACCATAGAAAAGTTCCTTCTCTGTCCTTTTTCTCCTCTCTTCAGATCCCCTTTCTTGACCTTTCTATCACAGCATCTGAACCTGCCTGCACCTGCTCATTGTCCATTTGAATTGCTTCTCTGCTGGAGGTATTCCTGGGGCCCACTCTGGCCTACTGCCTTTGGGCTTCACCTGACCTAGCTCTGCATTTACAAAGCAAGCCCAACAGATTTCCACCATACATTTCAAACACCGAGAATGACACTGATTTTGAAACTCAGCTACACTGCATAGAGGAACTCCCTGAATACACCCAATCACCCAATTTAGGGAAGTACGAATTTTCTGACAATGTGAAAGGGAAATGACCTATTTTAAACTAAAGTATTGAAAATTTCTAATTATTCTCATTCCAAGGGAAAAAAATGAAAAAAAAAAAAATCCTAAAGAAAAAGAACAATTCCCTCCTATAACCTATCCCTTAAAGGAATGGACAATACTTGGGTAATGATGTTCAACTTATGCATAAGAAGACAAAAGGGCATTTTTTTCTGTATGGCTTCTTTGCCAGAGACCCTTTGGTAATGTGAGGTTTTTCTAAAGGCATAAGGGACGATTTCTCTATGTAGTTTTGCAAGGTCCCTTTCATTCCTTCTGACATCTTACTTTATCCTTTTCCTTTTTCTCTCCCTAAATGAAATGGATGTCTATGTACATATATATTTTCTGAAATACAAATGTAGAATGGCATGTAAGTACCATAAACCTGAGATTTAATTTAAATGCAATATGTAAGCAAGGCCTGTTAGGTCCTGGGTCCCAGTAAGAAATGGGATTCACCCTTAAAATGGTTTAAGTGAAGATATGTTAACGGTAGCACTCCAAAAAGGCATAGGCAGAGTTTTAGGAGCAAATAAATAATTTACCCAGGGACTAGCAACATTACAACCTCTTGGGCTGAAGGGACAATGAGAAGAAATAATGTTAACAGAACCCAGCGAGAACTGGAAGCACAGAGGAGGGGCCGCCCAGTTGGAGCTGTAGTTTTGGAGAAATGCAGCAGCTGCCCAAGACGTGGTGCTGAAGCCACAGGGCAGCAGAGAAGAAATACCCTGGCTTTACTTCCTTGCAACTCAGTCAGCTCCTGCCAGTACATCCTGTGGCAAAATATCAGCTGTAACCTGTCAGTAAAAAGATTCAGTGGGGTTAGCTTCCTGATACACAGCAGGGAAAACATGGGTTGCCAAGGAATTTGGTATGGAGACTAAGGAATAATTTGCACAAAATTTCCCATTTAAATATGAGAGAATTAGAGTGAATTCAATCATCGGGTTTATAACTAACTTTCAGGAATTTAAAAAATGTGGAAGGATGATGCTATGGATTGAAATATGTCCTCCCTAAATTCATATGTTGAAACTCCAATCCCCAGTATAAAACGCAGCAAGAAGGGGGCCATCAGCAGGCCAGGAAGAGAGCCCTCACAAAAAACGGAATCAGCCAGCACCTTGATCTCGGACTTCCCAGCCTCCAGCATCATGAAAAAATAAAGATTTGTTGTTTAAGTCACCCAGTCTATCATATTTTGTTATGGCAGCCCAAGCAAACCTATGCAGCCGGGTCAAGTATTTTATATATATATTATAGGAGAATACATGCTTTGAGTCATATAGAACAGGATATTAACACCAACTCTAAATTGCTATTTGTAGATTTGGGGAAACACTCCAAACTTCAGTTTTCTAAATTAAATAAGTACAGTATTTTCTTCATTATTGGGCTTTTTTTTTTTTTTTTTTTTTTTGAGATGGATTTTTGCTCTTGTTGCCCAGGCTGGAGTGCAATGGCACAATCTCGGCTCACTGCAACCTCTGCCTCCCGGGTTCAAGCGACTCTCCTGCCTCAGCCTCCCAACTAGCTGGGATTATGGGCATGAACCACCATGCCTTGCTAATTTTGTATTTTTAGTAGAGATGTGGTTTCTCCATGTTAGTCAGGCTGGTCTTGAACTCCCAATCTCAGGTCATCTGCCCGTCTCAGCCTCCTAAAGTGCTGGGATTACAGGGTGAGCCACCCTGCCCAGCATTATTATTGGGCTTTTTAAAAGCATCACATTTCTTCTTGTATATTTTCTTTTTTTAATGAAGTACAGTCTTTACAATAGCCTTTAGTGAAGATTTGCTCCTAAAAACTTAGCTTTTGTTTATCTGATGATGGCTTTATTTCAAGTAGTTTCACCTAGTATATAATTATTTGATAGTCATTTTCTCTTGACTCTTTGAAGACATTTTTCATCATCTTCTGGCTTCCATTGTAGCTGCTTTCATTCCTTTGTAGTTATTTCATATTTGCTTTGTTTTTGGTGAGCTGAAATTTCACTAAGGTGTGTTCAGGTGTGTGTTTTTTTTGTTGCTACCTACTTATATTTCACTGAGGTCTTCTGATGTAATCTAGTCTGCCACCAATATTGGGAAGCCTTTAGCCATTTTTTTTCCTATACTGACTTTTCTCCATTCTCTATATTCTCTTGTGAAATTCTAAGCAATAAGCCAGACCTTCTAACTTTACTGTAATGTCCCTTAACCTCTATTTCATGTTTTCCAAATATTTACCCATGTTATATTGAGTCATTTCTTCTGCTGTATTTTCCAGTTGTAAATTCTCTCCTCAGCTGTATCTGATACTCTACCATTGAGTTTTTAATCTCAATAATTATATTTTTTACTACTGTAAGTTCTGTTTTTAAAATTTTTTAGCAATTCTGCATGATCAGTCTCCACAGTCTTATGCCTTCCTCACACATTTGATGCCTTTCTTTTTTTCTTTTAAAATTTAAAAATTTTAGTAGAGACTTAAAAATTTTTAAATTTTAAAAGAAAAAAAGTAGAGATTTAAAAATTTAGTACAGATTTTAAAATTTTTAAATTTTAAAAGAAAAAACAGTATTCTTACTTTTTATATTCTAAATGCAGTAATTTCCATATCTGAGATCTTAATGCATCTGATTCTTTTCTTTGTATTCTTTGTTGTTTATCCTCTTTCTTGGTCTCAATATGTTATTTTCCATTGTGTTTTGTTATTTTTGTTGTTGTTGTGAGTTTAGGCTTGATGAAACTTTTTCTGTGAGGCTATTCTGAGTCTTAGATTGAGAGTGTATTCCTCCAAAAATATGTGTATTTTCTTATGGCATTCATCAACTAGCACTACCAGTCAGGGGGTGATATGAATTTGGAGCACAATCCCACATTAGGCCCCGTTTATACTGATACATTTCCAGTGGGTGTATTTTTTTGTTTTTAAAAATGAGGTAAAATTTACATAACATAAAACTAGCCATTTTAAACTGTACATTCAGTAGCATTTATTACCTTCACAATGTTGTGGAACCATCACCTCTATCTAGTTTAAAAATATTTTCATCACCCCAAAAGGAAATCCCAAACCCACTGATATGGTTTGGCTGTGTCCCCACCCAAATCTCATCTTGAATTGTCATTCCCATAATCCCCATGTGTCATGGAAGCCACCTGGTGGAAGGTAAATTAATCAGGGGAGAAGTTACCCTCATGCTGTTCTTGTCATAGTGAGTGAGTTCTGAGAAGATCTGATGGTTTTATAAGGGGCTTTCCCCACTTTTGCTTGGTACTTCTCCTTGCTGCTACCATGTGAAGAAGGACATGTTTGCTTCCCCTTCTGCCATGATTGTAAGTTTCCTGAGGCCTAGCCAACTGTAAAGAACTGAGCCAATTAAACATCTTTCCTTTATAAATAACCCAGTCTTGGGTATGTCTTTATTAGCAGCTTGAGAATGGACTAATACACACACTAAACAGTTACTTCCCATTACCCAACTACCTATACCCTGGCAAACACAGATGTGCTCTTTCTCTCTTTATAGACATACCTGTTCTATATATGTTATACAAATGGAATCACATAAAATGTGATGTCTGATTTCTAGCTTCTCTTATTTAATATACTTCCCAGGTTCATCCATGTTGTAGCATTATCAGTATTTTATTCCCTTGCATGGCTAAATTCCACTGTACACACATATTACATTTTGCTTGGCCATTCCATTGATTGACATTTGGGTTTTTTATATCTTTTCACTACTGTGAATAGTGATGCTGTGAACATTCATGTTCAAGTCTTTGTTTGAATATCTGTTTTCAGTACTTTTAGGTATACACCTAAGAATGGAACTGTGATCATGTAGTAAATCTATGTTTAACTTTTTAAGGAACCCCAAAACTGTTTTCCACTGTGGATTGTACCATTTTACATACCCATCAGCAATGTATGAGGGTTCCAATCTCTCCACATCCTTGTCAACAGAGGTTATTTTCCATTTTATTTTGTTTATGTATAGCCATTCTAGCAGATGTGAAGTGGTATCTCATTGTGGTTTTGATTTGCATTTCCCTCATAAATAATGATGTTGAGAAACTTTCCACGTGCTTATTGGCCATCTGGATAACTTCTCTGGAGAAATATCCATTTAAGTTGTTTGCTTGTTTTTTTATTTATTTTAAGTTCTGGGATTCATGTGCAGGACCTGCAGGTTTGTTACATAGGTAAATGTGTGCCATGGTGGTTTGCTCCACCTATCAACCCATCACCCAGATATTAAGCCCAGCATGTATTAGATATTTTTCCTGATGCTCTCCCTCCCCCATCCCTCCTCAACAGGCCCCAGTGTATGTTGTTCTCTATATGTCCATGTGTTCTCATTGTTCAGCTCCCACTTATAAATGAGAACATGTGGTGCTTCGGTGCTTGGTTTTCTGTTCCTGCATTAGCTTGCTGAAGATAATGGCTTCCAGCTCCATCTATGTCCCTGCAAAGGACATGGTCTCCCTCCTTTTTATGGCTGCATAGTATTCCATGGTGTATATGTACAACATTTTCTTTATCCAGTCTATCATTGACATACATTTGGGTTGATTCCATGTCTTTGCTATTGTGAATAGTGCTGCAATGAACATAAGCATACATGCGTCTTTATAATAGAATGATTTATATTCCTTTGGGTATATACCCAGTAATGGGATTGTTGGGTCAAATAATATTTCTGGTTCTAGATTCTTGAGGAATCACCACACTGTCTTCCACAATGGTTGAGCTAATTTACATTCCCATCAACAGTGTGAAAGTGTTTCTATTTCTCCACAGCCTTGCCAGTATCTGTTGTTTCTTCACTTTTTAATAATCACCATTCTGACTGGCATGAGGTGGTATCTCATTGTGGTTTTGATTTGCATTTCTCTAGTGATCAGTGATGTTCAGCTTTTTTTTTCATATGTTTGTGGACCACATAAATATCTTATTTTGAGAAGTGTTTGTTCATGTCCTTTGCCCACTTTTTGATGGATTTGTTTGTTTTTTCTTGTAAATTTGTTTAAGTTTCTTGTAGATTCTGGATACTAGACCTACATCAAATGAATAGATTGCAAAAGTTTTCTCCCATTCTGTAGGTTGTCTGTTCACTCTGATGACAGTTTTGTTGTTGGTGTTGTGCAAAGCTCTTCAGTTTAATTAGATCCCATTTGTCAATTTTTGCTTTTGTTTGCAATTGCTTTTGACATTTTCATCATGAAATCTTTGCCCATGCCTATGCCCTGATTGATATAGCCTGGATTTTCTTCTAGGGTTTTTATAGTTTGGGGTTTTACATTTAAGTCTTTAATGCATTTTGACTTGATTTTTGTATAAGACGTAAGGAAGGGATCCAGTTTCCATTTTCTGCATATGACTAGCATCCCAGCTTCATTTATTAAGTAGGCAATCCTTTCCCCATTGCTTGCTTTTGTCAGGTTCACCAAAGCTCAGATGGTTGTAGACACACAGTATTATTTCTGAGTTCTTTATTCTGTTGCATTGCTCTATGTTTCTGTTTTTGTGCCAGTACCATGCTGTTTTGGTTAACGCGGCCTTGTAGTGTAGTTGAAGTCAGTTAGCATGATGCTTCCAGCTTTTTTCTTTTTGATTAGGATTGTCTTGGCTATACAGGCTCTTTTTGGTGCCATATGAATTTTAAAGTAGTTTTTTTCTAATTCTGTGAAAAATGTTGATGGTAATTTAATAGGAATAGCATTGAATCTATAAATTACTTTGGGCAGTATAGTCATTTTCATGATATTGATTATTCCTATTTACGAACATGGAATGTTTTTCCATTTGTTTGTGTCCTCTCTGATGTCCTTGAGCAGTGGTTTGTAGCTCTCCTTGAAGCGGTCCTTCACTTCTGCTGTTAGCTATATTCCTAGGTATTTTGTTTTCTTTATAGCAATTGTAAATGGGAATTCATGCATGATTTGGCTTTCTGCTGGTCTATTGTTGGTGTATAGGAATGTTTATAATTTTTACACATTGATTTTGTATCTTGAGACTTTGCTGAAGTGGCTTATCAACTTTAGAAGCTTTTGGGCAGAGACAATGGGGTTTTCTAGATATAGGATCATGTCATCTGCAAACAGAGACAGTTTGACTTCTACTCTTTCTATTTGAATACTTTTTATTTCTTTCTCTTGCCTGATTGCCCTGGCCAGAACTTCCAATACTATGTTGAATTGGAGTGTTGAGATAGGGCATCCTTGTCTTGTGCTGATTTTGCTTCCAGCTCTTGCCCACTCCGTATAATATTGGCTGTGGGTTTGTCATAAATACCTCTTATTATTTTGAGGTATGTTCCATCAATACCTAGTTTATGGAGAGTTTTTAACATGAAGGAATGCTGAATTTTTTTGAAGGCCTTTTCTGTGTATATTGAGATAATCATGAAGTTTTTGTCTTTAGCTCTGTTTATGTCATGAATCGTTTATTGATTTGTGTATATTTAACCAGCCTTGCATCCCAGGGATGAAGCCAACTTGATTGTGGTGGCTAAGCTTTTTGATGTGCTGCTGAATTTGGTTTGCCAGTATTTTACTGAGGATTTTTGCAGTGATGTTCATCAGTGATATTGGCCTGAAGTTTTCTTTTTTTGTTATATCTCTGCCAGGTTGTGGTATCAGGATGATGCTGGCCTCATAAAATGAGTTAGGGAGAAGTCTCTAAAACTTTGGAATAGTTTTAGAAGTCTCAAAACTTTGGAATAGTTTTAGAAGAAATGGTACCAGCTCCTCTTTTTACCTCTGGTAGAATTCAGCTGTAAATCCATCTGGTCTTGGGCTTTCTTTTGGTTGGTATGCTTTATTACTGTCTCAGTTTCAGAATTTGTTATTTGTCTATTCATGAATTTAACTCTTTCCTTGTTCGGTCTTGTGAGGGTGCATGTGTCCAGGAACTTACTCATTTCTTCTAGATTTTCTAGTTTGTTTGCATAAAGGTGTTTGTAGTATTCTCTGATGTTTGCTTGTATTTCTGTGGGGTCCATGGTGATATCCCCTTTATCTCTTTTATAGTGTATATTTGATTCTTCTCTCTTTTCTTCTTTGCTAGTCCATCTAGTGATCTGTGTATTTCATTAATTTTTTCAGAAAACCAGCTTCTGGATTTATTGATTTTTTTGAAAGGTTCTTCTTGTCTCTATCTCCTTCAGTTCTGCTCTGATCTTGGTTATTTCTTGTCTTATGCTAGCTTTGAGGTTTGTTTGCTCTTGGTTCTCTAGTTATTTTAGTTGTGATGTTAGGATGTCAATTTGAGATCTCTCTAGATTTTTTATGTGGACATTTAGTGCTATAAATTTCCCTCTTCACACTACTTTAGCAATGTTCCAGATATTCTGGTATATTGTCTCTGTGTTCCCATTGCTTTCAAAAAACTTCTTGATTTCTGCCTTAATTTCATTATTTACCCAGGAGTAACTCAGGACCAGGTTGTTCGGTTTTCATGTAGTTGTGTGATTTTGAGTGAGTTTCTTAATCTTGAGTTCAAATTTGATTGCACGGTGGTCTGAGAGACCGCTTGTTTTGATTTTAGTTCTTTTGCACTTGCTGAGGAGTGTTTTACTTCCAATTATGTGACTGATTTTAGATTAAGTGCCATGTGGCACCAGTAAAAATGTATATTCTGTTTTTTGGGGGGTGGAGAGTTATGTAGATATCTATCAGACTGACTTGATCCAGAGCTGAGTTGAAGTCCTGAATATCTTTGTTAATTTTCTGTCTCAATGATCTGTCAAACATTAACAGTGAGGTGTTAAACTCTCTCACTATTATTGTGTGGGAGTGTAAGTTTCTTTGTAGGTCTCCAAGAACTTGTTTTATGAATCTGGGTGCTCCTGTGCTGGGCACATATATATTTAGGATAGTTAGCTCTTCTTGTTGAATTGAAACCTTTATCATGTAATGCCTTTCTTTGTCTTATTTGATCTTTGTTCATTTAAAGTCTGTTTTGTCAGAAACTAGGATTGCAACTCCTGCTTTTTCTGCTCTCCATTTGCTTGGTAGATTTTCCTCCATCCCTTTATTTTGAGCCTATGTGTGTTTTTGCATGTGAGATGGCTCTCTTGAATATAGCACACCAATGGGTCTTGACTCCTTATCCAGCTTGCCACTCTGTGTCTTTTAATTGGGGCATTTATCCTATTTACACTTAAGGTTAATATTGTTATGTGTGAATTTGATCCTGTAATCATGATGCTAGGGGTTATTTTGCAGACTTGTTGATGTAGTTGCTTCATAGTGTCATTAGTCTGTGTACTTCAGTGTGTTTTTGTAGTGTCTGGTAACAGTTTGTTCTTTCCATATTTAGTGTTTCCTTCAGAAGCTCCTGCAAGGCAGGCCTGGTGGTAATGAATTTCCTCAGCATTTGCTTGTCTGAAAAGGATTTTATTTCTCCTTCACTTACGAAGCTTAATTTGGCCAGATATGACATTCTGAGTTGGAAATTTTTTCTTTAAGAATGTTGAATATTGACCCCCCAATCTTTTCTGGCTTGCAGGGTTTATGCTGAGAGGTCTGCTATGATTCTGATGGGCTTCCCTTTGTAGGTGACCTGATCTTTCACTCTGGCTTCCCTTAACATTTTTTCCTTCATGTTTACCTTGAAGAATGTGATGATTATGTGTTTGGGGGTTGATCTTCTCATGGAGTATGTTACTGGGGTTCTCTGGATTTCCTGAATTTGAATGTTGGCCTGTATTTCTAGGTTGGGAAAGTTCTCCTGGATGATATCCTGAAGTATGTTTTCCAACTTGGTTCCTCCGTTCTCCCCGTCTCTTTCAGGTACCCCCATCAGTCATAGGTTTAGTCTTTTTACATAATCCTATAGTTCTGGGAGGTTTTGTTTGTTCCTTTGCATTCTTTTTTCTCTAATCTTGTCTGCCTGTCTTCATTTCAGCAAGATTGTCTTCAAGCTCTGAAATTCTTTCCTCTGCTTGGTCTATTCGGCTATTGATACTTACAGTTGCATTGTGAAGTTCTCGTGTTGTGTTTTTCAGCTCCATCAGGTCATGTATGCTCCTCTCCATGATGGTTAGTACTGAGTGTCAACTTGATTGGATTGAAGGATGCAAAGTATTGATCCTGGGTGTGTCTGTGAGAGTGTTGCCAAAGGAGATTAACATTTGAGTTAGTGGGCTGGAGAAGGCAGACCCACCCTTAATCTGGTGAGCACAATCTAATCAGCTGCCGGTGAATATAAAGCACGCAGAAAAACGTGAAAAGGCAAGGCTTGCCTAGCTCCCAGCCTACATCTGTCTCTTGTGCTGGATGCTTCCTGCCCTCAAACATCAGACTTCAAGTTCTTTAGTTTTGGGACTTGGACTGGCTCTTCTTGCTCCTCAAGCTTGCAGATAGCCTATTGTGGGACCTTGTGATCATGTAAGTTAATACTTAATAAACTCCCCTATATATATCCTATAATATCATATATATAATCCTATTACGTAATATATATATGTGTATATATATGTGTGTGTGTGTGTATATATATATATATCCTATTAGTTCTGTCCCTCTAGGGAACCCTAATACACTCTCTAAACTGGTTATTCTGATTAGCAACTCCTGTAATTTTTATCACGGTTCTTATCTTCTTTACATTGGGTTAGAACATGCTCCTTTAGCTCAGCAAAGTTCATTATTACCCACCTTCTGAAGCCTACTTCTGTCAGTTCATCCATTTCAGCCTCATCCCAGTTCTATGCCCTCGCTGGAGAGGTGCTATGATCACTTGGAGGAGAGAGGCACTCTGGCTTTTAGAGTTTTCAGGATTTTTTTTGTTGATTTTTTTCTCATCTTCACGAGTTTAGCTTTAATCTTTGAGGCTGCTGACCTTTGGATGGATTTTTTATGAGGACATTTTGTTGATACTGTTATTATTGCTTTCTGTTTGTTTTTCTTTTAACAGCCAGGCACTCTTCTGTCATGCTGCTGCCATTTGCTGGGGGTCCATTCCATACCCTATTCGCTTGGCTCCCTCCCATCATTCCTGGAGATGTCACCAGTGGAGGCAGAATAGCAAAGATGGCTGCCTGCTCCTTCATCTGGGAGCTCTGTCCCAGAGGGGCACCAAGCTGATGCCAGCGAGAACACTCCTGTATAAGGTGTCTGGTGACTCCTTTTGGGGGATCTCGCCCAGTCAGGAGGCATGGGATCAGGGACCCACTTAACGAAGCAGTTTGGCTGCCTCTTGGTGGAGGAGGTGCGCTGCACTGGGGGGATCTCCCTCTCGTCCAGACTGCCTGGATTCCTCAGAGTCAGCAGGGGAAAAGAATAAGTTCACTGATCCGCAGAGACTGTGGCCACCCCTCCCGCAGGGGCTCTGTGCCAGGGAGATCAGAGTTCTGTCCATAAACCCCTGGCTGGAGTTTTTGAAATTCTCACAGGGAGGCCCTGCCTGATGACGAGGGATGGTTCAAGGTCCAGCCTAAAGAGGCCGTGTTGCCACAATCTGCCACAACAACTGTGCTGCACTGTGGGGAATTCCTCCTGGGTCCAAACCCCACCCCAGCAGGGGAAAATGGCAGACTGGAGCTGCAGTGATGGCAGCCACCCCACCCCCTCATAGCTCAGTCGTCTTAGGCACCAGGCAGCGGCAGTGATGGTGACCACACCCCCGCCCCCAACCCTGGGGAGCTCAGTAGTCTTAGGCAGCAGGCAGCCGAAGTGATGGCGACCGCCTATGCCCCTGGGAGCTCAGTCATCTTAGGTAGTCTCCAGCCAAGCAACCATTGAGAATCTGAACAGCTCTGTTTTTGGGACGCAAGGTCCTGGTGGCGTGGGCTCATGATGGGATCTCCTGATCCGTGGGTTGCACAGATCCATGGAAAAAGTGTGGTTTCCCAGGCAGGGTAGCACAATCACTCACTGTCTGCCTTAGCTGGGGGTGAGAGCTCTCCTTGCTCCATGTGGCCGGGTGGGCCGTCGCTCCACACTGCTTTTCCTGGCTCTTCATGGGATACGCCAACTGCCTAGTCAGTCCCAATGAGAGAAACAGGATACCTCAGTTGCCTCAGTTGTCAGTGCAGGATTCACTTGTTTTTGTTCTTCTTGGTGGAAGCCCCTAACCACAGTTGTTTCTAGTTGGCCATTTTAGTCCCTCCTCATTTTTAAAAAGGAGTTGTTTGTCTTTTGTTGTTGAGTTAAAAGAGTTCTTTATAAATTCTGCCTATAGGCTCTTATTAGATACATGATTTGCGAATATCTGCTCCCATTTTGTAGGTTGTATTGTCACTCTTTGTAGTGTGCTCTGATGCATAAAGGGATTTTCAGTTTTGATGAAGTCTAATTTATTTATTTTTTTTGCTTTTGTTGTTTGTGCTTTCAATGTCGTATCTAACAATGCATTGTTAAGCCTAAGATTATGACGATTAACCTTCTAAGGTTTTAAGAGTTTTGTAGTTTTTATTCTATTTAGGTCATTAATCAGCTTTGAGTTAATATTTATATATATGAAATCAAGGAACAGCTTTATTCTTTGGTATGTAGATATCTGGTTGTCCCAACACAGTTTATTGAAGAAACTATATTTCCCCATTAAATGGTTTTGACACCCTTATTGAAAAGTAATTGTGCATAGATGTATATGTTTATTTCTGGACTCCCAATTTCATTCCATTAGTCTATGTGTTTACCCTTGTTCCCCTGCTGTAATGTTTTGATTATTCAAGCTTTGTAATAAGTTTTAAAATCAAGAAATGTAAGTTCTCTTTGTTCTTCTTTTTTTATTATTTTGGTTATCCAGGGCCCTTTACAATTTCATTAGCATTTTTTTCAGCAAAAAAAAAAAATCATTGGGACTTTGATAAGGATTGTACTGAATCTGTAGATTATTTTAAGTAGTATTGCCAACTTAACAATATTGTCTTTTAATCCATCAACACACGATGACTTTCCATTTATTTATGTCTTCTTTAATTTGTTGCCACAATATCTTATAGTTTTCAGCATACAAGTCTTGTATCTTCTTTGTTAAATTTATCACTTAGTGTTTTATAATATTTAACACTTTTCTAAAAAGAATTTATTTTTAATTTTATTTCTGAATTCTTTATTGTTAGTATACAGAAATACAACTGATTTTTGTGTGTTGATTTTTTATCCTGCAACTTTGCTAAGTGTATTAGTTTACATTTGCTTTTGGTTTTTATTTTTTCTCTTCATCAGGACAAAGAACAATCCAATTTTCTTTGATGATAACCTTTACAAGAGATACTTATTTGGTTGTATTTTGTTTCTCGCTAACCATTTAAATGAGCAAACTTTTGGAATCCCAGCTTTATTTGAAGTTCTAACCCAGTTCTCTTTCTTTGAGGGCCTTAGGTTTTATCTCTTCCTAACACATGTAGTTCATTAATATCAAAGCTCCTGTTCAGATAATTCTGGAAATTACCTGTAGTTCAGCTAGCACTCTTTGCACTGGACTCATGTTTTGGCTTAGCTTGAACTTTCTTGCCAACTCAGCAATATAAGCATGGCTGTGTTTTGCACATACGTGTGTATTTTCTTCAATATGTTAAATGTTTCTCAATAGATTAGTTTTAGAGGACGTGTGTCCCACGTTCAGAAAGGAAAGTCTCTTATAGAGGGTATTTATGGGAATTAAGAGAGACCATATATACAAAAAGCCTAAGATGAGCCTCATTACACCAATAATCATCTGATGTCATTTTACTTTTGTGTATATTGTTACAAATGTGCAAGGATGCCCAATAATGTATCACTGCTTATTGTAACTGGGAAATATGAGTAACTTGAAACTGCTAGTGTAGGAAACAATATAAGCATGCATTCCTGCTTGAGATGCATGATTTCACTTAAAGCAGCCCCTCAAACCTCACTGCAACACTGCTCACCTTCATAAAATGGCTCGCTAACAGGATGACTAGAGCAGTGATAAGAACATTGTATTATTTTTGGTGCATCTTTTCAAAATGATCACTCCGGTTTACCATTTTCAATTTACATATTTTACTGTTGTCCATTAATTAGTGTTGAAGCAAAATCAACTAGAAGTTACCTAAAGCCAAGTTCAAGTACATTACTGTCCTGGATTCTTACAGGTAAAAGCATGGCAGCTCTTAAACAAGAGCAGAATTAAGTTCTAAGGAAACCCCCCACAGAATGTCCATTCAATGGGAAAGCTTAGCCTGAACCAACACAATGGAAGTCCAAGACAGATGTAATTTCATCATGAAAATGATTAAAGCAGGACTTAAAGTGAATTGAACCTGTATTCTGAAAAGTAAAGACTCTGTTGAATCAGACTGCAGATACCATTACTTATTGATCCAGCCCATGAATTGATTATCTTCTTTCTCTTTAACCCTGACTTCTATCTACTGAAAGCCTGAGAAAGATTTTTCTATAGTTAAAATGCTTTTCATTCAGCATAACTAGCTATTTCACTGTTTATCTACGTACTTTATATAGTAATTTTTAAATGTGTCAAGATATATTTAGCAAACATATCAATTAGATTACAATGCTGAGTAAAGCAATTTTATTTGATGTTTGATAAAATGCTCAGATAAGCAATCACACTCTTTTAAAAAGCAAATTTTAGGCATAAACTTGTTCTGTCCTCTTACTAGTTTTTTTTTTTTTTTTTTTTTCACACTAGCTAGCAACACATGCCATTGTGTGCTTTTGGATTTGACACATTTGGGGCTTTCTTTTGCTTTCAAAATAAGTCTTGTTATTACTACAGTTTGGGTCAGGCTTATTGTACATGAATGCAATAGTTATATCATTATATTATAAGCAGCTAATTGTACTGGTTGTACTAATGAATTATTCATGGCATAATCACATAAATTCACTTCATGCTGATGCTTTATTTTGCATACTAATTTGAACATAGTGCATTTTTCACATTTTGATCTAGAGATGATCTCAGATAATGACCTGTTTGTGGATATGGGGGTTTACATTGACCTTAATATTTTTCTTTTCTCTAAACATTGCTCCATAATGTGTACATTTCATCAGGGTGGTATAGGTCATTCAGAATCAGGGCCCTGCTAATAATTTCTTTTAAGGCCCTCTAATTATTGCTCATTAACAGAATTTCCAAGATAATCTTTCCAACACAGAGCATTGTGTTACCAGGGTCTTCCAAATAGTAGATGTTGTGCCTATTTTCTTCTCCTTCTAACTCATACTTCCCAAACTAATCCTCTCCCTTTTCTTGCCCAATCTCTGGAATTTTCATTGAATTACTCTTTTCTAACTTACACCTTATCCGTTCATGCCAACAAATCCCCTATAGATAAGCCTAAAGTTTTATATGTGGAGAAATGACACCATTGGCCAGTGGCTGGGTAACCTAATGGTCTCCCTGACTCAACTTTCTCACTTCAAGCCCTCATATAGTTTTCAGATTAGTTCTTCTATAGCCACTAATTAAGGCATGTGCTTCCACTGCAACAGAATCTTCTATGGTTTATTACTCTTTACCCACATTAAAACATCTCTGTTTAGCTTTCAAATCCTCCCTAAAGCATCCACCCTTCTAGTGATCTTATTTCATTTCTCCCTCCAGTGACACCAGTTTACTTATTGCTCTATAAACACAGAAAGTTTATACCACTACCTACACCTTTGTTTATCTCCTATCTGCAAATTCCTGTTTACTTTCACCTATGACATTTTCTCAAGACTCAGTACAAGTGCCATTTAGTTTGTAAAGCCTTCTTGGACTATCACAATCATTAGTGATATTCCCTAATTCCCTTTACCACTTGCCAATGCTTCAGTCACTTCATTATACACTTCTTTATATTTTGTGTTTAGTCTTGTCTCATGTGTTTTAATTTTACCTTCCCAATAGGATTATAATTTTTTTGAAAGTCTGAACCATACTGTATATAATCTATTTATCCCTTTGTAGGGTTGATAAGCTTCTTATTGTCTAGCAAAATCTAACATGTCTTAAGTGCTAATAATCATTTATTTTATTTGACTCATTATTAATGCCTGACATGGCAGGTGTTGACATGTACGTAATAGCATTAAAGAGGGTCCAAAGGACCAAGCTATATTTCATGTTGTGGGTGGTACTTTAAGCAAATATATTTATCATAAAATGGAATAGCAATTTTTCTTTCTGAAAGTCTGAAGCTGAAAAATTATTTGACCTATCTCTCCTGAATTGGAAATATCTAACATCAACCTTTAGGATGAGAGGATCATTTGGCTGCGCTATCTGGTATCCATTTGATTTCTGGGTGGAATTAGTTCATCTGGCTTGCTGGCCAGGTGTCCTATTCATTCCTGGATGCTGAAATCATGAAAAAAAATTGAGAAGATGAGCATCCCATTTGGAGAAGAAGGAACATTCTACAGTCAAGAATATAAAAGGAGCTCCACCTTCTCTCTACCATATTTTAGGAAACAATAGCAAAAATCAGTATTTCTACACACTAAAAGTAGTGTCTATGCCTAACTATTATACAGATTTGCAAGGTTTTTATTTTTAAATCCTTGGATTTCATTGCCTTAAATTAACGAAAAGATGATTTTAAAATAGTGAAGTTTCCTTGGAGATATGCAAGAGCTAGACTGCAAATTCCATCCAGGGAAATGAGAGATCATGTCTACCTTATTTCTAATGTGTCCCCAGAGGACAGCACAGTGTCTAGCATCTAGCAGATGTTCAGTAAATGTTCCTGGATATGTCAATGAATAAACATATGAGATGATAAGTGTTCATAATAAGTCCAAGCATTGTGGACTCCACCTACCAGTTAAGTACAAAGATAGTCTCATGGATGTTAATATCCTACATTTATTGTTCCTAAACTATCCTTCTGTTTAACTGTAGGAAGTCAAGTGTTTTGTAGCTTCCCTACCCAAGTATTCTAACATCTCCAGGGGCACTTGTTAGTTTTTATTGCTTGCTGCTAGGGCTAGCAACCCAGAACTCTCCAATCTTTGGCCCTTGGATTCATGGAAAAACTGTTCCAAGGTTAAAATATTGTTTTCCTAGCCACTGCCGTTATGGCCACAAGGGGAATCTCGCATGCAACATGCCAGTGAAACTGGGCCTGTGCCTCTGTCATGAAGGTGGAGGGTAATTGGGTGGTAGAAAGGATACCCATTCTACATTAGGCTTAGCTAGTGCTTCTAATGGCAATTTCGGTTGAGTCTCAAGGATTAGGCATCCAGTACTTCACACACTCACTCACCCCCATAGAGAATGAGCCAGGATCCTAAAGTTCCAGGCCTAAAGGTCAAGGCCTCTTCCAGGCTGAGACTCTCCTCTCATTGCTATCCTTCCCGCCTGCACCACATGGGGTCTCTTGCATTTTTCCATGTCGCTGAAATCAGAACTAGCACTGCCTAAAATGCAAGATATTTCTTCTCCTGGAAAATCTGCCATGCTTAGAATGTAATTCACGGATAAAACCCTCACTGCCACCTATGCAAAGTGAGAGAAACAGTGTTCCTTCTCCAGTATACTCAGCCAGGGCTCCTAGAACAAAGCTTCTTCAGTTCCAAATGTTATCATGTTTTCTTTGATGGATCATTCAACTAACAGGTTGTTTGGTCCTGTTGAAATAAGGTTGTTTGGTCCACTTCCTGTAATCAGCTGGCAAACTATACCCACATCCATTAACCCCCTCCCCACTCAGGACCTACTGCTGACTCCAGACCACTGGATTATGCCACCCCTTTTCTTTGATGAGTTCCTTCTCATTGTTCCCTTTCCTTTGTCCTCTGAGATCACTCTCTGCCACCTCCAAAACATCAGATATGGCTGAACCTTTCTGGTGAGTGGGTTGAAGTCTTTCCTTTCTTCTCTTAGATCCTACACAAAGGAGTGGTTACAAAGGTGAGTTATGGATGCAAAAATCTTAATAAAATACCGGCAAACCAAATCCAGCAGTACATCAAAAAGCTTATCCACCACGATCAAATCGGCTTCATCCCTGGGATGCAAAGCTGGTTCAACATATGCAAATGAATGAACATAACCCATCACATAAACAGAATCAATGACAAAAGCCACATGATTATCTCAATAGATGCAGAAAAGTCCTTCAATAAAATGCAACATCCCTTCATGTTAAAAACTCTCAATAAACTAGGTATTGATGGAACAAATATCAAAATAATAACAGCCATTTATGACAAACCCACAGCCAGTATCATATTGAATGGGCAAAAGCTGGAAGTATTCCCTTTGAAAACTGGCACAAGACACAGATGCCCTCTCTTATCGCTCCTATTCAACATAGTATTGCAAGTTCTGACCAGGGCAATCAGGCAAGAGAAAGAAGGTATTCAAATAGGAACAGAAGAAGTCAAATCATCTCTGTTTGCAGACATCATGATTCTATACTTAGAAAACCCCATTGTCTCAGCCCAAAAACTCCTTAAGTGGATAAGCAACTTCAGCAAAGTCTCAGGATACAAAATCAACGTGCAAAAATCACAAGGATTCCTATACACAAACAATAGACAAGCAGAGAGTCAAATCATGAATGAATTCCCATTCAAAATTGCTACAAAGAGAATAAAATACCTAGGAATACAGCTAACAAAAGACATGAAGGACCTCTTCAAGGAGAACTACGAACTACTTCTTAAGGAAATAAGAGAGGACACAAACAAATGGAAAAACATTCCATCCTCATGGATAGAAAGAATCAATATCGTGAAAATGTCCATACTGCCCAAAGTATTTGAAAGATTCAATACTACTCCCATCAAACTACCATTGGCAGTCTTCTCAGAATTAGAAAAAAACTACTTTAAATTTCATATGGAACCGAAAAAGAGCCCTAATAGCCAAGACAATCATACACAAAAAGAACAAAGTCAGAGGCATCATGCTACCTGACTTCAAACTATATACTACAAGGCTACAGTAACCGAAACAGCATGGTGCTGGTACCAAAACAGACATATAGACCAATGGAACAGAACAGGGACCTCAGAAATAATACCACACATCTACAACCATCTGATCTTTGACAAACCAGACAAAAAAAATGCAATGGGGAAAACATTCCCTATTTAATAAATGGTGCTGGGAAAACTGGCTAGCCATATGCAGAAAAGTGAAACTGGACCCTTTCCTTATATCTTATACAAAAATTAACTCAAGATGGATTAAAGACTTAAATGTAAAACCCAAAACCACAAAAACCTTTGAAGAAAACCTAGGCAATACCATTCAGGACATAGACCTGGACAAAGATTTCATGATGAAAATGCCAAAAGCAATTGTAACAAAAGCCAAAATTGACAAATGGGATCTGATTAAACTAAAGAGCTTTTACACAGCAAAAGAAACTATCATCAGAGTGAACAGGCAACCTACAGAATGGGAGAAAATTTTTGCCAACTACCCATCTGACAAACATCTGATATCCGGAATCTACAAGGAACTTAAACAAACTTACAAGAAAAAAAACCAAACAATCCCATCAAAAAATGGGCAGAGGATATGAACAAACACTTCCCAAAAGAAGACATTTATGCAGCCAATAAACATATTTTAAAAAGCTTAACATCATTGATCATTAGACAAATGCAAATCAAAACCACAATGAGATATCATCTCTTGCCAGTCAGAATGGTGATTATTAAAAAGTCCAGAAACTATAGATGCTGGCGAGGCTGTGGAGAAATGAGAACACTTTTACATTGTTGGTGGGAATGTAAATTAGTTCAACCATTGTGGAAGACAGTACGGCAATTCCTCAAGGATCTAGAACCAGAAATACCATTTGACCCAGCAATCCCATTCCTGGGTAGATACCCAAAGGAGTATAAATCGTTCTACTATAAAGCACATGTACACGTATGTTTATTGCAGCACTATTTTCAATAGCAAAGACATGGAACCAATCCAAATGCCCATCAGTGATAGATTGGATAAAGAAAATGTGGTACAAATACACTGTGGAATACTATGCAGCCATAAAAGGGAATGAGATCATGTCCTTCACAGGGACATGGATGAAGCTGGAAGCCATCATTCTCAGCAGGCTAACACAGAAAGAGAAAACCAAGTGGGTGCTGAACAATGAGAACACATGGACGCAGGGAGGGGAACAACACACTGGGGGCCTGTTGTGGGGTGGGGGGCGAGGAGAGGGAGAGCATTAGGACAAATAGCTAATGAATGTGGGACTTAAAACCTAGATGATGGGTTGATAGGTACAGCAAACCACCATGGCACATGTATACTTATGTGACAAACCTGCACATTCTGCACATTTATCCCATAACTTAAGGTAAAATAAATAAAAAAGTGAGTGAAAAGATACTGTGATTTGAATATTTGTATCTCCTCCAAAGTTCATGTTGGAACTTCAACCCCAGTGTGATAGTACTGTATTAAAACATGGGATCTTTAAGAAGTTATATGGTTTGGCTGTGTCCTCACCCAAATCTCATCTTCAATTGTAGCTCCCATTTTTCCCACATGTTGTAGGAGGGACCTGGTGGGAGACAACTGAATCATGGGAACAGCTTCCCCCATACTGTTTGCATGGTAGTGAATAAGTCTCATGAGATCTGATGGTTTTATAAGGGGAAACCCCTTTTGGTTGGTTCTCATTCTCTCTCTTGCCTGCTGCCATGTAAGATGTGTCTTTCACCTTCCACCATGACTGTGAGGCCTCCCCAGCCACAGGGAACTGTGAGTCCATCAAACCTCTTTTTCTTTATAATTTACCCAGTTTTGGGTATGTCTTTTTCAGCAGCGTCAAAACGGACTAATACAGGAGGTGATTAAGTCCTGAGGGTGGAACCCTCATGAATGAGATTAGTGATCAGATAAAAGTGCTGGAAGGGACTAGCTAGACCAATTTTGCCCTTCCATCTCTTCCACTAGGTGAGGACACATATTTGTCCCCTTTTGCTCTTCCGCCTTCCACCATGTGAGGCTGCCACTGTGAGAGGATGCCATCAGTGGAATAAACCCTCAGCAGATGCCAACTCTGCTGGCACCTTGATCTTAGGCTTTCCAGCCTATAGAACTGTAAGAAAATAAATTTCTGTTGTTTATAAATTACCTAGTATCTAGTATTTTGTTATAGCAGTACAAACGGACTAAGACTGTCACCTACTATAAAATGCCAGAGTTCTGCT